>NC_000001.11:198184587-199434587 GCF_000001405.40 Homo sapiens | reverse complement strand
CTGGCACTTTGTTCTCCTGGAGATGAAGGAGCAATAGTGGTTAGGTTTTCCTGCCTTCACTCTTTCCAATTTGCTCAAATCTGTAAGCTGTTCTGAGAGAAGTCAGCCTGACACGTGTCACAGGCACTGTCAATTAGGTTAATAGACAAGCAGGCAGGGCCCTGGCATTGAACTGAGTCATTTCCCAATACTGGTGTACACAGAATGAAAGCTGGAGAGTCAGGGTCTCTCTGACTCAGAGTCCTTTTTTTTTTTTTTTTTTTTTTTTTTTTTTTTTTTTTTAGAATGCATTGTGATTTTTGATAGAGGAAGGAAGGAATTAAGACAAAACAAGGGAATGAAGAATTTATTATTTCTTTCCACCAGCCAACTCACTGGTTTCTGTTGCCAAGAATATACCTTTAATTTATAAGACCAACACAATTCTAGTTATATATTATTTTAAATTTAATTTAGAGATAATACCATGTCTTTGGAATTAAATTATTTATTTTGAGGTAAGTAAATAAACATGAGAAAAGTAGAAATTTTAGAGGGTCTCTTAATGCAAACAAATTTCATCGCCTGTGATGTGGTTAACACATACGGGCATTGAATAAAACTTGGCTTGACTGAATTATATTGATTTTTAATACATGCCTTCTAAACATAAAGTACTGTGCTATAATAAGAGGTATATTATGATTTTCAGCAAAATACTTTACAGAAAAGATCTGTAAGAAGCAAGATAAGCTAAATTGCCCCCCCCCATTATTATATGACAATGGCATTGTCAGGATACAGTTTAAAATCTAAGACCACCCCACACTTGTGTTATCTGCAGACAAGCTGAAGGCACAAACCCTCAAATTAAAAAAGACATGAGAAACCTGAAGTCATGCTGAAGGAATCCTCTTCTTGTTTTATCATTCCAAAGGAAAAATGTCCCCATAAAGCCTACCATTCACAAAATATCTATAAGGAATATACTCTAATTATGTTGACACTTATCTTCATGTAATTGTTTGCCTGTTAGCATGAAGCTTTTGGACATGAATATTTCTTTCTAATATTCAAACAACTGGCTTTAGGAACAAAAGAATGAATATGTCTAGAAATTATCAGCTACTTAGCTTCAAATAGCAATTCACATGAAGACAGCAACTTGAAGACAAATAAACTTTTTTCAGAATTAATTTTAGGGCTCACCCTCTACTCAGTTGTTACTGAACATGGGTAAGTGTTAGGTTTTAGTCTTTACATACACATATAAATTTACTTAGGAAATGTGAGCAAAAATATATTAAATAAGATAGAGGTTATTTGTTCAAATAACATATTCAGAAAATATAAATGTTAAGGTCATTTTTAGCAATGTTAACACATTATTCACTGCTTTTTCACCAAAGTCGTTATCAGAATGTAAAAACTGTTAAAACATACTGTATGTGTGGAATGTGATGAAATTGCCACTCCATTAACAGAAAAATAAAACCAGGAGAGAGAGAGAGAAAAAAAAAAAGGAGAACAGAAACAATGCATTATTTATTTCATTTTTGCAGAAAAAAGTGAGTGAAAACCATAACTATCATTTTATTAGTAATATTCAATGTTCATGTTGCTCTGTAGATCTAAACATGCTTAGGTTGTTTTAAAAATTAATAATTCTCTTGCTGTACTTTTATTCAAAAGAGTCAATTTATGTTTATATTTATTTGTTTTGGATAGAATAAGAGAAAACTCTCACTGGAATTTTCTACAAGAAATTTCCATTTCTAACAGAACAATATACAGTCAGCTCACCACGTCCATGGGTTTCCATCTGCCAATTCAACTGACTGAAGATCGAAAACATTTTTTTAAAAAATTGCATCTATATTGCACATGTACAGGCTTTTACTCTTGTTACTATTGCCTAAACAATAAAGTATAACAACTATTGTACTAGGTATTATAAGTAATCTAGGGATTGTTTAAAGTATATGGGAAAATATGCATAGCTTATTTGCAAATACTACATCATTTTATATTAGGGACTTGAACATCCTCTGATTTTAGCTTCCGTGGGGTCCTGAAACCCATGCCCCATGGATACTGAAGAATGACTTTGTTGCTGATCAGTAATTCAGAAGATTTCTAGTGGTCCTTGTGTACTAAATGTTTTTACAGTACCAGAGCACTTGATGGTACAGAAGCAGCACACACCATTCCTATTTAAAAGACAGTTTTGCACCTTTGGATTAATGGTAAACCAGGAAAAAAATCCATCATACATTATAACATTGTTTAGAAGGTTACAAAATTAAAAACAAGCTATAGCAGGTGTGTGGTTGGGATTTCAAGATTAATTAAGTCAGTGCAACAAGGTGTCTTATGTTTTTGTGACGGAAACAGTGTAACCAGAGATGTACTCCAAGTGGAAACAACCATTAACGGAGCAGGGTCATATTTCATAACTCTAAAAGGATGCCACTCATGACATTGTATCATCCCTCTGCCCATACATCTTTATAATTTCCTTTTAACTGAATCAGCATGTAGTCTTACAGTACCTTATAAGAAAGTCACTTGACCTCCCATTTCCCATTGTTAAACTAAATATGGGATGAGAAGGACTCTATACTTCTATATTTGAGACCTTGGGGACAAACTGTAACCTAACTTGGGAGTATGTGCCTGTAACAATAGCTGAGTCTTGACCAATCCCAGCAGCCATACTTCAACCACTCATACACTGTTGTCAAGTATTCAAACTGTTTTGAAAGAAGGCATACACTGAGCTGTAACCAATCCAATTGTTTCTGTACCTCACTTCTGATTTCTGTAACGTCACTTCACTTTTCTTTGTCTTTAAATCTTCTTCTACCACATGGCTGCTCTGGAGTCTCTCTGAATCTACTGTGATTCTTCTGGGGGTTGCCCAATTCGCAAATCATTCATTGCTCAATTAAACTCCTTTAAATTTAATTCGGCTGAAGTTTTTCTTTTAACACCATCTAGTTTTTGCTACATTTCTCTGTTTCCCTTATAGGAAAGTTTATTAAAAATAGTATCCATATTCCTCATATCCAATTATATTCATACTTCTTTTGCCTACTCCAATTATGCTTTAGTGCCTATAGCACCACTGAAACTATACTTGGGGAGCTAAAAGTCACCAATGATATGCATGTTTCCCAATCTAGTATTTCTTAAAAAAAAGTTGCATAAATTTAAGGTGTACATAATGTTTTGATATACCTACACATAGTGAAATTACACTATAGTCAAGCAAATTCACGTATCCATCACTTCACATCTTGTATCCTTTTTTGTGTTGTGAGAGAACCTGAAATCTACTTTTATCAAATTTCTTTCTTTTTTTGAGACAGAGTCTTGCTTCATTGTGCAGGCTGAAATGCACTGGCATAATCACGGCTCACTACGGCCTCAACCTCCTGGGTTCAAAAGATGCTCCCACCTCAACCTTCTGAGTAGCTGGAACTATAGATGTGCACCACCACGCTCAGCTAATTTTTAAATTTTTGGTAGAGATGAGGTCCCATTTTGTTGCCCAGGCTGGTCTTGAATTCTTGGGCTTAAATGATCCTCCCACCTCAGCCTCTCAAAGTGCTGGGATTACAGGCAGAAGCCACCAGCCCTGGCCTCAGATTTTTAGTATACAATACTGTAACTATAGTCATCATGCTATACATTAGATCATGAGATTAGATTTTTTTCATTCTACATAACTGTTAACTTTATACTCTTTTACCAATATCTCCCCATTCCCCCCTACCTCCTCACCCCAGGTAACCACCATTTTACTCTCTATTTCTATATATTTGATCTTTTAACACTGCAAATATAATTGAGCTCTTGAAATTTCTGGTCTAGCTTATTTCACTTACCATATTGTTATAAATGACAGAATCTCCTTTTTAAAAGTGGAATAATATTTCATTGCGTATATATCTACCATAACTTTTAAAATCTGTTCTTTTGTTGATGGACATTTAGGTTGTTTGGCTATTGTAAATAATGTTGGAATGATCATGAGAGCACAGGTATCTCTTCAAGGTACTAATTTTACTTTGGATGTATACACAGAAGAGGGATTGCTAGATCATATGGTAGTTTTATTTTTATTATTTTAAGGAACCTTCATACTGTTTTACATATTGGCTATACCAATTTATATTGCCACCAACAGTGTACAAAGGTTCCCTTTCCTCTACATCCTCATCAACACTTATCTATTTTCTTTTTATAATAGTCATCCTAACAGGTATTGTGGTAACATCTCATTGTGGTTTTTATTTGCATTTGTCCAGTGTTGCTTTTCAGATACCACTTATCCATTTGTATGTCATCTTTGGAAAAAAATCTGTTCAAGTCCTTGCCCATTTTTAAATTGGATTATTGGTTTCTTTATTGCTGTTATTGTTGCGTTGTAGGAGATACTTATATGTTTTGAATGTTAACCCTCATCATATATGGTTTGCAAATATTTTCTTTCAGTCCATGGGTTGTCTTTTCATTTCACTGATTAGTTCCTTTGCTGTGCAGAAGTTTTAAAGTCTGATGTAGTTCCACTTGTATATATTTTATTTTGTTGGCTTAGCTTTTGCTATTATATCCAAGTTATTGTCAATGCCAATATCAAGAAGATTTTCCCCATGTTCTTTACTAGGTGTTTTACCGTTTCAGATATTACATTTAAGTATTTAATTTTGTGTTGTTTTAACTAATTAATTTTGTGTTGATTTTTGTGTATGGTGTAAGGGTAGAGTTTTATTTTATTTTATTTTTTTACATGTGGGTATCCAGTTTTTCCAGAACCATTAGTTGAAGAGGCTATTCTCTCTCCATTGTGTATTCTTGGTGCCCTTGTTGAAAATTGATTGTATATGTTAAGGTCTATTTCCAGCCTTTCAATTCAGTTCTATTGGTCTATGTTTCTATAATTATGCCAGTAACAGTGTTTTGATTGCTATAGCTTTGTAATATAATTTTAAATTAGGAAGTGTGATGCCTCCAACTTTGTTCTTTCTCAAGGTGAATATTTGGGGTCTTTTGTGGTTACATACAAGTTTTGGAATTGTCTTCTCTATGTTGGTTAAAAATACCATTTGGGATTTTGATAGGGATTGCATTGAATCTGTATATCATTTGGGGTGGTATGGACATTTAAAAAAATATTAATTCTTCAAATCCATGAACACAAGATCTTTCAATTTATGGGTTCTTCAATTTGTTTCATCAATGCTTAATAGATTTTGGTGTACAGATTTTTCAGCTCCTTGGTTAAATTTATTTGTTAGTATATTATTCTTTTTGATGATATTATAAATGAAATTATTTTCTTGATTTCCTTTTCAGATAGATTGTTGTTGATGTAAAGAAGTGCAACTGATTATTCTATGTGGATTTTGTATCCTGCAAATTTACTGAGTTTATTTATTAGTTTTAAAAGTTTTTTTTTTGTAATCTTAAAGGGTTCTACATACAGGATCACATCATCTGCAAAGAGAAATAATTTTATGTTTTCTTTTATGATTTAGATACCTCTTATTTCTTTTTCTGTCTGACTGCTTTTGCCAGTACTTTTAGTAATAAAAGTGGTGGGAGTAGGCATCCTTGGCTTGTACAAGACCTCAGAGGAAAAAGTTTTCTCTAAGATAACATTGATGATCATATTAGCTATGGGCTCTTTATAAATGGCCTTTAATGTTTTGAGCAAATTTCTTTCTATACCTATTTGTTGAGAGTTTTAATCATAAAAGGGTGATAAAATTTGTCAAATGTTTTTCTGTGTATATTGAGATAACATAGTTTTTATCTTTCATTCTGTTAATTTCATATATCACATTGATTGATTTGCATATATTAAACCAACCTGCATACCAGAGATAAATCTCACTTGGTCATGGTGTATAATTGCTTTGACATGTTGTTGAATTTTGTTTGTAAGTATTTGATTGAGGATTTTTGCATCAATGTTAATCAGAGACATTGGCCTATAGCTTTTTTTGTGGTGTCTTTCTCTAGCTTTAGTATCAGGATGATGCTGGTTTTATAAAATGAGTTTAGAAGTATTCTCTGTACTTCTAGTCTTGGGAAGACTTTAAGAATAATTAGCGTTAATTATTTTTAAAATGTTTGGCAGCATTCACCAATGAAGACAGCAAGTCTTGGGCTTCATTTTGTCGTTGGGAGTTTTGATTATTGATTTAGTCTCCTTAGTCATTATTGATCTGTTCATATTTTCTATTTCATCATGGTTCAGTCTTACTAGGTTGTATGCTTCTATGGATTTCTCCATTTCTTCTAGGACCTCCAATTTGTTGGCATATAATTATTCACAGAAGTATCTTATAATTTTTTGTATTTCTGTGGCATCAGTTGTAGTATCTTTTCTTTTACTAATAATTTTATTTGAGTCTTTTTTCAACCCAGCTATAGAATTGTAAATGTTGTTAATTCTTTAAAAAAATCACAGCTTTTTGTTTGTTGATTTGTTTTCTAGTATCTACTTGAGTTATTCTTGCTCTGATTTTTATTATTTCCTTCCTTTTGCTAATTTTGGCTTTAGTTTGTTTTTTGTCTAGGTTTTTGAGGCATAAAGCTAGATTATATATTTGAGATGATTCTTCTTTTTGAATGTAGGCATTTATTGCTGTAAACTTTCCTCTTAGTATTGCTTTTGCTGCATCTCATACGTTTTAGTAGGTTGTGCTTTCATTTTTGTCTCTAGATATTTTTTAAATTCCCTTTTGATTTCCTCTTTGATGCAGTGGTTTTTCAAGCGTATATTATTTAGTTTCCACATATCTGTGAATTTTCCCGTTTTGTTGCTGTTGTTGATTTTTAGTTTCATTTAACTGTGGCCAGAAAAAAGTACTTGGTACTGTTCCGATCTTCTTCAATTTGTTAAGACTTGTTTTGTGACCTAACATATTCTGGAGAAGGTTTTATGTGTGCTTGAGAGGAGTGTGTATTCTTCTACTGTTGGGTGAAAAGTTCCATATTTGTTTTGTAGATCCATTTGGTCTATAGTGTTGTGCAGTCTGACTTCTTTTTTTTCTTTTCTTTTTTCTTTTTTTTTTTTTTGAGATGGAGTCTTGCTCTGTCACCCAGCCTGGAGTGCAGTGGCGTCATCTCGGCGCACTGCAAGCTCTGCCTCCCGGGTTCAAGCGATTCTCCTGCCTCAGCCTCCTGAGTAGCTGGGACTACAGGCATGTGCCACCATGCCCAGCTAATTTTTGTATTTTTAGTAGAGACGGGGTTTCACCATGTTGGCCAGGATGGTCTTGATCTCTTGACCTTGTGATTTGCCCGCTTCAGCCTCCCAAAGTACTGTGATTACAGGTGTGAGCCACCACGCCTGGCCACAGTCGGACATTTAATTATTGATTTGCTATCTGGATTTTCTATTCATTATTAAATGTGATGTATTGAAGTCTCTTACTATTACTGTGTTGCTATCAATTTTTCCCTTTCAGATCTGTCAATATTTGTTTTATATTCTTATGTGTCTGATGTTGGATGTGTATGTAGTTACAATTATTATATCTTTCTCTTGAACTGACCATTTTATTGTTATGTTATGACCTTCTTTGTTGAGACAGTTTTTGGATTAAATTCTGTTTTGTCTAGTGTAAGTATAGCACTCCTGCTTTCTTTTGGTTATTATTTACATGTAATAACTTTTTCTATTCCTTTACTTTCAACCTATATGTGTCCTTGAATCTAAAATGAGTTTCTTGTGCATGGTATACAGTTGAATCTTTACAACATGGTATACAGTTGTTTTTAAATTAATTCAGCCACAATGTCTTTTTATTTGGGAGTTAAGTAAAGTCTCTTTATTTTTTATTTTTCATGGCTCATAAATTATATATGCATTCACTTACTTTATTGTTTTCAAGGATAATTATATATTAATTTTTTATTTTTATAGATTCATGGGTAAGTTGCAAATTTCTTACATGCATATATTGTGTAGTGGTAAAGTCTGAGCTTTTAGTGTCCCTATCACTCAAATTGTATCCAATAGGTAATTTTTCAACCCTCACTCCCCACACTTTACACTTTTGTATTTTTCGGTGTCGCTTATTCCACTCTGTATATCCAGGTGTATCCGTCTTTTAGCTCTCACTAATAAGTGAGAACATGCAGTATATGACTTCCTGTTTCTGAGTTGTTTCACTTAAGATAATGGCCTCATGCCACTCATGTTGCTGTAAAAGACATAATTTCATTATTTTTTATGGCTGAGTAATATTCCATGGTATGCATATTTTCTTTATCCAGTCTTCCATTGATGGACACTTAGATTGATCTCATATCTTTGCTGTTGTGAATAGTGCTGCAATAAACATAAAAGTGCAGGTATTTTTCATATAATAATTTTTTCCTTTGGGCTTATGGCCAAGTACTGGGATTGCTGAAAGGGATGGTAGTTCTATTTTCAGTTCTTTGATAAATCTCCTTACTGTTTTACATAGAGGTTTTACTAATTTACATTCCTACCACCAGTGTATAACATTCCCTTTTCTTTGCATCCTTGCCAATATCTGTTATTTTTTGACTTTCAGTAATGGTCATTCTGACTGGTGTAAAATATATCTCATTGTGGTTTTAATTTGCATTTTTTCTGATTTTTAGTGATACCAAGCATGTTTTCATATGCTTGTTGGATTTTTGTATGCCTTCTTTTGAAAAATATCTGTTCATGTCCTATGTCCACTTTTTAATGGGGTTGTTTGTTTTTTCCTGTCCAGTTGTTTGGGTAGATTCTGCATAGTAGGCCTTTATTGGATGCATGGCTTGCAAATATTTTTTCCCATTCTGTAGGTTGTCTATTTACTATGTTGATCATATATTTTGCTTTGCAGAAGCTTTTTAGTTTAACTAAGTTCCATTTGTCTATTTGTGTTTTTGTTGCATTTGACAAATTGGTCATAAATTATTTACCTAGGCCAATTCGTCTAGAAGAGTTTTTCCTCAGTTTTTTTTTCTAAGACTTATATAGTGTCACATCATACATTTAAGTCTTCAATCCATCTTGAGTTAGTCTTTGTATACAGTATACAGTTTGGTACTTCATCAGCTAGCCTGGAGAGATGGGGCCCAGTTTCTTTCTTCTGCTCATGGCAATACAATTTTTCCAGCACCATTTACTGAATAGGTTGTCCTTTCCCCAGTGTATATATTTTTGTTGACTTTATTGAAGAAAACTTAATTTTAGGTATGTGGTTTTATGTCTGGGTTCTCTGCTCTGTATCACTGAAAAGTGTGTCTGTTTTTATATCAGCATCATGCTGTTTTGCTTACTATAACCTTGTAGTATAATTTCAAGTCAGGTAATATAATGCCTTTAGCTTTATTCTTTCATTGTTGTTTGACTACTTGAGCTTTTCTTTTTTTTTTTTTTTTTTTTTTTGGTTCCTAATGAATTTTAAATTTGTTTTTTCTAATTCTGTTGAAAATGATGCTGGTAATTTGAAAGGGATGACATTGGATCTGTAAACTGCTTTGGGCCATATGTTCATTTTAGCAATATAGAGTCTTCCAATCTATGAGCATGCAATGTTTTTTCATTTGTTTGTGTCATCTATTTCTTTCATCAGGATTTTGTAATTCTTTTTGTAAAGGTCTTTTACCTCCTTGGTTGAATATATTCCTAGGTATTTTATTTTACTTTTGAAGCTATTATAAACAAGATTACCTTCTTGACTTTGTTCTCATCTTGACTGTTGTTGGTGTATAGAAATGCTACTGATTTTTATACAGTGATTTTGTGTTCTGAAACTTTACTGAAGTAATTTATTAAATCTAGGAGCTTTTGGAGGAGTCTAGAGTTTTCTAGACATAAACTCATATCACCAGTGAATAGAAATAATTTGACTGTCTCTATTCTATTTTGGATGCCTTTTATTTTGTTGTCTTGCCTAATTGCTCTGGCTAGGACTTCCAGCAATACGTTGAATAGGATTGGTGAGAGTGGGCATGCATGTCTTGTTCTAGTTTTTACAGGGAATGCTTTCAACTTTTCTCTATTCAGTATAATATTGTCTGTGGGTTTGTCTGTTCTGGCTTTTATTTTTAGATATGTTTCTTTAATGCCTATATTGTGAGAGTTTTTTTTATCATGAAGGGATATTGAATTTTTCTGAATGCCTTTTTTGCGTCGATTGGGATGATCATATTGTTTTGTTTTTAGTTCTGTAATGTGATCAATTGCACTGATTGATTTGCATATAATGAATTATCTTTGCATTCCTGGAATAAAGCCCACTTGATCATGGTGTACTATCTTTTTGATGGACTATTGGATTTGGCTAGCCAGTATTTTGTTGAAGATTTTTGTATCTATGTTCGTCAAGGATATTCGCCTGTAGTTTTCTTTATTTCGTGTGTCCTTGCTTGGAGTTGGTGTCAGGATGATACTGAGTTCACAGAAAGAGTTAGGAAGGATTCCCTCATCTTTGCTTTTTTGGAATAGTTTCAGTAGGATTCATATCAATTCTTCTTTGTATATCTGATACAATTCTGTGAATCCATCTTGTCCTGGGCTTGCTTTTGTGTGTGTGGGGGAGATTTTTAAAGGAGTGATTCTATTTTACTACTCATTACTGGTGTGTTCAGAATTTCTATGTCTTCCCGGTTCAATCTTGGGTGGTTTTATGTTTCCAAGAATTTATTCATTTCTTCTAAGTTTTCTGGTTTGCGTCTGTAGAGCTGTCTATAGTAGTCTCTGATAATCTTGTATTTCTGTGGTATCATTTGTAATATCACCTTTATTATTTCTTATTGTGATTATTTAAATCTTTTTTCTTGGTTATTCTAGTGAGTGATCTATCAACTTTGTTTATCTTTTCAAAAAACGAACTTTTCATTTATTTATTTTTGGTCTTAATGTTATTTCGTTCCGTTCTGATCTTTGTAATTTCATTTCTTCTGCTAGCTTTGGGTTTTGTTTGTTTTTATTTTTCTAGTTCCTTGAGGTGTGATCTTAGGTTGTTAACTTGAGGTCTTCCTATCTTTTTGCTGAAAAATCCACTGATAGTCTGACAGAGGCTCCCTTCATGTAACAAGCTGTTTTTCTAGTGCTGCTCTCAAAATTTCTTTGTCTTTGGATCGTTTTGTATTTATCTCATTTGGTGTTGTTTGGGATTTCTGCATCTGGCTGTTTACTTCCTTCCCCAGGTTTGGGACATTTTTAAACATTTCTTTGAATATGTTTTCTACTTGTTTCTCTCTCTCTCTCTTCTTCTGGAATATTCATAATGTGTATATTGGTCTGCTTGATGGCATCTCATTGTTACTTAAGCTATCTTCGTGCTTTTAAATTATTTTTTCTCTTTTGTTTCACTGACTGGCTAATTTCAGATGACCTTTTTTTGGGTTTCCTGATCCTTTCCGTCACTTGATCTATTCTGTTGTTGAATCTCCCTGTTGAATTTTTTAGCTCAGTTGTTGTATTCTACAGCTCTATAAATTCTGCTTGGTATTTTAAAGAATATTTTATATCTCTTTGGTGAAATTCCTAGTTTGTTCACGCATTGCTGTCCTGACCTTGATGAGCATCTTTATGACCATTATGTTAAATTATCTGTTGGATAAATCAATTATTTCCACTTTATTAGATTATGGAGATTTATCTTGCTTTTGTGTTTGGAATATATTTTTCCTGTTACTTCACTTTCCTTTAGACTTTGTGTTGATTTTTGTACATTAGATAAGATAGCCACCTGGTCAGATTGGCCTCATGTGGGAGTTAAACTTCATCAGCTAGCCTAGCTAGAAATACTGGGTACCTCTCAAATCTTCGTACCTGTCAAAAATCACTGCTTTTGTTCTTAGTGGATCGCAGGAGATTAGGGTGTGCCAAGTCTCAATAGTGTCTTGAAATAGGTGAGATAGAAGCCAGTCCTTCAAGAAAATGAAAAATTTTGGGTTCTAGATGTGAGGTCTAGTTTCCCTTCTCTTCAAGGAAACAGTGGAAGCTAGAGTTTATCTCTCACTTGCTCTGCACTAAACTGGACAGAGTATCTGTGGCAAATGTCTGTACTCTTGTTCAGACAGCACACTCTTTCAATCCATTGCTTTGCTCTTTGTCACTCCAGTGGATACCAAGTTCCACCCACTCTTAGAGACAGGTGGCTTAGCTGGAAGCTTAGTTCTATCACTGGAGCATTCCAGCAGGAGGAGCTGTGAGATGCCATTTCAGGCTCCAAGAGGACTATGGATTGCTTCATCAGCTCCCAGATACAGCCTAATTAAAAGCCTGGCCCACAGGCAACAGTTGGGATAGTCGAGACATTAGGTGTGCTGTCAAACTTCTTCCAGAAAGCAACTCAAAGCTTATCATTTGTGTTTTCTAACTCTGTCTTGAATTGTGAGAAACAGATGCTAGAAGTGTGCACTCATTTAAAATGGCCTCTTTTTTTTTGGCTGTGGTTCTGAGAAGTTACAAATGCTGATCCCTTTTAGCTCCCAGGGGGAGGTGACTTTGGAGCTAGTCCCTTGATTGGGAGCTGTAAAAGTTAGGATACTTGAGGTGTGGACAAACTCCTTCCAGAGAGAGCTGGAGATACAGCTTTGTTGCTAGAGCAAGCAAGCTGAGAGGAGAAGGCATGAGAAGTGCACACATGCCCATTCAAACCTCTGGAGGATTTCTATTCATTTTTCCTTCAGTTCCCAGATGCAGGCTAATTAGATGCCTGACCTTTAGGCAGGAGCTAGGAAAGTATACAGTAAGACCTCTTCAAGTGAGAAGCTGGGAGATGGACATTTTTGCTTGCTCACGCTGCATGGAACCTGGAGGGGATAGCTGATGAAAGTGATCATTAAAACTGCCTCTGTTCATTGTGGTGCTATAACACTCATGAATTCTGAGCCCTGTTTACTCCCAAAGCTAAGTGACTTAGAAGCTGATTTCTCAGCTGGCAACTGTAAAAGTTCGAGTACTATGTGTAAGGTCTAAACCCTTCACTCCTTAGTGAGAAGTTGTGAATTGGGAGTTCCCTTCTGATGGTAAGGTGCTGTGCTTGGGGTGGGGTTTGTGGTACAAGTATGTCTCAGATTTTTCTACTCAATTTAATGTGGATATTTTCTCATTTGCCCTCTGTGTGAAACTAGCTTCTGGATTTCTCTCAGAGGAACTTGATCAGTGTGTAAGTTATTAGTGAATTGATGGGAGGAGGAAACATCAGGAGCTTCCTTTTCCACCATCTTGCTGAAGTCCTTCAGTCTAGTGTTTAATTTTTACCACGGACATTTTATGCTCCAAGTAGCATTTGATAGGGTTGATCCTTTATGGAATTTTTTTAGCATTTGTCTTACATAAACAAGTGCTTCTATTTTTGTCTCTTACTCCATTGACTGTTCTTTGTCAAGATTATTTTTAAGATCCTCATCTTTTCTATCTACTCTGACTTCCTAGGTGATTTGATCAACCCTGTATCCTTTTTTCTCATCCTTCTGCACATGAGGGAACCCTTTATCTTGAAATCTGTCACCAAAATATTAAAATTAGTTTTGCTTTACTTCTTTTTGTTATTATTATAGCATTGAGGGTTATCTTTGTTTTTGTTGCATGTATCAGAACTTTGTTGTTTTACGTTATTTTGTGGTGTTCTATTGTGTGAAGATTCCACAGTTTATTTCCTCATTCTATTGGTGATGAAAATTGAGTTCTTTATGATTTGTGGATATGGTACATAAAAATACTATAAATATTCTTGGCTATGGCTTTCATTGGATGTAGTGCTTATTTTGGTTGGGAATGCATTCAAGAATGGAATTAGAGATATATCTAGTATATCTAATTTTAGTAGATACTGCCAAAGTTTTTTAAAATGTTTGTATCAAATCACACTTCTGTAATTAATGTGGAAGAGTTTCATTTACTCCAAAATTTCACCAACATTTGATATTGAAATTCTTTTTAATTTTAGCCATGGTGGATATATAGTGGTATGTCATGATTTTAATTTGCATTTTTCTGATGACTAATAATATTGAGAGTCTTTTCAAATGTTTATTGTTCATTTTGATATCCTTCTTTCTGAAAGTGAAGACTTCTTTTCAAGTCTTTGCTTATATGTCTTGAATTTTTACCTATTTTTAAGTTAATAATTTGAAATTTACTTTTTAGAAATTCTAAAATGCTTTTAGCATTTTATGTATTTGAGATATCTTTTCCCACTCTATAGCATGTTTGCCTTTTACTTCCTTTTCTTAATTTATTTAATTCTTAATTTGACATTAAGGAGGTACAAGTGCTTGTCTGTTACATGGGTATATTGCATGCAGGAGGGGATTGAGCTTCTGATATACCCATCACCCATATAGTGAACATTATACCTGATAGATAATTTTTCAACTGTTGCCCCTCTTCCAGAGTCCTCCCTTTTAGAGTCACCAGTTTCTATTATTTCCATTTTATGTTCCTGTATATCCATTGTTTAGCTTCCACTTATAGGTGAGAACATACGGTATTTGGTTTTCTGGTTCTGAGTCAGTTCACTCAATGGCCTCTGGCTTAATCCATGTTGCTGCAAAGGGCATGATTTTATTTTTTATGGCTGCATAGTATTCCATGGTGTATATTTATCACATTATCTTTATCCAGTTGACTCTTGATGAACACGTAGGTTGGTTCCATGACTTGGTCATTGTGAACAATGTTACAATGAAGATACAAATACAAGTGTCTGTTTGATGTAATGATTTATTTTCTTTTGGGTAGATAACCAGTAGTGGGCTTGCTGAATGGAATAGGAGTTCTGTTTTTAGTTCTTTGAGAAACCTTCATACTGTTTTCTATAAAGATTGTACTAATTTACATTCCCATCAACATTGTATAAGCAGCCCCCTTTCTCCTCATCCATGCCAACACTTGTTTTTTTGACTTTTCAATAATAGCCATTCTGGGGAGGGGTCAAGATGGCCAAATAGGAATAGCTCTGGTCTGCAGGTCCCAGTGAGACCAATACAGAGGGAGGTGATTTCTGCATTTCCAACTGAGGTACCCAGTTGCAAAATAACCAGCTAGCATCATGATGACAGGATCAAATTCACACATAACATTATTAACCTTAAACATAAATGGACTAAATGTCCCAATTAAAAGGCACATACTGGCAAATTGGATACAGTCAAGACCCATAGGTATGCTGGATTCAGAAGACCCATCTCATGTGCAAAGACACACATAGGCTCAAAATAAAGGTATGGAGGAATATATACCAAGTAAATGGAAAGAAAAAAAAAAAGCAGGGGTTGCAATCCTGGTCTCTGATAAAACAGACTTTAAACAAACAAAGATCAAAAAAGACAAAGAAGAACATTACATAATGGTAACGAGATCAATGCAATAAGAAGAGCTAACTATCCTAAATATATATGCACCCAGTACCGGAGCACCCAGATTCATATAAACAAGTTCTTAGAGACCTACAAAGAGACTTAGACTCCCACACAATAATAATGGGAGACTTTAACGCACCACTATGTATATTAGACCAATGAGACAGAAAATTAACAAGGATAATCAGGACTTGAACTCTACTCTGGACCAAGCAGACCTAATAGACATTTACAGAACTCTTCACCCCAAATCAATAGAATATACATTCACCACATAGCATGTATTCTAAAATCAACCACACAATTGGAAGTAAAACACTCCTCAGCAAATGCAAAAAATGGAAATCATATATGAACAGACACTTCTCAAAAGCAGGCATTTATGCAGCCAACAAACATATGAAAAAACCTCATCATCACTGGACATTACAGAAATGTAAATCAAAACCACAATGAGATACCATCTCATGCCAGTTAGAATGGTGATCATTAAAAAGTCAGGAAACAACAGATGCTGGCGAGGCTGTGGAGAAATAGGAATGCTTTTACACTGTTGATGGGAGTGTAAATTAGTTCTTCCATTGTGTGGAAGACAGTGTGGTGATTCCTGAAGGATCTAGAACCAGAAATACCATTTGACCCAGCAATCCCATTACTAGGTATATACCCAAAGGATTATAAATAATTCTACTGTAAAGACACATGCACACTTATGTTTATTGCAGCACTGTTTACAATAGCAAAGACATGGAACCAACTCAAATGCCCATCAATGATAGACTGGATAACGAAAATGTGGCACATACACACCGTGGAATACTATGCAGCCATAAAAAAGAATGAGTTCATGTCCTTTGCACGGACATGGATGAAGCTGGAAACCATTATTCTCAGCAAACTAACACAGGAACAGAAAACTAAATACCGCATGTTCTCACTCATCAGTGGGAGTTGAGCATTGAGAACACAGGACACAGGGAGGGGAACAACACACACTGGACCTTGTTGTGGGGTCGGGGGTAAGGGGAGGGAGCATTAGGACAAATACTTAATGCATGGGGGGCTTAAAACCTAGATGATGGGTTGACAGGTGCAACAAACCAGCATGGCACATGCATACTTATGTAACAAACCTGCATGTTCTGCACATTTATCCCAGAACTTAAAGTAAAATTAAAAATAAATAAATAAATAAATGTGTGTGCTCCAAAACAAATAGTATTAGCCATTCTGATTGGTGTAACATAACATGATATCTCATTGTAGTCATAATTTTCATTTCTCTGTTGATTAATGATGTTAAGGTTTATTTTTTTCATGTATTTTCTGGTTGCTTGCATTTCTTCTTTTGGGAAATGTTTGTTCATGTCCTTTGCCCAACTTTTAATGGGGTTGTATGTTTTTTCTCTTGTTGAGTTGTTTGAGTTCCTTGTAGATTCTGAATATGAATCCTTTGCCAGAAGCATAATTTGCAAATATTTTCTCCCTTTCTGTAGATGGTCTGTTTATTCTGTTTTTTTTTTTCTACTGTGCAGAAGCTTTTTAGTTTAATTAATTCCCATTGTCTATTTTTTGTTTTAGTTGCATTTCATTTTGGAGAAAATATCACTTAATGATAAATTATTTGCCTAGGCCAATGTCCAGAATATTTTTTTCTAGGTTTTCTTCTAGAATTTATGTAGCTTCAAGTCTTATATTAAATCTTTATTTTTTATATATGGTAAGAGATAAGTGTCCATTTTCATTCTTCTGCATATGGCTGGCCAATTTTCCCAGCACCATTTATTGAAAAAGATGTCCTTTTCCCATTGTTTATTTTTGTCTACCTTGTCAAAGATCATTTGGCTGTAGGTTTGTAGCTTTGCATCTTGATTCTTCATTCTGTTCCTTTTATCTATGTATGTATTTTTGTACCAGTAGCATGCTGTTTTAGTTATTATAGCTTTGTAGTATAATTTGAAGTCAGGCAGTGTAATTCCTCCAGATTTGTTCTTTTTGTTTAGAATTGCTTTAGTGATTTGGGGTCTTTTCTGGTTCCATATAAATTTTAGGATTCTTTTCTTATTTGGTGAAAAATAGTGTTGGTAATTTGAAAGGGATTGCATTGAACCTGTAGATTACTTTGGTCAGAATGGTCATTTTAATCATATTGATTCTCTAACTCATGAGTATGGGAGGCTTTTTTATTTGTTTGTGTCATCTATGATTTCTTTCATTAGTGTTTTGTAATTCTCCTTGTAGAGATCTTTCACCTCCTTGGTTAAATGTATTCCTAGATACTGTGTGTATGTGGGAAGGCTATTTTCAATGTGATTTAGTTATTGATTCGGTTCTCAACGTGAAATTTATTGGTTTGTAGAAATGCTACTGGTTATGTACATTGATTTTTGTATCCTTAAACTTTATTGAATTTATTTACCAAGTCTAGGAGTCTTTTAGAGGAGTCTTTAGGGCTTTCTAGGTATACGATCATGTCATCAGTGAGCTGAGATAATTTGACTTCCTTTTTTCCAATCTGGATGTCTTTTATTTTGTTGTCTTGTCTTATTGGTCTGGCTAGGACTTTCTGTACTATGTTGAATAGGAGTGGTGAGAGTCAACATTCTTGCCTCTGCACAGGAAAGGTAAGATAGCTTAGGCTGTTGATCTATTTAAGTGGGTGCTCCAAATGCCTGGAGATCTGCCTGGGCATGGAGTGGAGAGATCCCTGCTGCACCATGATCTTTGCACAAGAAGGGCAGGGTGGCTGAGGCTGCCAAGCCAGGTGAGTGTGTGTTTCAAATGTCTGAAGATATTCCTGAATGTGGAGCAGAGAAGCCCCTACTATACTACAATCTCAGGGGAACACACTGGGCCACCCAGCAATGACAAACACAAATCAGTTTCAGGCCACAAAGCTGTTCCTGGCTGCAAGTTTCATTGCCCAGGAGAAATTGCAGTTTCAGCAGCTTTCCTCCCTGTATTAGTCCATTTTCACTTTGCTATAAAGAAATACTTAAGACTGGGTAATTTATAAAGAAAAGTGATTTAACTGGATCATGGTTCTGCAGGCTGTGCAAGAAGCATGGCAGCATCAGCTTCTTGTTGGGGGATGGGGGGAGGGTCTCAGGGAACTTAAAATCGTGGCAGAAGGCAAAAAGGACTGATGCACTTCACATGGCTAGAGCTGGAGGAAGAGAGAGAGGGGGAGGTGCCACACACTTTGAAACAACCACATCTTGTGACCATGCTATCATGAGAGCAGCACCAAAAGGGTATTGCTAAACCATTCATGAAGGATTCACCCTCATAATCTACTCACCTCCCACCAGGCCCCACCTCCAACACTGCGGATTACAATTAAATATGAGATTTACGTGGGGACACAGATCCAAACCATATCGCTCGTACTCCAGTCCTGTGACAGGACAGAGCCCAATTTCAGCATCTACTGTTGGAGAATTAACTACACTTGCCACTCAATCTGGCTGTGGGGTTCCTTTACCAACTCTAGAGCAAGCACTTCAACCTCTGGCCCGAGACTAGAAAGCCTGCGCAGCCACACTGCCGGGTTACTAAGTTATGACTGACTTTGTATGAGCCTGTATTAAAAATGGAGTCCTCCTCTCAGTCCTGGGCCTGGAAAAATTTCTGCAGCTTTTCCAGGTGTATTTTCCTTTTAGCATTTCCCAGCCACTCCCCAAGTTAGCTCCAGGGCTTGGGACAAGCAGGATGCTCTTCCTAGGCCTAGGTTGCAAGGATCCCTAGTGGAAAGGTGAGTTACAGAGGAAGACTCTCTGTCTACCTCATGTGCAGGTGCTTCACTCAATTTTATCAGGCAAATGCCATAATGGGGGCTGCTTGCTCACCTTATCTTTTCCGTGATTTGGGTGTCCTTTGCTATTCCAGTGAATTCCCATTTTCTTTCTTGAATTAAAGCTCACAGGGTTGATCTTTATGCACTGTTTTGCTATTTCCAAGTGGCTGAGGTATGCTAAAAGCATCTAATCTGCCATCTTGGAGGACAAAAACATACCCATTATTTGCTTAATAGTGACTTTTGATAAATAGAAATTCTTAATTTTAATGAAGTCCAATGTACTATTTCTTTTATTATTAGTGCTTTTCAAAAACCCTGTGAAAAACATCTTTTCCAATTTTAAGGTAATACAAATATTTTTCTATGTTTTATTTTAGAAGCTGTCTGATACAGGTCTATAAATCGTGTGTGTGTGCATGTGTGTTTGTTTATGGGGTGAAGTAGGGGGTCAAGGTTTATTGTTTTCCATATGAATACACTATTGACTTGGCACAATTTATTATAAATATTTTCCCTGAAATACATATTAATAAATAGTTTCTTAGAAATCAGTTGATTGTACATATGTGGCTCTGTTTCTCACATCTTCATTCTGTCCCACTGGTCAGTTGGTCTATACTTGTGAAATACATGTGGTTTTAATTACTGTAGATGTAGAGTAAGTCTTAATCTCTGGTAATGTAAATTTTTTAGCTTTTTATCTTCTTACTTGATGTTTCTTTTGCTGTTCCAGGTTCTGTGCCTTTCCATATAGATTTTATAACTAGCTTGTGGATTTCCATAAAAAAAAAAGAACAAAAATAAACAACAAAACTCTGTGACTTTAGCATGGACTGCCTTAAATAAGTAGAGCAAATTGAGGAGAACTACCATCTAAACAATTTTGAGTCTTTTAATCCTCAAACATGGTAATATACTATCATTTATTAAAGTCTTTAATTTCCTTAATAATATTTTATAGTTTCCACGGTAGAGGTCTTAAAAATTTTTGTTATATTTGCTCTTAGGAATTTGATGTTTTTGATGTTATCGTAAGTGGTATGGGTTTTAAATTTCATTTTTAAATATTCATTGTTATATAAAAATATAATTGACTTTTTTATATTGACTTTGTGCTCTGAGACCTTGATAAATTGAATTATTAGATCCAAGTAGGCTCTTTTTTAGAGTTTTTAAGATAATCTAAAATATCAAAATATCATCTATGCAAAGATAGTTTTACTTCTTCTTTTTCAACCTGGAATTTTTTTTTTTTTTGCCTTATTGCAGTCGTCAGATTGTCTAGTACAATATTTAACAGATGTCATGAAAACAGATTGTCTTGTTCCTGATATTAGGGAGAAAGCATTCAGTCTTTCAACATTAAATATGATGCTAGCTGTAGGTTATTTCATAAATTTCCCTTTTGAAGTCAAAAAATTTGATCTGTTCATGTATTAGTTTAAAAAATCTTACATGGGTATTAAATTTTGTCAAATAATTTTTCTGCATCTTTGAAATAATCATATTGGTTTTTTTTATATGTTAATATGGTGAATTGCATATGTTTTTCAATGTTAAACCAACATTTTTGGATTGAATCCCACTTGTTCATTGCATCTGTTAGGGTTTTCCAGAGATAAAGAAACAATAGAAGATGCATGTGTAGATACACACACACACACACACGCACACACACACACACAAACGTACATACATATAAATATATACACACATACATGTATTACATATGTATATATTATGTATGTTATTATAAGGAATTGGCTTATATGGTTATATAGGCTAATCTGCTGTCTGCAAGCTGGAGAATCAGGAAAGCTGGCTGGTATTATTCTGAGAAGTAGAGAACCAATGGTATAAGGGAAGGAGAAGACTGAAGCCTCACTTCAAACAGTCATAGAGACAGAATCCAAACTTTCTCAGACCGTTTCTTTGATTCAAGTGCTCAGTGGGATGGATGATGCATGGTGCCTACACACACTGAGGAGGGCAATCTGCTTTTGCTCAGTCTACCAATTTAAATGTTAATTTTTTTTTCCTGGGAACACCCTCACAGACACACCCAGAAATAATGTTTAACCAAATTATCTGGGCATCCTGTGGTCTAGTTAAGATGACATAAAGTTAACCATCACAGCCATTAAATATTATAGTCTTAGATAATGTTGGACTTTATTGTTAAAATTGTGATAAATGTTTTTGAATTTGTATTCATGAGAAATATGGGTCTTTAACTTCCTCTCATGTAATAGTTACATAGTTTTTGTATTAGGGTAATACTGGCCTTCTTCAATTTTCTGGAAGCATTTGTTCTTTAAAATTTTTTATTTCTTCTTTTAAAATTTGGTAAAAGTTACCAGTAAAGCCTAGAGTTTTCTTTGGCAGAAGACTTCAAATTATAAATTCAATTTTTCTAATAGATGTGTGGATATTTGGATTATCTATTTTTTCTTGACTGAGCTTTGGTAGTCTGTATTTTATTAAGAAATTTGTCCATTCTTTATGTTGTCAAATTTGTTGGTATAAAAGTTTTTTACAATATTCTCTTATCTTCTTAAAATCTAGAGCATTTGATGTTTCCTCTTTCATGCTTCAGACTGGTTTTTTGTGTCTTCTGTTACTTTTCCTGATCAGTCTGACTAGAGGTTTATTAACCTTACTGATCTCATCAAAGAACCACTCTTTGATTTCATTATTATTTCTCAGTTCTTTTTTCCTGTTTTTTTTATTAATTTGTTATCTCTATTCTTTCTTCTTCTTACATTTAGTTTAATTTGATTCTATTTTTCTAGTTTCTCAAGATAGAAACATATCATTGATTTTTAAGCATTCAAGTTTATAAGTTTTCCTCTAAGTACTGCTTTTCTTGCATTCCGCAAATTCTTTATGTAGTTTCTTTATTTCATCCAATCCAAAATATTTTCTAATTTCCATTGTGATTTCTATTTTGATTAATAGTTTACTCATATGTGTGCTGTTTAATTTTCAATTATTTAGTAATCTTTCAGGTACTACTCTGTTATTAATTTCTAGTTAATTTCTATTGTGATCTAAGAATAAGCTCTGCATACTTTCAATTTTTAAATATTTTTAGAATTTTATTTTATTTATTTTGAATGGCCCAGAATTTGGTTTATTTGGTGTATATTCCATGTGTGCCTGAAAAAATATATATTCTATTGTTGTTGAGTATAGTGTTATATAAATTTCAACTAGGTGAATTTGACTGATAGTGGTTGTTCAATTCTTTTATAAATGATTACTTGTTTTGTCAACTTTTTATAAACCAGTTACTGAGAAGGGAATGCTGACATTTTCAACTATAATTGTAGATGTGTTTTTAACTTCCTCTGTTACTTTGATCAGGTTTTGTTTCAGGTGTGTTGCATCTCTGTTATTAGCATCATGCACATATAGGATTGTTATGTTTTCTTGATGAGTTGATACTTTTATAAAATATTTTCTTTGTTATAATAATCTTTGTATTTTAGTAGAGTAAGTGTTTAAAGTTATTAGAGAGTATGAGGGCTAACTCACTCATATAAAGATTAACTCATAGCCCACAGTATGAGAGGTATTAGTGAGAGAGTCTGATGGCAGAAGTTTGTGACAGGGTAGGAGAAGAGGACATTCAATTGGAGGCACATTCTCCTACTGCAGGTCTGGAGACTTGGGAGTGAGATATTCAGGGAGTGCCTGTCTGATGGTGTTATTTTCTCTGGGAAACAAGAAAAAAGACCTCTGCTGAGAGTGCAGGAGGAAGTTAAATGCTCTAATAATTTATTCATGTGCTCAGTGATTGGAAATTCTCTGACAGGAGTCTTTGTTGTGGCCATCACTGTTGAGGCCATCTGACTAAAAGTATAAAGAAGTAAGCACCAGGCTTGGTGACAAAATCTAGGGGCTGAACAACAAAGCATTTTTAGATAGATGAAAAATAGATAGATAGATAGATAGATAAGCAGACCTAGATTTCCTAACACGTTCTGGCTACTGTGGAGTTTTGCATAAAGTGTATCTTTAATACTCCCAACAATTCTATAAGACAATCTTTTATTATTACATTTTAGGTATGAAAACACTGAGGTTCAGAAAGAGAAAGTGATTTCTAAATTTTACTACAGCAGAGCTACAATTTGAAAACAGACTTGTTTGATCCCTAAGTTCATTTAATTGTTACTTAATTACATGTCTACAAAACAAGATCCAGGGTTGCAAATCCTAAGTGGTAGAAAAGTACAAACTATTAAGAGGTTGGAGCCTGAAAGAGAGCAATAAAGGATGCTAAGGTTTGGAACTCAAGCTTTGTGGGAAAAGACTGAGGAACCTTCAGTGAAAGGTAAATTCCCTTGAGGAAGGAAGGCAGGCCAATGAAGGGATGGCTCATAACAATTTTTAAATACGTGGACACTTTCTTTCTGAAGAAGAGCATCAAAGCATTGACATAAAAGCCAATAAGCAGAAGAGAGTAACACATTATTGTTTTATGGTATATACTAGCTGTCACAAGAGTCTAACACAATTCCTATTGGCTGTTCTGTTGGGGAGACTTCTTACCACTATTTTGATGCTATGAAAGACGCTATCACAGAATGCTCTAGGAACACAGAAGACGACTGCCCAAGCTAGACGGGGTGGTGGTGGACCTAGGAGAACCTTCCAAGGGAAGGTGAGGGAGCAGGGCACATTTGGAGAACTGCTGGCAATTCATTAAATAAGGCTGAAGAATAGGACTCAAGTGAGAAGTGACAAATGAGCCAGAGGTAGGGAGGGGCCAAGTTTATAGGTCACTTTCACATCCTCTAAGACTCTGAGCACCTTAAAAGCCAGGACTGTACCTTGCTCATCTTTGCCTACTACGATGTTTAAAACATAGTTGACTCTATAAACATGTTGGCAAAGAGATTGTGTTTTATTCTAAAGGCAAAAGAGCTATCACAGGATGAAGTGCAGAGGAGGAGCATGATCACATTTGGGTTTTAAAAAGCTTGAGGGATTCCAGGTGGCTGAGCCAGGATGACATTTACCTTTACCAATGCCTTGGGCATGTGATAAGGATGAGGACTCTATGAAAGGGGACAGAGAGTCAGTGCTGGGAGCAGAAAGAGATCAAACTGTGGAGAAGGGGCCTACTGATGGTGACCTCTAAAAGCCAAAATGAGAAATTTGGCATAAAATCAAATAAGGAGATCAGGAATCATTATATAATGATGAATTGAAAACAGTATCTTAGAAAATTTGATTTAACAATGAATTACAGGGGCAAAAACTTAAAGGGTGACTGTGTAGTCTGGGGACTTCATGGAGTTGATTAGGAGGTGGAATTTCAAGCCAGGTTCTTGAGAGGAGGAATGAAGAGAAAGAGAAAAATTATTGAAAGAAAAAATTAGTACTTGGTGATTATGTCCTTTTTTTCATTCATTTATAATGTATTTATTCACTGATATATCATTCTATAAAGAACTTAAGTGACATATGGATAACAAAAGATAAGTTTAAAAACCTCCAAGGTTTTGATCCTGAAGAAAAAGTACCATTGAGTGGAACTAAAGTTTACTTGTGGATAATGAGGAAAGATGAATTTAATTTGTGCATAATAATAATAATGTAGGCTGGGCACGGTGTCTCACGCCTATAATCCCAGCACTATGGGAGGCCAAGGTGGATGGATCACGAGGTCAAGAGATTGAGACCATCCTGGCCAACATGGTGAAACCCCATCTCTACTAAAAATACAAAAATTATCTGGGTGTGGTGGTGCTAACCTGTAGTCCCAGCTACTCAGGAGGCTGAGGCAGGAGAATCACTTGAACCCGGAAGGCGGAGGTTGTAGTGAGCCGAGATCATGCCACCGCACTCCATCCTGGGCAACAGAGTGAGACTCCGTCTCAAAAAATAAAAATAAATAAAAAAGTAATAATAATGTAAAGAAACAATAGAAAAATATCTATCAGACATGTACGACGTCCCAGGCATTCTGGTATGTCTTATATGTATTATTTCTTTCTCACAGCCCTGTGATATACACTCTGTTACTAGTCCTATTTTATAGCTCAGAAAATTGAGTCTCAGAGGTCAAGTTGCTCAAGGTCACAGAGCTGCAAATGGTAGGACATGGATTCAAACAAGACTGGATAATTGTATAGCCACACTTCGAATCAGTGTACACTATCGTTTTCCCCTATACGTGTAGTTCTTAGTTGACAGCTGGGCATCCAAGTGGAGATGTTCTGGAAGCAGAAAATATGGAATTAAAACTTGGCTCCCACTGCACTCCAGCCTGGGTGACAGAGTGAGACTCTGTCTCAAAAAAAAAAAAAAAAAATCTTGGCTCAAGGGTCTAGTCAAGAGTTTTTACTTTCAGAGTCAATAACATGGTGGTGATACTTGATGTTAACTTGTGGATTGTATTCAAGTTCATGGGATAAACAGGTCAGTAGATACTGGGTCTGAAAATATTTTAAACATTGCCATTCTAGGGTGTCCAGGAAGTTTTTTCATTTTAGGTAAAAGTTGATTTTTTTTTTTTCCTCCAGGAAAGGTCACTTTGGAATGTTGTTTCAGTCAAACAGCTATAAGCTAAATATACACAGTGTTTTTGAAGGCTCGCTTCAGACTTGATTTTCTAAGTCTTCTGCTTAGTAATACATATTGGGGTGCTCAACAGGGATACTTTTCTGAAATATGGACCTGCAGTTGCAGAGTGAGAAGAGGTACATGTAGGTGTGCATGTGTGTGTGTGTGTGTGTGTGTAGGTGTGTATGTGGGGGTGTGTTGGTGTGGGGGTGTATATATGTGTGTTATGAACAGGAGGCCACAGGAGTTCAGGCTTACAGATCATCTAGAAAGACAAGAAAGGTAATAGGAATATCTTCCTCTTACTCTGGTGGCAAGAGGCTGAACAAGAAGAGCTGGAATCTTCACCTTGATGATGTGTTTGTGTCCCAAATACATTGTCATTTTTAATAAACTCTGTGAAATTTGGGGATAGGCTCCTGGATCTTGTAGTTGCATTCTCAGGACAATGGGGGCAAACATAAAAAGAGAGCTTTGAGTTCCAGTCTCAGTTCTGATCTGGAAAAAGTCATGTAACTTCTCTTTACCTGCAATAATATAAATAACATATTTAGCTCATAGGGTTAAATATATGTAAAGTTCTTAACATTGTGCCTGGCACAGAATAGGTGCTTCACAAATGGTAGGTTTTAGCTATTAATAATGATAATAATAATACCTGATTTGGAATACTTCCAAATACTTGTAGTGAGTGCTTAGAGTAGGCAGACATTATACTAAGTACTTCATGTGCATTATCTCATTCAATCTCCATAACAATCCTATGATACAGATGCTAATGTCATCTTCAGTTATGAAGAAGCTCAGGCACAGAGTTGTAGTGACTTCCTCACAGTCACAGTATTAATAAGTGATAGATCTGAGATTCAACCCATGCTGACACTAGAGCCCAATCAATTCTGTCTTCTATTACTCACTTGCTTCTATTGAAGGCTTCTCCTGTGACAGATCTTTCATAATTGACCATCAGTGACTTTCCAGCCAGGATTACTGCTGTTCAGTTTTACTACTTCCCCTGTTAGCTTCTGCTGTAATTGAGGCTGTCAACATCATGGAAGAGAATTCCTCCTGCAGGAAAGAAGTCATGGCTTGGAGTAGAAAATGACCTATATTTTTCCTCTGGGTCCTAAGAGAGTTGATTCTAGGTTCTAAGTTGGGGCTTCCCATTGTTAGATGCTGAGCTAGTTGACAGCCTTCTAGGTACTAGATTTGAACCAGTGTGTCCTAAGTGTAGCCTCTTCTCAGATCCAATTCCATTGAAAGCCATCAACTACTCTTTGTGATGTACTTTATCTCCAAGCCTTCTGGAGTAACAAGTTAAACATTTCAGTGGATCTTAGCTTTACTTTGGGGAATAATACAGGTATAGGCCAAGCAACATCAGCCTGAATCAGCCAGTTAAACAGATGGTGTCTTAGTACATTCTTGCTGCTGTAACAAAATATCTTAGGTTGAATAATGTATAAACAATAAAAATGTATTGCTTATAGTTCTGGAGACTGGGAAGTCCAAGACTAAGGTGCCAGAGGATTTGGTGTCTGATTAGGGCCTGTGCCTCAGAGATGTCATTTTCTTTGTGTCCCCACATGGTGGAAGAGACAAACAAACTCCCTTGGGCCCCTTTGATAAGGGCACTAATCCTATTCATGAGGGCAGAACCATCATTACCTAGTCACATCTCAAAGACTCTGCCTCTTAATACCACGACACTGGGGATTAAGTTACAACATACGAATTTTGGAGTAACAAAAGCTTTCAGACCATAGCAGATAGAGGAAGGTCCGTGAAATTCTGTGGCAGCAATTGTTTAGACCATCAAAGCAACAGCCATCATGGGTTTGTGTAACATGTTAAATATTTGTGTAGCAAGAATTCCCAAAATTATATGAGAAAGGAAAAGTAGCAGAGAATTGGATTTTCTGCCATTAACAAGACAGGGACAAAGACAAATATTTGGAATTCTTGCTGGTCTTTTAAAATGGTATCTTACAATATTACAACTTTAAACACAACTGTCACATTGGACTTGCACTTCAGGGGGAGCCAATAATTAGAACGCAATGTGAGTAGTGCTCTCTAGGATTGTATAATACAATCATCCTGTTTAGGGAAAAATAGACCCCCCAAAGCAAAGAGATTAGAGGCATTTGAATTGCATAAAAATCATTGTCATCATTATTTAGTCTCAACTATGAGCTAGGCATTTTGCATTAATTATGTTGCTAATCCTTGTGACAGTGCTGCTTTTTTATTATTAGCATCCCTATTTTACTAAAAAGGAAATTGAGACTGAGACAGGTTAAGTGACTTGCCCAGTGTCATATAGCTAATAAGTTGATTAAGCTAGAATTTAAACCGAGGCCACCTTATTCCATGGTGTGGGCACTTTTCGTCATAGTATCCTGCCAGGACTAAACCTTGGATTAACATGGGAAACAGGGAAAAGTATGAAAGGAAGTTGATAAGTCAGAGTTGAGGGCAACAGAACCCATGGGAATTTCAGGATGACCGTCATGATCAGAGGTACGAGTTGCAACAGAAAGTCAAGATAGCACAAAATATAGGCAGGAAACACAGAGCAGGAGTGTAAGAGTTTGTTTGTAACTTCAGTGACATGGATGCTAGATTTACCTATTAAATGTGAAGGAATGTTCATAACATAGTGACAACACCTAAAAAATATCTTCCTCTTAAGAGACTAGAAATTAAACTAAGAAAAAACAGAACAGTAAGTATGTCAGTCAGAATACATCAATTTAAGCTACAGTAACAAACAGCTTTCAAACCTTGATAACAATGTACACAGCAAAGATTTCACCACTACATGCCCTTTGGCTGGCATTCTGCTCTGTGTGTCCTCACTTTTGGACCCAAGTTGATGGAACATCTACTATCTGGAGTGTTGATGGGTATCAGCAAATAGAAAGGGAGCTCTGAATAATCTTGCATTGACAAATAAGTGTTCTAGTAGAAGTGACAGACGTCCCTTTCCCTCACAACTCCATGACAAGATCTAGTCACATAGCCCTACCTAATCACAAGGATTTCATCAGGAGACATAAACCAGACCTAGGCATGTGGTACTAATGACTCCCATCATATGGGAATGATACAGGCGGTAGTACCCAGGATTTTCTCCTCCCAAGGCAAGTTTGATGTTTTTAATACGTGAAGGCAGAAGACAAAAAGCCAGTTGATCAAAATAGGAAAGATTGTGGATATAAAAAAGCATGCACAAGCAACAGAGCTGTCTTTAGAGGGATGGGAAGGAATGTGATAAGGAACATAGGAAAAAAAAGATCAGCTTGAAAATGGACAAGTTTTCTGAAATTGCTGGTTTTGAGTAGGAGATCTCTCTCTCTCTCTGTCTCTCTCTCTCTTTCTCTCTCTGTCTCTCTCTCACACACATACACAGAGAGAGAGGTGAGAAAAAGAGAGAGAGAGAGAAATGTTGAAGTGAAAGGACAGGAGAAACCTGGAGTAGTCACTGTAAGAGATGGACTAGAGAGTCCTGGTTATGCCTCATAAATCCATTCAGGGCCATATTGAATAAATGAAGCTGAAAGCTAAGCCCAAAAGGACAAAGGAAACCATAAGTCTAGATGGCATCTGAAATAGTGTTTTACTCCCTTTCTTTCCCTAAGAAAAAACAGTCATTCTAAAGTTATGTGGTTTCCTTCACATATGGGAAAAACACAACAACCCTGCAGCTTATGACATTGCTGTCCATGTGTATAAACATGAAAAAATGAACAATTCATGGGTAAGGGAATTTTTCTCATCAATGGCCCCACTCATCTTCACAGGCTGTCTCCTACTGTGAGACTGGACAAGCAAGCCATCTGTGTCTTGGTTTATTTAGATAAAACAAGAATTTTGACTTATATTTCCAAGAAAATGAACTCTGCTCCAAAAGTTGAGCAGAAATTTCCCATAGAGTAATTTAATCAATCCCTGGGAACACCTCATTGCTTTTTGGAATTAGGAACAGCACCAATGTAATTTCCTATATATACATCATTCAAGACTTTTAAAGTTGCAAGTAGCAGAGATCCTGGCTCATACTAACTTAAGCCAACATGGAATGTGTTGTTTATTATAACTAAAACAATTCTGAGTATAGAATTAGGCTTCAACTACATCAAGGGTTTCAATAGTATCATCAGGACACAATCATTCTGACTCCCCCTCTCTTCTTATTCTAATTTCTTCTCTTTCTCATTTATTTCTATTTTACTGTTTTCATCTCTAAGTCCTTCTTTCCACTCTTTTGAATTTATTCTCAAGCAAACTCTCTTACATGATAGTAAGATGCCCACCAGCATCTCCATGTCTATATTTTATAAGTCTAAAGGAAAAGAAATATATTTCTCCCTAACAATTTCAACAAAAATTCCATAGTTGTGCTTCTCTAGCCCTGATTGGCTGACTTGGGACATGTGACCATCCTGGCTGCAACTCTGTGATGTATCCTGTTTAGGCAGGTCCAGATCACATCATCCTCCTCCAGCTAGGAATAGGTCTAGGGTAGGGATATTGTTTCAAGGAATATTAGAGCATTGGTAGCAGATGGTGGAGTAATGCATGCTGTTGAGGCCAAAACAAATGTGTACTACATTCAAAACATTTTAAATATAATTTCTGTACTTCCATACATTCTTTAAAGTTTTGGGCTCACAATAATGATGTTTCCAGTCAAAGAAACTAACATTGTTCATGGCTGTTTTGATTCATTATTTTTCTTTAGGTGGCACTCTTAGTAAAGACTGTATTAAAAATGAGGAAGGTAATAAGAAAAAAAAAGCAGAACCAAACATAAGCTAAAGTCAGAATATTTTCATTGATGGCTAACTAGAATTATTCTATAATTACCCCACCACAGCCCTGAAAGTGAGTCACCAAGAACTGAATATTTATAAGCTTTCTGACCTCAAAAAATTCAAAATCTTAAATGGGGTCACCTAAGGAGACTGTGGAAAACTTCCATGCAACTTATTGGCAGATGATTTCAGTTCTTATTTCAACAAGCTTGGTATGAAATGCATGCCATCTGGTTACTGGGAAAATTCTAGTGCATATTAACTGCTTGTGTGAGAGACATTCCTGCCATTTAGTTGTAAATGATTGCACCTGCAAGTGAAAAAAAAAGAAAAAAAAAAAAAGAGCATGTCTTATCATTTGCTCCCAGGGCTGGAAGATTTGATGACACAATACCGCTATTTCATCCACTTTTAAAATCTGCATCTGATCAGTACAGCTGTTCTCCCACAACTATTTTGAATATGCTGTGTTGTATACTACAGCATAGGATTGTTGGGAGAAATTTTTTAAATAGCACTAAATGTGGAGACTGCAATGGTCCCTTTCTATTTCTTCAAGGCATTTCTGACTATTTCAAAGTAAAATGTAGGTACTTCTGATTTTCATTTCAACTCTATTAAAGAAGCATATTTCAGGAGAAAAGCTTGTATGTGATTCTGTATTCTCCAGGTCCGACTCACATTGGTTGGCAGATCTCTGCCTAAAATGAAGTTATATAGGCACAAGAGAGAAGCCTCTATGTATGGGTCCATCTTCACTTTCCAAGCAAGACAATAGTGATTATCTATGCATCTGGTTTCAAACTCGGAGATCCATGTGCTTGAAAAACTGAAAACCTTGTTACAAAAAGCCTGGCAATACTACAGCTTAATTAATGGATTCAAACTTTATTTCATTTGTGATCCAGTCTGCATTGCCCTCAATACTGCAAAGCCAGCATAGACTAAAGGAGTTCTTGTTGGTACAGCAGAAAGATGATAGAATTTAGAGCTTAGATACAGTTTATTTATATCCTAGCTCTGCCACTTATTAACTGTGCGATCTTGGGAAAATTATTTGCATTCTGTGGGCTTTAAGTTCCTCAAAAGGGGATTAAATACAATTATCCCAGTGAAAAAGAGATGTTTTAATGAAATATGTGAAAGTTCTTGGCACATAGTTAGAATTAAATAAGTGTTAATCGAATGTATCTTCCCTACCTCAAGCATTATAGAAGAGCTCTATTGCATTCAGTCTTCCCAAACTAATCTCCTCTATCAGCTGAATTTACAGCACGCATAAATTATTCTGTTTAATGAATAGCATAGAATCAGATTGCAAGCTCCTCATGGGTAGGAAGCAGGCTTTCTTCTTCATTTTTAAGTGTCAGGTTTTGAGAAAGAATAAGTGAATGTAACTATTGGCAGCATCCTAACCAGTGGAGCTAATTTTATTCCTCTAACACCTATGAAAACCCTCTAGGCAGAACATTTAAAGTATCATTTTGTTTAATAGAGCTCTGATAACCTATTGCCAGAGGTGATCAATTTAATTAAACAGAGAAATTCAGCTATTGATGTGCCCATATCATATAAAATATGGCAGTCAAAGTTCCAGGAATGCAAAATGATTGAAACAAGTGGTGACAAACATACTTATTCAACATCACCAACCTAAGAGGAATACTATACTCTGTTCAGAGATGGAATGGAATTATCAATGATGGCAGCTGAGTAATAACTTGAACCACGACAGTGGGATGGGCAACTGGACTCGTGATATCTCAAATAAAGCCTCTAAATCAACAAATGTGGTGTGGACATCAAAGTCAAATGGTAAACATTTTGAAGACCTGTAACAGCTTATCAACAGAGAAGACATAGTATGGAGTACAACAAAATAGAGACCAGGGATAATGATTTTCAACTATTACCCATCTTTGAAGAGTACCAAAGAATTGAATGGTTGAATCTATTCTTGTTCTTCTGGTTCTTAATGACTTTTTCTCAGAAAAAAATTAGACAGATACATAATTTAGAAAAAAGAAAAGCAAATCTTCATTATTGTATGAAAGGTGTTAAAAATAAAAATACTAATGTTTTATTTATTTGTACTCCAAATTTTCAGGGATATCAATTTGCTTCTTAAACATTTAATTTTACTGTACCAGATTCCAAATGGAGGGCATTGTTTAAAACATTTAGTTTTCCTTAATACCTTTAATGTCTGATATTTGTGATTAATAATTTATATCTTTTAAATCAATGTTTTATCTTTAAAATGTTTCATATTATTAATATGTTTAATATTAAAATTATTTTTAAAGAGCTTTATGCTCCTTTGGCTATGATTCACTAATACTAATAATATTTTGGTTAAGAGAATTTCTTTTTTACTGAATTCATGAGATTTTTAGAAAAAATATTTAATAGTTCAAGATTGAAGTTGCATTTTATTAATTAGAGCTGGAATTTTATTTCTTCATTGTTAAATGTTGTTGCTATTGGAAACATTACTTAAATAATTGTTGGTTTATTGCACAGGTTGGTTAAGGTCAAGGAGACTAAATCCTATCCTGGATTTCAGAGATAACAGAACATATCTGTTTTGATCAGGGAGGTACCATGTGTAAAAAGACGTTCTCTCTCTGGGATCATACCACTTTGCGATTTTAAGATCTTTAATATTTTATGCATTGTGCATTTGTCAGACAAGAAGATACTTTTCCCCATTAAAAAGACATTTCTATTGAGGAAATTGTAGGCCAAAATAACAGCTTATATTTCAGTTAGTAAAAGTTGACCAAAGCTATAAAAGTACAAAGTGTAATTCTACAAGGAATATAACAAATATAATTATAAACCATTAATTACTTTTTTATCTTGATTTTTATCTTTATATTGTGTATGGTCTTAAAAACAGTGATTTTGAAATTAAATATGTTTAAAATAATTATTTAAAGCAAACTATTCAATATTTAAGGCTGTTTTTAATTATTTGGCTTTCTGTGTTTAATTGCACAGTTCTCTAATTCTGCTCTCCATGAAAATGTAGTCCTAATTCCTTCCCCCCAACTCCCCTCCCCTCCCCCCTCCCCTCCCTCCCTCCCTCCCTCCCTGCCTTCCTTCCTTCCTTCCTTCCTTTGGAGACAGGGTCTCCCTCTGTCACCCAGGCTGAAGTGCAGTGGCACGATCATGGTATACTGCAGCCTCAAACTCCTGGGCTCAAGCAATTCTTTCTCCTCAGCCTCCCAAGGAGCTGGGACTGCAAGTACACACCACCATACCACAGGGTTATTTTACATTTTTTCTAGAGACAGGGTCTTGCATTATTGCTCCAGCTTATTCCAAACTCCTGGCTTCAAGTAATCCTCCTGCCTCAGCCTCCCAAAGTATTGGTATTATAGGCATGAACCACTGCACTCAGCTTGTAATCACAATTTCTTATTTTGTCCTTCACAGGATATATAGTTCCACTTTCTAATTTCACCACAAGGTGAGGGTTCATGAAAGGGAATTGGGTAGAAAAACTAGTTATGACAAAGAAAAAGAGGAAGGAAAACAAAAGAAGTGCTTTATGTTTCTCACACTCACTCTTCCTCTGCTTACATCCTTAAAACTCAAGTCTTTTCCTCCTTAGTTTAAAATCCCCTGGAACGAAACAGTGGAGGTTTTATAGCTTAGTCTATTGAATTGGCCCTAACTCATTCTCTGAAGGTAGATGGACAACACAACAATAATAAAACCCTGAGAAAATCACACACACACACACACACACACATACACACACACACACAAACAACAGAGGCACACAAGGCTGGCTGACTACTTTGGTTATTAGAGCAGGCCTGGGTGGGTAAACATAGATAGTCAGAAGCAAAAGGTAGAGAATCGGAGAAAGAGGAACATCCTGAGAATTACACAGGAAACATATTCTGGGCACTCACAGACAACTCTGCCTTGAGGGCTTGTTCTGTCATCAACTTTTCGTTTCCTTCATACCCTTTATCTATCTTACTTCCTATCTTTATTGATGTCAACAAAAAGAGCCAAACTGTAAAATATTTGAAGAGATTTCTTCTGAGCCAAATATGAGTGACCAATGGTCCTCAGGAGATTCTGAGAACATGTGCTGAAGGTGGTCAGGTACAGCTTGGTTTTATACATTTTAAGGAGACATCAAACACCAAGCAAAACATGTAAGATGTACCTTAGTTCAGTCTGGAAAGGCAGGACAACTGAAAGTGGGGGTTTCCATGTCATAGGCAGATTCAAAGATTTTCTGATTGGCAATTGGTTGAAAGAATTATTTATCAATACAAAGGAGTGTCTGGGTTATGATAAGGGATTGTGGATACCAAAGTTGTTTTTTAATTTGAAACAGAGTTTTGCTCTGTTGCCCAGGCTGGAGTGCTGTGGTGCGATCTCAGCTCACTTCAAGCTTCGCCTCCCAGGTTCACACCATTCTCCTGGCTCAGCCTCCCAAGAAGCTGGGACTACAGGTGCCCGCCACCACGCCTGGCTAATTTTTTTGTATTTTTAGTAGAGATGGGTTTCACTGTGTTAGCCAGGATGGTCTCAATCTCCTGACCTCGTGATCTGCCTGTCTCAGCCTCCCAAAGTGCTGGGATTACAGGCGTGAGCCACCACGCCCAGCTGTGAATACCAAAGTTTCATCATGCAGTTGAGCCTCCAGGTAGCAGCCTTCAGAGAATAGATCATAAATATTTTTTAGCAGACTTAAACAGTCATGTTCTATCAGTAATTCCAAAAGGGAGGAGGGTATAATGAGGCATGTCTGGCTCCCCTCTTCCCATCGTGGCTTGAACTAGTTTTCAGGTTAGCTTTGGAATGCTCTTAGCTGAGAGGAGGGGTCCATTTATGTGGTAGGGGAGCCCTTAGACTTTTATTTTTGGTTTACATTGATAAAGTATTTCCCTAGACCAGGGAAGACAGAGTTCCTGGCTCCTATTGGTTGGAAGGGAGGAAGAAGTAGAGGGTCTAACTACTATTCGCCACAATGATTCTAAGGGCAAGTGCTTCATGGGTTCCAACTAATCACCTACAAATAACTTAAGAACAAAACTATTTCTGTTGTGGTGGCTGGATGTATATTGATGCCTTTTTATCTGGGATGAATCTAAGCACTTCCCTTTTATCAATTTTCTCTTTCTCTCTGGAAGGACTACCTCTTACTCGTAGGGACATGTTCTGAGTTGTGTCCCGTGTGGCTTACTTGCATCTAGGTTCTTCATTGTATACCGACTGAAATGTTATCAGTAATAGCTTAGTACTAGCAATACCAGTGAATTAAATGTGGTTAAATTTAAGTTTGAAGTCCTAAAGATAAAATTCTCTAACTTTGAAACACCAGACATCCTCCTTCATTGAGTCAAACATTTCTTAGAAATGAATGTTAGAATCTGTCTTAGAACACGGTCTTAGAAACTGTCTTTGGGTTATCACTTACCAAAAAAAAAATGCCAACTTTTTAGCATGGCATCAAAGATCTTTCATTATCTCTTTGTTATTTCTACAGCTTTTTCATGCATATCTTCTTTATAATGAAACATTTTCAGGTCACTGAATATGCCTCTCCCTCTTGTTTCTGGCCCTTTGTACACACAGTTTCCCTTGTTTCACAGCTCCTTTACCATACTTCCTTGCTGGGCTAAGTTTTCTCCTTCAGGGCAACTTAGATTTACTTCCTTTTATAGATTGTTAACTGATTTTCACAAGAAGATGATAAGTACCACTCTTAGGGTACTCTTAAGGGTTCCCCTGGTACACATGGAACTTACCATGTTGTAGCATTTCACACTCTGTTTTCTTTTTCTGTCTTTGATTGTGCATTTCTTTAGGGAAAGTGCTCTTGTACCTCTGGTATTTAGGTATTTGTTTCTGTGATTAAAACTGGTTATGTCTAGGTACAAACTGATAGAAAAGTACATTATAACTTCGTTAGTGATCCCAAAACTAAATAGATGTTTTTAAATTAGGAGGAAAAAGACTGCACTTTATGGGAGTTCAATTCTAAAATGCAGCTATAGGCCTTAGAGCATAGTCAAGTGTTGACAACTCAGCAATTATTTGCTAAGAATTTGCTCCTCTCTTCCAGTATTCTGTTACATATCTTAGTGGGAGACAACAATATAAGAACAGAGAACACTCTGGTGGGGAAGAATGATTTGAAAGATAAAAATAAATTTGACTTGACTTAAAAGCTAGGGTTGGAGAGTTGTTATAGATTAATTCATTATTTGAAACATTTGAATGATAGGCTGAGAAGTTAGACTAAATGGAATGTCTAGAACCAATGAAGAATTTTAAGGAGAATTATATGGCTATAGTAGTGATAATGACGAGCAAGATGAAAAAAGACACAACTGGAACAGAATTAATTTTCCTTGGAATTACCTTTGCCCTTTATGTACTTCCTTTTCTCTATGGTATTCCATTTTATACTTCTTCAAATGCTGAGTCAAGGACATAAAGTGAAAAGTCCAACTTGGGCACTTTGACACTTAATAACTAAAATTATAGAATCTTCAGGTAAAAACAGTCGCAGTCCATTATTCAATATCTAATTTAATATTTTTCACCTTATTCAGTATTTGAGTTTTCTCCCTATAAGGCTTTTATTACAGTCTATGCTTTTAATTCACTGTATCCTGATCTAGCCCATTTAATTTTGAAAACAATTTTCAAAGAGTTTATTTATTTAATTAAAATATATATTTCTTTTAGATCAACTACGAGTCATAGATCCACTCCTTGAGACTGCATAGAACAAGTCAACACTCTCCTATGATAATTTTTCAAATATTTGAACCCAACTACCTTGTTTTCACTTAGGCTTTTCTACTGCACCTGAATAAATGTTTAATTTCTTTCTTCTTTAGGTGTACTGTCCTAGGAGGACCTTCCTGCTTTAAGTTATGGTTCCCAGTACTAAACTTCATGGATATTTGAGCTAGAGCACAGTAGTAAAATACCAATAGCACAATCTAATTCTTCACACACTATTTCTCTTAATACATGCTAACAAATTATATTATTATTATCATTATTATTTTGTATGCCACTATTAACTCAAACTGGGCTTTCTATAAATTAAATACTCTAAGTTTTTATACAGTGATGCTAAGCTACGTGATGTCATATTATATTTTAAGTACAGAAGTAAAGCTATCAGTCTTTTAAAAAGATACTTGTACAACAGAAATGCTATCCATAAGCATTTTTCCAGACTGTTGACATGCCTGATGAGGGACCCGTGTTTTGTCTTTTTGTAATTTGATTATTGGCTTTTCTAGTGATTCTGCTTTGTTTCCATGCTTAGATTTGATAGATATTTAAAAATAAACACAGTATCTGACCAAACCAATCTCTACTTCATCACAGACAAGGTTTTGGCTTCTTACCAAGTCCACATCACCCCATCCCCATCATCTAACATAGCAGTTGCTATTTTCATCTTTGCTCTCAGTCTTTCATCACTCAAATTTTATAATGACATTGTCTGGTGATAAGATAGGATATAAAAAATAGCATGTTTTCCCTATCCTGTTACTTACACAGTTATGGCTTTTTTGGCCACAAAAGAGAGGTTTTGTATTTATTGCTATCAGATTACTTCATACTAGGTTTGATCCATCACCAGTCTACTCTGATGACAGCATTTTTATCTGGTATATAATGTATTCCATTTCATATATAACATATTTTGGAGATTTAAATGAGAAAGTGTAGTTTTGTTATTATCTTACAAAAACGGACTTAAACATTTATTCTATCAAAGTTTGTTCATTCTTTTTGGTATGAAAATTATTGTAGCTGACAGACAAGTTAGAAGCAAAAGATTAAGAAGCCCAGTTTTTTTTTTTTTTTGATACCACCTTTTATCAGTGACAAACAGCAAGCTCTGTTTTATGCAAATATCTTTTTTTGTTGTTGTTGGTTTTCTCAGCAAACCTTTATTTTCTTCAGAGAAATACTTCACTAACTATTTTTTCCCTTATTTGTTTACTTGTGTATTGCTTTTATTCCAAAGTAAAATAAAATTCATGGAAGTTAAAATTTTCACCAAGACAAGGAAATGATTTTTTAAATGTTCTCATTTTGTGTGTGTGAACAGAGTCATCCAGTCATCCAGCTGTTTTTCAATCCCCACATTATGCTTGTTTGTCAGATTTGTGCATTGAATTGGGAAAATATCATTCATTTACTGCATCTGACTTTGCAGTTTGTAATATAGGTCTGAGATGTATTATTTGTATTCATATCTCCTTTTTCTTTTCTCATAAATGCCATTAAAATACATCTACCCTTAGGTTCATGGGTTTTGACTGTAGGTTTATAACTTCATTAACTGGACTACTATGATGCCTCACTTACATAAATTAGTGCTGTTTGAGTTTGGTTATACGTCTACCATTTCATGTCAATCAGAAGTGTAATCACATCTAGTTATAGGGAATCTCCTGGTTTATTATTGTGCTGAACTGAGGCTCAATTTATTTTAGTTTACTTGCTCATTAATATTAATAATTTATTGGTCACAATATGTATGTTGGTCTATGGACTGTATTTGTCTATAACTTAGCATCTCCTGAAATTGTGCCTTATTATTATTATTTTTTTTTTGCATTTTTTGGAAAAAATTTAGTGTGAATTCTATTGTGGGTATATTTACATGGACATTTTTCTTTTTCCCTCTTTCCTTTTGGTAACAACTTTGATGAAGGAAAGTAAAACAATAATACTGATAAAATGTAAAATACTAGCTATTATAGTGTTCTCTCTACCCCATTAACTTAATAAATGTTGACTTCATATGGTCTCTATATAAAAAGCCAAGAAGGTCTCAGGTATGTTCACTCATTTTTGTCATTTTTTTTCTGCTCCTTTGATGGTGTCTATCACTTAGGCCACTTGAGTTCTGTATTTTGCTGGTGCTATTGCTGTTGATGGCTTTTATGAGACTCATGATGACGCTGCTGAGGCTGTTCTTTCCTGAAACAAGTGATTGAGTCACTATGACAGCTGCGCTCCCTGGAATTCTGTTGAGGTGCACAATGCCCTTGAAATCCATTCAAGTTATTGTTTTGTTCCAATAGTAATCATCTTGCCAACCTCTGTCTTTTAATTAGTGTATTTAGGCGGTTTACATTTGATATAATTATTGATATGTTAGGGCTTATGTCCTGACATTTTATTTTCTTGTTTTCTAATTGTTCTACTTTTTACTTCTCTATTTCCTTTTTCTACCTTTCCGTGGGCTACTTGGACAGTATTTTTAGGCTTCTATGTTGATTTACCTAATATGTTTTTGAGTGTATCTCTTTTTGTGTGTATCTATTTTTAGTGACTATTCTGGGTATATTACATTACATACCCAGAATAGTCACTAAAAATAGATCACACAAAAAAGAGATACACTCAAAAACACATTATCTGAATGAACATGGAAATATTATATATAAAATGAAAATAGAAATATTATATATATATAATTTTCCCATCTAGTGTGACATTTTATCAGTTTGAGTCAAATATAGTCATCTTAAATTTCTTTAAGTCCTTTTCATTTCCCCTGATTGTAGTAAAACTGTCTTAAATTTTTCTTCTACATACATTACAAACCACTTCATGATCCTGCAATCTCACTGCTAGGTATATATCCCAAAGAAAGGAACTCAGCATATTGAAGAGATATCTGCACTGTCGTGTTTATTGTAGCGCTATTCACAATAGTAAAGATATGGGAGCAACCTAAGTGTCCATAAAAGATGGATGGATAAAGAAAATGTGGTAGATATACACAATGGCGTATTATTCAGCTGTAAAATTAATGAGACCCTGTCATTTGCAGCAACAATGATGGAACTGGAAGATATTATGTTAAGTGAAACAAGTCAGGCATGGAAAGACAAACTTAACGTTTTGCACTCATTTATGGAAGCTAAAAATTAAAAAAAAAAAATGAACTCCTGGAGATAGAGAGCAGAATAATGGTTACCAAAGGCTGGGAAGGGTAGCGGGGAGGAGGGAAAATGGGGATGGTTAATGGGTACAAAAATGTAGTTAGAATGAATAAGATCTAGTATTTGATAGCACAACAGGGTGGTTACAGTCAACAATAATTTATTGTAAATTTTACAATAATTAAAAGAGTGTAATTAGATTGTTTGTAACAGAAGGAGATGACAAATGCTTTAAATGATAGATACTCCATTTACTCTGATGTGATTATTTTGCATTGCATGCCTGTATCAAAATATCTCATGTGCCCCATTAATATATACAGCTACTATGTACCTAGAAAGGTTAAAAATTTAAAAAGAACCAATTCACATAGTGTTAAAAGTTTTTCTTCAAACGTAATTGAGAACGCTAAAGAAGATAAGAAAAAACCTATTATATTGCCATATATATTTTTACTCTTTATGTTACTCTGTTTTTCCTCCCTGATATTTCAAGATCCTTTTTATTAAATCATTTTCTTTCTGTTCTAAGAACTTTCTTCAGTCTTTCCTTTCCCTTAAGGATAGCACTGCTGGCTAGAAATTCCCTTAGTTTTTCTTTATCTAATACTACCTTGCTTTCTTCTTAATTTCTGAAGGATATTTTCACTGAATATTGGATTCTAGGTTGATTGTTTTTTTCTTTACCACTTTCTTCCAGCCTCCATAATTTTTATGATAAATCTGCTATTATCCAAACTACAGGTAGGATGTAGTTCTTCTTGCTGCTTTCAATTTTTTTATGCTTTAGTTTTCATAGGTATGATATGATGCGTCTTGGCATGGAATTTGTTGGGTTCATCCTGTTTAAGGTACACTAAACTGTTGCTGCTTCTTATTCTTCATCTCCTTTTCCTCCTCCTACTTCTGTGCTCTCCTTCTTTTTCTTTTTCTTCTTCACCTCCTCCTTCTTTGCATGAATGAGGAGATAATGAAAAGTTTGACAGCAAAGAAATGGGCCGCAAGTTCTATTATGCTTACACTAAGCTTCTTATATCTGTAATTTGTACCTTTTGCCAAAATTGGTAAATTTGCAGACATTGTTTTAAGTACTGTTTTAGTCTCACCTTCTTTATCTTCTCATGGGACTCCAATGACACAGGTGTTTGATTCTTTGCTACAGGTTCGCATATCCCTGAGATTCGTTTCAGTTGAGCAGTGATTGTCTTTTCTCATTCAACTTGATTGTCCTGGTTCTTGGTATGATAAGTAAATTTCTACTGTATTCTGGACATATTGCGTATTAGGCTATGAGAATCCAGATCTTATTTAAATCTTCTGTTTCAGCAGGCCTCCTCTAATACCACACTGGCAGAAGTGCTACCTCATTACTGCCAGGTAAGTGTGGCCTTCACTGATACACAAAGGGGAAGTTGTACTTTGTTACTGATCGGCAGGGATGGGAGTTTAGGCTCTCACTAGGTCTATGATGGCATCATCCTATCTGGGAGGAGGAGAAGTACCTTGTTACTTTGTACCACATGACCTCTACTGATACTAGGCAGAAGGACAAGGCAGTCTTCATTATTGCTTGAGGTCATAAATGTCCTTTATTTTTCCTATTCATTCTCTTTGGACACTGTGATGGTTAATACTGTCAACTTGATTGGATTGAAGGATGCAGAGTATTGTTCCTGGGTGTGTCTGTGAGGGTGCTGCCAAAGGAGATTAGTATTTGATGCAGTGTACTGGGAGAGGCAGACCCACCGTCAATCTGGGTGGGTGCCATCTAATCAGCTGCCAGTGCGGCCAGAATAGAAAGTGGGCAGAAGAACGTGGAGAGACTAGACTGGCTTAGCCTCCCAGCCTACATCTTTCTCCTGTGTTGAATGCTTCCTGTCCTCAAACATCAGAATCCAAGTTCTTCAGCTTTGGGACTCAGACTGGCCTCTTTGCTTGCAGATGGCCTATTGTGGAACCTTGTGATCATGTGAGTTAATACTCCTTAATAAACTCTCTTTTATATATTCATCCTATTCGTTCTGTGCCTCTAGAGAACCCTGACTAATACAGACACTAACATGGCAAGGAGGGAACTGGGTGTCTTGTAACAGCCAGGTCAGCATGTAGATTGATTGCCTGCATGGTCTCCACTGACACTACGAAGGTGTGACAGGAGTTACCTTGGGACAGGAATGAAGGTCTTGGTTTCTTACTCCACCTTCTCTGATATTATCATGTGGGGGAATTTGGGTACCATGTTTCCATCTAATGAGGGTGGAGTCCAAGCTCCCGTCTAGCCTTTGCTGATGGGGTTGGGAGGGAGACTGCGTTATGCATTTCCATTAATGTTTGACTGGAGTTGTGCTGTTATTATCTAAAAGTTTTCTGTCTTGCTAGGCGCCCTTTTCGTCCTCTTTTGGTTAGAGAGAGCAGGCTTTTCATGAGAAAAATCTCTTAGCTGCAGCCGATGATATTTCTGGGTTGCTGGATTCTTTAGCACCCAATCCAGGATATATGAGATAAAAGGGAAACTCAGGAAACACACTGCTGTCATTCTTTGGTCCCACGGTCCCTAGCCAGTCTTGTCTCCACTTTCAGAGTCTTCTTATGTTTCTTTTACATATAATGTCTGAGGTTTTGATCTGTACTTAATGAGAGGAATAGGGTAAAGTATGTCCACTCCATCTTTTGAGACTTATGTTTTAGTATAGTAAAAATTTGACTTTTATCTCTTCTTTCCAAACAGTTGATTGCATATCCGAAGAGTAGTACTGCTAAAGTGACAGCTGAAATTTTAATAACAACAAGGGGAAAGAAAGTCTCATTACTTACAATTTTGGAAAATAAGATACTGTTAAGCCTCTACATTTCCACATGCACAAAGGGAGTTAGCCTAACCTTAACATTTAATAATAAGAAACTATTCTGAAGCAAATAATTACTGACAAAAATGAAAAGGAGACAAAAATAATACTCATTTCCCATAATATTTCAAAATAAAACATTTTTAAAAAGTTTATTTATAAAACATGTGTTTGAGACATTAGTGCTTTGAAATGAAAATATGCTCTATTCTACCATCATAATTGTTTAGGAAAGTTTAATATAACTTACTCTGCCCATTATTCTCAGTGAGTTATGTTCTTTTTTTCCTTACTTTGAGACAGTGCTTCAAATTGTTTTACTTATTTTTTTTAATTTTTATTATTTTATATCTCCAAGTTATTGGATCTTCTGGAAAACAGTTGAACCCTGTAGCATATGATTCAGTAAATGCTTTAAGCTAAATAGGCCCAAGAAGAACAACATAAAAAGCTTTCCTTGCCCATAGGTGATTTATCTTTGGTCCTAGAACACAGAATTTCACAGATAGGAAGAACCTGAGTGCTTTTTCATACCACTAGTTGTCTTAAATGTATGTCCAACAGAGATGACATGAAATAAAAATTAAAACATTGTGCAGCTGGAAGCAGAGTGAGGTTGAGGTCACAGTATAAATATACCTTAAGAAGTGTAAGTGATACAGGTAGATCTAGGACTGAAGGAATGTGTCGTTCTTGAAGAGATGAGAGCTTAGCAGTTGATAATGGATGAAATAGTAATGGAGAAATTTTTTATTTAGGAGATTAATTTATGATGTATAATAAGGTTTGTAAAGACAATATTCAAAATCTTGAATGAGTTGTTGCTATACTGCTCTGGAAAAAAAATGGTATATATTTTGGTAGTATGTGCTGGAAAGTCAGAAACTTCTAGAGTAAAACAGACTTTCCTATTTACTTTCTGTTTATATGGTTTTTTTGTACATGTTAAATATAAATATTTCTATTAGGAAAATAATAGCACCTATAGAAAAATTCTAATAGCCAATCAACCTAAATGCCCGTCAATGGTAGACTGGATAAAGAAAATGTGGTATGTATACACTGTGGAATACTATGCAGCCATAAAAAAGAACAAGATTATGTTCTTTGCAGGAACATGGATGAATCTGGAGGCCATTATCCTTAGCAAACTAACACAGGAACAGAAAACCAAATACCACATGTTCTCACTTACAAGTGGGACTTAAAGGGTAACACATGGACACACAGAGGGGAGCAACACACACTGGGGCCTATTGGAAGGTGGAGGTGGAGAGGTGGGAGAGGATCAGGAAAACTAACTAATGAGTACTAGGCTTAATAGCTGGATGATACAATAATCTGTAAAACAAACCCCCATGACGCACGTTTACTTACGTAACAAACCTACATATGTACCCCTGAACTTAAAATAAAAGTTAAATCAAAAAAGTACATGTGTTCTAAAAAAAAGAAAAATTCCAATACCTTGAATTTTACTGTTTTACCTGTATTAGTATATTAAGAGGTTTCTGATCAAATATGTAACTAAAGCTGAAAGAATAGCTATAATTTGTCACATCTAGAAGGTTTCTTTAGCTCTATTATAGGATGGACTAATCTTTTCATGGGAAAAATTTTATTTTAAGAGAGAATAATGCAGCCTGACCCAAGGACAGATGGAAAGATAATCTTGAGGTGATCATAATGTAAATTACTCAGAATATCTAGACCATTTTCTTCTATTCATCCCCTGCAATTCAAGCAAGGAGCAAGAACTACCACTTTTGGAGGGTCATTTCCCCTGGGTACAGGCCTGGAGCCTCTGCAAAAAGTGACCTGAGATCCTTGTAGCCATCCTCAGAGTCAGATAGGTGCATACTGAATGGTAAGTACCCTGATAATGTCTTCGAAGGCCACTATATGAGACATCTTCTGAGTTTTCCCAAGTATTCCAGAGAGACTGGAGCAGAAGCTAGAAGTGTCATTACGGATAACAATTCTGAAGATGAGAGCCGAACCAGTAAAAACAGCTTGTTTCGCTTATGGTGACTTATATAACTTCTCTAGGTTGATGCAGTCTGGAAAGACTAATTAGAAACCTAAATTATTTTCAATATTTATATTTATTTAGAACTAATTTATAGCACATATTTGAAAATTAGTTATTTTATAGTTATTTTTTGGCACTGGCCAAATAAAAATACTTTAATCAACCACTCTTTCCAAAAGACTTGGTTCCAGAGACTTGTGCTGATCCACAAATATTTGCTGCTATGTCTCAATATAAAATAAATATTTTGAACTTACAGAAGAGAAAAAGTAATAGCTTTCTCTCACCCATATACAAGAAAGATTAACAAGAGAAAAGCATAACAAATTTGTTTAACAGAAGTTTTACATGATATGGGGGTTTTCAGAAGTGAAGACCCAAAGACTCAGGGAAAAATATGTATTTTTATGGCTTAGGTTTGATGAAGTATTTTATTTTTATTTACAAACCTTCTTTTTTATTTATTTTCTCATTAAACTTTGTTTTAATGGGTCTCAAATTCTGTGACAGATTTTTGGTCAAGTTGTTTTTAAAAAACTAATAAGTTAAAACTGCCACATGCAAAAAAACAAAAAAACAAAAAATGGCCCACAAAACATTCTCCTTTCCTTTTAAAGGTTTTATGATGCATTATTATCATTAGCCAGTCTTTTAAATGGCCAGTTGAAACAAAGAGTTTTGAGGCTCTTCTTCCACAACTGTTAAGACTGGGTTGGCAGGTATTAGGGATAATATTCATTTAGCCTTCTGAGCTTTCTGGGGAGACTTGGTGAACTTGCCAGCTCCTAGCAGCCTTCTTGTCCGCTACTTGGATGACACCACGGCAGCTGTCTATCTCGCATTACGAACAGCCAAAGGACGCAGAGGAGGATAGTCAGAGGAGTCCTCAACATGCGTGGCTTGCCAGGAACCTCATCAACAAATGGCAGCATCACCAGATTTCAAGAATTTAGGGCCATTTTCCAGCTTCTTACCAGAATGGCAATCAATCTTTTCCTTCAGTTCAGCAAACTTGCAAGTAAGGTGAGCTGTGTGACAATCCAGTACAGGGGCACTGCCAACAGGGATTTGGCCTGGATGGTTCAGGATAATCACTTGAGCAGTGAAGCCAGCTGCTTCCATTGGTGGGTCATTTTTGCTGTCACCAACAACATTGCCACAACGAACATCTTTGACAGACACATTCTTGATATTGAAGCCCATGCTGTCCCCAGGAAGAGCTTCACTCAAAGCTTCATGGTGCATTTCAACAGACTTTATTTCAGTTGTAACATTGACTAGAGCAAAGGGAACACCATGCTGGGTTTGAGAACACCAGTTTCCACTCAGCCCAAAGGCACATTACCAATACTACCAATTTTGTAGACATCCTGGAAAGGCAGATGCAACTTGTCAGTTGAAGGCATTGGTTTGGATGGATGCAATCCAGAGCTTCTAGCAGTGTGGTTCCACTGCATTGCCATCTTTACAGGTGACTTTCCACCCATTGAACCAAGGCATGTGAGCACTTGGCTCTGGCATGTTGTCTCTATTCCAACCAGAAATTGGCACAAATGCTACTATGGCAGGTTTGTAACCAATTACTGTAAGTGCTAACTTCCTTAACAATTTCCTTGTATTTCTTCTGGCTGTAGAGTGGCTCAGCAGAATCCATTTTGCTAACCAACAATTAGTTCTTTCACACTCAGTGTGGAAGCCAGAAGGACATGCTCATGGCTCTGCCCATTCTTGGAGATTCCAGCTTCAAATTCATCTACTGTGATGTATATGTGAGCAGTAACAATAAGGACAGCACAGCCAGCTTGAGATGTGGCTGTAATCATGTTTTTGATAAAGTCTCTGTGTTCTGGGGCATCAATGATAGTCGTATCTGATGGTCTCAGATTTCCAGAGGGGAATATCAATGGTGACATCATACTCAGGCTCAGCTTTCAGTTTATTCAAGACCCAGGAATACTTGAAGGAGCCCTTTCCCATGTCAGCAGCCTCATTCTCAAAATTTTCAGTGGTTCTTTTGTCAATGCTACTACATTTATAGATCAGATGGCTGGTAGTGGTGGACTTGCCTGAACCTGGGGTCCAAGGCAACCATGTGGATACAAATTTTATTCACTTTCCACTGTGGCTTTTAGGGGTGGTTTTTACAATACCTGTGTTCTGGTGGCAAACCTGTTGCAAAAGAAAAGCTATTTTTGTTTTATTTTAAATTCAGTTCTATATTAGAAGCCTCAAGAAGGTCTATTTTGGAACTACTAAATATGCTTTTATACTTCAACTGGACATGTGACCATGAGCAAGTAAGTCATGAAACCTCTTTGATAACAAGTCCCTGGTCTGTGACCTAAGTTTTTCACCTTCGCTCCCTCCCCACCACCCACCGGCACCTTGGATGACACAGGAAGGCTAGAGGTGGGCTGAAGTTGCTTTTCTGCCTATGTGAGATAAAGCTCTGGTGAAATATTTTTCACTGGACAATGGACCTTTATTATTCATCTGGAGAACACATTGGTCATACTTCAAAATGGTATCTTTCACCTCTTCCTGCCAAAAATAAGAAGTGAGCTTTCTTGGCTTTTCAAACCTGCTGGATTTCCATGAAAGTATTGAGAATGCAGCTCCAAGGCATCTTTCACTCTGAAGGAAGTCTACACTTAACCCTCATCCATTCATCAACATTACTATTTAACTGTCTCTACAAGTTTATATTTCCAGCAGCTTCTGTACCAGATCAACTGAATTCAGCTGTGTTTTTGTGAATTTGTCCATCTTTCCAGATTTCTGAAAGCTGGTTTGCCCTGCAACCTCAAGAAAATTATTTTCCCCCCAATTTGTTCAGTTATTTTTTCTTCTAAGTACCCACGTGACAACTTCAAAGCTCTTTACATGTTGGAGCTGAAACTTGAAATACCATTTTTTTAAAATAAAAATTTACATTAACTGTATTTGCCACTTGTCTCTTATTAGATTATGAGTTATATTCTTAACAGGTACCTTATTAGAGGCAAAAGTGGCTCATATTCCTGGTAGAATTTTTTATGTACTTCTAATATTGTTCTTTAGCAACTGTGACACATATACCTTAGAGTAAAGGTCCTTTTGCCGCTATAGGCATTATTTGTAGTACATTTTCAAGAACTCTACAAGAGTTAGGGGTAAAGATCAAATCTAAACTATTCAGATTGATATAAAAGGTTTCTCTCAGACATTGACAGGTTCAGATATCATATTTCAGTCTAGACATTTCCAGCACACATTTATATGAACTTTAATTCAGGAGGTATAAAAGTACCATCAATCTACCCAACAGAAGTGCTGTTATGAATATGATTTATGCTTACATATAAACACTTTATTTATTTTAATTTTTCTTTGAGACAGAGTCCCACTCTGTCACCCAAGCTGTAGTGCCGTGGTGTGATCTCAGGTCACTGCAACCTCTGCCTGTCAGGTTCAAGCAATTCTTATGACTCAGGCTCCCAAGTAGCTGGGATTACAGGCATGCGCCACCATGCCCAACTAATTTTTGTATTTTTAGTAGAGACAAGGTTTTGCTATATTGACCAGGCTGGTCTCAAACTCCTGGTCTAAAGTGATCCACTTCCTCAGCCTCCCGAAGTGCTGGGATTATAGGTGTGAGCCACTGTGCCTGGCCATAGCAACACTTTTAGCGAGAGCTGTGGAAAGCTGAAAATCTCTAGCAGGCGTTTGGGTTGTTCAGTTCCACTGTCTTTTCCAACTCGTCAATTGAAAGTATAAAGTAAAAAAGAAGTGCCCAGATGTCCTTTCTTTCTTTATATTTTTCCATGTCAGAAGAGAAATTGAAAATCAGAGATGAGGAATCCGAGAAGCATATATTGGATATACTTTGTATTGCTCTGACACTGATAAGAACTTATGCGCATTGTCTCAAGTTCCTCAGAATACATATAAAATGGTATGGCAGAAACATTTCTGGGATGGGTGTGTAATGACCTCTGTGAACCCTCTCCCCAGTGAAAGAACTATAACTGTTGAAAATTGTTAAAAAAAAATTTAGTCACTGGAAACTGTTCTAAGAACATAGAGGAAATTGAGAAATATTTATTCAAGAAAATCTATAATACTAAGTCTGAGTAAGAACTATGGAAGTCTGTTATATTAAAGACATGCCTGATCCCCAGCTCAGTGTGATTTAAGCCCTATTCTCAATGGATTCAGCCAAGAAAAGGAAGCTTACTTCACTCTCATCTCCCAGTCTAAGGCAGCAGTTTTTGCCTGGAAGGGACAGTTTAGTCAAGGAGGAAGAGAAGAATGAACCATGAGACATATAGAAAATGAAAAGCAAAATGACAGCCATAAGTCAAACCATATTAATAACATTAGATGCAAATGTTTTTAACAATCTAACCAAAGACAGGAATTGTTAGATTGTGCAAAAAACAAGATTCAACTACACACTGTCTATTGACAGCACACTTTAGATTCAAAGATAAAAATAGGTTGAAAGTTAAAGAATGAAAAATTTTGTGTCATGCAAATAGCAATCTTAAGAGAGTTGGAGTGACTATACTAATATTATGAAAAAAAGAATTTTTTTTTTTTTTTTTTGAGACAGAGTCTTGCTCTTGTCACCCCCAGGCTGGAGTGCAGTGGCATGATCTTGGCTCACTGCAGCCTCTACCTCCTGAGTTCAAGCAATTCTCCTCCCTCAGCTTCCTGAGTAGCTGGGATTACAGGCACCTGCCACCATGCCCAGCTAATTTTTTTATTTTTAGTAGAGACGGGGTTTTGCCATGTTGGTCAGGCTGGTCTCGAACTCCTGACCTCGTGATCTGCCCAGCTCAGCCAAAGTGCTGTAATTATAGGTGTGAGTCACTGCACCCAGCCCCCAAAAAAAGAATTTTTAAAAAGACAAAGTTACTAAAGAAGAATGTTTTATCATTAAAAGGGTCAATTCATCAAGAAGATAATAATTATAGACATATATGTATTTAACAACAGAACCCAAAAATGCATTAAGCAAGACTAACAAAATTGAAGGCATGAAATGGGCAATGCAACAATAATAATTGGAGGCTTTAACAACCTACTTTCAATGATGTGACTATTTAGAAGACCAATGAGAATGCAGAACCCTTTAAACCAGTTAAAACAAATGGACATCTACAGAACACTTTAATTTGCTGAGTATACATTGTCAAGCATACATGGAACATTATCCAGAATAAACAACATACTGGGCTAAGAAATATGTGTCAGCAAATTTAACAGTGTTAAAATCATATGAAGTATGTTCTCTGGACAAAATAGAATTAAGTTAGAACAATTAAAGGAACTTCAGGAAACTCACAAATATGTGGATATTAAACAATGTGCTCCTAAATAACCAATGAGTAAAAGAAGGCATTACAAAGTAAATTAGAAAATACTTTGAGATAAAAAAATGAGAACACAACATGCTAAAATTTGTGATATACAGCTAAAACAATGCTTAGAGTGAAATTTAGTTGTGTAAATGCCTGTATTTAAAAAAGAAGAAAAACTTTAAATCGATTACCTAAACTTTCACCTTGAGAAACCAGAAAAAAAAGGTCAAACTAAATCCAAATGAAACAGAACAAAGAAAATAATAAAGATTATAGTGGAAATAAATAAAATAGAGAAAAAACAATACAGAAAATGAACAAAACCAAGAGATTTTTTTAAAAAATCAACAAAATTGACAAACATTTAGCCATTATGATCATGCTAACAAGACAGAAGACTCAAATTGCTAAATCGGGAATGAATAGTTGACATTACTAATGTCTTTACAGAAGTAAGTATGACTATAAGGAAATACTATGAAGTACTGTATGCCAGTAAATCTATGATACAATTACCATGTTCCTAAAAAGTTACATTCAAAACTGACTCAATAAGAAATTGAAAATCTAAACAGACTTATAATAAGCAAGGACTTAATTAGGAATTTTAAAATGTCTGCAAACAACATTTCCATTCCAGGTAACTTCATTGGCAATTTTTATCAAACATTTAAAAGTTAATACCAATCCTTTACAAACTCTTCTGAAAATGGAAAAGGAAGAAACACTTATGCCCTTATTCTATGCAGTCAGTATTGCCCTGATACCATAATCAGACAAGGCAACTCAGGGAAAGGGTATACTGTACCAGTATTTTTTATGATTATTGACACAAAAATCTCTTCCAAAATATTTACAAACTGAATCCAGCAACACACGCAAAAAAAAATTCACACCATGCTCAAATGCAATTTATCTCAGGTTGAATTAACATATGAAAAGAATGTAACATGCAATATTAATAGAATAAAGGACAGAAATCGTGATCATGTCAATAGGTAATTTTTTTAAACAAAATCCAATATACTTCCATTGCTCTAGCCAGAGCAATTAGGCTAGCAGTAGTAGTAAAAGACTCAATTGGAAAGGAATAAATAAATTATTTCTACTTCAGCAACATGGACCTTGTACATAGCAAGTCTTAAGGACTCCACTAAAAAACTATTAGTACCAGTAAACAATTTCAGCAAGGTTGCAGGATACAAGACCAATAGATGAAAATCAACTGTGTTTCTACACACTGGCAATGAACAACCTGAAAATAATATTAAGAAAACAATTGCATCTACAATAGCATCAAAAATAATAAAATATTTAGGAATATGTTTAAAGAAATGTAAAACACATATTCAGAAAACTATATAACGTTATTGGAAGAAATTATAAGATCTAAAGGAATAGAAAAATATTCCATATTTATAGATTAGAGGACTTAATATGTTAACATGACAATATTACTCCCCATGATGGTCTACAGATTCAACACAATCTCTATAAAAATCTCAGCTTTTTTGCCTAAGTGTAAAAACTAATTCTGAAATTCATATAAAATTTCAAGGGACCCAGAATATCCAAAATAATATTGGAAAAAGAATAAAGTTATAGGAATCACACTTCATGATTTCAAAACAGTCTACAAAGTTAAAATAATCAAGTCAGAGTGGTACTGGCCTAACAATAGATTTATCAATCAATGGAACAGAATTTTGAATCCAGAAATAAATCCTTATCTATATGGTCAATTGATTTTAAACAAAAATGTCAAATTATTTAATGGAGAGATTTTTTTTTTCAGTTAATTGTGCTGGAACTACTGAAAATCCATATGCAAAAGAATGAAGATGAACCCATTTTATACACCATACACAGCATTAACTGAAATTAATCACAGACCAACATTACAGCTAAAACTATAAACATTTTATAAAGTAAGTCTTCATGACTTTTAGTTAAGTAATGACTTGTTAGATACAACACTGAAAGTACAACCAACCAAAGGGGAAAAAACCCAGGTAAATTGTTTTTTGTCAAACTAAAAACTTCTGCATCACAAAAAACACTGTAAGAAAGTAAAAAGGAAACCCTATAAAGTGAGAAAAAAATGTAAATTACATATCTAATAAGAGATTTGTATCCAGAATATATTTAGAATTCTTACAAATCAACAATAAAAAGACAAATACGCATTTAAAAGTACACAAAGGCTATGAATAAGTATTTCTCTAAAGAAGATATACAAATTGGCAAAAAAACATCTGAAAAGATGTTCAACAACATTAGTCATTAAGGAATGCAAGTCAAAACCACAATCAAATGCCACTTTATACCCACCAGGATAGTTATAATTACATAGGTAGGCAATAACTAGTGTTAGAGAGAATGTGGAGAAATGGGAACACTTATATATTGTTGGTGGGGATGTCAACTTGTGCAACTGCTTTGCAAAATTGTTTGATCTCTAAAATGTTAAACATAGAGTTACCATGACACTCAGCAACTTCACTTCTAGGTATAAAACCAAGAGAATTAAAAAACTTACACATTTATATAAAATCTTGTGTATAAATATCTACGGTACTATTATTCATAATTGTCAAAAAGTGGTAACAATGCAAATGCTTATCAATTTATGCATGGATAGATAAAATGTGATATATCCATAAAATGAAATATTATTTGCCACAAAAAGGAATGAAATACTGATTTATGCTACAACATTTATGAACCTTGAAGACATGCTAAGTAAATAAGACTATCGTGAGCCGAGATCGTGCCACTGCACTCCAGCCTGGGCGACAAAGCCAGACTCCATCTTAAAAAAGAAAAAAATACTATCACTAAAGTTCACAATCTATGATTCCATTATATAAAAGTGTCTGGAATAGGCAAATCTCTAGAAACAGGAAGCCATTAACTAAGGATGGGGGATAGAATAAGAGTGATTGCTAATGGGTATGCAGTTTCATCTGGGGGTGATAAAAAATGTTCTAAATTAGATTGTGGTAATGGTTCCACAACTCTGTGCATATACTAAGAAAACATTAAATTGTACATTTTCAATGGGTAAATTGTATGGCCTTTGAATTATATCTCAATAAAGATTTTTAAAAGATGGCATTGCAATATTTCAACTAATTTGATTTGGAAAAATTTCTAGTAGATTGCCAGACCAAACTACAATAAATACTGAAAAGTTATGCGCGAATGGAGGAAGCGGCATTGGAAAGTTCATATTTGGTTCATGGCTCTGAAAATAAAATTCTGCTTTCAAATTTATTACAAGTTAACATCTGTCTCTGCCTATAAATGTCAATGAAAAGTCGTGGTCAGTTTTAAAATCAAATTTACTCACTGGTCTTACTCCAAAAGTGGCTAGCGTGTCAGTGGCCAAAAATCACCCTGCGTTTAGTTTCATGAAAGGGCAGAGAAAAGTCATGACAAATTCAAAGAGTTCTTTGCTCCCAGGGTTAATGTCATTTTTCATACCTTATTCCAAAGGAATGGCAAGCTTTTAATGCATCTTTAATGGCAACTGTTCATGTGAAAAAAAAAGAAAAAATATGAATTATGTAAACAATATAATTCCCAAATGAGTTGCTTCTATTTGAGTCCCTTTTGTTTTGCAATAGAATGCTCAGTTCAGAATATCATAGTATTAGCCAAATGCATTTAGGGTCCAAACAAGTTCATTGCTCTTCTGTTATAGATTTCAGTTTCTATATATTACTATAATTTATATTCTTCAAGAAAAAGGAACCATTATCTGAACATAATTTTGTTTTTGAAGTGGATTTGAAGAGTCATTAATTGGTCTTTAAGATAAATCAATTTGAGAGGACAAGATGGGATATAGAAATGCATCTTGAAAAGTGATTAATGACATTGAGGGAAATGATAAATAGCATGTTTCCTTGGAAATGGATTGTAAACCCGATGTCTAAATGATATTGTACAGCAGCAATTCACAGCCTTGCCACCTAAGAGTCAATTTTTCTGCCATTAGAAATACAGCTGTTATATGTCTTCTGCATTTGCAAGAAAAAAAAGGAATGTTCACTTTCTTCTTGGTTATTGATATCTACTTTTTTTTTTAAAGTCAATGCCTTTATTTTCCTTTATTTGGCAAGATACTCCAGTGACCAACAGATAGGCTGAATAGATAAGAAAGATGGAAATATTGTACCTGAAAGTAGTAGGTAAATGAAGGAAGACAGCAACCAAAAGCTCCCTTTGGGGCATTATGCTTCTGTTCCTAAATACTATGAGTTAATTCTTATTTCTTCTTATAGGTTCATATAAAATAGCTCTTCCCCACTTGACAGTTGTCAACAAATCTAGGTTTAAAGTCAAATAAGAGGATTCAGAAATTCATAACTAGACATACATGTAGAAAGAATCAAGGTCAGGGTCTTCTTCCTTCCCCAATAATACTAAATTTATGTATTTGGATTTACATTGGCCAAGGAAGGATAAGCTCAGAGTAATAATTTTTAGTTACTTATATGTTAGATGGACTTTTCCCAATCAGTTAAATTTGCTATTGAATTTTCCGTATTTATTATCTCTCAAAAATAACCATATAAAACTCAAAACAAAAAGTAGATACAATGTTTTCCTTTTTTGTATTTGTTTTTGCATAATTCAACAGGCTGGCATGTATTAGAGAGGGAAGCATACAACAGAGGAAACTTTATGGCAGTAGCAAGACACTAAATCAGGTATTTTCTAGGTTGATAGATTAATTTTTTTTTAAATCAGAGCCAACAAGATGCATATATTCAATGAACAGGAACTTTGACCAACAAGTGTGCTAGTCATCCTTTGCAGAAAGTGACTATGAAAGTGCCACAGGTATCTGAGATTACACATAAATTTGAGTGAGCAAATTCACAAATACAGAATGAAGTGCAAAGTGAAAAACACATACATTTAGATGGTTACACATCAGGAAATAGTTTCTTTCACTACCTTCACTTCCATCAAAATGCATTATATAAAGCTTTATTTATGAAGAAAGGGACATTTAATTATTTTTCTAAAAACAACACGTGAATGCTCATGAATAGGGCAATCTACAAGATCAATGTGATAATTTCTGAAATAATTATAGAAAAATCTTTCTGATATATGCCTCTTCCCCAATTAAATTTGTTGACTGTAAAGGCAAGGTGATACAAACTAATGAATATGATGTTGGACCTTTGAAATTCTGTACTAGTTTTAAAATGTCATTTACAAAAAAATGAAAAAGACAAGAAAAACTGTGCCAATATTGCACTCCTGTAGTGATTGAGAGCAAGAGCTTTGGAGTCCGACCCACTAGAGTTTAAAACTGTTCCCTCAGGCACTAGCTTCTTTAACCTTGAAGGTGTTAGTGTAACCACACTGAATCTGGATGTTTCGTCTCTGAAACTGGGATAATAATACTGTCTGCTTCATATGCCAGTTGTAAGAATGAAATTTTTTGAAAACCCACCTTGATAATTTTAATTATTATTAAATTTGATTTTTCAAAAGCATTCAATCAAGTATAAATAAAAATACTTATTAACTTTATATTATTTCTACAACCATACCCAGTAATCTCAAAAAAGGTGGAATTCAACATATATTAAAAGAATGTTATTTAGCTGTAAAGGTAGAAAGATTATAGCAATTAACTTTATTAGAGTGTGCATATTATGTGTTTATTCAATAATTGACTTATAACTAGAGCTACTCTTAACATTGGGTATACATAGTTTGTAACATAAGACACATCACACAACCTTCTTGCATTTAGGAACGCTAGATAGATAGCACTTCAGCATTATGCTTGAGGGCCAATTTAAAAGGCAAAAATCACCAATAAAAAGCATTAAAATGTGAAAAAGGTGTCACTAAGTAGACCAAGAAAAGCACACTTGTGTACAGTATGATGGCTGAAACATAGAGACAGAGCATCACGTTATTTCCCCTCAGCTGAGAACGTATATGTCAGGTCACTCAGTTTTTTGCCACTCTGCAAGTGTTCACACATGACCATGAAAATGCCCTATCATCTTGAGATTAAAAATAAATTTTCACAAGTGAACAAATTCACAAACACAAACTCTGCAAATAACGAAGATCTGCTGTATATAGTCCACCTCAGAATGGAGCTCTTAATATTTTGGAGTAATAACATAATCTCCCATACTGTTGAGTATATAATACTGTAGACCTTTTTATTAGATTTATTGAACTTTTATTTTCATAGAAATGACTTTGTATTTCTATTTGAAAAATGAAGCTGGTTTTTTCTTTGTGTCTTATTTTATCAAAATATAATACTTTATTCTTTTAGAAGATAGTTTTGTAGGTTTTGACAACCACAGTACAGTCATGTAAATGCAATCAAAATCAAAATATAGAATAGTTCCCATACCTCAAAAATCTCCCCATGGTCCTTAGTCATCCTCTCCCCCAACTTGTCTCTGGCAACTGATTTATGTCCCTATAATTTTTCCCATGCCAGAATGTCATATAAATTGAATCATACAGTATAAACCCTTTGAGTCTGCCTTCTTTCACTTAGCGTGATGCACTTGAGATTTATTCATATTGTTATGTGTATTAGCAGATTTTTTATGCTTTTTTGCTAAGTAGTATTTCATGATATGAATAGGCACATTTATTTATCCATTCTTTACATGAAGAAAATTTGGTCGTTTCCAGTTTTTGGTGATAATAGTTAATGCTGTTATGAGCATTAATGTGCAGAATGTGTGAATGTGTTATTTCTGTAGCGTAAATATTTAGGAGTAGGATCATTGGATCATATAATAAGTGTATGTTAATTTTATCAGAAACTGACAAAGAGTTTTCTAAGGTGGGTGTACCATTGTGTATTCCTATCAGCAATGTAAAAAGAGTTCCAATTGCTCTAAACATCTTTGCCAGCACACGGTATTGCCAGTTTTTGTTTGTTTGTTTGTTAATATGGCCATTCTAATAAATGTGTTATGGTGTCTCATTGTGGGTCCAATTTGCACTTATCTAATACCTATTGAGATTGATTATGTTTTCATAGGCTTATTTTCCATTGATATATCTTTTTTTATGAACTGTCTATACAAATCATTGTCCTATTTTTAAACTGAAATGTTGTTTTCTTATTATTGAGTTTAGAGTTATTTATATATTGTGGGTACAAGTCCATTATCAAATATATGAATTGCAAATATTTTCTATCAGCCTATGGCTTATCTTTTTGTTTTCTTAATTGTGTCTTTTGAAGAACAGAAGTTTTGCATTTTGATAAAGTCCAACTTACCGCTTTTTCCTTTATGGCTTGTGCTTTTAGTGTAATATCTAACAAAGCTTTGCCTAACTGAAGGTCTCAAATATTTTTCCCTATATTCTTTTCTAGCCAGTTTATGGTTTTTGATTTTCAGTTTAGAGCTATGATCCCTTTTGAACTGATACTTGTGTATGGTAGAAGGTATGGAATGAGGTCCATTGTTGTTTACATGTAAATATCTAGTTGATAAAGACTATCCTTTCTTCATTGACTTGCCTTTGCACCTTTGTTGATAATCAATTTATCATATTTGTGTAGGTCTATTTCTGAACTATATTTCATTGATCTATAAAATTTCAGTACTATACTGTTTTTATCACAGCTTTATAATCAAACTTGAAATTAGGTAGTGTGAGTCCTCCAACTTTTACTTTTTCAAAATTGTTTTGGCTAGTCTTGTTCCTTTGCCTTTTCATATAAATATTTGAATTAACACACTGATATTTACAAAACAAAAACCCTGTTGGCAATTTGATTGAATTTACATTGAATCTGTAGATAACTTTGGGAAGAATTGGTATGTTAATGATACTGTGTCTTCTGATTCATGAACATAGTACAGACATACCTTAGAGATATTGCAGGTTCAGTTCCAGACCACTACAATAAACCGAATATTGCAATGAAATAATTCACACAAATCTTTTGATTTCCCAGTGCATATAAAAGTTATGTTCGTACTATACCGTAGCCTGTTAAGTGTGTAATAGTATTATGCTTAAAACAATATGCATGCCTTAATTTAAAAATATTTTATTGCAAAAAAATACTAACAATCATCTGAGTCTTTAGCTACTCATAATCTTTTTGTTGGTAGAGGGCCTTGCCTTGGTGTTGATGGCTGCTAACTGATGAAAATGGTAGTTGCTGAAAGTAGGAGTGCCTGTGGCAATTTTAAAAAATAAGACAACCATGAAGGGTGCTGCATCAGTTAACTATTCCTTCCCCCAGATTTTTCTGTAGCATGTGTTGCTGCTTGACAGCATTTTGCCCTCAGTAAAACTTCTTTCAAAATTGGAGTCAATCCTCTCAAACCCTACTGCTGCTTTATCAACTCAGTATATGTAATATTCTAAATCTTTTGTTGTCATTTTAACAATGTTCACAGCCTCTTCTTCAGAAGCAGATTCTATCTCAAAAAACCACTTTCTTTGCTCGTCCTGAAGAAGCAGCTCCTCATCCATTCAGATTTTATCATGGTATTACAACAATTCAGTCACAATATTAGGCTCCACTTCTAATTCTAGTTCTCTTTCTCTTTCCACCACATCTGCAGTGACTTCTTCTACTGAAGTCTTGAGCCTCTCAAGGTCATCTATGAGACTTGGAATTGACTTCTTTCAAACTCCTGTTAATGTTGATATTTTGACCTCCTCTCAGTTAATTCTCTTCTTAGAGAATGACTTGAAAAGTATTCTCTTTTCTTCAATTTATGGAAGAATTTGTATAGAATTGATAATCCCTTTTCCTTAGATATTTGGTGAAATCCACTGGTGAAATCATATGGGTCTGGAGTTTTTATTTTGGGAAGTTTTAAAAGACAAATTTAATTACTTTAAAAGTTATAATTGTGGGATCTATAGTTATGATTCCTATTTCATTCTTGATATTGGTGTTTTGTGAGTTTTCTCCTCTTACATTTTCTGACAAATCTACTAGGTTTATTTATGTTACTGATCTTTTCAAAGGAACAATTGTTTTTTATTTTCATTGACCTTTATAAACAATGGAGAACATTATGTTTACCATAACATTGAATTTTTTGCTTTGAATTATTATATAATTATCAGAAATATTTAATTAGTACAATTAGATATAATTATGCATAATTAATATAATAATTATATGATTATAATCTTAATTATTTTCTTATTTCTGCTTATTTTGTGTTTGATTTGCTATTTTTTTTAAGTGTCTTTAGGTGGCAGCTTAGGTCATTAATTTTAGACCTTTCTTTCTTTTCTTTTTTTTTTTTTTTTTTGAGACAGAGTTTCACTGTTTTTGCCCAGGCTGGAGTGCAATGGCTCAATCTCGGCTCACTGCAACTTTCACCTCCTAGTTGCAAGTGATTCTCCTGCCTCAGCCTCCTAAGTAGCTGGGATTACAGGCATGTGCCACCATGCCCAGCTAATTTTCAGTATTCTTAGTAGAGACAGGGTTTTACCCTGTTGACCAGGCTGGTCTTGAACTCCTGACCTCAGATGATCTGCCTCCCTCGGCTTCCCAAAGTGTTGGGATTACAGGCATGAGCCACCGCGCTTGGCCAATTTTAAACCTTTTGTTTTTAATATAGGTGTTAGTGCTATAAATTAAACACTAATTTAATTCCACAAATTCATTCACTTAGTTTTCATTTTGCATTCTTGTTTAACCCATAGGTTATTTAGAAGTGTGTTGTTTATTTTCCAAACATTTAGAGATTTTCTAGATATCTTTCTGTTATTAATGTCTACCTAAGCTTCACTCTGGTCAGATAATACATTTGTATGATTTATGTTCTTTAAAATTTGTGGGTCAGAATATAGTCTCGCCTGGTAAATGTTTTGTGGGCACTGGAAATGAGCGTCCCTTATGCTATTTTGTGTGAAGTATTTTATAAATGTGAATTGGATCAAGTTGATTGATGCTGCTGTTCAAATCTTCTGTATCTTAACTGATTTTACATCTCTTTGTACTACTAATTATTGAGAGGTAAGTTGAAATCTTTGACTATAATTGTTGATTATCTTATATTGTCTTAGTTCCATGATATGTTCCATTATGGATTTTCTTTATAATCCTTGAAGTTATGCTATTAGGTACATAAACATTTGAGATTATTTGTTTTATCTTTTTCATGAATTGACTTCTTCATGGATATTTATTCCTGGTAATCTTATCTGCTATGAAATCATCTGTTTCTAATATTTATGCAGATACTCCAGATTTAAAAAATAGTTTTAGCATGATATGTCTTTTTCCATTGATGTATTTTTAATCTACATGTTAGTCCATTCTCATGTTACTATAAAGAACTGCCCAATACTGGAATTTATAAAGAAAAGAGGTTTAATTGACTCAGTTCTGCTGGGCTGGGGAGGCTCAGGAAACTTACAATCTGGGCAGAAGGGCAAGCAAACACATCCTTCCTCACATGACGGCAGAAAGGAGAAGAATGAGTGCCTAGTGAAGGGGGAAGCCCCTTAATAAAACCATCAAATCTTGTGAGAACTAACTCACTATCACTGACAACAGGATGGGGGAAACCACCTCTATGATTCAACTATCTCCACCTGATCCCTCCCACGACACATGGGGATTATGGGAACCACAATTCAAGATGATATTTGGGTGGCAACACAGCAAAACCATATTGATCTCTTTGTGTATTCATATTTTAAGTAGAATCTTGTAGGCAGCATATAGTTGAGTCTTACCTTTTGATATATCTGACAACCTCTGCCTTTTAATAGGAGTATTTAGATATTTTATATTTAATGTGATTATCTCTATGATTGTGTTTGAGTCTATAATTTGTTACTTTCTCTTATACATCCCATATTTCTTTGTTCCTTGTGCCCACTTTGCCTTCTGCTGAATTAGCTGTATTTTAAAGTTAATTTTTGTCTACATTATTAATTTATTAGCTATAACATTTTGAGTTTTTAGTAGTTGTCTTAAAGTCTATAGTGTACCTCTTTAATTTATCACAGTCTAGCTTCATATAGTATTGGATTATATTATATTATATCATATATAGTATAAGAACTTTACTTATAGTAAGGTTATACTTTCTGAAAGTCAATATAATTTTAAAATTTTAGTTATAAGTTATTTTGTATATCAAATTATAATTTTCTCACAATAATCATAATCTTAAAATAAATTTTATTAATATTTTAATGCCTCTAAGAAACAAGAATAAAACAAGTTGAGCACTAAACTTTTATCAGCTTATGACATTGAGAGAGCTTCCAAGCCATGGTACAAGGACAGGAACCCAGATAGAGTCTATAGTTTTCAGCTATAATGAATAACCCTGTTGTAAACATTCATGTGGGTGTCTTTGTGTGAACATATGTTTTCATTTCTCTTGGGTAGACACCTAGGAGTGAAATTTCTGGGTTTTATGGTAGTTTTATGTTTAACTTTATAAGAAGCTCCCAAACTGTTCTCCAAATGGCTGCACCATTTTACATTTCCACCAGCAATGTCTAAGGGATCCATTTTCTCTACACCTTCATCAACATTTGTTAATGTCTGTTTTATATCTTATGGTGACATCAAAAGCATCATAATCAGGAACCAGTTGACAGTTGAAAATATACTTTCTTCTCTCCATGAGGCTGATCAGGGTGTTGACCTTGGCCACATCAATGTCATACACCTTCTTCATACCCTGTTTGACCTGGTGCTCACTGGCTTTAACATCTACAATGAACACAAGTGTGTTGTTGTCTTCTTTCTTCTTCATGGCTGACTCAGTGGTCAGGGGAACTTGATGTTGGCATAGTAGCCAAGGTTGTTTTTCCTGGGGTTTTCCAAGGATATTTGGGCTGCCTTTGGAGGCACAGTGTCTTGGGCCCCCACAAATCATCTTTTTTGTGTGGCTATGGATGCCTTTCAGCACTACCTTCTTGGCCTTCAAAGCCTTTGCTTTGGCTTTGGGAGGGGCAGGAGAATCCTACTTCACCCTCAGTGCATTCTTGTCCATCATGAGTTAATTTTTGTGTATGGTGTGAGGTATGGTCTATGTTTTTCCTTTTGCATATGGGTTGCCAATTGTTCCAGCACTATTTTTGAACAGAAAATCCTTTTTCCAATGAAATGGCTTTACACCAGTATTTCTGACCAGTATTTCTGACCAGTTAGTCAGAAATCAACTAACTAGCTAATTATTTTTTTAAGTTATTTAAAATATAAGAATAACTTAGTTAAAATTTTTCTATGTCTTTTCTATTTCTGTGCTCTTCATTTCTTTGTGTAGCTACAGATTTCCATATGGTATTATTTTCTGAATGCTTGAACAATTTTTCTTAACATTTTTTAAGTGTTGGTAAAAAATTCTTTCAGATTTTGTATGTCTGAAAAATTGTCTTTGTTTCGCTTTCTGTTCTCATAAATATTGTTGCATAGCATAGAAATCTAGGCTGACAAATGTTTCTTTCAATATTTTAAAGATGTTGCTTAACTATCTTCTATTTTGATAAAAGTGCTTCATTCATATCTTTGTTCCTCTCTTTAAGTAAGTCTTTTTTTCTTCTTTTAATATTTTCTCTTTATCACTGGTTTAAGGCAAATTTGATTATGATGTGCCTTTGTGTAGTTTCTCTGATGATTCTTTTACTTGTGCTTCTTTGATCTGCAGCTTTAGAATTTTATCAATTTTGGAAAAATTTTGGCCATTATTTGTTCAAATATTTTTAATGCTCCTGTCTGTCTCTCTGCAAGTCTTCCAATTACATGTGTGTTAGGCTACTTGAAGTTGCCTCACATTTTACTGTGGCTCTATTTGTTTTTGTTTAAATTCTTTTTTCTCTGTGTTTGTTTCATATTGGTTGGTTTTTATTTTTATTTATTCATATTCACTAGTCTTTTTCTCTAAAGAGTATAATTTGCTATTAATCCTATACCATTAACTTTTTATTTCAACCTCTGTTTTTCACCTCTAGAAGATCAATGATGGCTTAAAAAAAGAACATTAGGGAAAAAACTGCTGAAATCTAAATAAAGTCTTTAGTTAATAACATTGTATTGATGTTAATTTCCTGCTATTAATAATGTACCATAATTATGTAAGAGGCTAGTGTAGAGAAGTTGGGTGAAGGGAACTCTCCTTATTATCTTTGCAACTCATTCTGACCGCAACAAAGGTCCATGGCTGCCAGGCTGGGCTTTCTTATTCCAAGAGCTTATCAACCTAGATTCATAGATGAGAAACGAGTTAGTAATTTGTGTAATAAATGCATTAATCCTCTGTCTAAAAAACCTATGGTCTTTCTGAATGTACTTTTTATTTCTTCTACCCTGAGCATAAGAATATCCATATAAAGTCCTCGTATTACTAATTCTATCATCTGTGTCATATCGTGCAGTTTTGATTGGTATTTCTCCTCATTATGAATTATATTTTTCTGATTCTTTGAATGCCTAATAATGTTTATTTAAATGCCAAACATTGTGAATATAGCCTTATTGGATGCTAGATATGACTATATTAAAATTATATTTTCTTCCATAATTGAGGTAATATTCTCTGGGTACTCTACTTAACTCTGCATGTATTGCAAGGTTTTTACCACTCTGGCTGATGAGAATACCAACTATTATTAGTGCTACATGATTCATGGGAACTGTTCTCCCTAATTCTTTCAGGTGGTTCTTTACCTGACCTCAAGTAGTTATTTCACATGTATGTTCAGATGAATAATCAGCTGGAGACTTCAAGTGGAGAGAGCTCTGCAAACATCCAGGATTCTATTTTTGCGTGACTCTCTCCCCTCCAGTATTCTGCCCTAAAACTCCTGTTGCCTTAGTCTCCTGTACTTTCAACTCTGTCTCCTCAATGTAAAGAGACCACTGCGCTCCATCTGGGTTCCTCTCCCTGTGTCAGGGCTTGGAAACTTTCTCAATACAGTAAGCTTATGAAAGTTTCGGATGCAACTTGTTTTATTCCTGTTTCTTAGAGACATTAAAAATATTCAGCTTGGGTGACAGAGCAAGATCCTGTCTCTAGAAAAGTAAAAATGTAAATAAATAAAATGTTAATGAAATTTCTTTTAAGATTGATCATGGTCATTTGAGAAAAGTATGATTTGACATACAAAATAACTTACAAATTTTTTAAACTATACCTTCTTCAGTTATTAGGATTAAAATCCATTCCTGAAAAAAAATTCAAAAGAAAAATTCTGTAAAAGGACATATTAATTAAGAATACAGTTACATGCTGGGTGAAGCATATTTAAAAAGTCAAGAAAAAGCAGTTTGTCTGTGGAGAGGAAACAACTCTTCATATATATACATATGTCCTATTTAGTTGCCATTAACAGCAATTGGTGCCTTGCTGTGGTTGTCCCATCTGTTGAAATTCAACAAAAGTGTTATAATGGCTGTTGATAGTTTATAATGTCAATCCTTCTATAAAGAATTAAGTCAAATAATGTTAAAACTTGGAAGGCATCTTAGAGATCATGTAGTAATTCAACTTTCTTCTTTTATATATAAGAAAGGCGTTATTAACTAATATGTTGATCATTGTGTTTCATACCATTAAAAAACGAACAAAACCTTTTACAGGCATATTTAGGACATAACTCAAGGCATCTGGCCTCAGGGTTCTGTGCTATTTTTTCCCAAATAATCAAGAACTGGAGAGTACAACTAAATGTATTTCATTTGTGGAAAACTGGTTCAGTAGACATAGGCTTAGATTACTCTAGAAGGTAACTTGTCATTTGTACCATCATGTTCTTTTTACACCTGAGAGCACTAGCTGTTCTATCAGTCATGGCCCTGGTATTTAAAAATTCATCTTAAATGGTCTAAATAAAAAGGGTGGGGGCAAAAGCAGAAGAGAGAACATCACACACTTACAAGTCTAGACAATTGAAGCCTCTATCACTCAATAAATCCATCTATTCAACAGACTTTTCTTAGCAGTTCAATCACTGCATTGCAGAGTAATACTTTGAGGTGAAGCCCAGAGAGAAGGTTGATGAAGCAGGGTCACTAACATGATTATAAACTAGACTTTATTCTGAAGGAGTTTATAATTTGAAAAACGTAAGTAGGCATAGGGATTAGTAATTCCATGATCAGTAATGATTAGAAAGTGGTTATAATAGCTAGGACTCTGGTTTTCAAATAACAGAAAACCCATTTAAACCAGCTTAAGGAGAAATAACTTACTATAAAAAGACTGAATGATTTCGTGAAACTCTACAGTTGAAATGCATCCAAGCCCTTGAAACCAAGAATACTTTTTCAAGCTCCTCTCCTCATCTTTACTCTCTATTATTCTCTGAGGCTTCCTATTCCTCCCTTCACATATGCTTTGTTCTTTCTCTTCATACATTGACTCACTGTGCTTCTCAGGTTCTCAAACAAGACACTACTAAATTCCTTTCTGGAAAGGAACTGAATTGGTCTCTTAGTCCCAATTCCAAATTCTGGGTAAAGGGATTCTGACTCTACTTGAATGAGTTAACCACCATCATATGAATTAACTGTGGCCAGAGGAGGGGACGTGGCTTGCTCTGAGTTCCACACGTGTATGGCGCAGAGAGGCAGATCCCACATAAGGTGGTGATGCATCTATGCCCCAATTTTTGACTATTAAACACTGGAGCTCAAAAATAGTTCTTTGGAACTTTTCAAAAATTAAATCAAACCAACTATTGAGAATATCTCAAGAAGTTTTAATATTATTTTTAATAAGATCAATATATTTCAGTAAATACATTTTAATGTTAAGTCTACATTTAACCAGTATTTGTTCATTAAATAAGATTCAAGATTAGGAATAGTGGGTGAGGAAAAAACAGAAGTTCTTTTGCAGTATCCGATGGTTTAGATGACAAGGGGCCTGGTTGGAGAGTAGAATGCCATAAGAGGTTCTTAAAATCAGCCCTTCCTTGCCTGTCTACTCAATGGGTCTTTTTCCCATTCTTAATGTGGCTCTTTGGTAATTAATTTTACTGTTTTATCATGGCTTCATTTAAAAGATTGAGGCCCTTTCAACTGGTAATATAGTCATTAACCCAATTTAATAGACTTGCTTAACCCCATATTTCTTTCTTTTTCCCTTCTTTTCTTCCTCTTTCTTCCTTCCTTCTTTCCTTCTTTTCCAGGATTCCAGACTAAATTGATATTTAAAATACTTATCATAAATCTGATATCCAATAAGGATAGCAAATTAAAAATGAAAGAGAAAAAATAAATTTTGCTTATTTCTTCTTTTTTTATTTTTTTATTATACTTTAAGTTTTAGGGTACATGTACACAACGTGCAGGTTAGTTATATATGTATACATGTACCATGTTGGTGTGCTGCACCCATTAACTTGTCATTTAACATTAGGTATATCCCTAATTCTATCCCTCCCCCCTCCCCCCACCCCACAACAGTCCCCAGTGTGTGATGTTCCCCTTCCTGTGTCCATGTGTTCTTATTGTTCAATTCCCACCTATGAGTGAGAGCATGCAGTGTTTGGTTTTTTCCTCTTGTGATAGTTTGCTGAGAATGATGGTTTCCAGCTTCATCCGTGTCCCTACAAAGGACATGAACTCATCATTTTTTATGGCTGCATGGTATTCCATGGTGTATATGTGCCACATTTTCTTAATCCAGTCTATCATTGTTGGACATGTGGCTTGGTTCCAAGTCTTTGCTTTTGTAAATAGTGCCACAATAAACAAACGTGTGCATGTGTCTTTATAGCAGCACGATTTATAATCCTTTGGGTATATACCCAGTAATGGGATGGCTGGGTCAAATGGTATTTCTAGTTCTAGATCCCTGAGGAATCACCACACTAACTTCCACAACAGTTGAACTAGTTTACAGTCCCACCAATAGTGTAAAAGCATTCCTATTTCTCCACATCCTCTCCAGCACCTGTTGTTTCCTGACTTTTTAATGATCGCCATTTTAACTGGTGTGAGATGGTATCTCAGTGTGTTTTTGATTTGCATTTCTCTGATGGCCAGTGATGATGAGCATCTTTTCATGTGTCTTTTGGCTGCATAAATGTCTTCTTTTGAGAAGTGTCTGTTCATATCCTTCGCCCACTTGTTGATGGGGTTGTTTGTTTTTTTCTTGTAAATTTGTTTGAGTTCATTGTAGATTCTAGATATTAGCCATTTGTCAGACGAGTAGATTGCAAAAATTTTCTCCCATTCTGTAGGTTGCCTGTTCACTCTGATGACAGTTTCCTTGGCTGTGCAGAAGCTCTTTAGTTTAATTAGATCCCGTTTGTCAATTTTGGCTTTTGTTGCCATTGCTTTTGGTGTTTTAGACATGAAGTCCTTGCCCATGCCTATGTCCTGAATGGTATTGCCTAGGTTTTCTTCTAGGGTTTTTATGGTTTTAGGTCTAACATTTAAGTCTTTAATCCATCTTGAATTAATTTTTGTATAAGGTGTAAGGAAGGGATCCAGTTTCAGCTTTCTATATATGGCTAGCCAGTTTTCCCAGCACCATTTATTAAATGGGGAATTGTTTCCCCAGTTCTTGTTTTTGTCAGGTTTCTCAAAGATCAGATGGTTGTAGATATGCGGCATTATTTCTGAGGGCTCTGTTCTGTTCCATTGGTCTATATCTCTGTTTTGGTAGCAGTACCATGCTGTTTTGGTTACTGTAGCCTTGTAGTATAGTTTGAAGTCAGGTAGCGTGATGCCTCCAGCTTTGTTCTTTTGGCTTAGGATTGACTTGGCAATGCGGGCTCTTTTTTGGTTCCATATGAACTTTAAAGTAGTTTTTTCCAATTCTGTGAAGAAAGTCGTTGGTAGCTTGATAGGGATGGCATTGAATCTATAAATTACCTTGGACAGTATGGCCATTTTCATGATATTGATTCTTCCTACCCATGAACATGGAATGTTCTTACATTTGTTTGTATCCTCTTTTATTTCATTGAGCAGTGGTTTGTAATTCTCCTTGAAGAGGTCCTTCATGTCCCTTGTAAGTTGGATCCTAGGTATTTTATTCTCTTTGAAGCAATTGTGAATGGGAGTTCACTCATGATTTGGCTCTCTGTTTGTCTGTTATTGGGGTATAAGAATGCTTGTGATTTTTGCACATTGATTTTGTATCCTGAGACTTTGCTGAAGTTGCTTATCGGCTTAAGGAGATTTTGGGCTGAGATGATGGGGTTTTCTAGATATACAGTCATGTCATCTGCAAAAAGGGACAATTTGACTTCCTCTTTTCCTAACTGAATACCCTTTATTTCCTTCTCCTGCCTGATTGCCCTGGCCAGAACTTCCAACCCTATGTTGAATAGGAGTGGTGAGAGAGGGCATCCCTGTCTTGTGCCAGCTTTTAAAGGGAATGCTTCCAGTTTTTGCCCATTCAGTATGATATTGGCTGTGGGTTTGTCATAGATAGCTCTTATTATTTTGAGGTACCTCCCATCAATACCTAATTTATTGAGAGTTTTTAGCATGAGGAGTTATTGAATTTTATCAAAGGCCTTTTCTGCATCTATTGAGATAATCATGTGGTTTTTGTCATTGGTTCTGTTTATATGCTGGATGACGTTTATTGATTTGCGTATGTTGAACCAGCCTTGCATCCCAGGGATGAAGCCCACTTGATCATGGTGGATAAGCTTTTTGATGTGCTGCTGGATTCGGTTTGCCAGTATTTTATTGAGGATTTTTGCATCTATGTTCATCAGGGATATTGGTCTAAAATTCTCTTTTTTTGTTCTGTCTCTGCCAGGCTTTGGTATCAGGATGATCCTGGCCTCGTAAAATGAGTTAGGGAGGATTCCCTCTTTTTCTATTGATTGGAATAGTTTCAGAAGTAATGGTACCAGCTCCTCCTTGTACCTCTGGTAGAATTCGGCTGTGAATCCATCTGGTCCTGGACTTTTTTTGGTTGGTAAGCTATTAATTATTGCCTCAATTTCAGCTCCTGTTATTGGTCTATTCAGAGATTCAACTTCTTCCTGGTTTAGTCTTGGGAGGGTGTATGTCTCAAGGAATTTATCAATTTCTTCTAGATTTTCTAGTTTATTTGCATAGAGTTGTTTATAGTATTCTCTGATGGTAGTTTGTATTTCTGTGGAATCCATTGAGGCTAGGAAGAAACTGCATAAACTAACGAGCAAAATAACCAGCCAGCATCATAAAGACAGGATCAAATTCACACATAACAATATTACCCTTAAATGTAAATGGGCTAAATGCTCCAATTAAAAGACACAGACTGGCAAATTGGATGAAGAGTCAAGACCCATCAGTGTGCTGTATTCAGGAAACCCATCTCATGTGCAGAGACACACATAGGCTCAAAATAAAGGGATGGAGTAAGATCTACCAAGCAAATGGAAAAGAAAAAAAAGGCAGGGGTTGCAATCCTAGTCTCTGATAAAACAGACTTTAAACCAACAAAGATCAAAAGAGACAAAGAAGGCCATTACATAATGGTAAGGGGATCAATTCAACAAGAAGAACTAACTATCCTAAATCTATATGCACCCAATACAGGAGCACCCAGATTCATAAAGAAAGTCCTTAGAGACCTACAAAGAGACTTAGACTCCCACACAATAATAATGGGAGATTTTAATAACCCACTGTCAACATTAGACAGATCAATGAGACAGAAAGTTAATAAGGATATCCAGGAATTGAACTCAGCTCTGCACCAAGTGGACCTAATAGACATCTACAGAACTCTCCACCCCAAATCAACAGAAGATACATTCTTTTCAGCACGACACCACATCTATTCCAAAATTGACCACATAGATGTAAGCAAAGCACTCCTCAGCAAATGTAAAAGAACAGAAATTATAACAAACTGTCTCTCAGACCACAGTGCAATCAAACTAGAACTCAGGATTAAGAAATTCACTCAAAACTGCTCAACTACATGGAAACTGAACAACCTGCTCCTGAATGACTACTGGGTACATAATGAAATGAAGGCAGAAATAAAGATGTTCTTTGAAACCAATGAGAACAAAGACACAACATACCAGAATCTCTGGGACACATTCAAAGCAGTGTGTAGAGGGAAATTTATAGCACTAAATGCCCATAAGAGAAAGCAGGAAAGATCTAAAATTGACACCCTAACAACACAATTGAAAGAGCTAGAGAAGCAAGAGCAAACACATTCAAAAGCTAGCAGAAGGCGAGAAATAACTAAGATCAGAGCAGAACTGAAGGAAATAGAGACACAAAAAAACCCTTCAAAAAATCAGTGAATCCAGGAGCTGGTTTTTTGAAAAGACCAACAAAACTGATAGTCCGCTAGCAAGACTAATAAAGAAGAAAAGAGAGAAGAATCAAATAGTCACAATATAAAATGATAAAGGGTTATTTCTTCTTCACATGGGCTTCAGTTTACAGCATCTTCAAATTCAACCAAAAGTGATCAACAAAGCTATGCCTTCTATGTTAGTCCATTCTTGTGTTGGTATAAAGAAATATGTGAAGCTGGGTAATTTATAAAGGAAAGAGTTTTAATAGGCTCATGATTCCACAGGCTACACAGGAAGCATGGCACCAGCATCTACTCAGCTTCTGTAAAGGCCTCAGGGAGATTTCACTCATGGCAGAAAGCAAAGTGGAAACAGGCATGTTACATGACCAAGTCAGACATGACCAAGGAAAGAGTGGGAGGTAATGTGTCACACTTTTAGTCAACCAGATCTCATGAGCTCATTCACTATCAGGAGGACAGCACCAAGGGGATGGAACTAAACCATGCGAAATCCACCTCCATGATCCAATAATCACCTGCCATCAGGCCCCACCTCCAACACTGAGTATTACATTTCAATGTGAGATTTAAAGATGACATATATCCAAGCTATATCACCTTCCTATTCAGAATATCATAGGCAATAGAGGAAGAGGCTGTACATCTGCCTGACTGCCAAGCCTGGTGTTTGCTTTGATAATTACTCTTGATCACATCAAGGTTTCTAATCAAACAATTGGAAAAGATTAGAAATATAATTCTGGATGTTTTGTAACATCATACAATCTTTATCTTTACAACTGAAAATAAAGAAACATGGAATAAATGGAGAATTGCATATAAGTGACATGCAAATTGCTATTCTTTCTGCATTAATTTAATTAGACTTATTCTTTGTCATCTCATGTTTCTTTGAGATCTGTCTATTGATATTCTTTTCTCTCTTCTCCTGACTCACAAGGCAATTTCCATTATTGTTTTGCAAACTAAATCAGATTTCTCTTTTGAAGTGCAAGTCTCCCCCTTTCATGATCCTCTTTAATGTTTTTCTTTCCAGAGAGAAACTCTCTGTATTTCTCAAGAATTCTAATAATTAGGTTGTAGCCTTTATCTCCATTTCATCTTTTGCCTGTAGTTTCACTAAGGATGCTTCTAACATCCTGATTTTACAATTCCTTGGTTCCCTTTATTTCAAACAATCTACTCCAACCATCAACCACATTTTTCATCATGTTTCAAATGACTCAGCTTAAATATATCAAATTATAAATTTGTCTTCTTCGACTACAAATTCCTGTCTTGTCATTAACTGCTATTTGTAGAAATTTCATAGGGGACAACTTTGTATATTTCCTTGAGCATAGAGGTAATATTTTTTCAAGAGGATTTGCCTAAAGGTGTTGCAGAGTCTTAAGGTATGTATTTTTTACTCTCATTAGATATTTCAGATTATTCTCTAAAATAGTACCAATTTATACTAGTGTCATCTTCTAATATTGCCAGAGTTATTAATATTTATTTCTTGGATGGCTGTAAATACTATGTTATTGTAGTTTTAATCTTTCCACATTTATATGGGTCATTTATTCTGTGATATGCATGCTTACGTTTTTGTTTGTGAAGTTTCTCTTTTTCTTAGAGATTTGTAAGCTTTTAAAATGCATATATTATAAATACTAATCTTTCAGCCATTAAATATTTTGCCACTATTGTCTCTAAGTGGCTAAGACTTTGTTTATATGTGTTTTGTCATAATGGAGTCACATTTATTAATCTTTTCTTTTGTGATTTGTCTCTTTGAAGTCTTGGTTAAGAAATGTTTTTCTACACCACGTCATAAAAGTAGTCTCCTATGTTTATTCTAAATGCTTTAAGGTTCTATTTTCATATTTAGTTCTTTAAGCAACTTGGAATTAATTTTGTGAAATGGGAATATAATTATACTTTTCATATGATATGAATTTCTCATTTTCATTTATTTTACCTGTGATCTGCAAGGCCATCACTATAATGTTCAAAGTTGCTACATAGTATATCTTCTTTATTTGATTCCATTGATCTATTTATCTAGACCAGTGGCAATACCACTACCAATCTTATTCTTCTCATTTATAATTGTTTGGGATAGTCTGGATTTAGTTTTGAATTTTATAATTTAAGGTCAGTTATTTGGGATTGAATTTTTGTAAATTTGAGGAGAATTGATATTGTTAAGATAGTCTATCCTTTTGCGATACAATATACCTATTTATTCAGATCTTCTTTTGTAATGTTAATGAAGTCCATTTATTCATTCATCAAATATTTTTTTGAGGCCCTCTTATGCCAATATTATCCTAAGAGTTTGGATATCACTGAGGAAATGAAGCCTACATTCTAACCAGAAGAAAGAACATATATTATATATAAATAATTTATATCACATGTAAAACAATGTAAGTGCTAAGGGAAAATGAAAAGCTAAAGCAGAATAGGATTTCAGGGGTCATGAGAAAAGGCAGTTTCAATTTAAACAGGGTGGTTAGAATAGATCCAATTGAGAAAGGACATATGAGCAAATACCTGCAGGAGTTGAAGGAAGAATATTCCAGTCATAGTCAATAGACCCTATATATATATATATACACACACACACACACACACACAAACATATATACATATACGTGTGTATCTATGTATATATACACATATAATATGTAATACACATAATATACATATATAATATACATATTTATAATATGCACATATAATATATAATATATACATACATGCATATATAAATATATACGTACACATTATATATGTGTGTGTATATATATATACACACACACAAGTATTTATATACATGTATATCTTATTAATATATATATCCTGTGATGGGATCCTGCCTAAAATACTCCAGAATAGCTAGGAGATTTGGTGAAGAGTAGATGAGAAAGGAAGTGAGCTAGAGTAGTAATGGGGACCACATCATCTAAGGTTCTAGGAACTCTTGAGGAATTTTGCATTTATCTTTTGGAGACTGAAGAGCTTAGCAAGGTTTGGAGCAGATAAGTGTTACAGTCTATCTGGCTGATGTATTAAGAATGGACTAAAGTGAGCCATTATCACACCACTGCACTCCACCCTAGGCAACAGAATAAGGCCCTATCTCATAAAAAAGAAATGGACTGAAGGAAGTAAGAGTTAGGCAGCAAAACCAGTGAGAAGTCTATTTGAGGAATCCGTTTGAGAGATGATGATGGATCAAACCAGGAAGATGGTAGAAGGGATGGTTGGATTCTGGATGTATTTTGAAGGCAAAATCTTCAGGATTTCCTGACAGAAAGGATGTAGGTTACAAGTAAAAGAAAGGAGTCAAGAGGATACCAAGGCTTTGTCCCAAACGAAGGAGTTGCTGTTTATTGAGATGTGGGAAGCTGCAGGTGAGATCAGAAGTTAATTTTAGACTTATTGATTTTTAGATGAATATTAGACATTTCTGTGGGTGTATTTAGTAGAAAGGAAGATAGGCAAATCTGGAATTTAAGGGAGAGGGCTGGTCTGGAGACATAAATTGTGAGACTGTCAGCACGTAGACAGTACTTAAGCTGTGAGGTGGTTATACTGAATGACAGAGCAAAAGTGTGTACGCAGAAAAGAAAAAGCCCAAAGACCATGGAGGAGAAAGAGAACTAGCAATAGATACCAAGAAAGAACACAAAAACAGACTGACGAATAAAATTTATTAAGAAAGAGTGATCATATGCATTAGATGTTTCATTAGGTAAATTAAAACAAGTACTAAAATATGACCATTGGATCTCATTTGGATATTGGTCAAGTTGAAAAGAGAAGCTTTGGTAGATTGGTGGTCACAAAAGTCTGTTTGGAATGTGTTTAAAAGAGAACTGTGGGAGCGAAATGGAGTTTAGCAAATCTATGAGTTTTGTTGCAAAAGGGAAAAGTGAAATGACTCTGTAGCTAAAAAAGAAAGTCAGGTCAAGAGGTTTTATTGTAATAAATAAATAAGGGCATGTGTCTATCTTATACATGTTAATGGCAATAATAATGAGGAGAAAGAAATTTGATGTAGGACAAAAAGAGAGGAATTACTGAAATTATGTTCCTGAAGAGAACATAGGGGTCTAGTGAAACACAGAAATAATTATCAAAGATTACCATTATCTTTGATAATGATCAGGGAAAATGCCTGTGATTACAGATTCTGGTAAGTGGGTAGATATGTTAGTAGGTGTCTGCCATACCAAAGGTAGTACCTTGGCTAGAGTAGATTAATGTGGCTTCAGGTATGTCATAAGCATGCAGTGATTGGACAAATGTGCTTTTTTTCTATCTTAGTTAGGAAAGAGGGCCAGAAATAGTTTGCATCCACATGGAATAGGCAGCAATATATGTTCACAGTTTTTCTCTTATTTTCTGTCCTGATATAGTCTGAATAGATTAGGATGACCTGGACATCTCACAGAATGCCATATTGATCTATCAAATCAATGACATCATGTTGATCTAGCAAGATGAGTAAGAGGTGGCTGGTATGCTGGAGGCCTTGGTAAGTTACATGTGCTCCAGAGAGTAGAAAACAAACCTCATGAAGATCCTGGGACTCATCACAACAGTAAGTTTTTAGGGCTTCAGTAGTCAGAGTGTGCCATTACATCCTTCTAATGTAAAACAGAAATTGTTATACCTTGCATTGCCCACCACAAAAAAGGGGGAAGCATAGTACCTGGTAGGCCTCTTTTGGCACAGAAAACAACACATTCCCCAAGTAGGACTATTGATCTGGTCCTGGTAACATGAGCAAGGAGAATTTGGGTTACACCACCAAGTAAATCTCTGAGAGTTACTGAGGGGATAGCTGGAGAAAAGGGGGAATTAAATGGATAACAGAGGGAAAAGACAAAGGGATCAGTTGTGTCCCTGCATTGACTACTCCTTAGTGACTCTACCTTACAATGGTACTTATCCTATCTGTTTATGAGCATGCTTGAAAACTCTATAAGGTGCTACACACTTATAAGATTGGCCATTGGGTTTACACTGGCATTTATATTGGTAAGTCAGTTGCAGATTGAAACAATTTCCCATTAGGTCATACTATCCTGGATGTTTAAAACTGCATATGCCTGGAAGCTAAAAGTAACTAACAAAATTCCTTAGATGAAAATTGTAAGACGTTGTTATACAGAAATCCTCCCATAGGAAGCAGCAGTTGACAGAAATGTATAACTAAGTATTCAGCTAATTCCTCTGAGATCAAATAATAACTCTCCAATCAACTGTTCAAATCTAGAATTGAATATATTTCCCCTTGTAAGCAACTCTCTTCCTTTCTGTAGCCTCAGCTTAGGAGAGCTACTGTGCCATTTTGTGTTGCAAGAAAAAAGAAAGTACCACCTCATAGTCATTACCTCACTGGGACCCTGAAGCTACTATAAAGTAGCTGTTCCCAGGGTACTCCCCAATGTCCCTAATACTGCTTAGTAGAAAGATTGGCTGGATAGTATTTGTGGAACACAGGGAGGATCACCTGATTAATGCTGGTGACTGAAATTCAACTGCTGTTCATTTGTTTTACGTAACAGATCTTTACTGGTTACCTTTTTTATGCCAGCAACTTTGCTCAGCATTTTGAGGGATTAAAAATAAACAAGACACAGGTCATGCTGTCTTAAGGACTTTAGAAGAGATTTCAATTCTTTAATATGTTTTTCAAAAAACCCAATAGCTCTCAAATTGGAGAGGGAGCTTAACTGGATCACTAGGTCTAGGGCATGGCCAAGGAATATGCCGGATTAGTCACCACCCCCCCGCCCATGATAAGTCTGACGTCATTGATAATTGGATCTTACCTTGAAAAACACTTCTGTATTATTTGTAACTGAAAGCAAGACCTTGGAGGAGGAAAGAAATCACAAAAGGAAAAATAGAAGAGTTGTGAAAGCTGGATGTGTGTTACCATTTTAAATTAGGTGTTTCTTTTTTCCACACTTAATACAATATAAATGAAAGGCCCAGGTCTAGATTTAAGGATGTGTGACCCAAATTCTCCTTGCTCGTGTTATGAGGATCAGATGGGCTAATGACCAACAATAATGTATATGCTGCAGTCAGCATCAGCTTGGCCACTGTGGAGAGCAAGTAGCATCTTAGGAAATGTGCCTCTCTGAATACCGGTGCCTTTTAGTACATTGCTTATGTCTTTATGGGTAGCAACATGAGCTATCCATCTCTTTCCCCTCCTATCTTTTAAGAGCCTGAAGCAAATGTACTGAAATCATATGTAATTTTATTATTTGTTTTAATTTGGAGGAAAACCCCTGATAGATGCTTCCCTCACATTTCAAGCAGTAAGTAATCCAAGGAAGCCATTAATGAGGTAATTTTTGAGTGCTGGCATCGTTTTATTTTTTCTCCTTGAATCCCTACCATCTTTTGTATGTGCTAGTGTTCTGCTCTCTGCTTTCTGGAGGCCATGTGTCATTCTCTTAGGTTTTCTGGAAGCCTGTAGGTAGAATGCTTATCTCAGCCTCTGAACAGCTAACCCTGTCTTTTTTTCAGTATGGGGGAAAAAACATTTTAATCTAATTATAAGATATCTTTTAAATAAAAATGATTGTCTACCCATGTATTTCTTGGAGCTTTAAAGAATGATCCTGCTATTATTAGAGCTTCATGTTTTGTTCAAAACACAGCCCACATACTTTAAAATTTACAGCAAGTTAACAAAACCTCTCTTTGAATCTAACATCAGTCCTGTGGTCAAAACACTTGTCATAGTAATAAACAACATCGTAATTAGAAGTACTTTAGTGAATTTGGGTCAATGTATCACTCTCTTAGAACACATCTTAAATTTATCACAATTATAGCCTGGGGAAAATTTGGCTTTTTGGCCTTCACTAGTTTAAATCATTATTGTGAGAGCAAGTTGTGCTCACCCCAGAGTTCAAATGTAGAAAGACAATAAAGCAAAATGGTTGAATAAATGGGTTTTGACGGTCTTAGAAGGGTTTATTTTCATTCCTCTCATACCAAATAATAATGATTTCAGGATTTCTTGTGATTATATACCATACTACTTCTTTTTAAAGTTGGCTATTGAACCATATAATAATACTAGGTTTTATTTATTTAATGTTCACTCCATGCCAGGCATTGTGCTAGGCACCTTATGTACATTACACCACCAAGTAGTTGCTTGAATTTGTAGGTGAGAGAATTGAGTCTTAGAGAGTTTAAGTACCTTTCTCAAGATCATATATCTAATAAGTGGCAGGGCTGGAAATAGAACTCAGCAGCCCTGGCAGCATAATTCTTAACATGGTAAGTTTCCTCTGATACCCATTGCCACCAAGTTCCCCAAAACCCATGGAAATAATTTCCGAAAGGTAGAATGTATACAGGAATGTCCATTGCTTTAGCAAGGACAAAAAAGACAAGAGGACATTAGATTTGATGATAATGCATGCACTAGTGACATTAGTGAGTGATGCTTGAAAACTGTGTGCTGAGAAGTTTGACAAGAAAGGATGAAACTGTGGTGGCTGCACATGGAATGTGTAGTCTTATGGTCTGGTTGTTTTCTTTTCTTTTTTTATTTTACTTTGAGTTCTGGGATACATGTGCAGAACCTGCAGATTTGTTATATAGGTATACATGTGCCATGCTGGTTTGCTGCACCTATCAAGCCGTCATCTAGGTTTTAAGCCCCACATGCATTAGGTATTTGTCTTAATGCTCTCCCTCCCCTTGCCCCCAACCCCCTGACAGGCCCCAGTTTGTGATGTTCCCCTTCCCTGTGTCCACGTGTTCTCATTGTTCAACTCTCACTTATGAGTGAGAACATGTGGTGTTCGGTTTTCTGCTCCTGTGTTAGTTTGCTGAGAATGATGGTTTCCAGCTTCATCCATGTCCCTGCAAAGGACATGAACTCATTCTTTTTTATGGCTGCATAGTATTCCGTGGTGTATATGTGCCACATTTTCTTTATCAGTCTGGTTGTTTTCAATTCCTGTAGAGGAATAGGCTCTAAGGAAGTAACTAGTGTGGCATATTGTAGAAACAGGAGAAGACCAGGGTGGCTGTAACAAACTGAGCAGCAATCGTATGGAATAAAGTTGAAGAGGGGAGTTAAGATAAATTTCATGTAGTATCTTGGAGTTACAGTGAAGGGGCTGGATATATTTTAAGAGCAGAGGGAAGACATTGGGAGGTTTTAAGCAAAGAAGAGTGAGTTTTTGAGGCATTTTTTAAACAATCACCTTGTATGCTGTCTGATGAATGGGTCATAGAGGACGAGAGAGGCAGTGGAGAGAGCAGTGGGAAGGTCATTACGTTTGTCTATAATGATGAGTTTAACTAAAGAGGTAGCAGTGGAAATGGATGGACTCAATATATACTCTGGGAGTAGAATTAACAGGAATTGGTGATGAACTGGATGTAAAGCATGAGAGAAAGATAATCGTCAATGATGACTTCCTGGAATGACATCAGAGGGCCAGTGGTGCCACTTATTGAGATGGGAAAGATTAGGGTTGGAGGAAACTAAGGAGAAAAGCAAAAGCTTTGTATGGGTACTTTGAAATGTTTTCAAACACCGGAGAGGAGATTTTAAGTACACAAATATTACATGTTCAAAATATGGAAGTTGGGTTTCTGAGTCTCCCTGAAGTAAGTCACGGAAACAGTGGGTGGGGTGTGAATTTCAGGTGGCAGGAGTGAAGGGCAGAGTAGGGGAGGATGTCCCTGGAGGCTGGGTATGGGATTAGAGTGGAGGCTGGTGCTCTTTCACAGCAATTTTTCACAGAAAAGTGACTTCTCAGCCTCCGGCTTGAGTAGAAAGCTTTTTAGCTATAGCAATTAGCTATTTTAGTTTGAATACAGCTATTACTCAGGCTGGAAATTGGCCCAAGAAGTGGTGATATAGACTTGTTTGCTTCAGCAGACTTTATCAAGTCATACCAGCCTCTCCTTTAAACTCATTGATAACCCCCAGATTCCCAAGTATTATTTTGTTTTCCAAGACAGAACTAGTCACATCTTTACCCTAGTAACTAAAGCCCCTTCAAAGTCCTCAAGGTAGCCTTTCCTTTCAAGGACAGGCTCCCTAAGTGATTCTAAGGTGATTTTCTTTTCCTTTCATTCTGTCACATTGCACAACTTCTCTTGATAATGACACTTTATTTCTGTCAAGGTCCTCCCTCTGGTCGGGCATCTACTATAACAGGAACTCAACATATGATTCTAATAACATTGTCTTTAAAGCGATCCAATTATTTTAGTTGTACAAATTATTCTAGCAGCAGTACAAATTATTCTAGAATCATTCCATTACTGTGAAGACTCTGCTTGTTCTTTTCATACACATAAGAGGTAGCATCAGCTGTTTGTGAGTCCAGAACATTCTATTTGGATTATTCTCAAAGAAACACATCATTCAAAGCTGTGCCAATAGAGAATTAAAGCTTTCACATGACTAGGTATTCAAAATGTAAATACAGCTAGCTGTGGCATTTTAGAAACCCCAAAGTAAAAACTTTACCACGAAAGGAAAAAAATAGCTTGAAAAGAGGACAGCAGGACAAATGAGGACAGCTAGTCCTTTTCCAGCTTATTTTTGTTGGATTCATTTTGAGTTTTGTAAACCAAGCGCCAGTTAGATCTTGAGGAAAAAATCTAACTGACATAATTCTCTGAGTCAACCTTCACACAAAGAGGTTTTGAACATCAAGGCAGCATTAGCAGCTTTCTAGCCTCGTGTCTTGATTGATCAATTTAAACAGGGCTAAATATATAACTGTATAAATACATCAAATAAGGTAGAGAAAATACAATTTCTTGAGTTTTTCTATTACTGAAACCAAAGCGACAACAAAAACTATTCTTTTTTAAAAAGTCTAAAAATAATCAAGCATAAAATTATATTTGCTTTGATTTTTTTCTCTGTCAAATGTATACTATGTCTTTCTAGCAAATCTACACTATTTTAAAATACTACGTTATATGTTAAGGATTCTGTAAAATATTACAAAGCAGAAGCTGCTATAGGGAAATTGTTTTCTAGGTAAAATACCATTTTTCTCTGTTAATGTCACAATCTTTTCTTATCTTCAGTGCTATTACTACTATAATTACAAACATTCTATGTTCAACAAAAAAGTATATGGAGTTTGGGGACAAAATTATTCTTTTTAGTGAGAAAGCCTAAATTTTTGGCCATTCATATACATTTTCCAACTGGACTTCCCATGTTTGACAATTTGTGCGCATCTTACATGCCAAAATACAGAATCCTGCTCTTTACCCATTGACCCAACATACTGTTTTATAGCCAACAACTTTGAGCCAATATGTAACTTATGAGACATTGAGGAGCTAACTTTGAGTGTTCAAGTTTATCCTTATATTATTAAAATAATTGGTACCACATTATTATTATCTAATGATAAAAACTCACAATAAAAAACTTTAAAATATATCAAGAAGCAACTAATTCCTAATAAAAGGCCAGTAAAACTCCTATGTGATTTCATTATAAAGTATAGTGTCTTATTTTGTATGACTTTCAAAGAGGAATATATCACTTCTCTGTAAGAAGAAATAAAACTGGTCAATTGAAATCCATGTCTTCAAACAGATTGTTTTAACTGAATATATTTCTATATCTTCAAAGTATAAACAAATTTAAAAGATGGTAAATGGACTAGAAGTAGTAGAGTGCTGTTTCATCTACTAAGTGAATAATTACAATGGCTTGTTTTTTTTTTTTTTAATTTAAAATTTCACGTGGAATGACTTTGGTGAATGAAATAAGGGAAGCCAGACAAAAGAAAAAAAGTGAAGCCATAAATAGATTTTATATTCCCAAATTTAGGAGTTTCTTTCTTTTTCTTTTTTCTTGAAACTATTTCCTTCAAATTATTTTATTTCTAAATAAATATTAGAGCTGGGTTTTTAAGTAAAGTGGTGATTATAAGCACATTAACATTTCTACCAGACAGCAGAGATAGTGCTGGCCTGTCGACCCAAATCAGAATGCAATGCAACACAGAGCCCCTGGCCTCTGCAGTGCGTCACACTCCCTCCGTCTTCCAGTGAGGGGAATAACCTCCCTTTCTGCTGCGAACTTTCATTTAGGTCAACAACGTGGTGCTGCAAACTGAGAGGTGTGCTTTTATTTTGGGGCTTCTCAGTTCCAGATTTCAAAGCCAAAGCAATGGCATGGTCTACAAGGGGACTTTAAATAAAGTCAAACAGAATCAGATTCCCTTACTAATGGTTATTCCAAACTGCCTTGTCCAGATGGCTTCTTACAGGGAAAGGGAAGAAAAGGGGGTACTCATGCTCTGCTTCCTTTCATGCTGGCGGGCAGTGATTATTGTTAATGACCCACAGCTGTGCTAGCTACCCCACAACCTCTACCCTCTGCTCACCCCCATTTTCTCGCTTCCTTCTTATTTAAGCTTTTCTCCAGCAAGACTTGCACAGAGGGAGGTGGGAGTAAGTTTTATGATGGATCAACTGTCAAGACTCACCCTGAATCTGGCTTCTAATGAAACCTGAACACAGCAGTGGGCTCTACTCCAAAGCTTATAGCTCTGCAAAACCAGGCAAGCTTACAGTTTCTAATTTTTCTGAATATCCCAACAGACATTTATGAATTAATTCAAGAAAAGAAAAGCAGCTTAAACATTCCCCTTAACTTTCTACATGTATTGGTTGCTTCATTCATGGCTAAAGAATTAGATGTGTTCTGGATCTAGGTTGTAAGGAGCACTAGTACTTTCCATTACTGAGCATACCTAGAAAGAGGGATAAGCAGACAGGGGGATAATTTATAATTTTTGCTATTAAATAGTCTTATGAATATATTCCTTGGATTCACTGCCCCCTCTACCTTCATCACTTCAATTGGTTCATACAAGTTGCATTGAGAAGGGCTTCCATATAGTGAGCTTTCTGATACACAAAGAACTTGAAATGTCTTTGAGATACTGTCTAGTCTAGACTTGTTCTATTGTACAATATATCTGGCTTGCTAGCTGCCCTCACCTCCCCAATGGCATACCCTCTGTACAGGCTCTAGCTGCACAACCTTGAAAGATAAGATATGGCCGTTTCCCGGTGAGGCTTTAAGCTATTATGATGATTAATGATACTGATGCTCAATTCTGCCATTATGAATAGTATTAACACTAATGCTATCAGTGCTGATATTTAAATAACATTAATATTTTTGATATTAACATTTACTATTACTATCAATGTTAATCCCTAGAGTTTCTGTTGCCATGAATTTTGAAGTCTCTGATAGAGTCTTTCTTACCCTTGGGGGCCCATGGTTTTCTTAGGATGTTGTTTCTTATGGTTTCTACTGCTTTCTAAAGCTGTGAAAAAGGAGAGTAAAACAAGTGTGAGAGTAATCCTCACTCTCCTCACTTTGACCATTGGCCTAGATTATTCTCATTTAGTGCAGTTCTTTTATGTGCAAGTGTCTCCCACTTGAAATGCTCTTTTATGGAAATGTTGAGAAATATGAAAATATATGTTCTGAGAATTTTTCAATTTTCTTCTATAGCTCTTTCTATCTCTTGCGTTCTATGAAGCTTTTCTTTTTCACCTGGAATGAAACAAACAAACCACCTGTATTTCCAAATCCTAGGTATTCATGAAGTTCAAGTAAAAAATCACTTCTCCTAAGAAGTCTTCTCTGACTACACTAGTTCTTTCTCTCTCTAAACTCAATAGCATTTACTGTGCATTTGTTACTTGCTACTTTGCATTAAAGTTATTAAAACATATTTGCTATATACCAAGATTTTCTACACTCTCTTCTAGGTTAGAAATTCCATTATATAGCAGAACTATCATGGCACCCTCTACTGACTGCATACACAACAGTGCCATACTAGGTGTTTGTTACATATAGTTTTGAATGATATGTTCTAATATACATAGTTGACCATTTAACAGTGTGGAGGTTAGAAGTGCAGGTCCCTGCATAGTTGAAAATCCACTTACAAAACAAACTTTGAAAGATACTGGCAAAGAACTTCCTGAGTTCAGGGAGAAACCATTTATGAAACCAATCCATAAAAAGGGCTCTTGTCCTGGCCTCGTTGTGCAACCAAAAGACTGGTAACTGGTATTTATCTTCTCCCTTCAAGACTCAGGGGTTAGCAGCTTTATAGATAAGTGCAGTCCTGATCATAAACCCAACTGCATTTACATAAAACAATAGAGTTAGCCTATTCCTTACTGCCTTAAATTTTGGTGCTTGCTTTTCTTTCTTACTAATAAATGTCCTTTGTGGATTTTCTTTCTCCAGAGTATGGCACTTTCATCTGCAATAAAAACCTGTTCAGGCAGATATACTTTCTCCTCCATGATTTTCTTAATGATATGTGGAAACTCATCTGCTACCTGTTGGTCTGCAGAAACTGCTTCCCTGTCATCCTGATATTTTTTAAGCCAAACGTCTCTCTAAAATTATCAAACCATCCTTTGCTGGCATAAACTTCTCCAGGTTTAGATCCTTTACCCTCCTTTGCTTTAAGTTGTCATGTAATGACTTCACTTTTTCTCAAATCATATTAGGATCTATAAGTATGGGTCCAGGGTTTGTAGGTATGCCTTTCTTACAGCAATCCTGTACCCACATACAGGCTGCCTTTTCAATATGAGATAAAAATTTACTTTGCAAATAGTGCAAGGTTTTGTGTCTGCTGGCATTGCTACAGCAAAGCCTTCACAAATTTCCCTTTTTTGAATCTTTTCTTTTCTTTTTTTTTTTTTTTACAATGGTTCTGTATTAGTCTGTTCTCACATTGCTATAGAGAAATACCTGAAATTTATAAAGAAAAGAGGTTTAATTGGCTCACAGTTTCATAGGCTGTACAGGAAACCTGGCTGGGGAGGCCTCAAGAAACTTCCAATCATGGTGGAAGGTGAAGGAGAAGCAGGCACGTCTTACATGGCCAGAGCAGCAGGAAGAGAGTGAAGTGGGAGGTGCTACCCACTTCTTTTTTTTTTTTTTTTTTTGAGATGGAGTCTCACTCCATCACCCAGGCTGAAGTGCAGTGGCAGAATCTTGGTGCACTGCAACCTCTGCCTCCCAGGTTCAAGCGATTCTCTTGCCTCAGACTCCCGAGTAGCTGGGACTACAGGCACATGCCACAACACCCGGCTAATTTTCGTATTTTTTCTTTTTTTAGTAGAGACAGAGTTTCACCATATTGGTCAGGCTGGTCTTGAACCCCTGACTTCAGGTAATCCACCTGCCTTGGCCTCCCAAAGCGTTGGGATTACAGGCATGAGCCACCGTGCCTGGCAACTACACACTTTTAAACAACAAGATCTCCTGAGAACTCACTTACTATCACACGAACAGCAAGGGGGAAATCCACCCCCATGGTCCAGTCACCTCCCACCAGGTCTCTCCTCCAACACTGAGGATTACAATTCGACATGAGATTTGGCCAGGGACACAAATCCAAACTATATCAGGTTCTTATGCTATTCGTTTATCTTGAAATGGCAGCCAAACTGCAGTTGCAGACCTCAGTCTATGGTACCTATCAAGGAATTTAACTTTTTCTTACAATGTCATGCCTTATCTCTGTTTCTTGGGAGCACTTTCAGTATCACCAGCAGCACTTCATATGGGTCTCATAGTGTTATTCAAGGTTTACAATATTGCACTAAACATGATAAAAATATGTGAGAACTTCAAGTGGTCACTTTTCACTGTGATATGTAATTTCTTGGGGAGACAAACTGCTCATGTGGAGATGATTAGCCCCAGATGGCTTCTTAAGGGGATACTTACAACATTTGAGCTCACCACAGTAAAAACAGAAGGTGGCTACAAAATGATTACAGTGGTACAGTAAGTTGTAGTTAATTTTATGCACTTACAATTTATTACTGCATCTTTACATTTGTTTACATGTCTCTCCACTGAGAATGGTGCTACATTGTCCTTCTCCTCTTTCAAAGTTTTTGAAAGAGTTATTTATTGATCTCTACCTCCACTTCTCCACCTCCTCTCATTTCTCAGTCTACTGTGATTTGTGTTATACTTCTTGTTTCAAGGTCAACAAAAACCTCCTTTTCCCTAAATCAGGGAAGCATCATCCATGGCTTATCTTTTTTTTTACTTCATGCCTCATTCAATACTATTGATTCAATTCCTTCTGGAAACACCCTTTCCTTGGGTCGGATGATCGTACACTGCTGTGTGTGTGTATACATAGGCGTGTGTGTGTACACGCACATGTTCCTACCACTCTAGCCACTTTTTCCTCAGTTTCTTTTGCAGGCTTCTCTTCCTCCTTCCCCACCCATCAATTTATCTCTCCTTGAAGTACTAATTTCCTTGGGTATTTGTTGTCTTAGAAGAAAAAAAAAATTAATGAATGCTTATTTAGTGTCAGGAACCTTTCTAAACACTTTTATATGTATTAAGTCATTCTATTGTCACAACCACCCTGTGAATAGGTACTATTGTTCCTACAAATTATTTAATGTCTAAAAGGAAATACCAAAGGAAGGAAAATATAGGAAAAGTCACAGAGCTTGTAAGCAGTAGAGCTGGGATGTGAACAAGGTAGTCTGAATCCAGAAACCACATGCTCAACCACTATGCTGCCCTGCCCTCTTTCCTTCTCACTACTCCCTAGGTGATCTTATCCACCTTCATAGCAAGGGAGCCAATTCAAATTACTTAAAAAATATTTTTTTCAGCTCATATGTAATTCCAGGTACTGTGTTAAATGTTGAAAAATAAATATGAACAAAGCATGGTTTCTTACCGAATTCTAAAGAATCATTATAGTCTTGTCCCTGTGAAGATGTATTCTTGGCATTAAGAATTGCCAGTCATTTATAAAATGTTCTTCTAATATTCTGAAGTCTTAGCATATCTCTAGTCATTATTTCTCTGATTACTATTTATGTAATTATGCCTGTATTATCTCAGGATGCATTTATATTTAGGATGCTCCATAATATCAAAGACCCTCACTGCTCCTTACATGCTGCTGTTACTATCCTATCCTTCTTTTTAAGCCATGTCCTTGAAGAAAACACAACTTGTATAGAAGTTTCATTTTAACATCCAACTTGAAACTCTCTCTTTGTTTCCTTTTGGCAGGTTCAGCATTATTATTTGCACAGCTTTTATCAACCATGATACAGCAGAACTTTCCACAAGAACACATAATAAGTGGTATAAAGATAGGTCCCCAGTGCAAGAAAACACACAAGGTGCAGAACGCATTCACTAAGTGGGATAAAATTCTGCATTTGCAGTGTGGTCTAGTAATGCTCAGTGGCCCAGAGTATACAAAAAGTCTTTTCTGAGTTCTCACTGGCATATATCCGATGCTTCCTGATGGATATATAAATGAAAAAAATAGTGTTATCTTAAAGTAGCACTGAGTGGAGGTGACATTTAACAGACATGTATGCAAAAGTGACTTAATACATAGTGATACTGCATTAATAATATTTTGAAAAACGTAAGGGAAATGGAAGGAGTGCTTCATGGAGGAATCACAATTTGAGGAGAGATACATAATTAGGAGGTAGTCAGAGAAAGATGATAAATATAGGTGATTAGAGGATAAATGTAAATTCAGATTAGGAGATAAGAAAGGGGATTGGTGAAGAGGATTATAGCGTGCACTGGCAGGGGGAAAGAGTGGCAACCAAGGAAAGAATTAAACCGGGCAAGATTTGATGATATTAGACTGTCATTTTATTCTGTGCACAATGGAAAGCCACCAAAACAAGTTTTAAGCAAGGGCAAGATATGATCAGATTTATCTTCAGTAAGATAATTCTAGTAGGAATCTGGAGGTTTGATTGGTTAGGACTGTGTGGAGATAGAGAATCTTCATGAAGCTGTTACTATAAGCAAATCACAAAGCATGGGCACGTGCATAGTTGCTAACTGGCAAAACTCTCTGTTTCCAAAACTCAGCTCCTCCAGTTTTTTAACTACGTGGTGTTAGTATGTTACTTACTCTCTATTAGTCTTAATTTACCTATCTCTGAATTGAGAATGAGAATATCGATTTCATTGATTTATTGTGAGGATTAAATGAGGTAATGATTATAGCATGCTTAGAACTCTATAAGCATTCACTAAATTTAAGTCACCATCAAAAATTTATTAGGGTTATCGAGGTAGCAAGGGAGATTAGGATATGATTTTGAGAGTTCAGTAGTGTGAATAAAAAGGATCTGACAGAGGAAAAAAAAAGATAGAGGTCAAAGATGAGTCCAAATTTGGAGATGTGATGTTTTATACTGTGAGATAAGATATAGGATATTTCCAGCATGATAAGTATGATAAGTCTGGTGCAGGGAACAGAGGAAATTATGTTCTATTTAAGACTTTTTAAGATTGAGGTAGCTAATGATAAAACTGAAGCTTTCATGAATTAGTTGGAAATTTGAGACTCGTACCTTGGAAGAAAGACTGAAACAGCAGATGAAAATGTATTGATTTAAAAGGTACATGTGAAGACATAGCTACTTAAGAAGAAGTATTTTACAAAAGGTGAAGGTAACTGAGGAAGCAACCATAAATAAACTCTTAGAGATGGGTAAACAAGGAGATGAAAAACCATATTTAGAAAGGCAATAAGAGAAATAAGAACAAGCAGAGTCACAGAGACCAAGGATAAATAACCTTAACAAATTAGAGATGGTTCAGTAGCACTGAAGCAGTTAAGCCTGCTTCATTATAGATTGAAATAAAGCCATTGGTTCAGTAATCGTGAAGAAAGACTCTGGTGACCTCAAGAGGGTTGTTTTGTTGGAAGAAGTCTATATTACTGCAGTACAAAAATAAATGAAATGTTAAAAAAGAAGATGGTAGGAATGGGGACTGATTTTTCTTTTCAAAATCAAACTATTTAAGTGTAAGTTAATTATAGTAAAGGAGAAATTAGCGGAGACACCAGTTTGTAGTTGAGGTAGTATTTTAAAATATTTTTTGTATGGGAGATATTTGAGTATGATTAGAGCCTGAGTAGAAGATAAAGTAGAGAAATAAATATCAGAATCATGGATAAATGAGAAATACACATGTCATGCCTAAAGTTGGAGGAAGTTCACAGTACTTTTGGCAATGGTGATCTAGGGATTCAGAATAAACCTCCTGAAAATAAGCTAGATACTCTGTGGGAGTGATGGGGTGATATTCTTTGCATTTACATGTCTTGGGGGCCATAGTACTTCCCAAATCTATGGATTGATGTCTTTTATCAAGGTTGGAAAACCACACCTTCATGGTAAAATTGTTGAAAACTAAGACAAAAAACAAAGCTAAAATCTGACAGAGAGAGAAAGGGAAGACATATTATCTTCCAAACACCAATTATTGACTTCTATATAGAAACAATGAAAGCCAGTGAAAAATTGAATGATAAATTTAAAGGGCAGAAAATAACACAATTGTCAACTTAGAATTGTTAAAATAAAATTCTACATAAAACTATACCTCAAAAATGAATGTAAATTAAAAGCATATTCAGACAACAAAAGCAAATAATTTGTTGTTAGCAGATCTGAAATTTAGAAATACTAAAAGGAATGTTCAGGCAGAAGAATATGATCCCAGATAAATGCTCAGAGATTTAGGAAGGCTTAAACAATATTGAAAAAAGTAAATAGGTAACTAAATCTAAATTTAAAAATAATTTCTGAGGAGCTGCAAGAAAACAATAGTATTCAACTTGGAAGAAAGATAAATTATTATTTTAATATTTATTTATTTATTTTTTCTTTGAGACAGTCTGGCTCTGTTGCCCAGGCTGGAGTGCAGTGGCACAATCTCGGCTCACTGCAACCTCTGCCTCCCGGTTCAAGCTATTCTCCTGCCTCAGTCTCCGAAGTATCTGGGATTACAGGTGCATGCCACTATGCCAGCTAATTTGTGTGTGTGTGTGTGTGTGTGTGTGTGTGTGTGTGTGTGTGTAGTAGAGATGGGGTTTCACCATGTTAGCCAGGCTGGTCTCAAACTCCTGACCACAGGTGATTCACCTGCCTTGGCCTCCCAAAGTGCTGGGATTGCAGGCATGAGCCACTGCACCTGGCCTGATAATACTTTATTAAAGCATTGTCTGAGAAGTGGGAAAGTACTAATTTACATTTGACTTCAATAAATAAGAAATTCATACTGAAATCTCTGTGATAACTTAAAAAGAATGGAAAAAGCATGTCTAATAATCTATTGGAAAAGAAAATTAGAAAAATGAAATACAAACTCCCAAAGAAGATAAAACAAGGTGGAGGCATGGGGGACAGATGGGACAAACAGAAAAAGTGAGTGGCAGATTTAAGCCTAGATAATTTAGCAATGTTATAATATGTCAGTTGAAGACAAAGATTGTGAGACTGTCAAGAATTCAAAACTCAATTCTATGCTACTTATAAGAGACATACTTTAAATGTAAGTCAAATGTAGTAGGATGGAAATAGCTGTACAATGCAAACACTAACCAAAAGAAAGCTGATATACTTGCATTATATCCAACAGAAAGCACAAATCCCAAAGCATTGCTACAGTTAAAAAAATAAGCATTTCGTAATGATAACAAGCTTTAATTTATAAGGAAGATGTAATTAATAATTCTAAATTTGGAAGAAGTTCATGTGATTCTGAGACTAAGAAGGAGGTTAAGAATAGTGAAGATTTAGGGCAATTTTGCACAATCTTTTTGAATCACAGACTTTTGGAGAATCTAATCAATATTATTGTCCTATTATCAAAAAATAGGAACATAAACATAGGTTTTGCTTACAAAAGCAAAGTTCAGGAACTCCGTAAAGCTGAGTTAAGAATTGTTGATAGCTTCTATTTGAGGTTTTGAGGAAGAAAACAAGTTTATGTTGCTTTGCACATGTAAAGCTCTGTTTTGAAATAATATTTTTATAATATAGCCTTTGACCAGAGAAACTTAATTTCCTCTAACATGTCTCAGAAGCAAAGAACAGAAGAAGAGAAAAGAAATGGTTTGATCTAGAATTTGAGAGTAGTGGAGAATGGGGTCTTCAAAAAGTCAAGAGAGAAATTTGAAGATGTTACAGACTATGTTGGTGAACTGATTAATTGTGTAATCTAGGATAACTAGGGAAGAAACTAAAGATGGAAGGCATATTTTGTGGTGATTGAGAATATGAGCTTTACACTTAGGCAGACCTAAGACACAGGGAGTGCATTGCTGATCAACTTAAATTACCTCCTGAAGCCAAAGTTTTCCCATTTTCCCAATGGGGAAAATACTTACCTGTGAATACTGAATGAAAAACTGTATCTTTTCTTAGTAAAAATCATTATTAATAACATAGACAAGTTGAAAAATTGAAGATTAGGTTGGATTAAACACTAATTTTTATATGAGAGAGTATATGGGAGAACTGGACAGGAAGAATTTAAAGTCATATGGATGATTTCGGAAATGGTACCATTTTGAATTTTTAAAATTCAGAATATGGCCATACGAGTAAAATCCCAAACTGGAAATAAAAGACATTAGAATAATCAAAAATGAACAGCAACATAGTGACATGCCTTTCCCCCACCCAACTACCCCAGGGTGTGGGAAACCATGCCAATTATTTTGAGTATTTTTGACCTCGTTTTGGTTGTATAAACTCATTTTTTTCCCTAAATTTTAAAATTTTCTTTTTTTCTCTCTTTTTCAAACTCATAATACAAGTTCAGGGGTACAAGTGCAGGTTTGTTACATAGGTAAACTTGTGTCATGGGAGTTTGTTGTACAGATAATTTCATCACCCATGTATGAAGCCTAGTACCCATTAGTTATTTTTCCTGATCCTCTCCCTCCTCTCACCCTCTGATAGCCCCCACTATGTGTCGTTGCCCTCTATGTGTCCATGTGTTCTCATCATTTAGCTTTCACTTATAAGTGAGAAAATGCAGTGTTTGGTTTTCTCTTCCTGCGTTAGTTTGCTAAGGATAATGCCCTCCAACTCCAACAATGTCCCTGCAAAGGACATGATCTCGTTCTTTTTTATGGCTGCATAGTATTCCCTGCTGTATATGTACCACATTTTCTTTTTCCAGTCTATCCCTCATGGACATTTAGGATGATTCCATGTCTTTGCTATTGTGAAGAGTGCTGCAATGAACATATGCATGCATATATCTTTATAATAGAATGATGTATAATCCTTTGGTTATATACCTGGTAATGGGATTGTTCAGTTACATGGCATTTCTGTTTAGGTCTTTGAGGAATTACCACACTGTCTTCCACAATGGTTGAATTAATTATGCTTTCACTAACAGTGTAATAAGCGTTGTTTTTCTCCACAGCCTCACTGGTGTCTATTCTTGACTTTTTAATAATAGGCATTCTGACTGGTGTGAGATGGTATCTCATTGTGGTTTTGATTTGCATTTCTCTAATGACCAGTGGTCTTGAGCTTTTTTTCTTATGATTGTTCACCACATGTATGTATTTTTTTGAAACATGTCTGTTCATATCCTTTGCTCACATTTTAATGGGGTTGTTTGATTTTTTTCTTGTAAAGTTGTTTAAGTTCCTTATAGATGCTGGATATTAGACTTTTGTCTGATGTATAATTTGCAACAATTTCCTTCCATTCTGTAGGTTGTCTGTTTATTCTGTTTATAGTTTCTTTTGCTGTGCTGAAGCTCTTGGTTTAATTAGATCCTATTTTTGAAGGTTTGCTTTTGTTGCAATTGCTTTTGGTGTCTTTGTCATGTAATGTTTACCTATGCCTATGTCCTGAATGGTATTGCCTAGGTTGTATACCAGGGTTTTTATAGTTTTGGGTTTTATATTTAAGTCTTTAACTCATCTTGAGTTAACTTTTTTTTATAGTATAAGGAATGGGTTCAGTTTCAATCTTCTCCCTATGGTTAGCCAGTTATCCTACCACTGCTTATTGAATAGGGAATCTTTTCCCCATTGCTTGTTTTTGTCAGGTGTGTCAAAGATCAGATAGTTGTAGGTGTGTGTGCAGTCTTACTCCTGGGTTCTCTAACCTGTTTCATTGGTCAATGTAGCTGTTTCTGTGCCGGGACCATGCTTTGTTGGTTACTGCAGCCCTGTAGTATAGTTTGAAGTCAGGTAATGTGATGCCTCCAGCTTTGTTCTTTTAGTTCGTATTTCCTTGGCTATTTGGGCTCTTTTTTGGTTCCATATGATTTTTAAATTAGTTTCTTCTAGTTCTGTGAAAAATCTCAATGGTAGATTAATAGGAATAGCATTGAATCTGTAAATTGCTTTAGGCAGTATGGCCAATTTAACAATATTGGTTTTTCTTATCCATGAGCATGGAATGTTTTTCCATTTGTTTGTGTCATCTCTGATTTCTTTGAGAAGTGTTTTGTAATTCTCATTATAGAGATCTTTCACCTCCCTAGTTAGCTTTATTCCTAGATATTTTATTCTTTTTTGTGGCAATTGTGAATGGAATTGCCTTCCTGAGTTGGCTCTTGGCTTGACTGTTTTATAGGAATACTAGTAATTTTTGCACATTGATTTGTATCCTAAGACCTCACTGAAGTCGTTTATCAGCTTAAGAAGTTTTTGGACTGAGACTCTGGGGTTTTCTGGGTATAGGATCATGTCATCTGCAAACATGGATAGATAGTTTGACTTCCTCTCTTCCTGTTTGGATGCCCTTTTTTTCTTTCTTTTGCCTGTTTTCCCAGGCCAGAATTTCCAATACTATGTTGAATAGGAGTGATGAGAGAGGGCATCCTTGTATTATGCTGGTTTTCAAGGCGAATGCTTCCAGCTTTTGCCCATTTAGTATGATATTGGCTGTGGGTTTGTGATAGATGGCTCTTATTATTGAGGTAAGTTCCTTCTGCACATAGTTTATTGAGAATTTTAAACGTGGGTAGATGTTGAATTTTATTAAAAGCCTTTTCTGCATCTACTGAGACTACTGAGATAATCATATGTTTTTTGTGTTTAGTTCTGTTTATGTGATGAATCATATTTATTGATTTGTGTATGTTGAGCCAACCTTGCATCCCAAGGGTAAAGCCTACTTTGTCATGGTGGATAAACGTTTTGCTGTGCTGCTGAATTTAGTTTGTCAGTATTTTGTCGAGGATTTTTGCATTGATGTTCCTCAAGGATATTGGCCTACTTTTTTGTTGTTGTTGTTGTATTTCTGCCGTGTTTTGGTATCAGGATGATGCTGGCCTCTTGAGTGAGTTAGGGAGTAGTCTCTTCTCTTTAGTTTTTTGGAATAGCTTCAGTAGGAATCATACCAGCTCTTCTTTGTATCTCTGGTAGAATTCAGCTGTGAATTCATCTGGTCCTGGGCTTCTTTTGGTTGGTGGGCTATTTATTACTGCCTCTATTTGAGAGCTTGTAATTGGTCTGTTCAGGATTTCAATTTCTTTCTGGTTCAGTCTTGGGAGGGTGTATGTGTCCAGGAATTCATCCCTTTCTTCTAGGTTTTCTAGTTTATGTGCATAGAGGTGTTCATAATATTCTCTGATCGTTGTGTGTATTTCTCTAGTGTCAGTGGTAATACGCCCTTGTTGTTTCTGATTGCATTTATTTGAATCTTCTCTTTTGTTCTTTATTAGTCTAGCTAGTGGTCTATCTACTTTACTAATTTTTTTTTTCAAAAAAACAGCTCCTGGATTTGTTTATCTTTTGAATGATTTTTTTTTGCATCTCTGTCTCATTCAGTTCAGATCTGATTTTGGTTATTTCTTGTCTTCTGCCATGTTTGGTATTTGTTTGCTGTTGGTCTCTACTTCGTTTAGTTGTGATCTTAGGTTGTTAACTTGGGATCTTTCTAACTTTTTAATGTGGATATTTAGTGCTACAATTTTTTCTATTAACACTGCCTTCACTGTGTCCTAGAGATTCTGGTATGTTATATCCTTGTTCTCATTAGTTTCAAATAACTTCTTGATTTCTGCCTTAATTTCATTATTTACCCAAGGTTATTCAGGAGCAGGTTATTTAATTTCCGTGTAAGTGTATGGTTTTGAGTGAACTTCTTGGTCTTGATTTCTAATTTGATTGTGCTGTAGTCTGAGAGACTGTTTCTTATGATTTCAGTTCTTCTGCATTTGCTGAGGAGTGTTTTAATTCTAATTGTGTGATAGATTTTAGAGTATGTGCCATGTGGTGATAGAAGAATATATATTCTGTTGTTTTTGTGTGGAGAGTTCTGTAGGTGTCTATCAGGTCCATTTGATCCAGTGCTGAGTTCAGGTCCTGAATATCTTTGTTGATTTTCTATCTTGATGATCTGTCTAATATTGTCATGAGGTATTAAAGTCTCCCAATAATATTTTATGGGGGACTAAGTCTTTTGAAGATCTCTAGGAACTTGCTTTATGAATCTGGGTGCTCCTGTGTCGGGTGCAGGGTGCCTATATACTTACAATAGTTAGACCTTGTTGGATTGAACCCTTTACCATAATGAATGCCCTTTTGTGTCTTTTTGATTTTTGTTGGTTGAAAGTCTGTTTTGTGCACGCCAATGGGTCTTGGTTCTTTATCCATCTTGCCACTCTGTGTCTTTTAATTGGGGCATTTAGTCTATTTGCATTTAAGGTTAGTATTGACATGTGTGGGTTTGATCCTGTCATCCATGTCATGATCCTATCATCATGATGTCATCATGATGGTTATTTTGCAGACTTGTTTATGTGGTTGCTTTATAGTGTCACTGGTATATGTACTTTAGTGTGTTTTTGTAGTGGCTGGTAGTGATCTCCCCTTTCCATGTTTAGTGCTTCCTTCAGGAGCTCTTGCAAGGTAGGTCTGGTGATAACAAATTTCCTCTGGATTTGCTTGTCTGAAAAGGACCTTATTTCTCCTTTGCTTATAAAGCTTAGTTTGGCTGAATATGAAATTCTGGGTTGGACTTTCTTTTCTTTGAAAATGTTGACTATTGGCTCCCAATCTCTTCCAGCTTGTACGGTTTCAGCTGAGAGGTTCACTGTTAGTCTGACTGGCTTCCCCTTATGTTGACCTGACCTTTCTCTCTAGCTCCCTTTAACATTTTTTTCTTTCATTTTGACCTTGCGTCATCTGAAGATTATCTGTCTTGGGGATGGTCTTCATGTAAAGTATTTTACTGGGGTTCTTTGCATTTCCTGAATTTGAATGTTGGCCTCTCTAGCTAGGTTGGGAATGTTCTCATGGATGATATCCTGAAATGTTTTCCAAATTGGTTCCGTTCTTACCATCTCTTTCAGGTACACCAATCAGTCACAGATTTGGTCTCTTCACAGAATCCCATATTTATTGGTGCTTATGTTCATTCTTTTTCATTGTTTTTTTCTCTACTCTTGTCTGCCTGTCATATTTCAGAAAGCCGGTATTCAAGCTCTGAGATTCTTTTTTTTTCTGCTTGTATATTCTGCTATTAATACTTGTGGTTTCATTATGAAATTCTTATAGTGTGTTTTTCAGCTCTATAAGGCTGGTTACATTCTTCTCTATACTGGCGATTTTGTCTGTCAGCTCCTGCAATGTTTTCTCATGATTTTTAGCTTCCTTGAATTGGGTTACAATGTACTCTTATAGCTCAATGAACTTCATACCTATCCATATTCTTGAATTCTACTACTGTCATTTCAGCCATCTCAGCCTCAGCCCAGTTCCGATCTCTTGCTGGAGAGGTGATGTGATCATTTGGAGGTAAAAAGACACTCTGGCTTTTTGAGTTTTAAGCGTTTTGCACTGATTCTTTCTTATCTTTGTGTACTTATCTACCTTCAATCTTTATGATTGCTGACCTTTAAATTTTTTTTTTCTTTTATCTTATTTGATGACCTCAAGTGTTTGATTGTGTTATATAAGGTGGATTCAGCTGACTGGCTTCATTTCTGGGAGATTTTAGGGGGCCAATGCTCAACTCCCAACTTCTGGACTGTGTGCTCTAACTCTGGGAGACAAGTATTGGACCCCAACTTTGTTCTTGGGCTCCTTGAGATTTGGAGTCCACTGCACTGGGGGAGCCAAGGTCTGGCAGCTGCAGCAGAGTACTAGCAGATGCAGGAGTGCCTGCCTCCCTGTGGCCATTCACCACAGTGGTAGAGGTAAGGCAGCTGGGAGGGAGGTAGGGGCCCCTGCTGGAGACTGTGAACACAGTTGCACTGGAGGTGGTGTTGACTTGGGGCAGGGTGCTGGCTGGCACAGGTCTGGGTGCCTTCTCTTTGCCCCGTAAGCAGGAGTGATCACTCAGGGTGTGTGATGGTTCCTGTTCTCTGAGCAAGGGCTGGGTACTGGCGGGGGCAGACCTTGCTGGCAGTTGGGGTTGGGGGGCATACTACACTCCTGCATTCTGGCAAGTCAAGTAAGGCAGAGTGTGGACATGCACCAGCAAAGCAATGTGGGGTGTTGCCATGGCTTGGAGGAATCTGCAATATGAAGACAGAACATTCAGGCTGGTGTGCAGCTATAGGGGCCTCCTGGCTGGAGCTCTCCATCTGTCTGACATGGTCCACTGGCACAGAAGATATGGTGTGGGCCTTCAAGGTACCTGAGACTGCACTGTAAGTAGGCATGATCAGGCTGGGGCCCCAGGATTTGCCAGCAGACCAAGGAGTGCTCAGGTCAGACCAGGCCAGGGTGATGTTCAAGGCTGCCCCGCAGAGATCAGGCCCAACAGTTCCCCTAGGGACAAAGTCTCTTATGGGAGCAAGTTGAACCCAGGGGGATGGCTATCTTTGGCCATGCTTCACTACAGATGTTCCAGCACCAAACACTCAGGGCTCCACATCAGCTGGCTGCTGTCTCACCAGAGTTTGTTTGTCTCCTGGGGCTTCCACCCCAGAGAGATGCGGGTCAGCAGTAGCTCAGTGCAATCAGCCCAGGATGGAGGGTCTGTGTTGCGGGCCCAAGCCACGGGTTCTCAGTCTGGTGACAAGCAGTAGGGGGTGTGTGGGACCCATGGGAGTCAGACTGGCCTCCTCTCCTTGGCTCAACTGCAGCTTGTTGGAGGTGTGGAAAAGGCACTTAGGGTCTTTGCTCCTTTGTTAGTCAGGGGGTAGTGACTGGAGTGGACCCCCAGCATACTGCAGTAGCCCTAGGACAAAGTAGCCAGACTGTTATGTGGATGCCTGTTGCCATATCTCCTCACTGAACTGTTCCTCCAGGCCTGGGCCTCTAGCCAGTAGCAACTCAGCAACTCCCTGGACAGAGCCTCCAGGGGCAATTGAAATCCCCTTTGCCATTGCCTCTGCAGTGGAGCTGTCACTGCTTCCTTGGACTGATGAAGGAGCAGAAATTTCTTTATGTTCCTAACCTTTTATATCTTACTTCTATTATTATATCAATCAATCCTAGTGTTGTATCAATTAATCACTTATAGACACTAAGCATGAGGAAAATGAAGGAGGTCAAAAGGCAAGAAGCATGAAATATTGCATTGAACTGTGCTAGTCTGACACATGCCTTGTTAGTATAGAATGATGACAAGGAACTATTTCTGATAGGCATTATAATTAAAACCAGCATATTTTTTTCAAGGCTTCAAGAAGTGAACTAAATTTCCCTGAACCCCAAAAGGTTCAATTCAGTTCAGGAAAATGTTAAATTTGATGTTATTCTATGAATTAGCTTTCCAAGCTCTAATTATAATAATAGACATTATGCTGCAAACTTGGAAAAGGTTCATTTACATGACAGGTCCAAGAATCAAATGTTCTTATTATTTTCTTTTCATTTTGCCTTTCAAATACTTACTTCAAAAAACAAGTAAGAAGTAATTATGAAGTACTTAAAGAGAGGAAACACTGTATCTTAACTTATTAATTACAGGACCCTCTGTTGATCAAGGCAAAGCAATTTTCTTTCTAAATTCTTGACAAAATAGAGAATATGGTCTTGTCTAGGACACAGTTTACCAAAAGCATTCCAATGCCATGATGATACAAAACTCACTTGATTAACAGATGAACAACTTGTTCCCGGGAGGCAATATCTTACATTATAATTTGAACATTTTTTACACTTCTTTACCAAATGTGAAAACAATTGTTATTGTTCTTTTTCCTCACTGTTACACAAATGGTGGCAGGGGGCCTGAAGAGATACATACAACAATGCTTTGACAAGACTCTTTCCACCTATCTTTACAGTTTTTCCGCATGATTTATTCCATAAAAGAAAGAAAGAAATTCTGTGATTTCTCCTCTCCTTGACCTTCTTTCTGTTTCTGTTTATACCTTAATATGTAACAAACAGATTTCCTGTAAACTATTTATGAAATGATAGAACATGTCATATGTACTTAAATAATTTTATTCACCCCAAAATAGGGGTTAATTAAGAGGGAGAGGTAGAAAATGTGTGCAAACATCTTGGTTTTAATATGTGATTATATTCTGACAACCTTCATTAATCTTTACGTGACCCCATGTAATAGGTCTTATGGAGTTGTCCTGCTGTTATTTAAAGACCAATCTGAATATTCTGATTCATCTCAAACTACATCAAATCAAACCAAAACCACAAATCTAATACTAAGCCCTTGAAAACTCACATTGATCTTTAAAATAGGTTTCTCAGAGTGATAATGAGTGTTTAGCTGACAAATCATGAAGATTTCAGAATTTCTCTCTAAATACCTGTTTCTGTCTTTCAAATTTCTAGTTTTCAGTATTCCCATATCCCTATGCCTCTTTTTCTTTTATATTGAACTCGACTCTTGAAATCCTAATTCTGCCCGGTACTGGAGGTCTAACCTTGGGCAAATTCCTTAACTTCCTAGGTTTCTATACCTGTAAAACAGAGATATTAATAATGCATACTTTACAGTGTTGTGATAAGAATTAGGTGACCTAACAAATGCAGATTTAGAATACTGTTTGTTACATAAGAACTTAGTGCTAGCTATTATTATTTATTATTATTATTATTTGAGGGATTTTCTAACACATAAGATTAAGTCATTGTTATCACTTGAAACTTTTGGACCTCAAGTGGTGGGAGATATCCCACTTCAAAAGCTCTGAAGAAATGTTTAATATATTGGAATAGTACTTTTGCTTATTTCAATCTGATTTTAGCTTGTTGCAGTTTTAATCTTACATTTTTGCATTTTAAAAGGGTTTTGCCCATAATTTTAGCTCAACTCCAAATCTGTTCACTTCTGTCTCTTAATTTATCTTAGCTTTCTTCATTTTTGTTTTTATCTTAGTATTCATTTTTTCCAGTTTTTTGAACATTCCTTTCTTTCTCTGGCTTTAATTATTTTATTATTTATTTATTTATTTACCAATTTATTAGATTTCAATTTTCCTTCATAAGCTTTGTGCTGTTTAAAAAAGTATTTTAAAATTAAAATAGTGGAAATGCTTACTAATATTTACTGAGTGTTGTCTATTTGCAGAGTACTTGTCTAAGGGCTTCATATGAATCATTTTATCAATTTTTACAATAGTTCTTTGAGGTAGATATTATTATTATCTTCATTGCACAGATGAGGAAATTGACATAAAAAGAGGTTATATACCTTGCCCAAGGTTATATAGCTATGAAGAGTAGGAAATAAGATTTACAATACTCTATTTTGCATTTCATTTTGACTAAATTTTAACCTAATTTTTCATTTTTGGTGTGTTTCTAAAATTGTTTTTTCCTATTATTTTCTAGTTAATACTGGTAAAAAGCAAGTTGGTATGGTGAGAGCATTGTAGAATTGTCTGCATTCTAAATGGGAGATATTAGACTGATATATTTCTTTCAGCTGATGCTGAAGTTACCATTTTTAGATCTGCCGTCTTAGTGGAGTGAGAAGCAGCATGGGTTTTGGATTCAGATGAAGCGTGCAAGCAGTGTTACAGGAGAGTCTTTCTACATGTTGGTTGTCTAAAATTTCATGTAGTAAAGTTTTAGGATAAAATTAACTAACTCTGTGATGATAGTCATTGATAAACAGACTTTTTTTTTTTTTTTTTTTTTGCTTGTCGTCTAGGTTGGAGTGCAGTGGCGCAATCATCTCACTGCAGCCTTGAACTCCTGGGCTCAAGCCATCCTCCTGCCATAGCCTCCCTACTAGCTAGGACTACAAGTGCATGCCATGATGTCTGCTAATTTTTATTTATTTATTTATTTTAGTATTTGTAAAGACAGGGTCTCATTTTGGTGCCCAGGCTGGTCTCAAACTCCTGGCCTCAGGCGATCCTCCTGCCTCAGGCTCCCAAAGCGCTGGGATTACAGGTGTGAGGCACGGCCCACAACCTGAAGCTGTCCCAAGTGCTGAAATTGCTTACAAAATGGTTCCCCTCCCTGACTACAAGTTTCAGGCCTAAAAACAAAACAAAACAAAACAAAACCAGTTTTCTTAATGATTTCAACCATCTCCCTAAGGGAACTGGATTTGTAGTAATGGTATATGTTTCTCCCAATTTAATATTATCATCTCTCAGTTCCTAACCTTCCCTCATGAAGTTATAAAAAGCCTCTCTAGTGGAATTCTACTGATTGACAGTCCTATCAATCAATTAACTTTGGCCGATATGATTACTCTTCAAATAATCTCCAGGTTTTCTCCTCCTACATTTAATTCTCCTTACTAATTCTACAATTATTAATAGTTTTCCCCTATGCAGCTTCCTTGATCTAGATAGCCTGGAGAAGACTTTCCTAACAAAAACCAAGTTGGACCTCTTCTATTATTGCTCATATCAACTTAGGTTTACCAGTTTGGACTTGAGTCAATCTCGTATCAATAAAACTAAATAATACTAAACTCTATAAGGTAATAAGTTTTATTATTACTAACCAAGTATATTTTCTGAAGGAAGCGTATCCTCTTAGAATGTAGTTGTGGGATCCTAAATGCAAAAACACCTTGTTTTCTCATAAATGAATGTCCTCTGGTTTGCATATCTTTCAAAGCATAATTCCAAGAAAAACAAGTGCAATTTGATACTACTGGATATCATCTTTGTGAATGAAGCCGAATAACCAATTAGCCTTTTTTCTTTCTGTTTTTGGAAGTGATATCTCAGTATCAACTAGCTCAAATAGAATAGATTGCAATTGTTAAGTATTTTCCAAATATGTTCCTGTTAAACTGTGTTTCCATACTAACGTAATTATTAACTTTCTTGCCCAAGCAAAGGGTGGGTGTTTATTCATTCTAAAGTTTATTGAGTCAAATCTGGTTCATAATTCAATTGCTGAGATACTTTATATCCTAATTTTATCAAATAATGTACTAGGAATTTCTCCTACCTTAATGTTGACTGCATAGGTAGACGACAGATCATCAGTGTTTTCATGCAAATTATTGATTTTCATCCAAAAAATGGCCTTGATACATATGGTTCTTTCCCACATTGTCTTCAGGCCTTTGCTCAAATGTCACCTTCTCAGCAGGGCCTTCCTTGAACACTCTTTTTCAAATGACAACCTGTCATCCCCCAACCCTGTATGTTTCTTGGCCCCCTTTTATGCTTTATTTTCTCCCATAGCCTTTACCATCTCATATACTGTATACATTACTTATTGGTTTTTGTGTTAGCTGCGTCCCTTCTTTAAAAATATCCATAAGGATAGGGATCATTTTTCCTCCTTTTTCCCTGCTGTATTCCCAGCCTGTAACATAGTATCTGAAATATGGTAGACGCTTAATAATGGTGTATTGAATGGATGAAGGAGGACGTTTTGGTTGTAATTGCTTACAAAGTTTTAATTCTGTCTAGTTGTTGATTCCATGGGTTTGTAAGGTTTTCATAAAATATTGTATCAGCTATCTTAATGAAATCATCAGAAAATGTGTACTTAATCTGACCTGCTAACATTATGTATCATTATACTTTAAAGTCAGACTGACTAGGCTTAAATCCTGATTCTATCACTTATAAGCCATGTGGCCTTGGAAGATCTTCCAACCTTTTTTCTGTAACAGTTTTTTCACTTGTAAAATGTGGGAAAAAAGTGATTATCTATTTTAAAAGTGCCCAACATACAGTAAGAAGATAAACTTCCTAGCAAATAGTAAGAACTCAATAAATGGAAATAGGAGAGAATACTATTTTAAAACATTTACTGGAAAATAATACATAGGGGTGTGTGTATATTTAATAAATATCAACACATAATTGTTCTATTGTTATTCTTGTACAGTATTCCAGACCTTAAGCTTTTATACATGATTATGGTTTTTATACTAAGGAAAGTAATGGAAATGTTAGATTTTACAGTTAATATTATTCTGTGTACTGTATAAGAAATATTTTTCCATTACACAAGCTCTTCCTTGGTAGTTAGTAAGGATACTTAGAAGCATGGCCACAAAACACAGATCACTTCCCAAAGCTTTCCCCACACTGTGACAGCTTCCATAATTCTTAGAATATGGCTTAGTAAAAACATGTGAAAACATGTCACCCTATGAGTTAAACAATTTCAAATGAAGAAGACAGAATATAGATGTTAGCAGAGACTATACATTATTGATTAGGTGTTGATATAGTTGGATATTTGTTCCTGCCCAAATCTCATGTTGAATTGTAATCCTCACTGTTGGAGGTAGGCCCTGGGGGAGGTGTTTGGGTCATGGGGGAGGATCCCTCATGGCTTGGTGCTGTCCTTGCAATAGCAAGTGAGTTCTCATGAGATCTATTGTTGTAAAGTGTGGCACCCTTCCGCCACTACCAATCCCTCTTGCTCCTGCATTTGCAATGTGATGTGCTTGCTCTCGCTTCGCTTTCCACCATGAGTAGAAGCTCCCTGAGGTCTCCCCAGAAGCTGATTAGATGCAGGTGCTGGGCTTCCACTACAGCCTGCAGAACCATGAGCCAATTAAACCTCTTTACTTTATAAACTACCCAGTCTCAGGTATTTCTTTATAGCAATGCAAGAAAGGCCTAACACAGATATCTGGAGTTATTTTTAAGATAATTTAAATTTTCAGAAATCCCAGCAGCTTTAGAGAAACACATGTGAGAGTGAAAAATTATAGATTTTTCCTTTGACCTGTCAAATAAATTCAACAAGCGCACGGGGGATAGGCCAAATCTCACTCCCTTTTCTACACTGAGAGCCAAAGCTGAATGGGTGTTGAAGAGTGGCTTTTCTCTTTTAGGGTAGGATAGTTTTTCCTTCCCATAACATTTCTGTTTTTCAGATTTGACAGTCTTGTGAAGCTCTCTTTTTTGGGTGACATTAACCTCAGACTTGAAGAAAATACTAGATTTCATATCATTTCACAACTGCATTAATGCAGCATAAGTTACTTTCTTTGCAAATCATCCTTATCATTGATTACCAAAAATCATTGCAAGAATTACATGAGATTATATAGGTTAAGCAACTGGAAAAGTGTCTAGCCTGTGGTTAGCACTCAAATGTTACTTATCTATGTCACATATATATAATATCTGTATATACAGACATAAATGTTGTATATATGCAAAGATATATGCATTGATAAAGATTTTTGTCATTAAAAGAAAAAGTTGGGCTCTCAGGGAAGCAATTCCTGTGTCATTTCATATACATTCTGCAGTCTATATAGTCCAAATTAAGAAAAATTCATGAATAAGATTGTATCCACTTTCATCTTGGTACATTACAGGACGTATGTCTCAGCCACCATTATGTAGGAAAAACAAAGAAGAACTCTATCAAGTATTAGAAGTGTATGATATCCAAAATCATATTTTGCCACTAACTGTGGACAAGTCACTTAATAATTCTGTGTCTCAGTTTTCACAACTAGAGATAGATGTTCTGGGTTTACTTTTAAAATCTGTAAGGTGAAGTTTGGGGTAGATTTCCTACCCCAGAGATACAGAAATGTTGTAATATTTAGCTAGCTAGATCTATCTATCTATCTGTCTGTCTATCTATCTATCTATCTATCTATCTATCTATCTATCTATCTATCTATCTTACATTTAACAGAAAGCCAGAAGAATTCCCAATTAAATTAAAAGAAACTCAAAGCCAGAATAGTGGTAAGCAGGAGTTGATACCACAGTGGCCCATGAATGTTTAGAGATTTAGAATCTCCGGGCTGGGAGCTGAGCCTGGGAGCCATGGCTTTGAGGCTAGACTAGCGATAATCTGTATCTGCCCCAAACAAGTCCTGCCCAATACTATCAAAAAGGAAAGAGAAAAATGGTTTCTTCTGCATGGGAAGCAGCAAAGGAGAATCTGTTTATTTCATACGCAGCTGAAATAAATGGTCACCTGTGGGAAAAAATGACTCTCAGAACAGCATAAATATGGTTTTTAAATGTATGCTTTCTTTGTGGCTTCCTGTTTCTTAAGTATAGAAACTTTAAATGAAACAGTAAAATAAAAACTCCTTCAAGACTTTAAAAAATACTAGGAAAGAGCAGAGACATATGTGAACTCTATGACATGATAAACTTCAAGAGAAAAAGCAAAATGAAATAAAACAAAAAACAAATGCAAAAAACTGTTGAGTAGGAGCACACATGAAATAATTTATCAATCGTATATACGGATTTATATCATCCATAAAGGAGAGTCAGCAGATTCATTAGGATCCCAAGAACTTGAGATAGTGGAACAGATTTTGAGATATTATAAAATAAAATAATAATGCTTAAGGTAATAAAAGAGATCAAACAAGGGCCTAAAAATATAACTGCAAAATTGAACATCATGAAAATAAGAAAAAACAATAAAGCTTCCAGAAAAACAATTACTAAAATTTAAAGTGTACTCGGTGGATTTAAGAGTAGACAAAACACCACTTAAAATATTACTGAATTAAAGAGTAAGTCTGCAAAAGAATTACCCAGAATTCAGCACAGAAAGATAAAGATCATGAAAATCTGAGTAATACGCTAATGAAGAACACAGAATGGGAAGTTGTTTCTTTCATAAGAGTTTCAAAGGGAGATATCAAAATCAGATTTTGGAGGAGGCAATATTTGAAGGAATAGCCAAGAACTGTTTACACTGTGCTTGAAGAAGGACATAGGTCTTCAGATTAAAGAACAATGCATTCTGAGTGGTTAACAAAATCTTTACCTAGATGTATTAGGTACATCAGAGCACCCACTGAGATGAAGTGTGTTATTATTTTTCTTTATTGTAGCAAGACTACATAACATAAAATTTTCCATCTTAACCATTTTTAAATGGTTATTTAAAGAGATATCTAGAACTCTTGCAAACTGAAATTCTGCCTCTATTGATTGACTCCTCTTTCCCTCTCTCTATCCCCTGGCAAATATCATTCTATTTCTGTTTCTAAGGGTTTGACTATTTTAGAAACCTCATATAAGTGGAATTATTCCATATTAGTATTTTTGTGACTGTATTATTTCACTTAGCATAATGTCCTCGAGGTTCATCCATGTGGTAGCATATGACAGGATTTCCTTCCTTTTTAAGGCTGAATAATATTCCAGGTGTGTGTGTGTGTGTTTGTGTGTGTGTGTGTGTGTGTGTGTGTGTGTATATCACATTTTCTTTATCCATTCATTTGCTGATGAACATTTCGGTTGCTTCTACCTCTTGGCTATTGTGAATAATGCTGCAATAAACATGGGTATGCAAGCATCTCTTTGTGTTTTCAATTATTTTGGACATATAACCAGAATGGGGATCATTGAATCAAATGGTCACTTTATTTTTAATTTTTGTTGGATCTCTATACTGTTTTCCAAAGTGGCTGCACCACTTTACAATCCCACAAAATGTGCACAAGGGTTGTAATTTTTCAACATTTTCACCAACACTTGTTATTTTGTTTTGTTTTGTTTAGTTGACAATGGCCAACCTAACAGATGTGAGGAAATATCTCATTGTGATTTTGATTTGCATTTTCCTACTGATTGCTGATGTTGAACATCTTTTCATGTGCTTGTTGGCCATTTATATATCTTTGAAAAAATGTCTGTTTAATCTTTTTGCCTATTTTGAATTGGATTGTTTGGTTTGCTTGTTGTTGAGTTAGAGGAATTCTTTCTATATTCTGAATAGTAACCCTTTATATGGTTTGCAAATATTTTCTCCCAACCTGTAGGTAAATTTTTTATTTCGTTATTTTGTTCTGTAGAAGCTTTTTTGTTTGATATAGTACCACTTGTTTATTTTGCTTTTGTTGCCTGAGCAGTTGATGTCGTATCCAAAAAATCACTGTCAAGGTCAATTTCAAGGAAGTTTTTCCCCATGTTTTCTTCCAGGGATTTTATGATTTCAGGCCTTAATTTAGGTCCTTAATCAATTTTGAGTTGACTTTTGTGTATGATTTAAGGTAAGTGTCCAATTTTATTTTTCTGTATGTGGATATACAGTTTTCCCACAAGTATGTATTGAATAGACTATCCTTTTCCCCATTGTGAAGCCCTTGGCACCTTTGTCAAAGATCATTTGACCATATATATGAGGATTTATTTTTGGATTCTTCATTCTGTTTCATTGTTCTATATGTCTGTCTTTATGCCAGTACCATACCATTTTGATTACTGTAGCTTTGTAAGATATTTTGAAATCAGGAAGTGTGAGGCCTCCAGCTTTGTTTTTCTTTCTGAAGATTGATTTTAATATTTGGGGCCCTTTGAGATTCCATATGGATTTTAGATTTTGGGTTTTTTTTTGGCAAAAAATAGCATTGACACTTTGATAGGGATTGCATTGAATCTGTAGATCACTTTGGGTAGTTTAGACATTTTAACAACTTTAAGTCTTTTAATCCATGAACATCAGATATTTTCCATGCACTTAAGTCTTCTTTTTTTGAAAATCATTGTTTTGTATTTTTCAGTATAGCCTTCACTTCCTTAGTTAAGTTTATTTGTAAGTATTTTATCCTTTTTTTGTGCTATTGTAATATTGTAATGGAATTGCTTTTTTTTTTTTTTTTTTTGATACAGAGTTTTTGCTCTGTCACCCAGGCTGGAGTGCAGTGGCACACATAATCATGGGTCATGCAGCCCTGACCTCTTGGGCTCAAGCAGTCCTCCTCTCTCAGCCTCCCAAACAGCAGAGACTACACATCCATGCCACCATGCCTGGCTAATTTATTTTTTGTATTGTTGGGATCTCACTATGTTACCCTAGGCTAGTCTCAAACTCCTGGGCTCAAGTGGTCCTCCAATTTCAGCCTACCAAAGTGCTGAAATTACACATGTGGGCCACCACACCTTGCTGGAATTGCTTTTTAAGTATCTTTTTCAAATTATTAGTGAATATAAATGCAGCTGATTTTTGTGTTCATTATTCTGCAACTTTGCTAAATTCATTTATTACTTCTGTAGATTTTTTTCATATGGCATCTTTAGGATTTTCTACATATAAGATATGTCTTCTGCAAACAGAGATAATTTTATTTCTTCCTTTCCAATTTGGATACCTTGCATTTATTTTTCCTACGTGATTGTTCTGACTAAGATTCCCAGTACCATATTGAATATAAGTCATGAGAATGGACATTCTTATCTTGTTCTCACTCTTGGAAGGGAAGATTCCAGTTTGTCATCACTGAATATAGTGTTGGCTATGGGTTTCTCATACACGGTCTCCATTTTGTTGAAATCATTTATTCCATTACTAGTTTTTTGAGTATTTTTATCATTAAGGGTGTTGAATTTTGTCAAATGCTTTTTCTGAATCATTTGAGATAATCTTGTGGCATTTACCCTTCATTGTTTTAATCTGGTCTACTCCGTTGAATGTTTTTCATATGTTCAACCATCCTCGCATTTCAGGAATAGATGCTGCCTGGTTATGACATATAATTCTTTTAATATGTTGTTGAATCTGGTTTGCTAGGATTTTGGTGAGGATATTTTATATTAATATTTATCAGAGAAATTGGTCCGTACTTTTCTTGTCTTACAGTATCTTTGTCTCATTTTGTTATCTGAGCAATACTGCCCTTATAAAGTGAGTTTGGAAGTGTTTTATCTTCTTCAAGTTTTTGGAAGAGTTTGAGAAAAATTAGTGGTAATTTTTCAAATGTTTGGAATAATTATCCAGTGAGGCCGTCTGGTCCTGGGTTGTATTTTTGTTTTTTTGTTGTTGTTGTTTTTAGTTGAAAGGCTTTTGATTACTGATTAAATCTCTTTACTTTTTTGTGGTCTGTTCAGATTTTCTATTTCTTCATGATTTCTTCTTGAGAGGTTGTATGTTTCTAGAAATTCGTCTATTTCTTCTAGATTACATTGGCATATAATTGTCTATAGCAGTCTTTATGATCCTTTTTATTTCTGTACATCAGTTGTAAAGTCTCCTCTTTTATTTCTGATTTTTGTTGTTGTTTTTTCTTTAGTGTAGTTAAGGGTTTGTTGATTGTTGAACTTTTCAAATAACCAACTGTGTTTTGTTAATTTTTTCTATTGTTTTTCTATTCTGTATTTTCTTCATTTCTCCTCTTAATACTTATTTCCTTCCTTCTGCTAACTTTGGGTTTAGTTTGTTCTTTTTCTAGTTCATTGAGGTATAAAGTTAGGTTGTTAATTTTAGATCCTTCTTCTTTTATAATATAGTCATTTACCACTATAAACTTCCTTCTTTGTAATGCTTTTGCTTCATTTTATAAGTTTTGGTATATTGGTTTTGTTTTCATTTATCTCAAAATATATTCTCATTTATGCTGTGACTTCTTCTGTAACCCATTGGTTATTCAAGAGTGTATTGTGGCCAGGCACGGTGGCTCATGTCTGTAATTCCAGCACTTTGGGAGGCCGAGGTAGTTGGATTACATGAGGTCAGGAGTTTGAGACCAGCCTGGACCAAAGGGTGAAACCCCATCTCTACTAAAAATACAAAAGTTAGCCAGGCATGGTGGCACATACCCGTAATCCCAGCTACTCAGGATGCTAAGGCAGAAGAATAGCTGGAACCCAGGAGGCGAAGGTTGCAGTGAGTACAGATCATACCACTGCACTCCAGTCTGGGTGACAGAGTAAGACTTTGTCTCAAAAAAAAAAAGTGTATATTGTTTAATTTACACATATTTCTGATTTCTGAATTTTCCAGTTTTCCTTTTGTTATTGATTTCTAGTTTCATTCCACTGTGGTTGAGAAAAGAGTTTTGATATGATTTTAATCTTAAATTTGTTAAGATAGTTTTTCTTTTTTTCCCCTAACACATGATCTATTCTAGAGAATGTTCTGTATACAGAAATGTACATTGAAAAGAATCTGTATTTTGCTGTTGTTGGGTGGAGTGTTCCATACATGCTTGTTAGGTGCAATTGGTCTACAGAGTGATTGAAATTTTCTGTTTTCTTGTTGATCTTCTTCCTGGCTTATCTTTCCTTTATTGAAAGTGTGGTATTGAAATCTCCTACTATTATTTGTTAATGTCAAATTCTCCCTTCAATGCTGTCAATGTTTGCTTTACAAATTTGAGTGCTCTACTATTAGGTGGATATATATTTATAATTGTTATGTCTTCCTGGTGAATTAACTCTTTTATCATTACATAATGTCTTTTTTGTTTGTTGGTTTGTTTTTTGAGATGAAGTCTCACTCTGTCGCCAGGCTGGAGTGCAGTGGCGTGATCTCAGGGCACTGCAACCTCCGACTCCCAGGTTCAAGTGATTCTCCTGCCTCAGCCTCCTGAGTAGCTGGAACTACAGGCATGCGCCACCATGCCCAGCTAATTTTTGTATTTTTAATACAGACGGGGTTTCACCACGTTGGCCAGGATGGTCTTGATCTCCTGACCTTGTGATCCTCCCACCTGGGCCTCCCAAAGTGCTGGGATTACAGGCGTGAGCCAACGCACCCGGCCATTACATAATGTCATTCTTTGGCTTTGATTCTTATTTTCCTGGAATATCATTTTCCATCCTTTCACTTTTAGCCTGTTTATGTCTTTATATCTAAAGTGAGTTTGTTGTAGAGAGCATACAGTTGGATCTTTGTTTTTAAATTCAGTCACTATTCTGTTTTTTGATTGGAGAGTTTAATCCATTTTCATTTTAAGTAGTTCCTAATAGGAAAGAGCTTACTATTATAATTTTGTTAGTAGTTTTTGGTATGTCATGTATTTGTCCCTGTTTCTCTCTCTTGCTGTCTTTCTTCGTGTTTTATTGATTTTTTTGGTGGTGACATGATTTGATTCTTTCTCGTTTTCTTTTGTGCACTTCTATAGATATATTCTTTGTGATAATTGTTATGATTATATAAAACTCTTACAGTTATGGTGATAGCAATCTATTTGAAATTGATAACAACTTAACTTCAGTTGCATACAGAAACTCTATTCCTCAATGTATTCTCCACTTTATGTCATTAATATCACAAATTACAGGTTTTAATATCTTGTATCAACATATTTTTATATTTGTATTTTTTGTGCTTTTATATTTTAAATTTTATACCTGAATTTAAATTTATTTATGCATCACCATTACAAATTACAGGATTCCGTATTTGTCCATATATTTATCTCCATCAAAGAGCTTTATATTTTCATATGTTTTGGTGTTGCTGTCTAGTATTCTTTCACTTCAACTTCGCAATTCTTGTAAGTCAGGCCTCATGAGTAATAAACTCTTTCAGTCTTTTTATCTTGATCTTCATATGTGTACATGTGTATCAGTCAGGATGTACTGGGGAGACAGAAATCACACAGAATTTTAGCAGGAAAGATTTATTATAAAAGCTTATTACTTATAGAGAATTAACTAAGAGGAAATAAGAAATAATTATCTTTAAAGAATAACCTAGAACTAATGGAGAATAGTCAAGGAGGAAACATTCTTGGAAGGTGAGGGAGGGGTGGTGAATCCTCCTAAGGCTGAGATTCAGACCTCACAGGAGAAGGTATGGTTGCAGCCCACTGGATGTTAGAGAAGTTTGCTAGGTTGTTCCTGAACTAGTCCAAAGTCAGAGAGCCATAGCTGATGAACAGAGAACTATCTGCTATTGTGTTCACAAAATTCACTGGGAAGCTGCTTAGCATTGAGGGTGCTGTTAAATTTGCTATGAATAGAAAGTCAACCTGTGTAACAGCTATACTCTGGAAAGCCAGCAGGCAGTTGCCAACAGTGGGGTAAAGGAGCTGTTGAACTCACTGGAAGCTGTTACCGGAAAACTGCTTGGAAACTTGCTTAGGCAACCATGGAACTCTCCAGAAACTGCCTTGAGAGATTCCATTTGCATCTGAGAATCCACCCCTGGGGGTGGGATTGAACCTACCAGGAATAGGGAGTGAGCTTCACTGAGTCTCTTGCATACCAGGCCAGTGCCACAGGAACAAAAGAAGCAAAGCAGAAGCCAGGAAGGGAAACTCTTCTGATATTTGTCAGTTCTTCCTACTGACAAAGCTTGACATCATACCAGCTGCTTAGTGAGAAATGTCTCAAAATTACAGACAGACAGTGAAAGGTGGATTTGGAGTTGAAAGACAATTAATTAACTGGCTCACCACCTATCTAGAAAACTTCAAAAATTTAAAACAAATACTGAAAATTAGACAAAAAATATTAGTAGAACAATAGATTGTGATTTTTTTTGTCATGATCAATAAATTATGACACGTCTGTCAGAAATTGATAGCTTAAACAAAAATTAATAACATTTATAATATTCAGAAATAAACTTAAAAAGTTTTAAGTAATAGATATTTAGAAACATGAATCCCATTGCAACTCATACAGAATGTTTCTTAAAATTGTTCAGGCTGGGCGCGGTAGCTCACACCTCTAATCCCAGCACTTTGGGAGGCCGAGGCGGGTGGATCACAAGTTCAAGAGATTGAGACCATCCTGGCCAACATGGTGAAACCCTGTGTCTACCAAAAAATACAAACATTAGCTGGATGTGGTGGCACATGCCTGTAGTCCCAGCTACTTGGGAGGCTGAGGCAGGAGAATACCTGGGAAGCCGAGGTTGCAGTGAGCCGAGATCATACCACTGCACTCCAGCCTGGTGACAGAATGAAACTCCATCTCAAAAAAAAAAAAAAATTGTCTATATGCCACAAAAGAAACCCCAACAATTATAAAAATAATCAATACATATAGACCAGTTTATATGCCATAAGGCAATAAAATGGGAAACTAATAACAAAATACAGCCAAAAATTAATGTCTGAAAAATTAAAACTAAAAGCAAAAACAAAAAAGTAATATAAATATTACAGAGACATATTAAAATGGAAAGACAGTAAAAGGAATGGACATTCAAATTTGTGGAATGTGGCTAAAGTATTTATTTTAATTTTTTGTATAAATTTAAGTGGTACAATGGCAATTTTGTTACATAGGTATATTGAATAGTGCTAGAGTCTGAGATTTAAGTGTTATCATCATTCAAATAGTGTCCATTGTACCAATTAAATAATTTCTCATCATTCACCCCTCATCTACCCCCACCCTCTGAATCTCCAATCTCTATTATTCCACACTCTATACTCACCTGTGCACATTATTTAGCTGCCAATTATAAGCAAAAACATGTGGTATTTGATTTTATGATTCTGAGTTATTTCACTTAAGATCATGACCTGCAGTTTCATTCATGTTTTTGCAAAAGACAAAATTATCTCAATGAATGCAGAAAAGGCTTTTGATAAAATTAAACATCTATTCATGTTAAACACTCTCAACAAACTATATATTGAAGGAACATACCCCAAAATAATAAGAGCCATCTAAGACAAACCCACAGCCAACATCATACTAAATGGACAAAAGCTGGAAGCATTCCCCTTGAAAAACTGTATAAGACAAGGATGCCCTCTGTCACCACTCCTATTCAACATAGTATTGGAAGTTCTGGCCAGGAAATCAGGCAAGAGAAAGAAAGAAAGGACATCCAAATAGGAAGAGAGGAAGTCAAACTATCCATGTTTGCAGATGACATGATCCTATGTCTAGAAAACCCCATAGTCTTAGCCCAAAAGCTTCTTAAGCTGATAAACAACTTCAGTGAGGTCTTAGGATACAAATCAATGTGCAAAAATTACTAGTATTCCTATAAAACAGTCAAGCCAAGAGCCAACTCAGGAAGGCAATTCCGTTCACAATTGCCACAAAAAAGAATAAAATATCTAGGAATAAAGCTAACTAGGGAGGTGAAAGATCTCTATAATGAGAATTGCAAAACACTTCTCAAAGAAATCAGGGATGACACAAACAAACTGAAAAACATTCCATGCTCATGGATAAGAAAAATCAATATTGTTAAAATGGCCATACTGCCCAAAGCAATTTACAGATTCAATGCTATTTCTATGAATCTACCATTGAGATTCTTCACAGAACCAGAAAAAAACTAATTTTAAAAATATATGGAACCTTAAAAGAGCCGAAATAGTGAAGAAAATCCTAACAAAAAGAACAAAGGTGGAGGCATCACACTACCTGACTTCAAACTATTCTACAGGACTACAATAACCAAAACAGCATGGTCTGGTACAAAAACAGACATAGATCAATGGAACAGGTTAGATAACCTTGAAATAAGACCACATACCTACAACTATCTGATCTTTGACAAATCTAACAAAAACAAGCAATGGGGAAGTGATTCCCTTTCCAATAAACAGTGGTAGGATAACTGGCTAGCCATAGGCAGAAGATTGAAACTGAACTACTTCCTTATACCATATACAAAAATTAACTCAAGATGGATTAAAGACTTACAAGTAAAACCCAAAACTATAAAAACCCTGGTAGACAACCTAGGCAATACCACTCAGGACATAGGCATGGGCAAAGATTTCATGACAAAGATGCCAAAAACAATTGTGACAAAAGCAAAAATTGACAAATGGGATCTAATTAAACTAAAGAGCTTCTGCACAGCAAAAGAAACTATAAATAGAATAAATAGACAATCTACAGAATGGGAGAAAATTGTTGCAAACTGTGCATCTGACAAAAGTCCAATATCCAGCATCTATTAGGAACTTCAACAAATTTATAAGAAAAAAAATCCTCGCTAAAAAGTGGGCAAAGGGTATGAACACTTTTCACAAAAAAAGACATACATGTGGCCAGCAATCATATGAAAAAAGCGCAACATGACTGATCATTAGAGAAATGCAAATCAAAACCACAATGAGATACCATCTCAAACCAATCAAAATGCCTATTATTAAAAAGTCACAAAACAGCAGATGCTGGTGAGATTGTGGAGAAAAGGAATGTGTATACACTGTTAGTGGGAGTGTAATTAGTTCAATCTTTGTGGAAGGCAGCGTGGTGATTCCTCAAAGACTAATGACAGAAATGGCATTCAACCCAGAAATCCCATTACTGAGTATATAACCAAAGGAAGGTAAATCATTCTGTTATAAAGATACATGCACACATATGTTCACTGCAGCACTCTGCATGATAGCAAAGATAAAATTAAACCTAAATGCCCATCAATGATAGACTGGATAAAGAAGATGTGGTACATATACATCGTGGAATAATTTGCAGCCATAAAAAAGAATGAGATCATGTCCTTTGTAGGAACATGGTTGGATCTGGAGGCCATGATCCTTAGCAAGCTAATACAGGAACAGAAAGCCAAATACTGTATGCTCTCACTTATAAGTGGGAACTAAATGGTGAGAACACACGGACATACAGAGGGGAACAACACATACTGAGGCTTTTCGGAGGGTGGAAGGTTGGAGGAGGGAGAGGATCAGGCAAAATAACTAATGGGTACTAGGCTTAATACCTAGGTGATAAAATAATCTGTACAACAAACCCCCATGACACAAATTTACCTATTTAAAAAACCTGCACTACATATAGAGAGTATGTTAGTTTAGTGAGAAGTTCTATAGGGAGAAATAAGGAATTAAAGAAGATAGAAAAAAGTTGGTCACAGTTACTCTATTAGGTAAGTTGGCAAAGGAAATTTTCACTGAGAGGTGACTTTGAAAAGAACCTGAAGAAATTAGTGGGGAGCCATTTAGATCTGTAAAATAAGAACATTCCTAGCAGAGACCAAATCCCAGAGGCTACAGTGGTTATTGCTGACTGTCAGGGAGAAAGTAGTAGACGAGGTCAAAGAGGTATTCAAAGGCCAGGTTATACAGGGTCTCATCATTTTGTCTGGAATAGCCCAAGTTTAAGCTCTTTGTCCTGTAATAATAACCTTTCACATTCCGTAGGGCTCTGGTTTGGATAATAAAATGTATAGTTACCCTACTTTTTGTAAAGAATTGAGCTTTTGGCCAGGCACGATGATGGCTCAAGCCTGTAATCCCAGCAGGTTGTGAGCCCAAGACGGGTGGACCACTTGGGCCTAGGAGTTCGAGACCAGCCTGGGCAACATGGTGAAACACTGTCTCTACAAAAAATACACACACACACACACACACACACACACACACACACACACAAATATTAGCTAGACATGGTGGCATGTGCCTGTAGTTCTAGCTACTGGGGAGGCTGAGGTGGGAGCCTGGGAGGCTGGGGTTGAAGTGAGCCGAGATCACACCACTGCACTCCATCCTCGGTAACAGAGTGAGACTCTGTCTTAATAAAAAATAAAAAAATTAAAAATTTAAGACTTGCGTTTTTGCTTAGATAAAATGGGGGAAAAGTGGGAGTACCATGATCTGACAGGTTTTACAGGATCACTTGGACTGCTACGTTGGGAAGAGATGGCAGAGAGCCGAAATGAAAGCACAATGTATCCAGAACCTGATCAATCTTTTCACTACCTCCATTGCCACCAGGCTGGTCCAAGCCACCACCATTTCTTACCTGGACTGCCTCAAGAGCTTCCCAATGTGTCCTTCTTGCCATATTTGAATACACTTACAATAAAGATTAAAAAACAACCCTTGAAAAAGTATATTTTCTTCCTATGCTTCAAATATTCCTATTTTCTTTCATTTCTGTACAGTTGTAAAGAGAAAAGCCTTTTTTTCTATTCAGTATAAAACTGTTTAGTTTTATTCAAGACTCATTTTTTGATTAATTTGGAATGAAAGTCCCTGTGTGGATTCCTTTATGGAAATAATGGTGAATTGTATCTCAGTTCTCCCTTTTCTCAGGTGGAAAGACAAAGATTTAGAATCAGAGCTGAGAAACTATATTTCATTTAGTCATGTAACTCTATTGGGGTAGTAAACATTTTTAATTTCTTTTTGTTGATCATAAGTCTCCTTGTCAGTTAATGTTTTTCAGATAAAAACTGAAAAACAATCCTTTGTTAATATCTTTTTAAAAACTTCCTTTGCTAGGTCTCATAGGAGCTAGATGGTTGCAGCCAATAGTTCTTAGATACTAGCAACATCACTGATAGAAAGCATAAGGTTATATGAATTATTATGGCCAGAAACCTGATCTGAGGAGGACTATGCAATTTTTTCTACTAAAAAAATCCTTATAGTGAGCATTTAAGCAGAAAACGCAAAAGACATTTGATTAAATATACAAAATAGTTTTATCTCACTGTATCTCCAGGCTATAGGAAAAAATGTATTGATATATAAAAAACAACTATGAGTAGAATGTCTGAATAACTTAACATGACCTAACCATCACCATTTTTATTTCATTCATCTACATGTTCCTTTGACTGGTTATTTATTAAACATTCAACCATTCTCCTGCCTCTTGTTTATTGGTGGCAGTGAGTTGAAAAGGACCAAATTCACACTGTCTTACCTTCTACATGAGCATCTTCTGCAATTCATCTTCCTCAATTTTCCTGAATTCACCTTTCTTCCATCTTATATAGAAAGTCTCTACCACAAAATTAGTGCTTTAAGTAATTGTCTTTTAACTTTTTGGTACATGCTACTTTAAATATTTATCTGAACTAGCATGCAATGTTAGAGGGAAGGAACTATATGCTGTGAGCTTTCTGTATGCATTAATAACTGAACCCCTCAAAGATTTACATAGTAACTGCCTGTATGGAGAGACTGACTCAATGCTGCACCCTAATACTTTTCTAGGTTGTCACTTGCTGCTGCTGCTGCTCCAAACAGCTGGATAGTGCCCCTGCCACTTGCATTGACAGAGGATCCCAAGGATTTTTTTTCCTGTGGTAGTACAAGTGCTGGGTTGTTAGTGTTTTCCACGGCAAAATTGATTAGAATCAATATGATGGTTTCTAAAACTTTCCTGTAGGTCCCTTTGCCATAGAGATATTATATCAGCCTTCAAACCAATATATTTTGCCATTTGAACTTTTAAAAATATAATACATTTGAAGTACATCATTTCCTATTTGAAAACATGCAACTTTTCATAATGAACAAATCAGAATTATACCATCTTAATCTAATTTTATGAGTTCAGTGAAAGAAAAAGATGGTACTGTCATTTTGAGAGGGAAGTATTTTAAATTATTTAAAATTTTTATTTATATTTAATTATCTTATAAACATATCAAGACCTCTGTCATATCTAGAATTAGTTTAAACTGAAAAGAGCAGCAATATTTATCTTGTATCCTCAAATCTTAAATTGGTGATTCATTTCATTCTTATGCATTTCTGTTTCTATCAACTTAGATGTCATATCGATAAATAAAAGCAGTCATTGATCACAGTGAATTAGCCTTCACATGAGAAAAATTAACCCATGACAAAATATTATAAATAATATCAGAGGAGGAGCTCAGTTATATCATAAGTTTTAGTTCAACAAAGATTTGGGTGAGTGTTGGTTTGGAAACTAAGGTAGAAAGGATAGAGAAGGTCCAAGCCCAGGAGCCTGAGAAAGCACTCAACATAGAATATCACAGGTCTGTAGCATACTCATTACATTTATATTTGTGAGGAAGGAGTTAAAACAGCCAGCCTGTGATCCACTGACTTATACCAGGGGATGCCTCCAGTCCTTTTCAATGGGACTCTGGGTAAATAATAATATGTTCTAGGAGAATGAAACCTTGTCTCTGAAATGTCCTTAGCAAAATGTCCCTGGATAAGGATTACTAAGAGTAAGTAGAAGCCAAACATGGCTCTTGGGGAATTTCACGTGGTCTCTACAGCTCTCTGGAGGTAGAGATGTTTTGTAGTTGAAATGCTCCCGCTGTATGAGGAAACCCTGGACCTCACTTAGAGACCTCATCTATTCTGAACCAGATGGGCATGTCTAATGTGGGTAAGAAGGACCTGGGAGCCCCTCTCAATATCCCAGACCTCTCTCTGGTCCCTTTAAGATTTTAAAAAGTGCCTATATTCTTGTAATAATTTATTAAGTCTTGACAATGGGTAAGATCTCTGCCTCACATAAGTCTTACTTGATAATCTAATCCTTTGCGTTAGTCCAACAATCAGTTATTACCATTATCTAAATCAATGGGTCTCAGATACACTATGCATATACCTTGGATGGGAAGCTTGTAAAATGTAGATTTCTGGGCCATCTCATAGATATATGGATTCAATAGGACACTGTACTTATTTGTGGATGTAGAATTGTGTATATAAAAAAATGATTTGGAACTGTCTCTAAACCAATCTTTTGCTGGCACAGTTCTACACCTTTCTGTTGCATTTAAGTATCTTCAGTATATTGACTTATTTCTTGAATTCATTGTTTTTGCCTATTTTTAATGCATTTGCATAACACACAAAAGCTAGATTCGTGTGGGAAATACTAAAAGTAAATGATATCATCTTCTTTCATATGGAAACAGTTTATTTTTTTCTCTTCATAAAAGAGTTGAGAGTTTGGTTATTCAGAATTTTGTAGAACTTTTTCCAAACCATTTGATTGCTTTGCTTTTTAATATAACATGTCTAAAAGTTTAGCATTTACCTTTGGATGGATATGTTCAACATATAATTGAACACACAATTGTAAAGCACCTTTTAAAGATGCGTGCTAGATTTTTATTCTGTTTCTTTCATATACATTTAGTCCTAATGAAACCCACTGTTTATTTTAGCAATGATTTTAGCTATGTTCAAAGAGACAAAAGGGGGCCACAAAGTTAAAAGATTGTAGGGAGGTGGGTAGGGATGGAGGAAGAAGTGGAAGGAATTTCTAGCAAGTCTCCTATAAATACACAGCATTATTTCAAACAGAGAAATATTTGACAATTATAACCCTACCTTCTTAAAGAGATATGTAATTCTTATATTACTAAGTACAACCTATAACAAATTAGATTACAGAAGCAGTGTATTCTGCAAACATACAATTCTCTGGCCACATTCTTGTTCTTATGTTCCAGTTTTTAGTTTTTCTTGTAATGAAGTGCATTTGTTCACTCTGTTACTTTTTCTACCATAAAACATTTTACATCAAAAAAGTAGCCTTCAAATTAATGATTAGTAAAGAGAGACAATTACATTTAGCTAAGTATTGAAAAAGTTAAAGGGTTTTAAATCTATTTAGCCCTAGCAAAGCCCAACTTCCTGGTTCAAGTTAAAAAACAAAACAAAACAAAACACACATACAGCTCCTTCGTTGTTAACTGCTTTTTACAAAACACCATCTTGATGAATTAAGAGTAAATGAATGAGAACTATATATGGATAAATTTCGTTTGAAATACACTCAGGATTAAAAAGTTTAAGAAAAATTGCTTTTCGCTAATATGGTTTTGCAGTTTTAGCTGGAATGAAAATGTTTGAAAAATAGAAGTGTTTTGTTGAACCCAAACCTCACAGGTACCAAGTTTTCCAATCCATAAGCCTGAAATGATGATGGTGAAACCTCAGGAAGGTGAAGGTAATGGTCTCATTCTAGGAGGAAGTCAGAGAGAGTATCTCCTTGATCATTTTCAGGGAGTATTCAAATTAGGTTTCATTCTAGAGTTCAGACTTACAAATCTGGCCTGTTACTGTGCGGTATAGCATAGAGATCAAGAGTACAAGTTCTACCCCAGTGTTTCTCAACCTTTTATTCATTATTTTCTTCCTAAGGAGCATTTCAGACACTTTTTTAAATGAAATTTTATTGCTACAAATATATTGTATATCTGTTTATGTGCTGCTTATGTATCTGCGCTCCATAAATTAAAGAGTAGAATTTTTTTGTACCCCCTAGATCCAAATTTTGTCCTCTTGAGGGCAATATTGCCTGCTTTGAGAATGTGTATTCTAGAGCAGTGGTTCTCATCCAAGGGGCATTTTAATCCCTCAGGGGAAATTGGCAATGCCTGAAGGCATTTTTTGTTGTCACAACTGGAAGGAAGAATGGTAGAAGTGGTGCTACTGGCAACTAGAGGGAGAGGCCACGTACACTGATAAACAGCCTACACTGTACAAAACAGCCTCCCACAATAAAAATTATCTGGTCTAAAATGTTTATAGTGCTGAGGTGGAAAAATCCCACTTTACAGCCAGACTGCTTGAGTTTAAATCTGAGATGTACCACTTACTCACTGAGTAACCTTCGGTATGCTTCTGTAAAATGGTAGAATCAATAGTACTGACTGTATAGGGCTAATACGTGGATTAAATGAGTTAATACATACAAAATACTTAGCACAGTGCCTGGCGCATGGAGAATGGTCAATAAAACTTAGCTATTTGTATTTCAAATCCCATTATACTGAAAATAGCAAGTTCTCAGACCAAATTGCAAAATGTGTAAACATCACAAAATCCTTCCTGAAATTTGCACATATATCTATTTATTTTCCTGAAGCATATATAACTGATTTATTCCTATTCCAACTTAAAGTCAGAAGACGTTTTTGTAGTGACTAGTAAACTATTAAATTTGGCAGATTAGTGATTATATGAACAAATATAATGGGAAAGAATCAAGGCTGCTACTGTAGACAAATGCATTTTCATTACACCATGAAAATAAAAAAAAAGACTTGAATGTAACAGCATAATAAATACTTTACTTGGGCGTCAGTAGACAATCAGGAAGTGCCACTTTTAACAGTCAATATATCCTGGTGGCACTTCAGGAAATGCTATTTTTATGAGAATTTTCAGGTTCATAGCACAGTGAAATATGAATTAGTGACTTTGATGTACTTGTGTTACAAATATTTTTGCCGAATACTAGCTGCAGTCTCAGAGTTACTTGCTACTTATTTCCTTTCTATAAGGAGTGCAGTTTTTGCACAGACAATGGGGAGGATGTATATATGAATTTGCCTTGCAGGACATATAACAAAGCATGGCTTATTACAAAAAAATGAAGATCATCCTCATTTCCTTCTTTTCATTTTATAAAGCAAAAATAAAAGGGGGTGTGGGAGAATCTTATTTGCTTTCATCTCCATCCCTTCAGCAAGTCCTACTGACTTGACATTTCCTAACCTGAGCTGGTTTTCCAGGTCATCGGTTCAATTTCTCACTGTTTTCCCAGTCTTTGGTGTGTATTACAAAAATAGGCTGAAATCATCCATGGAAGATTGTTGTTGCTAGGTCTTCTATATTTTTCCTCACCTCCTTTAGCCTTCTACAATCTCAACAAAACTTTCAGAGAGAGAAAGGGGTACTATGAAAGTCTAGCTGAGGAAAGACATGAGTCAGAATTAGAAAGCATGGTCTTTGGAGAAACACTGCCTGGATTTGAGTTCTGGCTCTGCCACTTACTAGTTGTGTTCTTGTTACCTGGTGAAGATAAATGACCTAACATCAGAGAACTTGCATTAGAGCTGCATCTGGGACATGAATGTGTTCGTGGTAGAATGTTAGCTGTTGATTATTTGCTCACCATGGCTACAACTGAATCCCCGCTGCAGTGAAAACAGTGGTTCAAGGGTTTAGTAGGCTCAGAAAGATCGCATGCATCCTTCCTTAAAATACTACCTTCCCATTGTTATGGGAAGTCTTATTTTTTGTTGCAGAGGAATTTCCTAACAGTGTTAACTTTTGTTAAATGGTGAACTTCAAGATTTCATCAGCAATGAAAATCAATTCCAACCAGAAATAAAGGCTGGCAACCTAGTTCTTAGACATTACTAAAAAGCATCCATGTAAACATTTCAGTGGTTGATGTAGTTGCATAAAGTCCCTGAAGGCTATATACCCTTCAAATGCCCTCATCTTACGAATGAAAAGTTTCTTTATTTGGGTGCTGTTGGTTCCCAGCAGTCTTTTGTGCTACTGCTGCACTGTCAGCATAAGAAGGGAAGTCACAGGAGGAGGGAAGGACATTCTTTGTCTGGGAGCTAGATCTGTAAAAAGAGTTTTAATCTCACCAACATAAAAGTTCTGTCCTCTCTCATTGCTATGATTTCTACTCTAGAATCACGACCTTGTTGCATGAACTTCTAGAAATGTCTAGACATGAACATAACATTTTATCAAATACCTAAGAAGGTTGTTTTTCTCCCCACTTCTAGGAATTTCCAAGTGAAAGGGCCAGAGAACCACTGCCATTCCTGTATAAATCAGACCTCTTTTAAACAGTAAATTATTAGGAAAGGGACAGTGGTGGTGGTGGGGGCGGGGTGGGGGGGGGCGCTATATTTAGAGGGTGCCATACGTTTGGTTTTATAGCAGTGTCTTGAGAAGTATTTGACTCATGTTAAGAGCATTTGTTACTGGAAAGGGGTTCGATCCAGACTCCAGGAAAGGGTTCTTGGATCTCACATAAGAAAGAATTTGGGGCAAATCCACAGAGTAAAGTGAAAGCAAGCTTGTTAAGAAAGTAAAGGAATAAAGAATGGCTAGTGCATAGACAGAGCAGCAGCTTGAGCTGCCCGACTAAGGATACTTATTTTTACTTCTTGATTATATGTTAAACAAGGGGTGGATTATTCATGAGTTATCCAGGAAAGGTGTGGGCAGTTCCTGGAACTGAGGGCTTCTTCCCCTTTTACACTCTATAGGGTAACTTCTTGATGTTGCCATGGCATCTGTAAACTGTTTTGGTGCTGGTGGAAGTGTCTTTTAGCATCCTAATGCATTATAATTAGCATAGAAAGAACAGTGAGGGTGACGAGAGGTCACTCTTGTTACCATCTTGGTTTTGCTGGGTTTTGGCTGTCTTCTTTACTGCAACCTGTTTTATCAGCAAGGTATTTATGACCTGTATCTTGGGCCAACCTCCTATCCATCCTATGACTTCAAATGCCTAACCTCCCGGGAATGCAGTCCAGTAAGTTTCAGCCTCATTTTACCCAGCCCTTATTTAAGATGAATTTTCTCTGGTTCAAATGTCTCTGACACATTGATCACCATTTATAATCTAGAGTCCTGCTTCAGCCACTAATAGTACACCATTTTGGCAAAACCATCAATCTCTTTGTACCACAATTTTCCTCAGATGCTAATAAAAACCGGATTGAGAGAGGGAAGAATATAGGTGTAGCCAAGGCTTACCTCACAAGTCTTTATGAGAATCAAAATGGGATAAATACAAGTGCTCTACAAGTCATGCGTTTTATGCAAATGTTATAAGGGATTAAGTTTCAGGAGAGTTTTGGTTCACACAGACTTGCTTTTTTTTCCCCTCTTTAACCCAACAGATTTTCTAATCTCATTTAACCTATGCCCCTTTTTGACCTGTAGCTCTTTGAAGGCTGACATTTTATATTGTGTTAAGAATCCCAGAGAACAGTGTAGAAACGGAATGAATGTTGCCTATACATCTAATTTTCTAGAAGGTGTAAGAAGGAAGTTCCATTATGACTCTCTCTAGAATTCACCCAATAGAAGTAGGAAAACAATGGGAAGTGACATATTATTTAAAATCATGATTGCAGCCATTTTATATGTGAAGAAATGGAAGAAGATACTTATCAAACAAGACCTATTTTAGTAACCAAGAATTTCTAATTCTGTGATGTTCCTGTGAACCATGCTTTCTGCAATAGATCTTAAGTTTATCTTTTGCCCACATCAATAAAAATAACTACCTTTTTGCCTTGCTTCTATGATGCTATTTTATTCTTAGGTTATCTGTGTAGGAGATAACATTTCATTCAAGGAAAACTTGAGCTGAAAGGCAAAGAGAAGAATTTCACAGCTAGGAATTTTAGGTTAACAGACCTTTTCTTGTGCTAGAGAAAGTAGGATATGTACCAAGATTTTCGAAATGTCAGATCATTCTCTCCTTTAGCTACTCAAAAATAAGAGTTGACAGCTGAGTCTGAGAGCATTCAGACATGTATTTAGAATACATCAGTTAATTTTAGTGTGGGTGAAGAGAGAATTCTATTTATTTGAAAATGTAATATAGACAGAATGTAAACAATGCCAAGGCTATGGTTTCAAAACTTGGGTATATCTGCAAATATATTTTGAATCATGTCATGTGCCAGGCATTGTGCTAGCAGTGAAGGTTATTAAAATGTTAATAAATGGTTATTGTCTCTAGTTGAAGAGATTAGGCAAAAATATTAAAAGAAAACAAAATCTGACCAAGTGACAGATGAAAGCGAGATAAGAAGTGCTATGGAAAGTCAGAGGAAGGTGAGATCAGGAGCTTACTGGCGAGGTTAGGGAAGCATTTGTTAAAAGGTAGAACTTGAGCACAGTTTTTAAAGAATAGGTGGTATTTGAATAAACAAGGAAAAGGGGTAAGAGTGCCCCAAAATGTTAATGGTAGTTTGGGATAACCTGCATAAAGGAAGGGGTTCTTGTTGGATGAAATGGGAGACAGGATTCAAAAGGCAGGTCTATGTGGGATTGGAGTGGCTCTTGGTTGTAATGGAACACATAGTAGAATTCCTTCTTTCCCTAGAGAATCCCATGATGAAAAATGTTACTTTAGTAATATTAATGTTGTAACCATTTGTGGGAGATAATAATGACAAAGATAATGTAGTAATCTTGGAATAAAATCATGAAGATTTGAAATGGGTGGTGGCAGGTAAAATACAAAGATGTATAATATACAAATTATCTATTAAAATTCATGTGTACCTATCAATAATGTCATCACGTTGCAGTTATTGCTGGGAAGGGCAAGTCAATAGTCATTTCCAAATTACTAAATAATATAGAAAATCACCCTTTTCTTCAAGATGTTAGCTGCTATTTCAAGAACTTTCACCTTTCATGACTTCTACTTCTGAAACTCAAATTTTTCTCTCAAAATGTATCAACCCCTCTCAAAATGAACCAACTCACTTCTTATTGCTACTCATAAGATACATCTCTGCTTTTTCCAGAAAGTATTTCATCTGTTGGGGATTTAAGAAGTTAAGCATTCTTCCATTTCCTGACAGTGAGAGATACTTTAGACACTGCTAATGGCTTTACATGTAGTATCTCATTAAGGCCTCATAACATCCTTTAAACTACCCGTATATATTATTATGCCTGTTTTACAGATGAGATCATTGAGACCTATGAAAAATTTTCCTGAAATGACACAGTCAACAAGTAGATGATTCAGGGTTATAATGCGGGTCTGTCTAGCTCCTGTATGCACCGTCCTGTATGCACCTAATGCAGCACCGTGTTTCACGTACCTCTCATCCTGGTTGCAGTTGTCTCTTGTGATTTACAAAACACTATCATATTTCGCTTTAGTGTTTCTTTACCACAATTGCCTGGATGGAGTATTATTATTTTCCTTTTACAGATAAGAAAAAGGGGGGCTTAGACACATGAAGCAATAGCTAATAAATGTTGTCTCTGGAACTTAATTCTGGATCATTCTCGAAGCATTTCACTCCATGTTTCTCCCATTAGCTAGTCTCTGTACACGTCAGAACCATGTGAGCTAGTCAAGAAGAAAAGAGAGTGAGGAGTTGTGTGCTGCGGTTTTATATTTTGATTGTTAGAAAATCGAATGCTTGCCACGTAAAAGAGATTTAGAACCTTTTTCTGTTTGATTCATGTAAACTTTTTCTAACATATGCTAAGGATGCTCTGAGAAGAGCCATGAAATGTAAAATGAGTATTAATACCTGTAAACACATCAGTTTTGTCTTCCTGTTTAAGATTTAATGGAGAAAAACATTTTTAAAAACTGATTTATAAAGAAACTAATAAAACCACTAATATCCTCATCTATAGATCAAAGTAAAACATGCACAGGGGCAGGAAATGCTTAAATATTTCCTCCCCAAGATGTTGTTGGAAGATCCCTTTGGTTTTTTAATTGGATGAAGGTGCTGTTTCCTTGACAACCAGTTTTCTGAACAGACTGCCTATACCTCAGTGTTCTACAGCTTGCTGTAGAAGTCAAAATGAGATACCATATTCTCATAAGATGCACATAAATTTACTAAGATACCACATTCCTTTAAGATGCACTAAATTTACTAAGGAGTGACTTTACAGTTTGTTTATGGTTTCTACGAGATACTGCAGAGAAAATATTAAGTAACTGAGAAAAAAAGGTTATAGATGCTTAGGTGTGTAGGACCATAAAAGGCTCTTAAATTTGTAATTATTACTTAAATGAAAATTATCATCTCTTTGTGAATATCTATTTATGCTTGCTTGTTCATTAACCTGGAAACAGGTCATTCCGGCTCTATAGTGACACCTGTTTAAAAATAGAAATTTAAGAAAGTCACAACTAGTTATAAAAATCCTTTGGTCAGTTACCAGGAGGAATTCGAAATTGCTCAAGTTGACAATGGATCATGTTAAACTCGCATTTCCAGGGGACTCTTACTACCTTGGGGAACTTCTGTGCCGCAGGGGAGAAAGTGAAGTAAATGGGATTGGGTTTGGCAGAGCTCTTCAAGTAACTTGTTCAATTTCCAGAAATAGTGGGAAATCTGTCTAGCCTGTAGGCACTTGTCCAGAAGCATCATATTCAGGTTCACTTTTCTTCCGGGGAGTAAGACTATGTATTTTTCACTACTTTTTGCCCTTGTGTTAAAAAGAAAATTATAGCTTAATCTCTGAATCTTTGAATGTCCTTTAAAGCACAACTAGATTTTCGACATACTTTGGTCCATGTGTTGTCTTTAAAATGCACATTTTATGGCATTGTGCTGGATAGAGAACTCCTAACTTCCACTTATGAACATATATGCAAACTTTTACATATGGATAGTTACACATATTCTTCTGAAAAGAGTTTCAATTCTTTATCAAACAAAATGGGTCCACAGTTCACACAAATGCTAATAGCTGCCACTTTCTATACTTTGCTGCCCAACTTTCTAGCTTTCCTTCTTTCTCACTGACAATGTAGTTCTTCCCTCTTTCCATCCTTCTCAGCATTCTTCTCTGGTAAAACCTCCCTGCTTTATTTCGTATATTCCAGTTGCTCCTCACCTTGATTGCTTAGATCAGATTTTGAGTGTGTGTGTGTGTGTGTGTGTGTGTGTGTGTGTGTGTGTGTCTATGTAGATTAACCAACATGTTTCCCTTTACTTATTTAATCAACTAAAACTGTAACTTAGTTAATACTGTATATCAGAATAATACACATCTGCTCATCATATAATAAAGCAAAGCCAGGCATCAAAGAAATTATACAAATCCTAGACTTTTGAGAGAACATTTCAGAGTTTCCCCTTGAGGTCAACTGGCACCTACAAATGTTTAACTAAGCAAGCTCTTGTGAGCACTTGAATAACATAAAACATAAAATTAGTTAAATGCAAAGAGTTGCCTTTTATTTAAAATGACATTCATATGACACACCTCATAAGAGAATGAGTGCAGATGAGGCAAGTGCTGGGCAAAGCAAGACATCCTTCAAATTCTTACAGCCATGAGACTTGCTAAACAACGGAATGTGGAGGACAATGTGACTATTAAATTCTCAAGTCTCATGGAGCCCATGAGTTCACTCATTGAGGTGGGAACAGATCATATGGGACATGTTTTAGAAAGGTAAGCTATTTGTAAACATGCAAACATTCTGAGGATTGATTTTTCTGTATGAATAACTTTCTTACCTAGAAGAATTAGGTATAGAAGATGGGCACCTGCCTGAGCATGACAGGCATACTCATTCTCAAAAAGAATGTTTACTGGTTTCTCAGATGTGTATGTTATTTTCATTCTGTCTTATGATCCATATTCTTTTGTGTGAAAACATCCATCATCAGTTTTCTTCAATGAGAAAATTGATTAACATCTTTGTTTGCAATGTGTTTTAAATACATATCTCTCTGAAATCTCTCCCTTCCAGCCCCACCACACCTTTCCCACTTACTCAGCAGATTATTGCTTCTCCATTGCTAGAGAGAAATGTGGGAAAATCAAATGTCATAGAAACGGTTAACAGAGCTATATCTAAGCACTTTATTATCCTTGTGTTGATTTTCTCCAAAAACAAGGAAGAAAAGCATCTCTTCTTCTCTCTGAGAAACACTTGTGATGGCATATTAAATCCCATTACTTTGAAAATCTGCTAGGATTAAATTATCAGATGTTCTTATTTTTACCTAAACTTCTTTGGAATCAATTTGCTTCAAATTTTGTCAGGATTTCCTCTTTTTTTTTTTTTTTGGAAGTAGGTTCCACCTTTCTTTCTGATGCTTTACTCACATAGTTGGTTATGATTGAGGAAAAGAAATGGTGATGCATATCCCCATCTTTCTGAATTTTTTATTTTCTTACCTACCCAGAGAATGGGTGTTTGGTTCTGCTCCAAGTTCCAGATGGCGAGCAGCCAGGGTCAGGGCTGAAGCTTCCCTTCTGAAGGCAGGTCTGGAGACCCCATCTCTTTCCATATCCTCTATTAGAGTTCAACACATATGGGATGAGTGGGCTTTTCTCAAGGTTTAGACGTTAGTGGAGTGTTGATAGAGGCCTAATTGTGGCTCATATATATTTTCTAAACCAGCTTTAACCAGTGATAAGGTAGATAGTTTGAACTCTATCACTTTGATTTTTTTGGTCAATTTATTAGCTTATTCTGAATTCAAAAGGAGATTGGGTATGATTACCCTCAAACACTCATATTTAATGCAAACAAACATACTCTGCTCATCCTGGCTTCTTCATGTTGTTCTCATTCAATCTTTCTCTTTCTTACTCTCATCAAACTTAACATTTTTGGTCTGCAACTGCTTCCTTCATTGATAATATATTCATTTTACATAAATATAAATATATTATATGCATATATAATCACTTATTTTATTAAATGAATACATACACATAAATTTTTAGAATCTGCTAGTATTAGCAGATTTATAAAGAAAAATTTTATAGCCTCTATTCCCTCTTCTATCTTCACACTGCCTACTCCCACTTGCTAGAACCAAATATTTTTAATTTTTCTAGTTGTTTCCTCTGGAAATTATTTTCATATGACTATTGTATGCTTTCCCTGGCCTTTTTAAAATCACTATCAGTCATTATTTATATTTGCTATAATAAAGAATGACTTAGTTTACACTATGGCCCACTTCCTCTCCCCTAAGCTCCAATATAGTTATATAATTTTTAAATTTTAAATCAATAAACTGCATTCATGTCTTTTTTGACTCTCATACACTTCATAGACAACCCATCAGCTAGCCAATCACTCTATTTTCAAAATATATCCTGAAACCAACTGCTTCCTGCTAATTGCTCCTACCTAAGTTCAGGGTATTTTATCCCTTGTTTGGATTGCTATGATAGATTCCTATTTATTTTGCTTCTACTCTGAGTATTTGCAATCTGTCCTGCACACAGCAGCCAGAGTGACATAAATGACATAGTTCTCCCGAACTCTGCTCTCCAAGGACTTCTAAACTGCTTGGTAAATCCAAGATCTTCCTCACATCTCCTGAAGACCTTCATGATGTGGATTCTGGCCACCATGTCATTCCACCTTCCCCACTGATCACTGAATTTCTATCTCACTGGCTTCCTTGATTTTTCTCAAATACACTGAGTGTAATCCACTCAGAGCCATTGCACCTGCTGTTCACTCAGCCTGAAATGCTCTTGCTCCAGGTATTCACATTTCATTCTCACTTTGTTTAGTTTCCATTTGAATGGTCTTTCATTTGCAAGTAATCTCATTAGAGAGACCATCCTTGACAACCTTCTCTATAAAAGCTGTCTATTCTCCCCTAAAACCTGCAATTTCCCTTTATACCCTTATCTAGAATGTAAACTACATAAGATCAGGGCAGTACTGGCTTTGTCATTGCTGTATTGCTAGCACCAACAACAGTGCTGCAGTAGAGAGGCTCAATAAATATTTGTAGAATAAATGCATACATAAATAGATCACTGCTACAGAGAAAGCATGGATATTTTTTAATGATGTTCCAAATATGGCATGTTGAAGTCTTGCGGTTCACCTAGAGAAGGGGATTGTTCCATAGAAATATGAAAAAGAGAAAACAGTTGTACTTGGTGAACATCCTCCATCCTTAAGAAGTATAAACCTCTTAAAATCTGCCCCTTCTGAGGGCCCCGTGGGTGATTTCCATCTAGTGAGAAACATAGACTCAGTGTGCCTTACTTCACTCAGGTATTTTGTTTTTTCATCTTAGACATTTAAAAAACTTTCTCCAGTACAGTCATTCTGAGTAGATTAGAAAGAAACCCATTTGTAAATTGTATAATTATAAAATGTATCAGCGTGGCCAGGCACAGTGGCTCACACTTGTGGTCCCAGCACTTTGGGAGGCTGAGTCAGGAGGATTGCTTGAGGCCAGGCATTGGAGACCAGCCTGGGCAACATAGAGAGATTACTCAGGAGGCTGAAGCCAGAGAATCTCTTAAGCCCAGGAGGTTGAGGCTACATTGAGCCATAATTGTGCCACTGCACTCCAGCCTGTGTGGCAGTGAGATCTTCGACTCACTCTCTCTCCATATATATATATATGGAGATATATGTGTGTGTGTGTGTGTGTATATATAAAAAACATATATACATAAAATATAAATATATTAGCATGTGTTAACAAGAAAAGCTATACACTCTCCTTTGCCTATGATCTTCAGTTGAGAGACATACTTGTATAGAAATATTTATTTTCCTATTGTGAAATAGTTCACCATATTGATACATCATAACTTTACCTGCAGCTATTCATCCTCAGCCCTTAGTTCATCTCATATTATATATGCTCCTCCCCAAAGCCATGGTATTAACTATTACTGACTCCTATGCCTTTGGCAAGCTTCACATTTATCTAGCTCATTAGTCATCTCTATCTGGATATGCCACAGAAATGTCAAATGGAACAGGAAATGTGTAATTCTTTCCCCCAGACTTTTTAAAAATATATTTCTTATTTAAGAGACCTAGGAGGGATACCAGATCTCCCTTTCTCATGTAATCTACAAAATCAATTAGTCACCAAGTTTTATAGATTATTGCTCCCTAATAACTCTCAAATCAGTCTGCTCTTCTACATTCCCAGCAAGACTTCTATTTTTCAGAACTATCACTATGATTCTATCACTTATAGATGTAAGCCCCCTGACTTGCGCTAACATTCCTCCAAACTGTCCCCTGTATTCCAGACATATTCAGATTCAGGCATGTTCCATGTGCTCCTACAATTCCCTGAATCTCCAGGATAGAGGTTGACTAAAGGTTACCATGTTATGCCCTTCATTGTTAGGCTCTATGCATCCCTTTAGATCAGTCTCTTGCCAGTGTTCCATGCAAATTCTTTGCATTTGCTGTTCTGAATTACTACTGGTTTGCCGAATACACCATGGTGTTTCTTTCCCATGTTGTTCCCTCTACTTCAAATGTCCTTGGCTGTTGTCTCTGTTCAGTTACTTTCCACATAAGCATTTTTTTTCTCCTAGGAATATTTTTCTGAATTCCCAGTGTGATTTATGTGCCCCTCTTTATTGCTCTCATGACAACATGTATAGATCTCTTTTAAGATTTATCATGCTGTATTGTCATTCTTATTACTACACTCTATATACTGGCTTATTTGTGTATCTTGCCACCTAAACTCCTAAAGGTCAATGATGATGTTTTGATCATATTTATGTCTCATCTGTCTAACCTGGTAGTGTTCATTAAGCATCCATGGACAGAAGGAAGAATGAATAAGTGAAAGCTTTGCTACCTAGACCTAGAAGAACTTTCCAGAACCCACTGAAGCAAGGATGCATCATCAGGTACTGTGTGTGTACATTAAATGCTATCACATATAGTGAGAACTTAGAAATGCAGAGATATGGGGACTGACAACTTTTCTGTTTGATTTTTAACCAGAAAGTAAGCACTACTTAGGTTGTGTAACACAATCCTGGTGTGTGTGTGTGTGTGTGTTCTGGGAGAGGGGAATTGCATAGCAAATATGACATATGACCTCTGGAGGCCTGTTCCAATTCTGTTGTTTCATTAGCTCCTTTTCCCAAGGCATTTAAATTGTTTGTTGTTGTTTTTAATTTGGATTATATATGAATATATATTTAATACATTTTAAATATATATTTCAACAAATAAGACTATCTATCTTCTTAGCATCAATACAATTCCTAAATTACCAAGATCTAAAAAGTGTATTAAAGCCATAGATTGAGGGATGAAAAGTCAATACAATTAAAATTCCTCTAATGGTACTTAAAATTAATTAATTAGTATATTTTCTTTCTTATAACTGAGATTTGAAGAGCACAGATTTGACTTCAGGCATGCATTTATAGCTCCCTTTTATTTCTTGCCATTTGCCCTGTATGATTTATTATGAGCATCATTTATGTAGATTTGGTTCTAATTAGGGTCTGAAAATCATTGTTTGACTGTACAGTTATAACAACATAAGAAATAAGAAAAAAATACTATTTAGCAGATTAGAATGTACTACAGTAAGACATCCAATTGTTGAATAACCCCCATGTCCTTCACCTCAAAAATCCTGCTTGGAAGGCCGTCCCAAACGTTCATTACTTACAGAATGAAAATTACTTCCTTATATGTGAACTGACTTTATTTTCTTTTAACTCTCATTAAAGTGTCTTTGTGCTATATAAGCTGAATGAAAAACGTAACCTACATTATCTATCTTTTGATTCCTTTAATTTGATTGTATGTATCATTTCCATAGCAGGGACCATCTGTCCTACCAATCTTTGTGATTCATTCCTTTCCAGCTATTGTTATCTAGTTACCTATCTTCTTTTCTTTTTTTCAAATTTGATTTGATTTTGAAAAGAACGTTGGAATGGAGATATGCACCTTCTAAAGCATTTACTACAGATTTTGTGGCATTTAACTAGAATTATACTAGTAGGATGGATACATCCTGGCAACACACACACAGACACACACACACACACACACACAAAGCAACAGCTCTGATGGGCACTGATAAAAATGTTTTCTCTCTGGCCAGCATGTGATTAGGCACAAGGGCATAAAACAACTTTTAACACTTTTGACAATAGAGACCACCTCTTTTATTGCTCTGAATTGTTACTGGCACCTCATAGGTGTTTAATAAATATTAATACTGCTAAGTTTAATTATCAATGTAAAGGAAAAACTGATCTTGAGAAAACTTTGCGGTGGGTACACATTGGAAGATATGATTTATTGTTTCCAAAGGAAACCTTTTTTTAAAAAAATTTCAAATGTAATCTTAAAGATTTAAAATATTACCTGTTTTATTTTATAAGCACAATTCATAGCCAAGTTCTTCATTTAGTGCAGAGTAAAATTTCATTTTCAGATCAAGCCGGAACAGAGAGACATAAACCAAAATTGTGGACCAATTCATGTTGTCCAATTGTATGTACAGAATTAAGGCCAGATGGGGCTATAAAACTAGCCCCTAAATCTCAACATATAATTCCAAATGTTTCAGAAAAATAATGTAGAATACCAATGAGGACATAGGTAGGCACTGAAATAGTTTTTCTCTAGTTTCTCACCATTCTTTTCTCCTTCATTCTGCCAACACACACCGGCTTAGAAACTAACCATCATAGATTGAGAGGAGTGGAAAGGCAAATGAATATGACTGATGTACCAGAGACACAGTAGTTAGAAAACAAGTTTGTTGTGTAGAGGTAGTTATTATTCACACCAATGTTGAATATGGACATTAGAAGTGGGCCTCAAAAAATGGAGTCCAGTTTCATCTTATTGCGTTTAATGAAACTAAGAAATATTCATGTATCTTATAATTAGTTATTCATAGAGCTAGAAAGGACTTTAGAACATAAAATTTGTCTTCCTGCCTTCTAGTGGAGTTGGACTCCAGCACAATGAACACTTGAGTTGTTTAGACTGTTTTTGGGGTATGTCTATCCAGAGAGTCAAATGGGACACTTTTGATAAAATGAAGGTGTATAAATCAGTCAAATAAGAGGTCTGATTGATTTTACTCACACCCCACCTGCACTCAAAATTGTCTCATTGGAAAGAGAAACTGTCATGTGATGTTTATTTTTCAATGATCTCGTCTACTTATGTAAGTGTCTTGTCAAGGTATAAGAGGTGTACTTAGAACCAGTAACTGCTTCACTGAGAGACATATATAATTATAGAGACTATCTATATATAACTTTTGAATAAGAACACTTCACTCCAAAAAAGGATGTAAAATAACTTATAAAGTGCAATTCAAAGTGATGCACTATCCCAAATCTTATTTTTTCTAAATCAGTTTTACACATTATGTGTCTGAAAATACTCGAGGCACAGATTTTTGCACAACATCCATTGTTATCTATATAGGACCACAGTAGGGGTAAAGTAGACTCAAGATTATACTTGAACTTTTCAATTTCTGAGGTATTCTTGGATGCATCGATTTTGACTTGAGAGAGGTTAGATTACCTAGTGTAAAATCCCAAATAGTGTCAAAGTGCATTATGGCAATTGATGTTAACATTAAGCAGGCTTGAAAGTTCTTGCCAGAAATGACACTACAGTTCAAGACCACACTGACTGGCTAGAACTAGTCATCTCTCTGGAAAGCATTGCTTGTCAAAGATAAAGTATTTTGACATACTTGCGTGCCTGGAGTATAAGTTCCATGTGGATCACGAATTGGGAGACTAGCCATGGCTACTAAAAATGCTCAGCTAGCTCCCTTCTCCACTGAACTGGAGACTAAAGTGGCAATTTTAGGTTACATGCTTATATCCCAAACACAGCCACTATGAGTGATTAACAGCTACAGAGAAAATGACCTGGGTGCAGGTACCAGGGCAGCGTCTTTGAAGTATAACCTGAAGATCAAGTCAAAAGTCTCAAATTTCACCTTTAAAAAGTCAGTCATTTAAGATTTGAGTGTTCCCTTTAAGTAAAAATACCACTAGGAAAAATGTCAAATTAAGATTTTAGTATTATCAGAATTCAGTTCTTAGTAAGAGCAGGAATAAACATCTTCTGGGAAGGACCAAAGAAATGGGATTTAAGAATGGAAAACAGACAAAAAGTGGGTAAGGAAACTCCCTGCTGTAGCATTTCACCAAGGACAGTCCTAGATATTAGGCACAGGTAGTCTAAGGCATTCAACACCAAAGAAACATAGGGAAAGGAGTAGGCAGAAAAACTTAAGAATATGAAACCACAATATGGATATTTTTTTCTTTTTAAGGTATTATGTAATGATTTTCTGAAGGCATTAAAACTGTTCTCATGAAGCTTACATTCTAGTCAGGGAGGCAGAGACTTATTAAAAAATATATAATAAGATGGTGAGTAGTGAGTGTTTTAAAGCAAAATAAATAAATACATACATAAATAAATAAATAAATTCAGGAAACGGAGAAAAGGAGATAGAAAGCCAGTGAGTGAGAGGCTGTTTTAGATAAGATGGTCAGGAAAATCTCTCTGAGGTCAAGACATTTAAAGACATGTGAAAAAGGGCAGAAGTGAGTCATGAAAATATCTTTGGGAAAACATGGGCAGAGGGAAGAAAAGATAAAGTTCAAAAGCCTTGAGGTATAATCACGCCTCAAGTTTGGAGAAAAAAAGCAAGCCAGTCCATGTGGAATGTTTTCATCCAGTGACAGAAGGGTGCGAAATGAGGTTGGCATCATTGAGAGGTGAAAATGTATAGGAGTAGGACTGGGGACACATAATAAAACTTTGTACTTGTTCATATGTCAGAGTCTTTGAAAGTTTGAAAATACCTACCTGCTGAGTACTTTGTAGAGGGTTGGTCGTAGACAGAGACAAGAGGGGTTGTTGAAGAGCTATTAGACAGCTATTGTAGTAATTTAGGCTAGATTGAAACAAGTAGTGAGATGTGAATGTAGAGGCAACATGATTTATTAATGGGTTAATTATAAGATGTAAGAGAAAGAGAAAAAATTAAGGCTGACCTCAGTATTTTTGGCTTAAACAATTGGTGCCATTTACTAAGTCAATAAATATTTTTTCAAAAAATTTAAAATATGATTCATACAAATATTATGAATGAGAAAATCAACAGAAAGATAGAGCTGGCTCAAAGGAGAATTAAAGGGAGAGGATTTATGTAGGCTTGAAGTAGGAGTGCTGGAATAGCATCACTAGGTTAGATACCAAAGTAGTTAATATGGTGTAGTTTAATAAAACCATAATTGCTTCCTTGATAACACAAACATTTTCAAGTTTACATGTACTTTGACAGAATGGGAACCTTTAGTATGTAACATATGTGAGTCACATAAAGGCATCTCCTTGAGTGAGCTCATTCAATAATACTGCAACATTGCATTGAAAAGACAAGGTGTTCTTTTTTATTTTATTATCAAGTTTTAGGTATTTTGTTTTTGTAAAAACTGAGATGTAAACTCTAGAAGAGGGGGAAATTGTAGCAGAGGGTCAGCCATCATTTTGTTGTTCACCCATTGTTAAATATTTGATGTATAACATTTTAATAATTAATATTATAAATAATAGGGTTTGTTACCTTTTGTTTGTTACCTTGTGGTTGGGGAGGGGGGGGCAGTGAGGGGTTCCTAAGAATGAAGTCCCAAGAAAGGAAGTAATTGGTCCCTATGAAATTTTGATATTTTATATCAAGAAGTATTTAGATTTATTACCAATATATTATTCCAATTAGTTTGTTTTTAAAAATTCTAGCGCAAGGAATTTACTTATTACATGTTTATAGTATTTTTTTTTAATCATTATGTTTTTTTTACCTTGTTTTCCAGATATTACCTGGAATGGTAGAAAGCTGTGAACCTTGATGTGTATATATGTGTGTAGGGGGTAAAGGGATCATTGGATTCTAATTGCAATGTTTACTTAGAACTTCTAAGTCATTGTATTTGACCCAGAGCTGAAAAGCAGTTTTTAAAAGGGCGTTATCATCATTAAATGTGCCATATCTTAGTGATTCTGACTATTGAAAGGAATTATAAGACACAGTAACTGCCTTGGAAGAAACTACAATTCGCTTTATCTTTAGATGAGTTATGAATATGACTTGACGTGAATATAATTTGACAGAAGCATAGTGTGGGATAGAAAAGGGAACATGGACTTTGGAGACAGTTTTAGCATGTAGTACTAGATATGTTTCTCAGTATCTCTGATTCTTAGTGTTTTTATCTACACTAGGATAATTTTATTCAGATTGTAAGGATGTTCTAAGAATTAAATATACATGCATAATCTATCAATTATCTATGTATGCATGAGTCTATCTACGAATCAATATTCCATCTTATCCCACAAAGAGTTTTAAATGTCTGAATAATATTGATAATATAATTATAGCAGAGCCTAGCACACAATAAGCAATTGATAAATAGAATCACTATTGTTTGTATTTCCTCAAACATGTTATGCTGAGTAGGATCTCTGAGCTTTAACGTTTGTTCCTGTCCTGGATTTCCCTCCGCTCTCCTCACCTTCCTTCCCCTCAAACCTTCCATTTTTCTAGACTCCACTCATTTGTTTTCTTCTCCATGAAACTTTCCCACATCCAGCAAAGTGTGTCTGTCCCTTCCCAACCCAGCTCCTCTGTTTCCCCAGCGCCTGGCACATACTTGGCTTGTAGATAAGTCTCATTCAATATGTCATATAAATAACAGAAATGGAGTCTGAGACTCAGAACTATTAACTAGTTTTCAGTTACTTTATAGAATCCTGATTAAGCCAACACAGCACACCTGGAAGTATGTACCTGCCATGAACTTCAGGCTCTCTTTGACACTTTCATCTCTGTAAGGCATGAATAAAGTGTTACATAAAGGTCTCAATATCAGAAAACCTTTAAATGCCAATTCCTATGCCATTAGGAAAAAAGTAAATCATATGCAACAGATTTTAGACTTTCTATCTTCTCTTTTCTTTCTTTTCTTTATGGTCAAAACACTGTGTACTAGTGTTACTTTAAAGGCAGCACAGTTTATGACAAGCATCTCATACCAATAGCTATAATCACACAGAAGATTATAAAAAGAACAGATTTCACAGTTTTAGAAGAACACTAATTAAATAAGCACAAATTTGAAAATTATAGCATAAAGGCTAGCATGCCAGAGACTAGATCATAATGAGTATTGATTGGCCATCTAACTCATGCCCTATAAATTAGTGCTGGAGACTTGGATCTGTTATGGATAACACTCACTGCTCCTTGAGCAGTTTTCCAAATATAATCTTAATGTCATGTTCAACCGCCAATGACAAGACAGGACCACCCACAACAAAGCTCTGGAATGCAGCCAATTCACCAACCTTGCAATAATACTTTCAACCGTTCAATTCTGCTGCAGTGCACATGTAAATAGGGCCTAAAAAGCAAACAGGTGTGCCTTCAACTGGGAAAAACAAAGACCAAATTAAGTCTGGAAAGACACCAAAGACTTTTGAGCGGCATTATTTTAAATAGCTAGGAAGCAGTAATTATAGTCCAAGCAGAGAGATGTTTGTGAAACAGAGATATGGGAGATTTTCTGTGGGAGGTCAAAACAACCTGCAAGCAAAAGGTCACAACTACAAGAGTTATAACTCTGTCCCCAGAAAAACAAAACACCATCATTTTCATAGAGGAAAAAAGACTTTCTATGCCCTTGATAACTTTACATAACCTCTCTGTAAAATATATACTAAGGACATATGTACTGCATATGTCCAAATAGGCTTGGATAGTTCTAGTGGCAATAGTACATCCACTCGCAGATGTCCAGTAGTATAAGGGGTTTCTTGGATTTCCTAGAGAGGAACCTCCAAGTGGTGTCATCAGTACGTGTCTACAAAAAAATCTGTGTCTACTGAGGTACCAAACCTGGGTAGCCAGAGACTTAAAACTGTGAGTCTCCAGATGACACTGATAGCAGGCATGTGAGCAAGCAAGTTATTGTACTAAAGTTATTGGACAGATTGATGGGGGGAAACAATCCATATTAAAGTAAACCTGAAAAACAAGATTTCAGGCCAGGCGCGGTGGCTCATGCCTGTAATCCCAGCACTATGGGAGGCCGAGGTGGGCAGATCACGAGGTCGGGAGATCGAAACCATCCTGGCTAACACAGTGAAACCCTGTCTCTACTAAAAATACAAAAAAAAAAAAAAAAAAAAAATTAGTCGGGCGTGGTGGCAGGCGCCTGTAGTCCCAGCTACTCGGGAGGCTGAGGCAGGAGAATGGTGTGACCCCGGGAGGTGGAGCTTGCAGTGAGCCAAGATCGCGCCACTGCACTCCAGGCTGGGCAACAGAGTGAGACTCCTTCCCAAACAAAACAAAACAAAAACAAACAAACAAAAAACAAGATTTCAAAGCATGGATATATTAAAATAGCAGAACTATCAGAAATCAAGGAAAGTGTAGGTAGAATGAGTTTTAGATCTGACCCCAGGAAAAAATAAAGAGAATAATCAGAAAGAAAGAACAATAGAAGGTTGAGATAAATAGAAAACATGTATTCAGCTTCATGTAGATGAGAGGAAAATGTTAGGTGTGTGCATTCCAGGACAAATATGAAGTTTATGGGTTTCAGTTGGTGATATAATCAGTAGGATCTCTGATTAGAAAAGACCCTAGGATATATTCTTAGAATATATCAAATAAAAGCAATTTAAAAAATATTTTCATGATTGGCCTGGTGGGTGAAGATAGAAAAGGATACACCTACTCGAATCCTTGGAATAGGAACTTTATCCTAATAGCCGATTCTGTTTGATAACTGTCTGTTAATATTATAAACATTATTGTCGGCATTTACAGCCCTAGCAGGAGTTGCAAGTAGATAATGGCCCTAAGCAGACGAGGCCTGAGAGCCTCCACGAACCGTACAGATGGTTTCTTATGTTCTCTAGCCTTCCACAGGATTTGTCTCACCCTGAGCAACTTTGTGTCATGTTAATCAAATAGAAGGAACTACGAATGAAGAAAGAAAGAAGCAGCAGCAACTTACCATCACTGTCACCATCACATGTCACTAAAGTTAGTGGCAGGCAAAGCATGAGGCTAATACTAATGCAAGTTCTTTTCCACATAGATGGTGAATATCTCCAGCTGCCCCCAGCTATACTTGCATCTGGTTATATTGGGAGCTGTCTAAAAGAGGTACACAAAATGCAGCTTTTAAAAAAGGCAGCTGTGGAGGAGAAGCCCATCAGAAAAGCATTAGAGCACAAATAAAGGCTGAGATTAATGCATTTACTAAATAATTTAGTTGAAGAATAGAAGAGGAAGAGTTATAGGGAAAAGAAAACAATATTTAAGCACACAGGCAAAAAAAAAATCTCTGTGGAGGGAACAAAGTAGATTATATTTTAAATATTAAGAATATTCCCTTTAGCTGCCCTTATGTTATAGGCAAATTGTTTATATGCTACAGAAATGTTAGGGACTCACTCCTAGAGGTGTGGGAGAGAGAATTCCTGGTTTTGATTAATCTATTTGCCCCCAGGCAACTGCTATTGAGCCTGGCTTGACTGAGCTCATGATGTTTTTATGACAGAAATTTATTTCTGCTGAAAAAGTTCCAAAACATTGATGTCTTTCAGATATTTTGGGGGCAATCTCATGTCCTAGCAGAAAGAGTGCACAGTCAGGACTGGGGATTTTTTAGTAGAAAAATCACGGAATTTCTTTTAAAAATCAAGAAATAAAAGGCATTTACAGTAGGAGCTGCTTTATTTAAAGCAAATGGGGACTTTAAAAATGGGTGGGTTAAAGAACATCTGTAATACACCAAGGCCATTGTTTTCTTTAGCTACTTCTGAATGCAGAATAAGTCATAAAGTTATGGATATGCTTCAGTCATAGTCTTGATTTCTAATTCATTATGAAGTAATCATAAATATTTCAAGTTAACATATCATGTCATTGAAACGTACCTCTGGTACATTGTATGTACATGGTATCATGTACCTTTTGTTCTTAATTACCAATTTCTTCCTTAATTCGTGGCAGGAAAATTTAAAAAATATATTTAATATAGTAATTTATCAACAAAGCAAATGCCAATGTTCATTCTAAGAAGTTATATTTGACTAATATTAGCACTTGGTTTCAAACACAGAGCAAGAATAATGATCATGAGACCTGTTTCCTACTGTGCGCAGATATTACTACACATGAGCAGGGCAAGATTACTTTGCATTCGTAGCCATCCAATCTTTACAGGCTTATAATAGGATTAAAAATCAAGAGGACCCACCTTTATATTCTATCCATGAAACATTTAAAGTACAAATTAGAATTTTGTACTTATGACCTATTATTTTTTCTAGAAAGATTTCTAATGATTTGGTCACAAATGTGTGTACTGGGGACACATATTACAAGCACACATTTACAAGCTCCCTGCTGCCTGGAATTGTGGAATTCTGAGAGCCTTCAGTTTGCAAGACTCCTAATCGCTCACAGCTGAGTTACAGCATTACCAGCAGTAAAGTGACATTTCCCACCCCTCAGATATGCTTAGTTCCCACTCCCATAAATGAAGTATCCAGAAGAAGTGCTTCTGGGAGTTTCACAGCCTCATCAACTAATTTGCTCTGCCATTTCCAGAACCAGCATTGGAGGTGGGGTGCTCTTAGATGTTTCAGCATTCCCAATGCTAAAGGTCATTGGACTGGTTCAGAGTTAAAGTCTCAAAGCATTTTACGTAAACATGAACCTGCTGACTTTCTTCTATTCCAAGGTAGCCGCAGTACTAACTGTAAGCGAAATGTGTATGTTTCTGTTTTTGGATGGCTGCTGGACAAATTCCCAGGGCCCATTTGATAATTACACAAAACTAGCAGGAAGACCCAGCCAAGAGGGGGTTTGCCTTTCACCTTCAAGGGTCCTGGGTTAAGCCCTAAACCCTTGGAGATTTGCATACAATGATCTCATCCAAGTTCCTTGGAATCATTAGTGATTGGTGAAGTTCACAGCTTTGATTTGATGTGGTTAGTCAACAAAATATTTGAATGCTTATCAAACCCTACATATCTAAGGTTATAAATTTAGTACCCATAGGATCCCTTGCATTCTTTTCTGTGGGATCCAAGACTGACAAAACAAACTTTTAGAGCATGCCAGGGCTTTTAGTGCTGACAGATATGAGAAAAGACACCGGCAAGAGAAAAAAAAAAAAAAGTCAAATATTTTCACACTTAAATAATGTATTTCTTTTTAGAAATTAGTTTGGATATTTAGAGTCAACGATTGTTTTTTAAGTTCTAATTTTCCCATCTTTAACAGGCTCTTGCCCATAACCACAATTATTATTCTTTTTAGTAGTCTTAGATCAAAGATATCCAAATACAGAATCCTGTTTTTATATCAAAATCTGTTACTCATTAGGCATACAGGACTCAGTTCTAATCTCATTCTCAGCACCCTTCAGCAAAGCATCCAAGCTGGGTAGAAATTTCCACTCAGCTTACATATTCACTGCTCAACCACAAAATTTTAAATAAAAATTTTCCTCTCTTGAAGTAGAACATAAAAAACAATATCTCACTCAATGAGGTATGAAAATACCATGTTCTTTAGAGTTTAAGAAGGGAGATCAATTTACATTTTTTAAAAAGAATTTCTTTATAAAAGTCAATGGATGTCATTCCAAAACTGCCTGTTCATTTTTTAAAATGGTGGAATTTATACTAAAGGTATGACTTTATTTAATAAATATTTGTCTTCATCGGATAGTATAAATGAAGTTATCATAGATCAAAATAAACTGTAAACTATCTAGAACAGCTCGAATATAAGGAAGTACAACTATCTATATTTGGGGTATTCAGGACATATTTTGTTAGTCATAAGAAAAACATAATAAGGAAGTAGATCAAAATATGGATTTGTCAAAATAAAATAAACACAATGCTTAAATATACTACCAAACCCAACACACAGACACAACAAATGCTTCAATGTCTGTCTTTCAATTATAAAAAAAGTCCAGGTCAATTTTGCATACTTTATAACATAATGACAGTAATGACTAACACTTATGGAGGGCTTGCTATGTGTTAAGTGAAGGTGTCAGAACTGTAGGTAATATTACTATCATCCCCATTTTCCAGATGGGGAAGCTGAGGCACAGAGCTGATAAAAATGAATGGGTGAGGAGGCCAACACAGTATGTCTGCCTCCAGTACTTCTTGACTGTGCATACTGCCTCTGTCCAGTTTCAGGACCTTATTTTGTAATCAGTGCTCATAAACATGACCAGATTGCACTGTGAAGTCAGGAAGTACATCCTGAATCAGAGAATGAGTTATGTTCAATGTATTTTGAACATCATAGTTGTTATGTTTTAGGTTTTAAATTATTTCCCAGTAAATCAGAGTATTAGTTACATTTTATTCAAGTTATCTTAAAAAATGTTCACATTCAGTTTCTACTGAGATTTTGCATGTTTATTATCAAGTAAAAAATATGTATGTCCCTGGAAATTTAAAGGCAATAAACTGAATTAAAATTTTATCCTAGTATTTCTTTCTACAGAGTAAATGATCAATATTATTTTCTAAGACTCATCTGCAGCTAAAAATTTTACCTTGGAAATACAAATACAGAGATGCCAACTGTTTAGAAGACATATTAATGTGATGTTGCTTTTATCTTGGCAACTTGAATTTGGTTGCAGTTCAATATATATTGATATCTAGTTTCCATTGAGGATAGAGATGCGGGAATTTGTCTTTCCTAAGGAAATATAGATACATCTTGATTGGGGAGTTACATAGTTGGTCCTTCCCTTTTCTATACCTATGGAGCCTTTTCCAAAGACCTTCTAAATAACCTCAGAATTCTTCAAAACAAAGTTTTATAGGCATCCTTTGCCAATAAAATACAGTTAAAATAAAAGTATATGCCCTTCTTCCATTAGATCATTTATTTCTGGACAAAAGTTAGTCTTCAGAATTAACGAATAAAGCAAAAATATAATAGTAGACAGACTGGGATTCAGGTGAAGTATGTTAAACACACAATCTCTGATGAATTTTATAGTGGAGAGATCTCTTGTAAAAAGTGGTGTTGCTTATAAAGAGAAATGCCAGTGGGGAGCCAGGAAAGTAATGACTTCCAAGGCTGTATATTTAGGAATGTCAGGAAGAAAAGAAGGCACTGAAGAAACATAAAAATGCTACCTTTACAATGTTGAGGTTGAACTAAAAATGGTTAAGCATTTCCATCTGTCAATCACCTATAAGTTAAATTTCTAAGTTGTATAATTTCTGAAATAAACCCTTTTTATTATTAATAATAGTAGTAGTTGCAGTGGTAACATAAATACAACAAATGTTATTCTGGCCATAAATCATGTCTTGGAAGCTGTTAATATGCTAAAGGTTTCATTTCATAACATGTGCCAATACTGATTGTCATTTTTGTTAGAAAAAAATAAAGTATTATGAATGATTATTAGGCGTAGACATAGGTATTATTCACTATCAGCCCAGGAAATTAGAGTTTAGAAGGTCTCTTTACAATAGTACATAAAGTATTACATTTGTTTCACAGCTGCGTTATATATGAGTACTGCATTTCTCTCTCACAGGAATAAAGTATTTTCTTACGGAAAAAATGAACTCCAAAGCAATGTGAATCCTTAAGCAGTGAAATAAGTAAGTATAATCTTATACAAAGGAATTAGGTAAGAATGATCAAGAAAAGTATTTCAACACAACAATTAACTGCAATGGTTGAAAGATGTTAAAGATCTGGAAAGGTTTTTTTTTAACCATATGGGAGTTATTAATAAATCAATATCATATTTGACAGCCATTTTAAGAGCCTAAGACCAGCTTCAAAGCCAGTATTTAGCAATCGGTATTTATTTTAGTATATTAAAAGACAAAAGGAAAACGTGGTATTTATACATAAAAATATGTTCATATGTTGATACGAGAGCAATTAGTAACCTATGGGATAAATCTAAACCAATTTTTTTTTCTAGTGGTTTCCAGTTTGTACATTTATAAGGGCAGATGAGAAAAAGCACTCCGTATTACCAGGCAGTGTAAACTCCTGTAAATTATCCTCATGAGGTCGCCAGGCATTTAGTTTTCAACTCGATTTTAGCACTAATAGAGACAGGGGTTTGGCTACACAATTTTACTTTCCTATATAAACTGCATATGGTAGAAAAAATCATCTTTTTAAAGGTGTCTTTAAGAATCAGACTCAAGACACTTCCCATATTGAAACTGGTTATTTATTGCACCTGTGCTTATAAGAAAGAGACATGAAAAAAGTGATATGTTTCATTTTAGTCTTATCATAACAAATCAAACCTTATTAGATTCACATCTGAGGTAATATATCAGGTCAACATGGCATTGTATAATGAAGTGCAGTAGAAAGCCTTATCCTGGAAGCCTTACTTTGAAGGTAAATTAAATAGAAAAAAAAACAACCCTTCAGTAATACTTACAGGATAGTTTTACATCATCACTGATTCATGCACAAATTTAGTTATTATTATTCTATAATAAATTTGGGTGATTTTTGGACAACCTCATTGGTGAGAAGAATTTTTGTAAAGTTTCCACTTTCTAATATCTTCTTAGAAGTTAAATTTTCCCCCTTCTCTAGTAATTTTCAGCTTTTTCCATTTGGTTGCTGTTACCATCTCTTTTTTAATGTTTCAATTGGAAGAGCTGCCAAGCAAAGATGTCTTTTCAGGACATGGAGGTGGAGTGCAGTGCATAGTTCCAACATCACCACTTGGTGGTTCTCTGCCAGCTGTAAGGAAGAAGGGGAGTTCATTCTCTTTTCTTGGTCCTTACAGGCGTCATCTGACTCATCTTTTCTGAGATGCTTAGCAGTATCATGAGTTCATTTTAACATATAGATTTTAGAATCAGAGGATGTGTTTGAGCAATGTGGATTTAAGGCATCTTTTAGAGGAAGTACTGGAACTAAGAAAATCAACTGTAAGTAAGTTCTGTTAAAAATATAATAAATTTGATATATGAGATTATATCAGTAGCATAGAAAGAATTATTTGGTCATTTGAAACATAAACCAAGACTCTGTTTATTTTTTTAGCCTCCTTTTTTTCTAAATTTTAGAAGCAGCATATGTTAATGAACAGAAGAAGTTGTTTAAAGCATTTGCTTTTAGGAAAAGCGTGATATAAGACCAACATAGTGAAAAAGGTCATGGGGCATTTAAGGAAGCATCAGGGAGGGGGTTGGTGGAGTCTTCTGTTTATGTGGTTTTATGTAATTTTCAATGTGTTACTTAACCTTCCATGCCTCATTTTTTCCCATTCATAAAAATGACAATAATTACACTTGCCACCTGTGTACCTCAAAGGAGAGAGGGAGGACTAATGAAATGTCTGTCAAGGGCTTTGAACTTTCCAGAATAAAGATTTTATGACTCCATAAAGTACAAAGTAGTATCCTGAACTTGTATTTTGCCTGGCATTTACCTCCATCTCTCAAGTTCTTTGCACACCACTGGCTACTGTTGCTCACAACAACCCCGTCTCTTCTGGTGACTGTCAGAGCTGCTCTAGAGAAGCACCAGGCTGCTGCTGTTTTCCATACCCAGGGCTAAGGAGACTTTGTCATTTTCATCATGGTACCTGAAACTTTTGTTTCTGTTGCCCATTTCCTGTGCCTGTTAGGCATGGTGGGTAAATGACATGAGAATCAATGTGGGAAACATCAAGACATTCTCAAATGACACATTAATACTGAGAATATATCATCACAGAGCCAACTTGGAATGCCACAGAACATCTCCCACTATTGTAGAAGAAAAGTTGATCTTGCCAAATGCAATCTTATAGCTTATAAATATTTTAACTATATTTATATTCTATCACCATCTCTCTCTCTTTAACTTTTTGGTTTTCCTTGAAAGTGGAGCCAGAAGTAATTTCTTGACTGTTGAAATCAAAGCCTGGATCTTTAAGGTAGTCAATCCTTTTTGCGTTTGATTGAGAGCACTTTAAATGTACTTGATCTGGATCCTCTGACACTGCAAATCAGCAGTGCTTTTGAGGATCCTGAGATGAATCAATGCTGAGGGTCGTGGTCAAATCACAGCAGTGGGTTCCTCCAATTTATTGCTATAGTGATAAAAAAAAAAGTTGAAAAGAAACCTTGAGGATTCATGTGGTTCAGTCTCTAGCCTTTGAGTCTTCTTTCAGTAAGGGAAAAAATGGGGATCATGATTTGGGGAAACAACGTTTGGAGCATAAGAACATAACCATTTTTCTGATCCATATTGTTTCAGTAGGCAGTAATAATAAATATCAACTAATGCTGTAATTTTATTAAATGTTTGGTATGTGCCAAGCAATATTGGAGAATTCAAGGGAAATATGAAATTTAGTACAGGTCTTTAAGGAAATTTAATTCTAATTTGTCAGAAGACAATCCCCACAAACACAGCATTATATATAGGGAAAAATTACTTATACAATTTTAGGTTGCTGAGAATGGTATGTGTGCGCGTGCACGCACGCGCACACACACACACACACACACTTTTCTGCTCCAATTCTGAAAATGCTTTCCTTTAGTCCTGGATTCTTAAGCTGAGCTTAAAACATTGAGCCCTATTGAAATGTGAAGTCTTTAGGGGGGAAATTAACAATTTACATTGTCACTATTCATTCATTTGCCCCTGAAATGTATTTCTGGTCTTTAGAAAATATCTGCTTCTGGTGTAAATGAGCTTTACCGCAGTTAAGGAAGAAGTTTCCCAAAGCCCTACCCATGAGTCCTACTTGAGCCGATGAGATGGTTCGGCAAGGTTCTTGTTGCTACATAATGTAGTTTATGAATAATCATCTTTCATCCTAGTGCTATTTATCTAACCTATTCTCCTTAACCACAAAATCATTTTAATGAATGCCAATACTGCAAATCCTATTGGTTTTGATTTAAATATGGTGTACTGTGAACAAGTTGATTATTGAAATTCCAAATACTTTTAAGTATACATTTAGTAAAATCATTAGTTAGCTATAAATTTATCTAGGACATGCTAATTAGAAACACATAATTACATGGAGTGTGTGATGTGTAAAATCAGGCCACTTTTAGAGGACAGATCTCTGGTCTTGCTAAGAATGGTGTGTCAGGGATGGTATTCTCTAGCCCATGATGTCTTGAATTTCAAACAAAAGGAGATATCTGAGAATAATTCTAGGGAGAGAAACAACTAGTTCAAACACATATGTAAGAGAGAATGAGATACTCTAAGAACTTCAGTGGGTAGTTCATTATGGTTGAGTTGTAGGCAAAATGGGGGAGTGTCAATCACATATATATTAAAATGATTTGATCAGCATCAAGGATGGCTCCAAAGTGAAGACAAGACTAGAATGATGCAGTACAGTTACAAATCAGTAATGCAGAGAAAGAAAAATGAGTCAATTGGAGGCACAGCCAAAACTGAGGTATGAGAAAAGTAGCCATTTACTCAAGTCTCACATTCACAAAGAGCTACATTTTTAGAGTGTTGGTGTTATTTCCACATGCGATTATACAAAGAGTACATTTTTCAGTGTGTTAGATTTGTTTAAGTATAAACATGGAAATGTATTACAAATTTCATAAATCTGGATATTTCTTTATTTTAATATACAGAAAGAGAACTGTGCTTCCCTGACCCTGTTGTCAAGGATAATGGCGGAGAATGGTTAAATTCGAGGGCTTTTTAACCCTATGGAGGTGCAGTGTCTTGCCCACGTTTGTATAGTTGGCTCACAGCAAGACAGCAATGTAATTAGACTCCTGGCCTAGTACCCTTTTACAGCCCCACACCTTGCTTCTATATCCTTTACGTAAGAACAGCAAATAAGCTGTTTCACAATTAAATGCAAGCATTGCTATCTGATGCTTGATGCTTTGATGGAGGAACAGTAAGAGGCAATGTTAGAGGATTGGGGGGAGGTGGCAAGTGCTAAAAAGTAATGGAGCAAAAAAAATAATAGCGACTTTCAATTAGAAAAATAAATATTTAGTGAAATAGATTAATATGATAAGTAATTGTAAACAAGTAGACCTCCTTTACTACACCAAGACCTGGGGCAATGGCAGACAGAATAGTTTCCCCTTGTCCTTCAAATTTGGCCTAACCCTTATCTTGTTAAGGACCCTTAGAATAGTCATATTTCTTACACACATTTAAGATAGTTTGATCTAAATAAGCATCCTATTATGGCTCTTTATTTTGCAGGTCAGCTTGTAATTGCAGTTATTTAAATGAGTGAAGCAGACAGTGGAACACATCTAAATTTAGCCACTTCAAGTGGGTGGTAAAGGATTAAAAAGAAAACTGGCAAATCTCATTGATGGATGCAAATTTTAGGAGTTTATGCAATGATGACATGGATTTTCAAATAGGTAATATTTGGGCACCTGCAGATTAACGTTAAGTAAACTTACAACTTTAAAAGATCTGCCCAGGTTGTACAAATTATTTTCCCATCAGCAGTATTAACCACTGCCACAACTGAAAAGACAAACAAACCACAAACATCTGAGAAAGAGATGAATTAAGAACACAAGAAAGAGAACTTCTGCAGACTGCAACCAACACAACTTTCCCTTTCTTTCTACTGGATTGTCTCCAATCCATCCTAAATTGCTGAACTGACATGTGGTAAACTTGGACGACCCAAAAGAGGCAAAACATATCCAGCTGTGCATATCTGGCTGTCTGCTATTTCACCTGGTATTTTTGGATAGCAGGACTGCTGCCACACTTTTGGATCAATCACTTGTAGTAAGTTAAACGTTTTTCCAGTTTTCTGGCACACACAGGCAATGAAAAATATCTTGGGAAAGATGGAGCTCATAGAGCAGACTTGTAAGTAACTACTCAGTCACCAGCATTAGATGATTTTAAGTTGGGGAATTGAATAATATGCTCATTTTATGTATTTGATTATCTTTGCTGCTACTTTTAGGTGGAACTAGTTAATAGTTTTGGGAATCTTTTATAAAACTGTTTTTTTTTTCCTGCAGTACAGGTTTTTATTTCTCTAGAAGGTTTAGGGAATTTTCCCTGTATATTTACTGAGTTTGCCTGATATTTGAGTAGTGAAGGTATTTAACCTCCACACTAGATTGCAAGTCCCCAGCCCTCAGGGTCTCTGTCCTGTTCATCTCATATCAGCCAAATCCCAATTCTTTTCATATCCTTAAGAGCTTAATTGATCATTGTGGATGAAATTTCATTGAAATTCAATGGGACAGTGTTTTAAATGTTCTTCTTTTTGCATTTTAAATATGTATAATCCTATAAGAAAGTTAAGAATATATTCAAATTATTGTACCATATTGCAGGATGTGGTAAATGTTACAAGTAAAAATAATAGAAATACAAAGAAGATAGGGTTTATTTCTAGTTAGTGGATTTAGAATGAACCATGGGTGATGAGGAAAAAGAGTATGTTAACAAGCAAAACGGACAGGAAGTGACAAATGGAATAAACTGTGAGCAAAGCCACAGAGCTAGAGATCTCAGGCTATGTGTGGGAAATGCTAAGTAAAGTAGTTTACTAAAGTTGGAGACAACATGCGAATGCACAGTTGGAAATTCACTTCCAGTGCAAATCAACAGACATTAATAGAGCACCTACAACCACTGTTGGAAAAGTTGGCCAAGGCTAGGTCTTAGGGTACTTTGAAAGCCAAGAATAGAATGTGTGTCTCATCCGGCTGGCCACAAATTGTAAAAGTCAAAGTCCAATAGATTAGCATGTAAGACTGTAGAATCTGGCCTAAACTTTCCATATATATTTTCCATGACTCTTCTTCATGAGCCAGAACCAAATTAATTACCTATTATTTTCTTTATATGATGCAAGCTTTCCTTTCTTTCTGGCTTTGCTAATGTCTTCCCTAAATCATTTTCTTATATCCACTTTTCCTTATGTGACTTGGAAGTCCCACTTTGGATACTACCTCCTCTTCCAAGCCTTTCTTCATTTCCTTCCCAGACCCTACTTTTGGAGCTCATTTAGATTCATATAGAATCTTATCCACAGCAATTATTTTATAATTCCTTTTATGGTTAAATGTGGGCATATCTAACGTACAAGATTACAACAACATTGAGACCTCTGTCCATTTCTTTTCTGTGTGTAACTCCAGAAATTAGCAGAGTAATGTATATAATGGAAACTCATTAAATATTTATTGGATGGATGGATGAATAAGTGGACAAAGAGACTTTGGAGCTTAGAAACTGCATGATATTTTTGGAACATTAAAACAAAATTCTGTAGCTCAAAGCTTGCTGCGTTACAAAAGTGTGAAAGTCTTTTGGTATACAACTATAAAAAAATCACGTTTGAGAAGGTTGGCAGTAGACCATTGGGAAAAGAATGGATTAAAGAATATAGTTATTGAAATGTATTTTATTATTTCCAAGACAATTGTTTATCTTAAGCTATAAAATGTGTACTAGCAAATTGAAATCAGTTATTAAAACCTGTTTCACAGATACATATTATACTGTTATTATTTTATTTATTTATTTTTCAGATAAGGTCTCACTCTGTCACCCAGGCTGGAGTATAATGGCATGATCACAACTCCCTGCAGCCTCAACCTCCCCAGGCTCAAGCCATCCCCCGACCTTAGCCTCCTAAGTAGCTAGGAACACAGGTGCTTGCCACCATGCTTGCCTATTTTTTTTTTTTTTAATTTTCATTTTGTAAAGATAGGGTCTCACTGTGTTGCCTAGGCTGGTCTCAAACTCCTGGGCTCAAGGGATCTTCCTACCTCAGCCTCCCAAAGTGCTGGGATTACAGGCATGATCCACCATGCCAGCCCTATATTATATATTATTTTCTTCAAATTTTGAAGACATAACACAAATCATGGAAAAAATATTTAGGGACTATGTACTATATTGAGTCTTTGGTGACAAGTATTACCTCAAACTCTGTGCTGTGGCTTTTACAGTTAACTTTGAAAAAGTATTTCAAAATTTTTTTCAGTAAGATAATATATATTGACCTTTAATTTCCAAAATTCTGGGTCAGTGGTACATTTTTTAATATACGAAAAGCCAGAATATAATAATTGTATCTTAAATTCTTTTGAAACCAAATTAGGGCATGCGTAGACAGATACAGAGAGATAAAAGAGGGCTATATATGGTTTTATGAATTATTTTTTACATGGGCAGACAGATACAGAGAGATAAAATAGGGCTATATATGGTTTTATGAATTATTTTTTATTTGAGAGGTAAACAACACATCTTTCCATGATATACTCTTCTGTAGAGTTTAAATTTGTATATTATACTAACAATAAATTTTTTAAAAATAATGGTGTTTAAATTAGTTTGAGATTAAAACATGCCAGTAAATACATATACATGAATAACTGGCTCAATTCCTAATTGAACTGCAAAGGCTCTCATTTTGCAAATTGAGATGTTAAGCTCACTGTTTTAAAAGGGGAATTAAGTAATTAAAGAATTTTATCAAGAAGCACATGGTGGATGTATTTTAAGTGGAAGTGATCTCTATTATTTCTCCAAATGGTCTCGCTGAGACAGAATACGATCAACAATTTTTTTTCCCCAAATGTGTCTGCCAACAAGTCAGGATTAGAGAGAATACTAGACGAAACAACAAATTAAAAAGAGCACACATATACTTAGAATCTAACCTACAAAAATGTGAAACCTGATGACTAGAAAATAATGAATTGTAATCTATTCGTGCTGTTACTGGTTCCAGTGTTAGGCAATCACAGTTCTTTGAGAGTCTGGAGCATCAGTTTTTGACACATTATGCCAAAGAGGGGAGTTGATGAACAAATTTTTAGATATGTAAAGGCATCAGCACGGCCTAAATGAAGTAGGGTGTAGTATGTCTAACCATCAGAGTGCTGGCCTGGAACTTAAAATTGTTTTCTAAAAAAAAATTAAAATTTCCCATAATGATAGCTTTCGTATAATGGAAAAATAATAATTTTTTTCTCACTGTCCATAGAGCGATATTTGTTGTGAGTTAACTGTTTTTGATCTACAGTGTGCTAAGGGCCACAGAGTAGCCAATCCCTGCTTCCAGGGACTTACTGTCTGATACCAACTCAGAAACTGTGGGCTGATACCCAGCCAGACACGCTGTGGAAGGTTGGGAGTGAGGGCATCTTTCTCTTTCTGAGTCACAGAAGTTTGTAGTGAAGGACACTCCATGAGTCAAATGGTAGAACTTCTGAGGCAAAGCAAGAAGCTTACCGAAAAGCACAGAATTTCCCCAGAGGCAGCTCTATGTTTTAGTTGGATTTCTAGACAAAATGATAGAAGAGTATGATTACAGATGAGAAAAATACAAGCAAAAAGTATAAAAGAAGAGAAAGTGAGCCAAGAAAGGAAATGCAAATGTTTGTAATTGACAGGCATCCTAATATAAAAATCCTGATGGAGAAATGGCAAGAATCTTTTTTCTTTTCTTTCATGTGTGTGTGTATTCCATGTGATGGATGGTAGGTGTAACTGTGCTGATCTGTACTGCAGGGGGCAATGCTAGCAGTGCTACACAGGAATTGTCCTGTCACCCATTCCATGTGCAATAGGGGACACTTTCATTTCAAACTCAATCAGCAAGTGATGTTTCCTGCCAAAAGGAAAATGTTATTCATCCTAAGATCCCCAGATATCTAACATTTTGAAAGATTACAGAAAATTCAAAGAAAATATGTGTCCTATTATTATTATTATTATCATCATTATTTTAGACGGAGTCTCACTCTCACCCAGGCTGGAGTGCAATGGTGCGATCTGGGCTCATTGCAACCTCCGCCTCCCAGGTTCAAGTGATTCTCCTGCCTCAGCCTCCTGAGTAGCTGGGACTATAGGCGTGCACCACCACCCCTGGCTAATTTTTGTATTTTTAGTAAAGACAGGATTTCACCATGTTGATTGGGTTGGTCTTGAACTCCTGACCTCGTGATCTGCCCACCTTGGCCTCCCAAAGTGCTGGGATTACAGGCATGAGCCACCACGCCAGGCCTGTGTCCCTTAATTATTAAAAACATCTCTTGAATGCTTAATGGGATACTCTACCTGCATCTTGAGAATTCTTGGTAACTGGAATCAGGGCCAAAACAGCCCTTTTAAAACCTCTAAAAATCAGTTTTCTTTTGGAGGACTTGGTTTTAAGAAATTTTTGTTCAAGGAGGGATCTCTACATGGGTCTTTCACTTCAATCTCATTGTTCTTTGTGAGTCAACCATGATGTATTTAGAGAAGAAATCTGACAATAGGAAGATTAAGCCTGTCAGAATAGTTCAAATAAAATGACCAGACTGGGATGTTGCATAATCTGTGGTTTATTTCTACACAGTGTTATTTTCTTCCCTCTTTACTTCCCTTTCCATACCTCACTATCCCTATGCTAACCCCCACCCCAAGATGAAGTGTTTTTCTGCCTTTTCACTCACCTTGCCTGGCTAACCTTCCCATCTCCACCTCATCACTGGCTTTGTGTAATGCAGTAGTTCCTCAAAGCCAATCCTCATACCCATTTCATTAGAACCACTTGGTGAATGTACTAAAAATAAATAAATAAAGCTTCTCTAGCTACACTTAAACTTACTGCATGAGATTCAAAAGGCCAGTACCAACATTTATTAGATTTTATGACTACTTACAACTTTAGGAAATCAATGAGAGTACTGGAGCTGGGGTGGTGGGGGAAGAGGATTTTGTATTTTGTTTGTAGGCCACTAAATCCAGAAAGCAACAGAGTAAACAATTTTCATAAATGTAAAGTATCCCTATAAGGATTGCCTCACTCACATTATTTTTTAAACATGAAAAGCATTTAATAAAAGTGAGTTAGCCCAATAGATTTATCTTGAATTGAGAGAATAGGGACTTGTATAGAATCTAATATCTGTTATTTGCTAAGTATAAAATACCTATTGATCATCTCAGAAATAAAGTCTTAAATGGATATGTCATTCAAGTGGCAAAGTAATAACTTTAAAGTAGAACTATCATAGATTCACTATATATATATTCTATATTTCAGAATAGACTATTGACAATTATCATATAATGAAATTAGAGAAGATGGTTGGCAAGTGAAATTGTATAATTTGGCTATGGTCTTAAGGATATCTTTAGTAATTGAAGTCATCTTCAAATGGAATCTTACATAAGACCATGATATAAAATAATAAAAGTAGAGTGGTTCTGGTTGAAGCAGGAGAGAACAAATCTAGTAAAATCTCTAATTTTACTGAAGGGGTGATTTAGACAAAGAAATTTTTAGTTTACCAAAGGTAATTAACAAGAAAACTACAAATAAAAACACACATTTTTGATTCTCAGTCCAGACATTTTTTTTCAGTATTTGTGATGTATTTAGAGAAGAAATCTGACAATAGTAAAATTCAACCATTTAGAGTCAATGACTATTTGTTTTCTGAGTCTTCCATGATAAGGTACATAAACTAGGTAAACAACAGAAATTTATTTTCTCACAGTTCTTAAGGCTAGAAGTCTGAGATCAAGCTGTTGGCAGTATTGGTTTCCTCGGTCTCTCTCTATGACTAGTAGATTGTCTATGTCTTCACATGGTCTGTGTGTCTGTGTCCTAACCTCCTTATAAGAACAGCAGTCATATTGGATTAGGATCCACCCATATGATCTCATATTTCTCATATTACTGTCCTTACCTCCTTAAAAGGCCCTATTTCCAAATATGGTCGCATTTTGAGGTACTAGAGATTAAGACTTTAACATGTGATTTTGGGGGAGGGGAGGGACACAATTCAACCCTATAACAATAACCAATCAAGAAATTAATCCTGGGTTAGTTTATACCTTGTAAGACAGAGAGGTAATATCCACATCAAATTTGATATTGGCCTTTTAATTTGTTGGTGCAATGATTTCACATGATGGGCCATGACATACTGGTGAGTGACATGACTTGTGAGGGATATGGAAAATAATTAGTTACTACTTAATGCAATATTTACATGACTAGCATATTATGGAAAATTATATTTTATAGATATGTAAGAAAACATGTAATTGGAGTGGGTTTGAAATTTATTGTATAATCCACTCATATGCAGTGAATATTTTTTCTTAAGAAAAGAAGGGTGTTACAATAGTGCTGCCAAGGGGCCACCAACAGCCTGCAGCCTTTCTACAGCATGTAGAGTGTGTTACCAATATTGATGTACCAATAATTGTAGGCATTACAAGTTACTTCTAATGTAAAAGTGCTTGCTTGGTGTATTAGTCCGTGTTCACGCTGCTGATAAAGACATACCCAAGACTGGGCAATTTACAAAAGAAAGGTTTAATGGACTCACAGTTCCACATGGCTGGGGAGGCCTCACAATCATGGTGGAAGGCAAGGAGGAGCAAGTCATGTCTTACATGAATAGCAGCAGGCAAAAAGAGAAGAGAGAGTTTGTGCAGGGAAACTCGCCTCTATAAAACCATCAGATCTTGTGAAACTTACTCACTTTCATGAGAACAGCATGAGAAAGACCAGCCCCCATGATTCAATTACCTCCCACCGGGTCCTTCTCACAACACATGGGAATTTTGGGAGCTACAATTTAAGATGAGACTTGGGTGGGGACACAGCCAAACTATATCACTTGGTTTGTTTGTTTGCTTTTCATTTTCAAAACAGCTTTATTGAGATATCATGGAGGTATAAAAATTGCATTTATTGCATACATTGTGAAATGATGACTAAATTCCAGACAATTAGCGTATTTCACTTCTACATAGTTACCATTTCTGTATGTGAATGTGTGTATATATGTGGTGAGACAATTTAAGATTTATAATGTTAGGAAATTTCAAGTAAAAACATAGTATTTTTATTATTTAATTTATAGCAAATTTAATACTTATTTAACTATGGCTACCATGCTGTACATTAGATCTCTAGAATGTATTCATCCTGCATAACTAAAACTTTGTATCCTTTGACCAATATCCTCCCATTGCCCCTGCCCTCAGCCCCTGGCAACCGCCATTCTACTCTGTGCTTCTGTGAATTTGACTATTTCAGATTCCTCAAATAAGTGAGATCATGTGGTATTTCTCTTTTTGTGTGTTGCTTATTTAACTTAGCATAAAGCTATACAGCTCCATTCATGTTGTTGTAAATGGGTAGGTTCCTTCTTTTTAAAAACTAGACTGGTAGGGTACAGTGGCTCACGCCTATAATCTCAGCACTTTGGGAGGCCAAGGTGGGTGGATCACAAGGTCAGGAGATCAAGACCATCCTGGCTAACACAGTGAAATCCCATCTCCACTAAAAATACAAAAAATTAGCCGGGTGTGGTGGCGCATGCCTATAGTCCCAGCTACTCGGAAGGCTGAGGCAGGAGCATCGCTTGAGCCCAGGAGGTGGAGGGTGCAGTGACCCGAGATCATGCAACTGCACTCCAGCCTGGGCGACAGAGCAAGACTCCCTCTCAAAAAAAAGAAAGCTAGAGAATATTTCATTGTGTATGTATATGTATGTGTGTATATATATATGTATGTGTGTATATATATGTGTGTGTGTATATATATATATATATATACACATACACACACATGAATACATACCACATTATTCATCCATCATAGGACATTTATATTGTTTCTATATCTTGTCTTATGCTACAGTGAACCTGTATTCATATCTTAGTCAATGCTAAATAAACATTAAAGCGCAGATATTTCTTTGCAATCATGTTTTCAATTATTTTTAGATCTACACCCAGAAATGGGATTGCTAGATCATATGGTAGTTCTATTTTTAATCTTTTGAGGAACTACCACACTATTTTCCATAATGGGTGTACTATTTTACATTTCCATCAATATTGTACAAGGGCTTCCTTTTTGCCTCATCCTCACCAACACATGTCCTCTTTTGTCTTTTTGATGCTAGCCATCCTAACAGGTGTAAGGTGATACCTCATTGTGGTTTTGATTTACAGTTCTCTGATGATTAGAGATGTTGAACACCTTCTCATTTGCCTGTTGGCCATCTGGATTTCTTTTGAGAATTGCCTATTTAAATCCTCTGCCCATTTTTTAACTCAGTTATCTGTAGTTTTGGTATGGAGATGTATGAGTTTCTAATCTATTTTGAATATTAACTCCTCATTAGTTAGATGGTATACAAATTTTTCTCCTATTCTTTAAATTGCCTCTTTATTTTGCTGATTATTTCTATTACTGTGCAAAATCTTTTTATCAGAATCCCATCAGCATTATTTCCAGAAGTAGAAAATATCAGAAAGTTCAAATGAAACTATAAAAGATCTTGAATAGCCAAAGCAATCCTGAACAAGAATAAAGATGGATGCATCAAATTTCCTGACTTCAAATTATAAATTACAAAGCTGCAGTAACCAAAACAATATGGCACTGTCATAGAAAACAGTCACGTGAACCAATGGAACAGAATTCAGAACCCAGAAATAAACCCACACATTTACCCTTAACTAATGTTCTGCAAGGGTAGCAAGAACACACAATGGGGAAAAATGTTCTCTTCAACAAATGGTATTGGGAAAATTGGACACCCACATGCAAAAAACAAACAAACAAAAAAACAAAAGCACCAACAACAAAAAAAGGAAAGAAATTGGATCTCTATCACCATGCACAAAAACTAACTCAACGTGGATTAAAGATTTAAACATAAAACTTGAAATGGTAAAATTACTAGAAGAAAACATAGGGGAGATCCTTCTTGACATTTGCCTTGGAAATAATTTTCTGAATATGACATCATAAGCACAGTCAATAAAAACAAAAATAGATAAATCAGATAACATCAGATTTTTTTTTATTTTTAAATTCAGTATGCCCATAGGCATACTATGATGCATATGTGACCCTCATCCATTAGGTCTATAGTAGCAGAGTAAAGGTTAAGAACCAACAAGTGACAGCCCTGTAGCTAAAATGCTAATGTCAGGAGGCTAGTCCTTCTTTGTGCTAGACTGCACCATAAGTGCAGAGAACTGAATATGTTTGCATTATACCCTATGCCCCATTAGATTAAAAAAAATTCCCTGTGCTGTAGTTCTAGACTCCTCTGAGCCAAGTTAAGACTGTTAAATTTTTTTAATGCAATAAAATAAGTCCCAGACACAGAGAAAAGGCAATACAATTTCTCAGGTACTGAACTCAGCTGCCAATTACTTTGGACCTTGAAAGCAGCTGGACGGAGAACACCTGATGGGCTGTAGCAGGTGACAGGTGGCAGAGGGCACTGTAGATGGACCTGGAGGGAGCAGGGATCCAGGCTTTGGCTTTGGCCCAGCAACACCAGGCCAAGTAGGAGGAGACATTCTTAGTGCTGTGGTATCACTATCACCTGTTTCCCAGTGCTTAGAGTCTGGAAAAGGGATAAGCCCTTGCTTCTAAATGCATTTGTAGGTCACAATGTTTGCATTTGCAAATGTGATAAGCTCTCCCTCTAATCTCTATTTCTTGGTTCCCACGTATGTTCCAATTCTTGCTTGAGGCTTCCCTGTGGTGGGGTCTTACAATAGCTCTTACGACTCATATTCTCCTGTTTCAAAATAACTCAGCTCTCCACTCACCATTCCAACTATCTTTTGCAACTCAAATTACCCCAGGGCTAAACATTAAGCTACATATTAAGAGAAAGCTCATTGAAATAATTTTTACCTTGATGTGAGTAACTAATGAGGAGGCTATCTTGACTCTCCAGGGGCACTTGTGTTTCAAAAATGGAAATTTGTTAACTAAAGTAAATTGCCAATTAGTGGACAGTGTTGTGGTAAGAAAAAAAGGTGAAGGAAGTTTCCAGACTGTAAGGGAAATATTTCTGGAAAGAAAAACTTTCTCTCTGTGCATTCTCATTCCTCTTTACTCATACAGGTACTTACAAAATTTTAACTGTAAGTTTCTTGCAATATTATTATCATAAGATGAAAATATATTTCAACATTTTCATGGACTCTGATAATAGTCTCACTGACAATGTACTTTTTATTTTTTTTAAACATTTATTTTGTCTTATTTGTTGGATGTTATCTAAGTTAACTGAAGAACACTTCGTAACTTCCAAATATTTTTCTATCGAAAAAATTTGAGGCCATCTTATAGAGAAACAATATAGAGTAGTACATACAAGACTTCTGGTATTTTACAATTTGTTAATAATGGCTTAAATGTTTTTGCTTTGTTTTGCTATTGGAACTGTAATAACACAGAATAGCAGTTGGCATCAAGTTGGAGGCCTTGCCTTAAATCCAGGCTCTACTGCTTACTACTTATGGATTTGGGGCATGTTATTTTCTCCTATTTGTGCCTCTGTTTCTTCTTACTTACCTTGCAGATTCATTATGAAGATTAAATCAATTAATGCATGTAAAGTGCTTATCATAGAACTTGGCATCTTATAAAGGCTCAATAAGTGCTAGCTATATTATTGTTATCACCTCTATACCTTCTCTGTGCTTCCAAAAGCAGATTTTATTTAATGTTTAAGTCCTAAATGTTGAATATATATTATGTCACCCACAGAGAGGAAGAATAATCTGAGTCATGTAATTACAACTAAAAAAGTATCATGATCTACCCACAGGTACTTTCCTCTGAACAGCACCTAAACATTGTCTCATTTTAAATTTCTTGTCACTATACTAACAGTTTATAAATAAATACACAGTAACCTCAGAGGGAGGCCTGGCATGTCCGGTTTAGGCAGTAGCCAGCTGGGCTGAGGGCTGCTGGCTTTGGGTCAAGAGCAAGCGCCCCCATGCCGGTCATTAGTTGCCAGGAAATGCTTTCCTTATTAGTCATTATTGCCTGAGGATTTTCTAGTGATAGAGTGTTAATACTGTAAGAAATGCTATAATTGCATGACTAGATTAGAAGATATGTACTGTACTTCATTATTCTACTTTGAAGTCTACCACTAAAGTGATCACTTTGCCAAAGAAAAAAATATGGAATATATTTCAAAGAATTTTCAATGTAAATGTAGATTTAGTTGTACAATTAAGAGCAGAAACAAGTAAGCGGGACTAGTAAGTGAGATTAAAATGTTAGAAACATATTCTATCAATAAATGCATTTATTGAGAGCCTACTATGTGCCTCACATCATCCTAAGAAGAAGACATGGCCTGTGATGACACAGACATTTGACATTTACAATCCTGTTAGAGAATCAAAACTAAGAGGTATAAAACAATAGAAGAAATAGCACTGTTCGTGTCACAACTTTGTACTGAGATAAGCAATACTAATTTATAAAAATTGCTTGGCAAACAAAGTCATCTGAACTTAGACAAGGTATTTGAATATGGTTAAGCAATCGGCAATGCTATTTGAGAACTTTTAACCTCGACTTCAAATGTTCCACTTGAGAGCTAGGATTGCAGGCATTTCTTGCTGCCAAAGCCACTTGGTAACCAGATCTCAAAACAATAAAAGGCTAAAAAGAACCTATTAGTGCTATGAAACTTTTCTGCTAAGAAAACTTAGAACAGCACAGAAATTACCACACAGATACTCTTTGTGCAAAACTTTTTACTAGGAGTCACCAGAAATAAAGGTGCCCGACAAACATTAGATGAGTGAAGAAGGGAGAAAGAAGGGGTGTGGGGTGGCTAATGTCTACTGGCCACCTGGGCCTGCCCTCTACCAGGTTCCAGACAGCAAGGTAACCACGTAAACTTAGGAGGGACGGAGCCCATCCTACAAGGCTATTCTGGTACCATCTTGATGCTTTAGACCTTATTTTCAGAAATCCATGAGCATCTCTAAAATGGGTCTGACCTTGGGCTTTTAAAACAAATGTTTAAAAATTAAGCTAACTTATATAATACCATTAACGACTGATAGACTGAAACCCAATTTCTTGGTTTCTAATGGCAATTTTTTTTTTTGTATGGTGCATTTGAGGATCATCTTTGGATCCCAAACATATTTGGTTCTCTATTACCAGTAGCTGTGCTTTAGCAGAATATCTGTTTTTGTATAGATACATTTTATGAAGAATGTTCAAAACTAAACTCTTTAGCCAATAAAGATGTTTCTCTCTTTTATGGAGGATATGTACAGTGTCTTAATAACTTGAAGGGTGGGACTCACAGCATGTACTGAATGTGATGGCTTTTAGCAAACTTAAAATTCAATGTAGTCATCTCATTTACCTGTGGTAATGGGGCACAGGAACAACATAGATAGCTGAACTTCAGAAAATACAGTTTTTTTTTTTTTGTTTTTTTTTGTAGTTTCAACTACTTCTGCAGAGATTTCAAGGAAAAAAGGAGACTCAGATTTCCATTCCTCTCCTTATTCTTCATGATCCAAAGTCCTTGTATCCCAACAACATAGTACAAACAATAACAGTAAGAGGATGAAGGAGAAATGCCGTGTGGCAGACAGGCCGCAGAGGGCCCCCGTGCCCAAACCCTGTATAAATCTTCTTCCCTTGAGTGCAGCAGATATGTGTGACTTGCTTCTAATCAGTGGAATCTAGAAAAGGTGAGGGGTTATTTCTGTGATTACATTATGTTGAGGATTCTCCCTTCTCAGTCCGAAGTAAGAGATTCTCCTTGCTAGGTTGATGAAGTAAACAGCCATGTAAGCCATTCCTTACTTCCAAGTAAGGAAACTCACATAGCCAGAAACTGAGGTTCTGGAGCTGAGGGCAGCTCCTAGAGCCTGAGGCAGCCTTGCAGCTGATGGTCAAAAGCCAGTCCCTCAATCATATGGCATCAAGGAAACGGATTGTGCCAATATCCTGAGTGAGCTTTGAATTGGACTGTTTTCCAGTAGAGTCTCTCGATGAGAATATAGCCCTACTAGCACCTCAATTGCAGCCTATGAGGCTCAGCAGGGAACCCAACTAAGCCCTTCCTAGATTCCTGATCCATGGACACTGTGAGCTAACAAATATGTATGTCTCTTAAGCTGCTAATTTTGTTGTAATTTGTTATACAGCAGTAGAACACAAATGTAGATTTGGGTTTCTGAGTGTTGTTAGAAGGTTCACAGCTGACACTCCTATAACAAATGACAGGTTAGCAAGAGACAAAGCATGACAAATTCATTTAATCAAAGTTTTACATGACATAGGAAGATTCAGAAATGAAGACTCAAAGGCCCAGGGAAAACTGTGCGATTTTAGGTTTAGGTTCAATGAAGAAGGGACAGCCATGTAAATATGTGATTGGAATAAAAGGACGTGATCTAATAATAATTATCTGAGGGGGACTTAGCAAGGTCTGTTTGTTCAGATTCTTCTTGGCCTCTAGCATACCTCACCCAGGTATGCAACAGGACCCTTCTGGAATGAGGGTCTTAGGGCCTACTTTGAAGGGAGGTAGGTCAGAGAATGACCTCTCTAGGTTTTACGGTTTGTGCTGGGGGTGAGGAGTTCTAGTTTCTAGGACTTGCCCTGGGGAAGAGGAATTCTAATTTCTGTGACTCTAGTTTGTGGGAGAAATGAGGGAAGAAGAAAGGAGGGTAGGAGAAATGATGGAAGAAAAGAGGATGGGAGAAGATCAGAGAAAACTTCTTGCTTCTGAAGTCCTTCCAATCTCCTTCAGTTCAAAGTACTCAGCATGTCAAAGTGCCCTACTTTGCAGTATTGTGTTTTAAGCCCCAACAAAGCAAAGTACTGCTATAACAAATACCTGTCATGTAACAGCAGCTTTGGAACTGGTCAGTGGGCACAACCTGGAAAAATTTTGAACAGCATGATAGAAAAATCTAATTTGCCTTGAGCATACTGTTCATGGAAGTCTGGACTTCAAGTATATTGATAGTGTGGGCTCAGAAGAACATGAGGAATATTTCATTGGAAACTGGAGGAATGGGATCCTTGCTATTATATAGTGTTAGAAAGCTTGTCTCCTGTAGTTTCATGGAAGGCAGAACTTGTAAGTGACAAAGTTGAATATATAGCTAAGGATATTTCCATGCAATGGTCAGTTGGATTGCCATTGGGCTGCTTGGTTTCTTCTTACCGCTTATAATAAAATGCAAGAAGAGAAAGATAAATTGAGGAAAGAACTGTTAAGTACAAAGAAACCAGGATTTGATAACTTGAAACTTCCCAGCCTTTACAGAGGGTAAAAGATTCTAACATGAGGAGATGTTTTCCTGGCAGGAAAGCATGCTTTAGAGAAAGAGCCAAGAATGCGACTGTATAGACTTTTGGTGAAACCTCGGAAAGATAAAGAAGTCAGAGTATTTAGTCACAAGAATTAAGGATATGCTTCTCAGATCCTCTCAATCAAACCAAAGGGTCTTTAGGAAATTGAATGGAGATGTTCCTTAGACAGCTCAGAAGGAGGCTGATGTATGGAAGGATTTGTTTTTTATTTTATTATTTATTTCTTTATTTGAGATGAAGTCTCGTTCTATTTCCCAGGCTGGAGTGCAGTGGTGTGATCTTGGCTTACTGCAACCTCCGTCTCCCAGGTTCCAGCAATTCTCTTGCCTCAGCCTCCTGAGTAGCTGGGGTTACAGGCACAGACCACCATGCCCAGCTAATTTTTTCTTTCTTGTACTTTTAGTAGAGACAAGGTTTCACCATGTTGGCCAGGCTGGTCTCAAACTCCTGACCTCAAGCGATCTACCCACCGTGGCCTCCCAAAGTGCTGGGATTACAGGTGTGAGCCACCATGCCTGGCAAGGAGAATTTGTCTTAAAAAGAAGTGTGGATGGAGCTTTTTTCTGAGAGTGAACCCCATTAAAAGCCATAGGAAACACACAAAGTTATTGAGAAAATTATTTCAGCTGAAACATTGCTAAGCTTGGACTGAGAAAGATAGAGATAGAGATACAGATAGAGAGAGATAGAGATAGAGATAGAGGAAGAGAGAAAGAGGGAGAGAGATGGAAAGAGAGAGAGAGAGAGAATAAAGTGAAAGGAAGAAAGGAGGCTACTGGACCCCTACATTTCTACTGGCAGATTCCAGCTGATTACTATTCAGCTGTAAACATGTATCTTTTATGAAAAAGGAAGGACAGCAAAAAAGATAGAATCAAGAACCCAGATGTAGAGCCAGAAGCCATGGAGGATTATTCCAGGCCTTGAAACCTAATCAAGGTACCCTGGCTGGAGTGTAACCAGCTGGGTTTCTGAACTGCTATCCAACAGTGATTGTTTTTCCACTTCTATTTTTTGCCCTTTTTGAACTGGAGTGTCTGAAGCTGTTACCCTATGCCTGCTCCACCACTGTATGTTGGATATGTTGAGGCAAATAACTTGTCTCTCTGGTTTTACAGACCCAGAGATGGTGAGGAATTGTGCCTAGAAGCTGTTCTGAAGGAATTATAACCAGGGACCTTATCCACACGTGCACTCGATTTAGAGAATGAAATTTTGTAATTTTAGTGGATATATAATGGGATGAGATTCTTGGACCTTGGGAGTAGGGAATGTATTTTGCATGTGGGAGACGTATAAATTACTGAGACCAGAAAATGGGCTATGGCAGACTACTCTTAGGGTGGTCCCCATGTTTACAGCCCATAATCCCCTACTCCAAAGTGAATGGAACCTGTGACTTTCTTCCAAGAAAATATGGCAAAAGTGATGGAATGTCACTCCTGTCTTTAGTGTAGTATGTCTTCAGGCAAAGATGCTGGGCTATCATTCCTGTGATTATATTATGTTATCTGAGATTCTGCTTTGGCAAGCTGGAATGAGAGACTCTCATTGCTAGCTTGATAAAATAAGCAGCCATGTTGAGAAATTAAAAGGCTGCCCAAAAGGAACTGCAGGTGGTCTCCAGCTGATAGACTGCTCAAAGCTGTAAATGAGTTCTGCCAACAACCTGAATGATCTTGGAAACAGATCTTCCTTTAATAAAGATTCTAGATGAGAATGCATGATGGCAAGCTACCACAAACATCACAGCTTTAAACAGCACGGACCTATTATTTCATAGTTTCTATAGGTCAGAGGTCTGACCCACCATGGCTAAATTCTCTACTACTCAAGTATTATGAGACCAAAATTCAGGTGTGCACAGGGTTGGTTTCTTAACTGGAGGCTCTAGGGAAGAATCTGCTTCCAGCCTCATTCAGCTGTTGGCTGAGTGCAATTCCCTGCAGTTGTAGTACTGAGGTCTATGTTTGCTGGCTGGTTGTAAACTGAGGTCTACTCTCAGCTCTTAAAGACTGTCCATATTCCAGGTCATGTGGTCCCTTCCATCTTCAAGTCAGCAATGCTGCATCGAATTCCTCCTATTCTTGGAGTCTGCCATCTGTGGGAGAAATCTCTCTGTTTTTAAGGATTCATGTGATTGTATCAGGCCCACCTGGATAATCTCTGTATTTTAAGGTCAACTGTGCCATATATTATGGCCTCATTATGGAAGAGATAGCTCATCATATTCATGGCTTCCTGGAATTAGAGTGGGACATCTTTGGGTGGGGGAATTTTAGGAATTCTACCTACCACAGCATCATCAGGAAACAGGAAAAATAAATAGTTATTTTCTTTACAGAAAACAACGGGGTGAGGTGCTTTGACAATGTTCGTATTTCACATATAAGCCATGCCTGTCTTATGTGTTATTTTCAACTTGGCACTTTTATTAAGAAAACAGTATAATTCAGAAATATTTTCTTTTTTGAATTCAAAATGATTACAGTTTGCATCATTTATTTGTACAGCAAAATTTCTAGTTCATTAGGTTCATCAGTAATAGACATATTGCTCTTACTATCATTTCTTTTTCTCTAACCTACTCAGATTAAAAGATAACACGAAGGAGATTCAATTAGATGAGAGAGTTGTGTAAAATAATTGCTTTCTCTTTCAACATTTTAAGATAGAACATTCTAGATTGCAAAGTGTCTGTGTTTTCATTTCACTGCTCCTCCTTTCATGGTACGTTCAGTTCTACTGAGTCTGTCTGCTTTGCAATTACCCCTAATGATTGGGACCTCCTATAGGATTTTGTGCCCAAAGGGAGGGATGCTCATTCCTTGGCACAAAGGTGCCATTCGCTGGCTAAACTGTGTTCCAGGAATTGAACCTACCCACAGTAGACTTTTTTTCTTTTTTCACTTTTTTCACAGTGGATCCATACACAGAAGGGTCCCTATGAATAATAGTTGCAAGAGCTAATAATTAAGGGTACTTACTCTCTTTCAGGCACTGAAGTAAGTTCACTACTTAACAAGCACAACCTTATAAGTTAGGTAATGTCTTTATCTACATTCTACAGTTGATGGAAATAAGGCTTCGGGAGGGTAATTTGGCCAAAGCCACACAACTTGTTCTTGGCAGAGATGGAGCTTGAGCTTGCTGCATTTGATTCCAAAAATATGTGCTCTTATATACTCTGTTCTACTCTCTCTCTGTTCATTTGCCCATGATGGACATTCTTAAAATAAAATCTATACCTATGTCTATACCTATATATAGATATGTATGTATGTATGTATGTATGTATATATGTAAGTATGTATACTAAGGCTTAGAAAGGTCTTACAATCAATAGGTGAAGAGACCAAAGTCCAGAGATTTAAAATCAAATTTGATCACATTTGCATCACAATTTAGTAGAAAAGCCACAAAGAAAACCCAGATTTCTTTATGCTAACCTGAGCAAGATCAAAGGAGGAGAATGAGGGAGAAGGAAAAAGATGAAGAAAATTACTAGTACCAGGAAACCCTAAAAGATTATATAGTTAACTGCATTGTTTAATATAATAATAAAATGTATGTAAACCAAAGTCAGAAATGTAAAATATACACAAATTTCTAATTAGCATTTAGAACAGCTATCTGATGGAATTACCTTCTGAACTACTTAGGTTTTTAACTGATACCGAAGACAACTTATTTATCAAATGTCCTTGGCTAAACAGTTGTTTCCCAAATAACAACACTGGCTTGGATAATAGAAAATGGTATAAACTTAAATTCTAGGATCCCAAATATAATTTTCTAAAAGCAAAACTTTCTGTCTGCAACTCAGAATTGTTGGAAAGACACCTCTCCCTGCTTGTGTACCCGTGGGGCCTCTTAACACTGCAGAGATCTGGATGGTCACTGTACATATGAGGCATTTAAATGAATCACCAGATAGTAGAAAAAGGTGGAATGCTTTACCCAAGCTTTACACCGAAATATTTCTTGACATTAAGTTCTGAAATCACTAGCTCTGAGGTCACCAAGGCCATTCATGATTTGAGACCAGGAAAAAATGCGTTTAATAATTTAATAAATAAGACCTATATATACTATACTATATATCCTGTATGCTACTATACATAGTATCTTCAGAATCACATATGTTTTTAAGTAAAGTGAAAGAAAAATCCCTGACATATTTAAAATATTTTGACATTTTTTAATTTTTTTAATTGAATAGATAATATCTTGTGACTCATTTAGTTATATCAGAGCAGTCAATTACAATTTATCACTTGTGGCTAATTGTTGGCCTAGACATGGAAACTCTGGTTAGAACACATTCCAGTACATATGTGATAGAAATGACATTCCAAGAGATTAAGTAAATGGTCCACCATTTTTCAGCCAGTAAGTGGTAGAACCAGGATTGGAATTCAAAACGTCTGAGAATAAAGATTAAGTCAATGCAATTCTTGATATACCACACTGCTTTCTTCTCTCATGGAGATGCTTCCTGTATGTATTCTTCTCACTGTGTTCTCCTTCCTTTAATCTTTCTCTCTTCTGTAGAGAATCAGTAAGTTTCAATAATTTTATATTCACAACAAAGAGGAAATACAGGAGGGAAAGCAAGTAGGGGTGAGGAAAAATGGTAAGTTCAGTTATTATGTGAGTTTGAGGTTTTTATAGGACACTGTTCACAGAGATACCTGAAAATACAGCTCTGAATTCCTTGCTGAGATCTATAAAACCTTACCTGATCTAGTCTTTCTCTGACCTCAGTTTATACCAGTTACCCCATATACTAGTTAAGGTATTGCTATCTGCTATAACAAACAATATTTTAGTGCTTAACACACAAAAAGGCTAATTTCTTGCTCATTTAGCAATCTAAGGTAGGACAACAGGATTCTGTTCCAACCAGTCATTCAGAAACCCAGCCTGACTAAGCTCTTCCACCCTCAATAAGAAGCTTCCAGGTTTGACCTGGGGATACTCAGCTGACAAATTGAAGCTAGTCGCATGGCCCCATCAAGATGCAAGAGGGGAGGGAGGTGACTGACTGGTTGGACAGTGGCTTTCTAGCTATAATTCCACACTATGAAGGGGAAGCACAGATCTTTGATGGGCAGCTGTTGTCTCTACCACACGCATTGCTCATTTGGCTCCAGCCATAGGAGGCCTCGTTTTTGTTCCTTGAACACACTGGGCATTTTGCTACCTCAAGGCCTGCATGCTTGCTGTTCTCTTCCCTTGGCCTGATCCCTTTCTCTCCCTGTATGGAAGCCTCCTGCTCTTTCTTCTGGTCTTAGCCCAGATATTATATTCTCAGAGAGTCTTTTCTTGACCACTCAGTATAAAAAGTCCCAATTCCCTGTGATCCATCGTATCATCCTCATCCTCTGTAATTATGTAATCGAACATTTTCTTAATATATTTTCACATTGTTTATTTTCTTTCTGCCATTACTGTAATGCAGATTTCTGAACAAAAAGGAACTGGTCTCACTTATTACTCTCTGTATCCACGTTGCTTAAAATAAAAGGCACTCAATAAATATTTACTGAATAATAACTCAACATGCATTTTTCCTGCCCTAACACCTTTGGTGGTACCCCCATCACTAATGAAATAAAATTTGCACTTCTGAGGGGATCATACAATGTTCATTCTGCAGTGTATCTATTTGGTATCTGCTTCTTAACATAAATTCCTACCATCTACCTCTTGCACTGAGCTTCCTATGCTCCAAAACCATGGAATTATTTGCTATTGCTTTACACTACATTATTCAAAGTCTGCCTTTGCACACACTGTCTTCTATCCAAAATGCATTACATCCTTTCTCCTAAGTCTGCACCTGCCCATTTCCTTTTTTTCTTCTTCTTCTTTTTTTTTTTTTTTTTTTTTTTTTTTGAGACAGAGTCTTGCTCTTCTCCCCATGCTGGAGTGCAGTGGCGCTATAATAGCTTACTGCAGCCCTGAACTCCTGGGCTCAAGCTATCCTCCCACCTCCACCTCCCAAAGTGTTGCAATTACAGGCAGGAGCCACGGTGCCCAGCCCATTTTCTAGTTATTCCTCCAAACCCTTCTCAAACTTCTTTCAGAAGTCCTTATTCTCCTCAGGATGACTTAATTGTATCTCCTCTGTGTGTAGCCTTTGATTTAGTCCACAATAGAGCTAGCAGACACTTCGTAACACACTCTCTATGTGCCCAGATTGTTCTTGGCATTTTGCTTTTGTTTACATTTACTTTTGTACATTTGTTTATCTCTCTGCATAATCCTGTGAGGTAGGTAGTATTATAATCTCTTCTTTAATAAATGTGGGAACTAAAGTACGGAGAAGATAAATAAGCCCAAGATTACACAAAGTAGCAAAGGTGCTGAGATCCAAGCCCAGGCAGTCTGGTTTGAGCTCATGCTTTCAGCCACTACAGTGTCCTGCCACTCATTTTTCTATGAACATACTTTTATTAGTCTACATCTGTGATAAAACTTAAGCTCTGGTTTTGTAATATACAAGAAAAGTTACAATCTAATGTGTTAGGCACAAATATTTCCTTGAAACGGCTGAGCTTGTGATTAATTCATGCCAATGATGAACTCATTTCAGGTCCCTCCAGCCCAGCACAGTGGCTGACAAGATGGGAGATTAGTAAATATTGGATGATAATTTGAGTTGATACATTTCAGTGCTTACTATATACCTTGAAGTGTGTTAATCGTTTTATATTATCTCATTTAATCATCATAAAACCCATAACAGTAGATACTATTATTATCCTCAGTTTTCATATGGTGACTCAACTCAGGTCATACAAGTAGTAAATTGTCAGTTCATAGAGGCTAATCCCAGCCAGTGAAGTCCTGCCTCCTCAACCAATACACAGAGCCAGGTGAGTGGCTGCTTTAATTCTGGGGGGAAGCCAGGCAGCAGACAGTGGGATTGCCAGTGGTGGGCCACATACTGGCACTCAGGACTCTGACTGCATGGGCAGGCCAGAGAGAGAGAGTCTTGATGTACACTAGATTGAGTAAACACACATATTTTATTTTTTGATCCGATTATCACAATCTGATACTTAACAAGTGGTCTCCAGTAGTGATTTGAAAAGAGAAACTCAGATTTGGGGAAAATGCCTCCTGTACTAAACACAATCTACAGTCCACAGGATTTCTTCTCCCTGAAACCATCCATAAAGACATAGCAATAAAATATTTGTAATAGACATATTTATTTATACTGCTTTATGTAATTTTGAATGAAACCTGCAGATAAGTTTACATTCCATGGAGTAGAGAGGACTTTAAACACAAAAACTATAACCAATGGAATTTTTTTCTAGAAACTTTCTAGAATACTTCTATTTAAAGAGAATTTCTTCAGTATTAGTTTAGTAATCTGGATAATATTAATCTTTTCATATTATTATATTGTTTAATGCAATCCATTGCTTTTCCAAACTGTTTTAAATGGGACAAGGCCTTTTAAACATTCATAGCTAAATTCATTGGCTCATATAATCTCAAGCATGCTGTGTGCAATAGACTGTCACCAATATAATTTCAATTTTCATATTACTGAGTATTTTTTGTTTTTTTCATAGAGATTTCTATAATTATGTCATCAAAGAGTCCTGTTTCAGGAAAATTTTCCATATTTATTGAAATAGTGATATTATTGGATCTCAGTATGTGAGACAGAAAAATCTGGTCTCTGAAGGAAAAATATAGGACTTCAAAGCAGGATTAACTGAAATCATTGGATGGGCCTAGACAGCTTTTTTTAAGAAAATGAACTCCAGGCAAATGAAATCTCAATGTTATCAGGCCTAGCATCTTCAGGGAGACATGGACTTGCAGTGCTGTGTTAATTTCTTAGGGCTGCTGAAACAAAATACCACTAACTGGGTAGTTTACGCAATAGAAATGTATTGTCTCACAGTTCTGAAGGTTGGAAGGCTGAGATCGAGGTGTTGGCAGGGCTGATTCCTTCTGAGGGCTGAGTCTGGTCCCCCACCATCCCCAGAGACTGAATTTGTCTCATGCCTATTCTCCTAGCTTCTGGGGTTTACCGGCGATCTTTGGTATTTTTTGCCTTGTAAATACATCATCTTGATCTCTGCCTTCATGTTCACCTGCCTGTTCTCTCTGAATGCATGTCTGCTGCTGTGTCCAAATTTCTGTTTTTTAGAAGGACATCAATCACATTAGATTAGGCTCCACACTAATAACCTCATCTTAACTTGATCATCTGTAAAGATCATAATTCCAAGTAGGTCACATGGACAGGTGCTGGGAGTTAAGACTTTGATAACGTTTTGGAGTGGCACAATTCTACCCATAACAAGTGCACAGAAGTATGGCACCTTTCCACTGCAGAGACTGCTTAAAACATAAAACATATGAGTAAGATTGAGGTAGGAAGCCTGTGCTCCTCCTACCCCCGATCTCTCAGGTTCAGCAAGGTGAGGATTATGGCCTTAGGCTGTCCAAGGACACACAGAATGAGTTAGGACAGCCTCCTGAGGAATGGTATGGCCCATTTTCTTTAATGATAAGAGTAAAATACTCTGTAATAATGAGGCTCCCCTCATGAGGTGACAGATTTTCAAGTGACAGCTGTGATACCTCCCTATTTCCTAAGGATTAGCTTAATGCTTTTACAACAGTCCAAATAAATTATTTGTTTGTATGTGAAGCCCAGTTTCTACAGTCTCCTCTACATTACCCTTGGTTTAGAGGACTGGTCTAGGCACACATTTGAATCTGGAGTATTTCATCCTGACCTTCCTAGGCTAAGGCTGAGAAGACAGTTGAACTCTCAGTACTGGGTTTGTGTCAACCCTAACCCATAGGAAAAAAAAAAAAAAAAAAAGCATTGCCTGGTGAATTTGGTGACCAGAGAAAATTTTGTTCACCATTGGCCTGATCAGCAAAATAATTAACTTCCAGAATAATGTAGATTTGCAGATTTGAGGGACATTCATAAGAAAGAGTGAGGTGTTTGTGCCAACAATATCCAGGGGAGAGAATGTCAGAGGTTTAATCTATTCTATCCATGGTAAAATACAACGTGGAAATGGGTGTTTTAAATTATCTCCATTGAAAATTATGAAATGTCTGAACCAGGTAACTGATTCCCATTGCCCTACCTTGGTGAGTACCAAGCAACTTTCAACTCATACTCAGCTTATTACCATGCTTGTCCTGATGCACAGAGCAGCCACAGGTTAGACAGCACACAGGAATATACACAGGGTAGACTTCGGGCCTCCCTATCTTTCACTGGATGTTGCAACAACATTCTGATTTAGGACCCCAATATTCTGTAAAGTTGTGGTTATTACTGTAGTCATTAGTTTTTTCTGTTTGTTGGTTTATTTGTTTGTTTTTAACTGACTTAACATATATTATCTCACAGTTTCTGTGGGTCAGGAAACTGGGTATGGCTTAACTCTGTCCTCCGATTCAAGGTCTTTTCGAGGTATTAGTTTCATTCATCAAATATGCCTTACTCTGCTCCTTCCAGGCACAAGGTAGAATTACATTTTCCTACCCCTTTTGTGAGGATTTGCTTTGGAAAGGACCATGTGAGTAGACATGATTTATGTCATTTCTAGACAGAAACTTTAAGTCAGGACACTTTTGTCATCTCCCTTTTTTCCTGCTTCAGCAATGGTGAAATCAAAGAGATTGAGGCTTCCTTAGCTTCACTTTCTAAAAGAGAACAACAATGAACTTGTAGAGTGGTAATGAGAAATAAAGCCGTTGCTGTTTAAATCACTGAAAACCTGAGGGCTGTTTTTACTGAGGCAGCCTATCTTGACTGTTACCAAAAGGATGTATTATTTTTGGACAGCCAAGGACATGTTTCCCATGAGCTGAAGACTAAGTCCTATCAACCCTGCATGGCATATTCAACAGTTGATGACACTATTTTCTGCCTTGTCTCTGATCCTTGTTTTTGGTTCACAAGTTGTTATTTTGAATGGCAGGTAGTATAGTAGAGCACAGTGGTTAAGAGCAAAACTTTGAAGCTAAAATGTATCAGGTCTTTGTTGTCGACTTGAATGCTAAATGATGCTGTTGAGTGAAGAAGGGATTGTGTTATACATGGAGCTTTCCAATAAAATTATTTCTTCTCTTTATGTTCAGGATACATTTACCTCTTGAGATGACAATTAAACATTCATAAATTACTTTGCAAATTAGAGAGATGTATTTGAACCTAAAACCTTCTACTTCCTATTGCTCCTTCTAAACAAAATTTCCAAATTCCACCTCCACTAAGGTAACAGGAAAGGTTTTATGAGGGCTGCCAAACACAGGAATGATGAACCTTCCATTTTCTAATAAGTTGAGTTTGTTAAATTTGTTTCAATCACATTGTGTCCTCTATGATGCCTTGGATTTAAACTTGAATTTTCCCCCACAAGCAGCACTTGGGCTGAGCATTGGTATATATATATATATTTTTTTTTTGAAATTAAGAAAATGGCAAGTGGATTCATGTGTTATTTTACTTTATATTTTGCATATTTTATTAAGTATTATTGTCCAGAATTTAGTAATATGTGTTAAGTACTTTATAATCATTTAATTTTGAATTATAGAAGCAATAGTGAATATGAAGAGAATTAGATAGATATAAAGTATACTTAGGGGATAAAATCAACAGAGTTTCGTAATAGATTGAACATGGGAAGGTATAGGGAGAGAGAGTTGTCAAGGATGGCTTCTTAGTTCTGGCTTCAGCAACTGAGTTAGTGAAAGTATCTTTCACTAAGACAATAGAAGAGGAAGAGGCTAAGTTTGATTTTATACATATTGAATTTGAGCTGTCATTCAAACTAGGCAGTTTTGTATATACATCTGAAACCCAGTGACTCCGTGGGACAAAAGAATCTGAACAGCAGCCCTTGAGTCCCAGATTTTTCCTCTGATATAGTCTACCCAAATAAGAAGGAACTAGATAAACAATTCTGGTAATATGACAAAACAAGTTTCTTTAACACCCCTAAAAGATCATATCAGCTCACCAGCAATGATCCAAACCAAGATGAAACCTCTGAATTGCGAGAAAAATAATTCAGGAGGTTGATTATTAAGTTAGTCAAGGAGGCACCAGAGAAAGGCAAAGTCCAACTTAAAGAAATAAAAAAACATGATACAGCCTATAACAGGAAAATTCTTGAGTGAAATAGATAGCATAAATAAAAAACAAAAACAATCACAACTTCTGGAAATCAAGGACAAACTTAGAGAAATGCAAAATGCACTGGAAAGTCAGAGCAATAGAACTGAACAAGCAAAAGAAAGAACTTCAGAGCTGGAAGACAAGGTTTTAGAAGTAACCCAATCCAACAAAGACAAAGAAATAAAGAGTTTTAAGAAATGAACAAAGCCTCCAGAAGTTTGGGATTATGTTAAATGACCAAACCTAAGAATAATTGGCATTCCTGAGGGAGAAAAGAAATCTAAAAGTTTGGAAAATATAATTGGGGGAATAATTGAGGAAAACTTTTGTGGCCTTGCTAGGAATCCAGACATCCAAATACAAGAAACTCAGAGAACACCTGGGAAATTCATCATAAAAAGATCATCGCCTAGGCACATAGTCATCAGTTTATCTCAAGTCAAGATGAAAGAAAGAATCTCAAGAGCTGTGAGGCAAAAGCACCGGGTAATCTGTAAAGGAAAACCTATCAGATTCACAGCAGATTTCTCAGCAGAAACCCTACAAGCTAGAAGGGATTGGGGCCCTATCTTAAGTCTCCTTAAACAAAACAATTATCAGCCAAGAATTTTGTATCCGGCAAAACTAAGCTTCTAAATGAAGGAAAAATGCAGTGTTTTTCACAAAAACAAAAGCTGAGAGAATTCACCACAACCAAGCCAGCACTATAAGAACTGCTAAAGGCGTTCTAAATCTTGAAACAAATCTGGAAACACATTAAAACAGAACCTCTTTAAAACACGAATCTCACAGGACCTATAAAACAAAAATACAATAAATAAATACATAAATAACCCCAAGGTTTTCAGGCAACAAATAGCACAATGAATGGAATAGTACCTCACATCTCAATACTAACATTGAATGTAAATGGCCTAAATGCTCCACTTACAAGATACAGAATTGCAGAATGGATAAGAATTCACCAACCAAGTATCCCCTGCCTTCAAAAGACTCACCTAAAACACAAGGACTCACATAAACTTAAGGTAAAGGGGTAGAAAAGGACATTCCATGCAAATGGACACCAAAGTGAGCAGGAGTAGCTAGCTATTCTTAAATCAGACAAAACAAACTTTAAAGCAGCAGCAGTTAAAAAAGACAAAGAGGGACATTGTATTAATCCGTTTTTATGCTGCTGATAAAGACATACCCGAGACTGTAATTTATACAGGAAAAAGGGTTTAATGGACTTACAGTTCCACGTGGCTGGGGAGGCCTCACAATCATGGCAGAAGGCAAGGAGGAACAAGTCACATCTTACATGGATGGCAGCAGACAAAGAGAGAAAACTTGTGCAGGGAAACTCCCCCTTATGGAACCATCAGATCTCATGAGACTTATTCACTATCATGAGAACAGCTCAGGAAAGACCTGCCCTCATGATTCAATTACCTCCCACCAGGTCCCTCCCACAACATGTAGGAATTCAAGATGAGATTTGGGTGAGGACACAGCCAAACCATATCAGACATTATATAATGATAAAAGGGAAATATCACAATCCTAAATATATATGCACCTAACACTGGAGCTCTCAAATTTATAGAACCATTACTAGTAGACCTAAGAAATGAGATAGACAGCAACACAGTGATAGTAGGGGACTTCAATACTCCCCTGACAGCACTAGACAGGTCATCAAGACAGAAAGTCAGCAAAGAAACAATGGATTTAAACTATACCCTAGAACAAATGGACTTAACAGATATTTATGGAACATTCTACCCAACAATCGCAGAATATAAATTCTATTCTTCAGTGCATGGAACTTTCTCCAAGATAGACGATATGATAGGCCACAAAACAAGTGTTAAGAAAACTGATATTATATCAAGTGCTTTCTCAGACCACAGTGGAATAAAATTGGAAATCAACTCAAAAAGGAACCCTCAAAATCATGCAAATACATGGAAATTAAATAACTTGTTCCTGAATGATCACTGGGTTAACAATGAAATTGAGATGGAAATTTAAAAATTATTTGAACTGAATGATAATAGTGACATGACATATCAAAACCTCTGGGATACAGCTAAAGTGGTGCCAAGAGGAAAGTTCATAGCATTAAATGCCTACATCAAAAAGTCTGAAAGAGCACAAATAAACAGTCTAAGGTCACATCTCATGGAACTGGAGAAACAAGAACAAGCCAAACCCAAACTCTGCAGAAGAAAAGAAATAACAAAGATCAGAGCAGAACTAAATGAAATTGAAACAACAAAAAAATACAAAAAAAAAGTAAACAAAAAGCTGGTTCTTTGAAAAAATAAATAAAATTGATAGACCATTAGTGAGATTAACCAAGAATGGAAGACATAAGATCCAAATAAGCTCAATTAGAAACAAAATGGGAGATATTACTACTAATACCACAGAAATACAAAAGAGTGTTCAAGGCTACTATGAACACCTTTACATGCTTAAACTAGAAAATCTGGGGGAGATGGATAAATTCCTGGAAATATACAACCCTCCTATATTAAACCAGGAAGATATAGAAACTTGGAAGAGACCAATAACAAGCAGAGAGATTGAAATGGTAATTTTAAAGTTGCCAGCAAAAAAACGTCCAGGACCAGACGGATTCACAGCTGAATTCTATCAGACATTCAAAGACAAATTGGTACCAATCCTGTAAACACTATTCCACAGGATAAAGAGGGAATCCTCCCCAAATCATTCTGTGAAGTCAGTATCACCCTAATACCAAAACCAGGGAAGGATATAACAACAAAAGAAAACTGCAGACCAATATCCTTGATGAACATAGATGCAAAAATCCTCAACAAAATACTAGCTAATGAAATCCAACAGCATATCTAAAAGATAATCCACCATTATCAAGTGGGTATTATACCAGGGATGCAGGAATGGTTTAACATCTGCAAGTCAATAAATGTAATACACCACAAAAATGGAATTAAAAACAAAAATCACATGATCGTCACAATAGATGCAGAAAAAACATCTTACAAAATCCAGCTAGACAAAATCCAGCATCCCTTTTTGATTAAAACCTTCAGTAAAATTGGCATAAAAGGGACATACCTTAAAGTAATAAAAGCCATCTATGACAAACCCACAGCCAACATTATAATGAAAGAGAAAAAGTAGAAAGCATTCTCTCTGAGAACTGGAAGACAAGGAAGACAAGGATGCCTACTTTCACCACTTCCATGCAACATAGCACTGGAAGTCTTAGAGGAATCAGACAAAAGAAATCAAGGACATCCAAATTGGCAATGAGGAAATCAAACTGTCACTGTTCACTGATGTTACTGTTGTATACCTAGAAAACCCTAAGGACTCACCCAAAATGCTCCTAGAACTGGTAAATGAATTCAGCAAAGTTTCAGGATACAAAATTAATGTACACAAATCAGTAGCTCTGGTATACACCAATGGCAACCAAGCTGAGAACCAGATTAAGAACCCACCCCCTTCTACAATAGCTGTAAAAAGAAATTAAAATACTTAGGAATATACCTTACTAAGGAAGTGAAAGACCTCTACAAGGAAAACTACAAAACACTGCTGAAAGAAATCATAGATGACAGAAACAAATGGAAACACATCCCATGCTCATGGATGGGTAGAATCAATATTGTAAAAATGACCTTACTGCCAAATGCAATCTACAAATTCAATGCAATTTCCATCAAAATGCCACCATTTTTCTTCACAGAACAAGAAAAAGCAATCCTAAAATTCATATGGACCCAAAAAAGAGCCCACATAGCCAAAGCAAGACTAATAAAAAGAACAAATCTGGAGGCATCACATTACTCAACTTCAAACTATGCTGTAAGGCTATCATCACCAAAACAGCATGGTATTGGTATAAAAATAGGCACATAGACCAATGGAACATAATAAAGAACCCAGAAATAAACCCAAATCCTTACAGCCAACTGCTCTTCAACAAAGCAAACAAAAACATGAAGTGGGGAAAGAACACCCTATTCAACAAGTGGTGCTGGGATAATCGGCAAGCCACAAGTAGGAGAATGAAATTGGATCCTCATCTCTCACCTTATAGAAAAATCAACCCAAGGTTGATGAAGGACTTAAATCTCAGGCCTGAAACCATAAAAATTCTAGAAGATAACATTGGAAAAACCTTTCTAGACATTGGCTTAGGCAAAGACTTTATGACCAAGAACCCAAAAGCAAATGCAACAAAAACGAAAATAAATAGATGGGACTTATTAAACCAAAAGCTTCTGTACAGAAAAAGAAATAATCAGGAGTTAACAGACAACCCACAGAGTGGGAGAAAATCTTCACAGTCTATACATCTGAAAAAGATTAAGTGTTTTCTATATTCTAATAACCAGAATCTACAAAGAACTCAAATCAGCAAGAAAAAACAAACAAACAATCCCATGCAACAGTGGGCTAAGTACATGAACAGACAACACTCAAAGGAAGATATACAAATGGCCAGCAAGCATATGGAAAATATGCTCAACATCACTAATTATCAGGGAAATGCAAATTAAAACCGGAATGTGATACCACCTCACTCCTGAAAGAATGGCCATAATCAAAAAGCCAAAAAATAATAAATGTTGGTGTAGATGTGGTGAAAAGAGAAGACTTTTACACTGTTGGTGGGAATATAAACTCGTACAACCACTATGGAAAACAGTGTGGAGATTCCTTAAAGAACTAAAAGTAGATCTACCATTTGGTTTAGCAATCCCACTACTAGGTATCTACCCAGACGAAAAGATGTTATTATATGAAAAGATACCTGCATATGCTTGTTTATAGCAGCACAATTTGCAATTGGAAAAACATGGAACCAGCCCAAATGCTCATCAATCAATGAGTGGATAAAGAAAATGTGATACATATATATATACACACATATATATATACACACACATATATATATATACACATACACACACACACACACACATATATATATAAAATGGAATGCTACTCAGCCATAAAAGGAATAAAATAATGGCATTTGCAGCAACCTGGATGAAATTGGAGACTACTAGTCTAAGTGAAGTAATCGAGGGATGGAAAACCAAACATCTTATGTTCTCACTCGTAATTAGGAGCTAAGCTATAAGTTCATAAAGGCATAAGAATGATACAATGGACTTTGGGGACTCAGGGGAAAAGGTGGGAGGGGTGAGGAATCAAAGACTACACATTGGGTACAGTGTACACTGCTTGGGGAGGGTGATGGGTGCACCAAAATCTCAGAAATTACAACTAAGGAACTTATCCATGTAACCAAACATGACCTGTTCCTCCAAAACCTATTGAAATAAAAAATAACTTTTTTTTTAAAGGAAGGTATGGCCAATAGCATTCATGTGACTAAGAAATGGGGAAGGCTGTGAAATGTTCATTTAGCAACATGAAGATGGTTGTTGAGTTGTTTCAAAGTAATATAACTGAAAGCTGTTTTAGAGTATACATGAGACAGAAAGCCAGATTTCTGTGAGTTGAGAAATATCAAGCCTGTGATATTAAATATTTTCAACTCATTTAAGAAGTTTGGCTGTGAAAGGGAGATGAAGGTCCAGGAGTTCGAGACTACTCTGAGCAACATAGGGCCAGGAGTTTGAGACTAGTCTGAGCAACATAGCAAGAACCTGCCTGTAAAAAGAAAGTTAAGTATTATTTGGGCATGGTGGCAAGCATCTGTCATCCTAGCTACTCAGGAGGCTGTGGTGGGAGGATGGCTTGAGCACAGAAGTTTAAGGCTGCAGTGAGCTATGATTGTGCCACTGCACTCTAGCCTGGGCAACAGAGTGAGATCTTGTCTCAAATTGATGGATATATAGATGACAGAGAGAGAGAGAGAGAGAGAGAGAATAGAAACAGATAAACAGATATAGATAGATAAATAGATAGATAGATAGATCGATCGATCGATAGATAGATAAACAGCTGAAGAGTTTGAAAGGTAGACTCTTCTATGAGAAAATCTTGTCCATATTTAAAAGCCCCTGGAAAGCAGCCATTACAAAATGGGTTTGAATATATATACAGGAGACAAGGGATAATCAACAGATTATTTCTGAGAATGCTGGGGTGATATGATCTAAGGTACAGAGGAAAAAATTAGCTTTAGATAGTGGCACAGGGACTTTTATTTCTGGTACCGATTTAAATCAGTATACATATCAAAATACATTTTATGTCAATTTTGATTTCCTCTGTGTCTAAAAAGTAATGTAAGAGAAAGTTCTTTTACAACTTATATATGCTGTAATTTTTTAAATTACCTTTTTAAAATATAGGTTTCAGATTTACTGAATTGTGATCAGATTTACTGTATTCTATACTGTATCTGCTTGGAGAATGTTTTGAGATATTTTTGTGATCTAGTAAACTGTGTTCAATATCTGGGACAAATGTGCATTTGCAAAGAAGGTATTCAGGCAAAAAGTTTGATATATAACAAACAGACCTACGTCGTCATTACTTAACTTACCTCTTTCTACAGGAGAGGCAGTTGTAGTTAAGAGAGCAAACCATAAAGACGTTCTCGTGAAGTTCAAGTTGCTAACTTTCCTATTTACTATTTTACCTTGAACAAGATAGTTGACCTCTCTGTGTTTTATTTTCCTCATCTTTAAACTGGTTGTGATTAGAGTTCTTGCCTCATTAGTTTTTTAAAAAGATTAAATCCATTAGCATGTATAACCCACTTAAATTCATGTTTGGTGCATAGTAAGACTTAAAAGTGGTTAGATAGTGTTACTGTTATCCTTGCTTCTAGTTGAGTCCTTGTTCTTCATGGGTTTGGAAAAGTGAATTAGTTTCCTACAGGTACTGTTTCTCTATTTTAGCTTATTAGTCCTATAATCTTTGTTTTATTAATGCCAATGCTATATTGTGTTGTGTTTTGGTATTCGTATTCAGTGTACTGGTTAGAAATGTAGGTATATATTTAAAACTATTGTGTCTTCATTGTAAGGTGCTCTTTGTTTGATTACATTTTGAATTCAACCCTGCCTATCATTAGATCCATGACTCCTGCTTTCCCCCTTGGTGCATTTGGCTATGTCTTTATTCACCCTTGTACTTCCCAACTTTCTGATCACTTGTGTTTTATGTGCAGCATGCGTACACAGAATGTAGCTTGGTCCTGGCTTTGGAAGCTGATATAAGGACTGTTTACTTTTAATATTATAGTTTAATCAATTCACATTGATATTACACTACTTTAGTCTTTATCCATTGATTTTAATTTATATTATTCTATATTATTATTATATTATTCTATATTATATATTATATTCTATATTATAATTATATTATTCTTTCTGTTTTTACATATATATGAAAAATGTGATATATATATATGTCAGAATCAGTATGTGGTCTGTTTATTTAATTAGCTATACCCTTATATATTTTCATTGCTGATTTAGATAAATTTTAATCTTGTTCTACTAGTTGCCAACATCGCCCTCCAGCATGAGCTATCACTATGAAGATATATGAAGCCCACTTAATTATTTTTCCCTTATAAGTGACATATCTTTTTGTCTGGATATTACAAGAATTCTTTAATTTTGAAGTCCAATAACTTCATTAGGATATGCCTCGGCTTTGATCTTTTTGTGTCAGGTTTTCCTCTGACATGGTAGGCCCTTTTATTTCCAGAGAGTATCTTTGAATTATATTTTTGATTTTTTTATTTTTGATAATTTTGGTTTTCTTCTTTAGGGGTACCAAGTATGTAGATGTTAGATCTCCTTTATTGGTATTGTATATTTACATTGTCCCTTGAATCTTTTTTCAGTAATGGTCGTCTTACCTTGTATTTTGCTTGTTTTCATCACTGCCGTTCATATATGTATTACTGTGTTTTCAGCTAGGTTTATACTCCATTATGTTGTTTCCAATGTGGGCTTCAACTCTGTAACAGTTTAATTTGTTTTCTAAGCCACTTCTTTCCTAAACTTTGCCAGCTTATGTTATTTTGCCGTATCTTCTTTGAGTTCTTGTACCTCTTCTTGTTTTCCAATAAAGTCTATTTCATTAAAGGTTTTTTCTATTTATCGCATTGAATTTAGTATTATATTTGTTATAGTTTCTACTTTATGTCTTGATATCTTTCTTCCTTTATTTTTTAGTCATTGTATATAGATCCTTAATTCATTCCTTTTATTTTATATTTTAAAAAAAATTTTAAATAAATTTTATTATGCATATTTGAGGATTTACATAATGATGTTATGGGCTATATAGCTGGTAAAAGGATTACTGCAGTGAAGTAAATTAACATATCTATCATCTCACATAGTTACTTTTTTGTGGCAGTAGCAGCTAAAATCTACTTATTTAACAAAAATTCCAAATAGAATTTTATTACTTATAGTCCTCATGTTGTACATTACATATCTAGACCTGTTCTTTCTACATATCTGATACTTTTTGTTCTTTGACCTACATCTCCCCATTTTCTATCCCAACCTTTTACCCCCTGGTAGTCACTATTTATTCTCTATCTCTGCATATTTGACCTTTTTTAAAGATTCCAAAAATAAGTGAGATGAGGAAATATTCATTATGTGTCTAGTTTATTTCACTTAGCATAATGTTCTCCAGGTTCATCCATGTTGTGGCAAATGACAGGATTTTTTTCTTTTTTAAGGCTGAATAATATTCCATCGTGTGTGCTTGCTTAGTCCATTCATCCACCAGCAGACACTTAGGTTGTTTCAATATCTTGGCTATTGCGAATAATGCTGCAATGAACATGAGAGTGCAGATATCTTTATGAAGCAGTGATTTCATCTCCTTTGGGTATACACTCAGAAGAAGGATGTCTGGGTCATACAGTAGGTCTATTTTTATCTTTTTAGGAATCTCTATACCACTTTCCAAAATGGTTACACCAATCTACATTCCCAATAGCAGTGTACTAGGGTTTCATTTTCTCCACACTCTCATCAACATTTATGTCCTGTCCTTTTGATAGTAGCCACCCTAACAATTGTGAGGTGATATCACATGGTTTTGATTTGCATTTTCCTCATGATTAGGGATGTTGAGCACTGGCTGGTTCCTTTTTGATTAGTTTGAAAGTGGTGAGTCTTTCTTGTAATAGCAAGAAGTCCTCTTAGTCTTCTTAGCCTTTACTTGTCTTGGCCACCAGAGATTGGAGCCACCTTGCAGATTCCCTCACCTTCATCTCTTTGCTTCCTAACTGCTATTGCAAATGGGGCTTCTTGTATTTCTTATTCTCCTCTTCCTACCAGCTTCTTTGTCATGCTAACTGGGTTCAGAAAAACTCCAACCATCAGCCAGTGCTCACAATTCTCTTATTTTGAAAAAGAAAAGTATTGGCCCTCAGTAAATGTCACTTGCTTGAGAGATTTGTGTCTTACCAGTTGTATCTGAGATATGCAATATCTGACGTCCTCTAAGGATCCTCTTGCATTTCAGTTTGTCCTTTATTAAGTTTGGCAGCCTTTTTATTCACATATTATGATTTGAGATTACCACTGTCTCCTAATTTCATCAAAAATGGAGCTTGCTTTCCAAATTGCTTTTGGATATGTTCTAAAAGAAGAATAGGAAACTTCAATCTTGGACCATGTTAAAATCAGATGTTTTCTGAAATTCTTGAAGCCTCTTATCAGAACGTACTCTCTGTGTCCATTCTGTGGTTCACCTTAGAAAAGCATTGTCCACATCATTAATTCTGCCAGGAAATGTATAGTTTCTTTCCTTATGAAAACTGCTCTGGTTCTTTTTATTTCTATTCATAAACAAATAGTCTTCACCATATTACCATATTCAGTTTTATGGATATTTATTATATAAATACAAATTTATTCTTTTATTAAAACTTTTTGTGTTTAAACATTGCATATTTTCTTAGTGATGGATTTTAGTCATGAGTCTATTTCAATCAAGTCTAAATTGTACCTTTGCAATGGCATCTAATGAGATTCATTTCCTTTTCTATATTGTTTACTTTGTTATCTGACTTGAGTGTATTTGTCTGTAGACCTGTGATAACATTTGTTCCCCATATTTCATCATCTTAATGTTTATGAGAAATTCCTGGATCTCTCCTTCATCAAATGACTTCCTTTTATAGCTATTTCTATTGTCCATATTTGCATTTTTATCTGTTTATTTCTCAGCTCCACACCTAAGTTCATTTCAAATACCTTTTGATCAAGCTAGTACATGAAATAATTTGTCAGACACATTTTTGCCAGCTTCTTGATATGCACTCATGCAACTCTTGCCAACAGTCTATGCTTATGGTATTTGTATGGTATGTTTCAAAAATCATATCCAGCTCTGCCACACTACATATGTAGGCAGTCATTCACTTTAATTTTCTACTAAAAATGTAAATATCTTCAGATACATATTTCAGATCTGCCTACTGTTATTCCCCATGAGGAATAGCAGAAATGTATAGTAATTAGTCTGTTAGATGTATCATGGCAGAATAGCCATAACACTTCAGACACTCTCTTTAGGAGGAATATCAGTCAGTTATGACTGCTTTCATATCTGTCACTAAATTACCATGACCTCTCTCCATTTGGGGTAAGCAGCAAGATTCTTCTCACTTGTTGCTAGGGCTTATGACTATGGTATATTATTTTGAATGACTGGAGTTCAACCAGAATGTTATAACACACCAATGTGTCTGATAGAGCTATGAAAAAGAAGTGCAGTTACAGGTAGCAAATGATAATGGTGCATTACATGTTCTCTTTGCTTAAGACAAGGCATGCTTTAGGAGATCCACTTGAGGATGATGGTTTCTGGCGTGCTGGAATGAGTAAATAACTAACTGCCTTAGAAGGCAAGAGGAAGCTCTTTCAGAAAGTCCAAAATCATTGTTCACAGGGGTTCCAGATCCATTTTTTAATCCCAGTATCTTCTAGTTCTCTGCTGAGTAATGTTATTTCATGTGTTCTTCAATCACTAATGTTTTTCTTGATTTTTGGGTTTCCTCTTAAATTATGTTTTCATTTGGTCTCAAATCATTATTGTCTCCTCCTTAATGAACCAAAACAAAGGAATATTAATTAGAGCTTTTCCATTACAAATGCATTCTCTTGTGTTCGTAGTGGATATAATTAGTAGTTTAATTCAGGCAGGGACGTAAACAAAGTACATACCTTGTACCACACTACGAACTTTAAATAGTCATTTCTTAGCTATATACATTACTGATACCCTCTGCAAAACAGCTCCCATCCTTTACCTCTGCAAAATGCCTGGAGGTATAACTGAAAATGGATTTTGGTAATAGCTATGCAGTAATCTGATGTGGTAATCTGATGCCCTACTCATGGAGAGTTCAATTTAAATAATTTAAATGATTATCTATCGCCAACCCTTTGCTCACATCTGGTCTAGTAGTACATTAGATTAAATGAGCAGGAAGAGATCTTTGCCTTGACATAGGAAAAATCTTACTAAACCAAGAAATACTTAGGTTAAAGAAAATAGAGCATTGAAAGGAATATAGTTTCAATCAGAATAGTTAAAATTAGGAAGATAATATTGAATTTAGGGGCACAAATGCATTATAGAAAACAGAAACACTAAAAGCAGAAAAGTAAAAGATATGGAAAACAGCAAGGCTTATCAAAGTTTACTTGTTGCAAGTCTTTTTTACAATTATTTTATGAGTAATTTTATATTATTTTTATGTCATTTAACAAGGGATTATCATTTTCTTATGAAATATTGCTTATGATAGAAAACAAGTCAAATTCTTACTTTTATCTCCTTCCCACTTTCCATGGAAAATTAAATTTATTTTCCTTTCAAGTTCTTCTTTCCCCTTCTGTGCCTTCCCTCTTAGATAATGATGCACTAGCTTCTTCTACATTACCTGACATTTTTCTAGTAAAAACAAACTTCCCATTGATTAAAATTCCCTTAGAGATGTTTTTTAAAAAACGAGTAAGTTTAAGTGGGTGTTTCTCCCATTTTTCTCCAGGTGGAGTAACTACATTGATAGGCCGTGTGGCTTCAAGGTAATGGCATTCCAGCATGTCAGGTGTTGCTATGGTGCTGAGAATCATATTCACAGGCTTCCTTTTCATGACGTCTTCATCTCTGATCTTAGATACACTACATGCATTGCTAATTTACTCCTGGCTGCACACAAACATCTGCATGTTCTCAGTTTTTCTCTCCCCCTACCTTTAAGAATGCCCATCATTCTTCATCTTCAGTTATTAATGTAACTCATTATGTGCTTCTCCAGCTGTCCTCAAAATGTATGCTGAATAAGACATGAGGAGGGAAGCTTAAAAAAATAAGATAGCTTTTCCAATCTAGGCAAGTCATTAGATGAATGTAAGTCAGAAAAGAGAGGAAAATTTTCCATACTATATAGTTGGCTTTGCAGTATGAGATGGATAGAAAGATACAACTTTATTCCAATATTATTATCGATGGTCACATACATTCAGTTTCAGAAAAAGTTTCTACATTTCAAGTGTGTTTTCTAAATGATGGGATTAAGTAAAGAAGATTGCCCCCATCCCCAGAATTCTATAGACTTATAGTAAGCATTATAACTGTTACAAAATGTCTAGATATTAAATTCAGTCATTTGCTTTCAATTGTATTTTTTTACAGATATATCATTGGTGAATACACATACATGTATCACCATGAATGATAATGGCATCTAATTTTAGGTGATGATTTGTTTCATAATATTTCACATATGGGTGCTTTACACAAAAATATTAAAGAACTAGAAAACATAGGACTTCTCACTGCATTCTTCATTATAATGTAGTATATTACTCTTATGTATGACAACCATCAACACAATTGATGACCACATATGTGGTATAATTTCACTAGATATTTGAAGACATCAGTATCTCCCTGCTGTCTTTCCTTACCCAATGGTTAGGACCAGAAATTTCAGTGTTGAACTCTCTTATTTTCCCCTTTAGTTTGTCTTTCTTTCTATTCGTCTTCCTTGTTTCTTTTTCCTTTATGTCTTCAATTTAATCATTTACTTTTAAATTCTTGTTTGTTCACTATTCATTTAATGAAAATCAGGGACTTTGCTAGGAATACAAAGATAGTACTAATAAAAGATTTTATATGTATTCACCTATAAATTCTACTGGGAAGATTTTCACTAATCTGAGCGGGTATCAGTAACTGACTCCTCAGTATGACCAAAGCACCCAAAAATAGGTTTAGAAAAAGGGTTATAGAAGAATGTGAAGGTTTTGGATGGCTGAGTACGAGAAGGCATACCAAATATGGCAACAAATAGAATTCTAGGCACTGAAGATGACAATCAATTTCACCTGTTTGTCCAAAATTGACTCCATATTAGAAAAATCTAGATCATTTAACATCATTGCAACCATTTCTTCATTTAATCATTTTTCTAAAAACTTATACATATACATTCCCTCCAGGAAATTTCAGTTATCCAGGCTTAGTGCACAAATATTTAGATTTCTTGGCAAACATTCTTTTCTTTTATTCCTTTTTAAAATGAATATTTATTTATTTATTTATTATAGAGACAGGGTTTCACCATGGCCCAGGCTGGTCTGGAACTCCTGAGCTCTGGCAATCCACTGGCCTCGGCCTCCCAAAGTTATGGGATTACAGGTGTGAGCCAACACACTCGGCCACAGACATTCTTTTCACACAACATAACTGTCTCATGTCTATTTATTTCTAACAATGACTGCATTGTTCCCAAATAAAAATGCCTAACTTACCATCTAGAAAATATCACTCTAGCCCTTTTGCTTACTTTGCAAAGTTAAAACAGTATGTTGCAAAGATTGACCAGGACACAGATTGGAGGATGACTTGGAGAGAACAGAAACTGGAAACGCAGAAGCAATTGAAATACTCATTTTTCAGACTTAAATGCCACCTCTTTTCATCCTATCCTTGTCTTCCTTTTGTCAGGCAGATAGGAACACATATTTCTCTAATTTCCTTTAGGACATGGTGAGATAGATGTCAAGCTCTCTTTATGTTTTGTGTCGATATTCTATTCATATTTATTTAACTATGTACAGTTGTCCACGATCTACATCAGAGGTAATAAAGTATTAATTTTACACTATGATAGTGGTAAAGGAAAGGAATTTATAAGTGGAAATGAGTTTGGGAAAGATTGTGAAGGAAGGATTGACAGAATTTGATCCCTGATTATATGCCAGGTGGAGGGTAGGGAGAGCAAAGTTTTATAATAAGTTTTATGCATAATGTCCTGGGAAAATAGTGGTACCCTATGAGCAGAAGTGGGGACAAGATGTTTGTTGGGAAAATCTTAATACCGATCTGGACACAGTCAACATTTGGCAGAAAGGATTAATGGACTATTTGGGCAAAATTCAGAAATGGAAAGCTCAAATAAGATTCCCCATCGTCAGGTGTCCTTTTTTCTCACCCGGAAGCCGGGAGGAGAAGGATCCATGTTCAAGGCTCTCAGGCTTTCCTCTTTCTTCAGCAGAGGCCGCAGCTGCCTTTGCTCGGCCCCCATGGAAGCCTTCACTTTCGCCTTGGTGCCTGTCTGCAACATCTGAGCAATGCCCAGATCCTCCTCCAGATGGTGCTGCTGCCTCCTCCACTGCCACAGGTGCCCAGAGCCTGTGCTGCAGCCATGCCACTCCTGGTGCTGTGGACAGGGCCTGGGCGAGCTCTTAGACCATGAGGTGCTCTCCCGGGCCTCTACTCCTCTACCCCTTTGGGCCTCGTAAGATCCTCACGGGAGCCCTGGAGAGCAGGCTGAGGGGAGGGTGAAGGCCCTGACAGGTGATGACTTCTCTGACCAGATAACTGGGCTCTTGACTTTACAGGGGGCTCTAGAGCCCCCCATGTGACCCCAGCTAGGCTCCCTCCATTTTCCCTGCTCCCACATGACCTGGAAGCCATGGCCTCCCTCCTGAAGTAGGAGCTGGGACAGATGGAAAACTTTTACTTTGATGTCCCAATTCCCCCACCACCTATTCCCATGGCCACCACAGCCACTGGCAATGCCTCTCCCTCTCCCCCTCCCCACCTTTGACCTTCTCTAACCTTCTGCCTTGTATACCCTTTGCAGGCCTCTCCTGCCTCAACAAGCCCTGGCAGGGGAACGGGCTTGATGCCCTTGTCCTCACCACAGTAGCCTCCTCTCCTTCCACCTAGCCTTCTAGCCTGGTCTCCTACCCCAATCCTGACACCACCCAAGGGTACCACATGCAAAAGAACAGAGACCAGAGGCTCTGAGGGGACCACTAGAAGAACTGGGCAGAGGGGGAGGCCCTGGGGGACAAGGGCCATGTGCTGGAGTCACAGAGCAGGAGCTGAGGGAGAGAGCTGAGTCAGCCAAGCTGGAGCTTAGGAAGTCAAGGATCTGCTCACCAAGCCAGTGGACTAGTTTCCAAACAGAGGACCACCACAGCTAGGTGGGCAGGGCAGGGCTTTGTGTTGTAAGGGGAGCTGGTTTTCAGCCCTGACTCACTTTTGGTTTTGTGTTGAGGTGAGAGGGGCCCCTCTATCATCCCTTTGTCTCCAACTTAATTCCTACTATCACACCCTTGCCTTTTTTGGGGGCAGGGTAAGCAATGTCTGACCGTTTTGCCCAGGCGTGTCTCAAACTCCTGGGCTCAAGGCATCTTACCTCTGCCTCCCAAGGAGCTAGGACTACAGGGTGCATACGCCCCTACCTCTGGTTTTATCCATCTCTCCTCTCCTGTCCCTTTCTGAACGTGGTTCCCCTTCCTTCCTCAGAATGGTGGAATGTTTGGCCTCGGTCAACATTTACACTACTCAAATAACCCAGGAACTAAGGTACACAGGGACTGCAGAGAGCAGGACAGAGCTTGGAAACTTGATCTCTTGAAATTCAAATCAGTGGTTTCTTGCAAGTTGTTTTTGGTGGGTTCTGGAGTGGCTGTGGGATAGAATAAGGAAGTAGGGCCAGGAAGCTATGCAGATTTACTATGCAAATGAGAATAGGAAAGCTGCCTGGTTATGTAAGTCAAGGAAGGTTGTAAGTCAAGGAAGTAAGAATGGAACCCAAATAATGAAGCAGAAATTCAGGCCAAGTGCCCTTGGGGAACTACCTTTGGAGAGGGAGCCAAAAGATGGTCAAGTTCACAGAGCAGGTGAATATACAGGCAAATGAGGAGAAATGGGCAGGGTTGAGAATGGCCATAGTTGGAAACTAAGTGTTCATTTTAACTTTAGGAAATCAGCATTTTTTAAGGTGATGGGGTAGGGGTCTGCATCAGGTGCGAGGGTAGCGATGGATCCTTTGTGAGATTATGAACAGAAATAAAATGAAGAGTTTCTTTTTGAGAAAAAAATCAAATTATAGCAAAAAGGATTATGTCAGGGAGTTTTGGAGTGATAAACTACAAAGAGTTATCTTCAGCTGTTAATTTCAAAGCCAGGTTCTGTGAGTCCCACTGGTACAATTAAAAGATACCTAAGTCACAACTACAGAGAGATGGCAAATTGTATATTGCAAGCTCACAGTATACTAAGTGGTAGAATATGGATTTGAAAAAAGATAATTTTGTGTCTGAATGATGACAGTTTTATTGTTTTTGAAATTTCTTTAAAAATTAGTAAGCTGTGTGTATTATGTAGTCTAAGCTCTATAATCTTTAGTTGCTCACAAGTTTATATTATGTGAAAATATTTTTTAAAATTATTACTTGATAATATATTATTAATATTATTAAATGAGAATGCTAGTAGTTTAAAGCAATCTCAAATGTTTAGATATTAAACCCTTTATAAATTGTAACTTCCCATTTAAACAATTAATCCTATAAACTTCAGCCAAAAAGTTTTGTTTTCCGTGTAAAGGTTCTTGGTTGCAAATGGCAGAAACCAATGCTGCTTATCAGAAGTAGTAAAGAAAAAGAAAGTTGAAATGATGTATAGTACCTTGCATAACCAATAGAAAGGCAAGAGAACACATTACAGAAAATTGTGTTAGAAATAATTGAGGCTAGGCACCCAAGAAGTCAACCATCCAGTGTCACCACTATACTAATGCTGACTTATTGCTCCCAATTTCACCACTGTCACATAAATAATGTCTGTCTGTCTTTTCATCTATGTAGCCTTCCCTTGAGATTTAAAGATTTGGTCAAAAGCCTAAGCCACATACCTGTCCTTTAATTAACAGGGAATAGATAGAGAGAACCACCTCCTTTCATTTGATTTCCAGAGTGGGAGATAGGGCCCTGTCTCCACACCATTTGGAGATCCCATCAAAATAAGAAGTGTTTGAATGTTGATTAGGCACATCTCAACAATTTGGAAATGAAGTTGTATATTAGTTGAGACAAGTGCCTTTTCTAAGAAATCACTGTCAAATATTAATTATGAATAGCTTGGAGTAACACAGCCTAATAACAAAGGAAAGTCTAGCATCTAGGTCTCTGGACTCTCTTTCCTTTTTATCATGTTACCCATGTTTATCCACATCTTTATGGTGTATAGTAAATATAATACCAATTACAGTGCCTGGCATGGAACATGTACTCTAAAAGTTGCTCCATTTTTCTCTCTTCTCTGTTTTGAATGCTGACTTAAGAAATGAGAGTTTTCTCATGCATCTGCATTGAAGATTATATTTTATTATACTTCTAATATAAATCTTTAAGAATGACACATTTGAAATTGTCACCTTACATTTAGCATCAGCATAAGCTTATGTGTCAGTGAATGAAACAGGATCGCTAGGAGAACTTGGAGTAATCAGCTGTTTTAGGCATTAAAGCAGATAACTGGTTTCTTGCTTCACTTGTGAGGAAAAAAAAAAGCTAGGTCTCTCAGTTTGAATACATGAGTGCATCTGGTAATCTAAGAAAGTTGAAAATTCAGGTAAGTTCTGAAATTCTTATTCTATTCAACTCAAAATAACTATATGTTTTATCATAGTTTTGCCCTCTTTTGCAAAAAAAGAAGAGACTTTAAAACTTGTGTATGAATAATTAAAATTTAGTTTGTATGATAAACAGCCTCAACATTATCATCAACAACAGAGATATTTACTTGTATTTATTTTTTGTAGGCATTGTGCTGGTGGCTTGCATAAGCATGAGACAGGTAATTTCCCTCGACTGTTTTAGTTATAGAAAAGCTATCCAAAAGGTAAAGGCAGTGCAAAAAGGGAAAAAGCCAGTGGTCTTTTCTTTGTTAAATATGCACATAAACACATATATACCTACCTACACACATAGATATAAGTATTAATACATATTATTCCTGTATTTTACAATATAACTAAGAAAACAAGAAAGAACAATGTAACACTATGTCTCCACTACATAACAGATGTTTAAAAGATTTTTCAATGCTATTTCCATATGTCATTCATTGATATAAATAAATGATAAAAGGTGAAAATGTTTCCTTCTTTAATAACTTCTGCAGATTAGAACAAGATGGCAAGAGCAGGGTTTTCATGTTCCCTCACATCCCCCCATTAAAACAAATAGAACAACTGGAATAGGATAGCAAAATTAAAAATAGTTTTTGGAAAATCCACAACAAATTTACAATGAATCTAAAGCAAAACTAAGATATCTCTGTAGACCTTACAATATAGATGCAAGGGCCAAACTACTGACAGCAACAAGACCCATGTGTCAGCAATTGTGTGCAGGATGGAGAGGTGAAGCAAAAGGACTTCAGATGATTGCCAGAGAATGCCAAATAGGCCAATGAGTACTCAACTGGAATTCTAAGTGAACCAACGTGAGAACAGCAGTCAAAACTGGGAAGGGGTTTTGCAGGCTCAAATTAACAGATGAATGCAAGGGCATTGTGGTAAAATTGTATGGTGCTTGGTCGGTCTAGGTGTATGAACACTTGAAATTAACCTAGCAAAATCCCTTCTAGGTTAAACCCCTGCACCAATCAGAAACTACCAGGACTAAGAGCTGCATTTAGCAGGATAAAGACAATAGGGGCAAAGGAGAGAGATGGTCGAGATATAAGTGAGAGAGAGGGAGAGGGCCAGCGTATCTCAGAAAGTATGCAGTCATATTTTTAATACTTCCTAGAAACAAAAGCACTAGAGGGAGGGAGTGCTAGAGCCATAAAGTTAATTAAGCCAACCTTGCCCACCCTCCCCTCCTGATAATAAAGGAAAGCTCATCTTACTTATCCGTGAATAATAGAAAAGGTCTGTGGTCAGATATTGTATATAATTATAAAAAAGATATGCCCATATTATGTTTGAAAAGTGTAACTATTTCAAAATTAGCTTAAAAAATTAGGAAAATTATAGAACTATAAAATAACAGCATCAATGAGAATTAGAAAACTTAGATATTAGATTATGGGGAAAAATTATTTTAAAAGGCTAATGAGGTATTGAAAATAATTAGAAACAATAGAAAAATCATTTTGAAATGAAAACTAAATGATAAGGAGCATCAGAAAAAGTAAACACAATAAATTATGTCTAAAATATATAGAAGAAGGGTAGGAGAAAATTTTGTTTTAATTTTAAAAAAGACAAGGAAGAGATATGGAAGATTTGAGAGAATGTAGTAGATGTAAAAAATAAGCCAATCAGATGCAGCAAATGTATGCAGGAGTCACAAAGAACAATACCAACAAAATAGAATAGCATCAATACTAAAATTATTACTCTATACATTGTCGAAAATAAAGACTTAAAACTATATATAAATAGGAATAAATTTAACCAAGGAGACAAAAGACTTATACACAGAAAACTAAAAAGCATTACTGAGATAAGGATGACACAAATAAGTGGAAAGGCATTTCATGGACTAAAAGTTTATGGACTGGAAGACTTAATATTTTTAAGATGATAATACTCCTTGAAGTAATGTATCAATTTAATACAATCTCTATCAAACTCTCAAGGATATTTTTTACAGAAATAAAAACTTATCCTAAAATTCACATACAATCTCAAAGGACCTCAAATAACCAAAACAATTTTGAAAAAGAGCAAAGTTGGAGGGGTCACACTTCCTGATTTTAAAAGTTTCTACAAAGCTACAGTAATCAAAATAGTGTGGTACTGGCATAAAGATAGAAATGTAGATAAGTGGAATAAAATACAGAACTCAGGAATAAACCTTGGCATATAATGTTGAATTAATTTTCAACAAGGGTGCCAAGACCATTCAATAGGGAAAATGGTAGTCTTTTCAACAGGTGGTACTGGGAAAACTAGATATCCACATGAAACAGAATGAAGTTAGATCCTTGCCTTACAGCATATAAAAAACAGTTCAAATAGATCAAAGACCTAATATATGAGCTAAAACTGTAAACCTCTTACAAGAAAATATAGGGGAAAATCTTTATGATATTGGATTTGGTGATGATTTTTTGGATGTAACACCAAAAGCACAGACAATTAAAGAAAAAATAGGTAAGTTGAGCTTCATCAAAATTAAAAACTTTTGTGCATGAAAGAACACTATCAAGGGAGTGAAAAGTCAACCCACAGAATGGGGGTAATATTTGCAAATCATATATCTGATAAGGGATTAATATCCAGAATGTATAAAGAATTCCTTAAATTCAACAATTAAAACACAAACAAAAGACCCAATTTAAATATGGACAAAGAATTCAAATAGACATTTCTCCAAAGAAGATATACAAATGACCAATAAGTAGGTAAAACGATGCCCAATATCACTAGTCATTAGGAAAATGCAAATGACAATCACAAGACACCATCCCACGCCCATTAAAATGGCTTTTATCAAAAGAATGGAAACTAACAAGTGCTAGTAGGAATGTAAACTGGTACAGCTGCTGAGGAAAACTGGCGATTCTTCAGAAAGTTAAAAATAGAACTAACATATGATCCAGCAATTTCACGTCACCAGATACATATCTAAAACAATTTCTAGCACTTTGGGAGGCCAATGCACGCAGCACTCCCGGCACTTTGGGAGGCCAACGCGGAAGGATTACTTGAGGCCAGGAGTTCAAGAACAGCCTGGGTAACATAGCAAGACCCTGTCTCTACAAAAATAAAAAGAACGGTGTGAGTGCCTGTATTCCTAGCTACTTGGGAGGCTGAGTGGGGAGGATCCCTTGAATCCAGAAGTTCAAAGCTGCAGTGAGTTATGATCATGCCACTGCACTCCAGCCTGGGTGACAGAGCAAAACCTTGTCTCTAAAAAGAAAATTAAAAATTAAAAAATAATAAAATTGAAAGCAAGGACTCAAATGAATAGTTGTACACAAATATTCATAGCAGTATTATTCACAATAACCAAAAGGTGGAAGCAACCCAAATATCCATCAACAGATTAATGGATAAAGTATAGTAAAAGCATGCAAAGGACTATTACTCAGCCTCAAAAAGGAGTGAAATTCTGATACGTGCTACAGTGTGAATGAACTTTGATGAGATTACCTAAGTGAAATAAGCCAAATGGAAAAGGACAAATGTTATATAATTCTTTTAGAGGAGGTACCCAGAATAGGCAAATTCATAGAGACAGAAAGTAGAATACAGGTGATCAAGGTGGATTGCTGAGTAGAAATGGGGAGCTTGAATGGTAGAGAGTTTCCGTTGAGGATGATGATGAATAAGTTCTGGGAATGGATAATGGTAATGGTTGCACAGCATTGTGAATGTACTTAATGCCACTGAATTGTATACTTAAAAATTGTTAAAATGGCATATTGTAATATATGTCTTACTACAATAAAATAAAATATACGTATTAGGTATCTAATAAGAGATAGAAATGTGGGATTAAAATTATATATAAAAATTCCATGTCATATATCTGGGAAAATCAATCCAGAATGGATCAACATAGAGATATGTTTTGGTAAACGGTTGGACTTTACAAAAAAGAAAAGAGGCCTTTGGCACTGTGACAAAACAAACAACTGATTTATTAATAAAAATAACCTAGATTGTTATCAGATTTTTTAACAACAATCCTTTATGCGAGAAGAAAATGGGGAATTTTTTGAAGAAGGAGAAATAAAGTGTGACTCAAAGTCCTTTTTATTTCCAGCCAAACTGAGCTTAAATTATAAAGTCTCCTTATAAACTAATATGACCATATAAGAACTCAGAGAATATTGTTCACATAAGCCCCTTCTGAGGAATCTTCTAGAAGATAAATTTGAAACAACTAGAAGACTGGAACAATTTAGCCCTAAGGATTGGGAGAGAGTGGAAGGATTCATTCAGTCTCCCAGGAGTACAAGAGAAGCTAGCTGTCACATGACAGCAGAGAATTGAGATAAGTCCCTAAAAAGTACATACCAACATAAAAGTCTATATGTTCCAGAGTGAATTATAGGATTTCACACTGGAGAGCTCTTTTTATTTATTTATGATATAGGCTTTTAAGAACCCATTGAATTAGGTTGCATGACATCTAAGGATTCATTTTCCATTTCAGGAATTCCTTGTCATTTTAATTTTAGTAAATATTTCTTCTTTCCCACAAAATAGGGAAAGAGATGCTCTTAGGGACATAGTGTTTTCATAGTTTAATAATGGACCTTTAGATTAAATTCACCTTGTTATTTATCATAGCCTTCACTAGAAACTCAAGCTTTAGCATATAATTTTATGAATTCCTTCTGTTCCCCATATCTCTAAGTATCTCCTAAAAGGCCTCAAACCTCCACCCTTTTAGGCCCTCCCCTCACTTTCACTGTGTTCTCTGGAATGCATTACCTTGTATCATCTTCAGTTCCTTGATCTCTTGGTATTCAATAATATATTTTTTCCTCCTCAGCAACATACACTCAGCATTGTAACTTTGTCACATATTCTTCAAGTTCTCTATCCGAAGCTTCCCGTTCTAACAGCCACCTCTGATTGTACGTCACTCAGTCCAGAATTTTTACTTCAGCAATGAAATGTTCAAGTCATTGATCCCACTGCCATGATAGTCTCCATCTCCCCCTTTATGTCCTTATTAGTTTAGACTCTGATTATTTATGTGTTTATCCAGCTTGCTCTTCTTTTCCTTTTGTCACAGTCATATGATAAAACCCCAAACCTAGTTAAGCCTACCATATCTGCCTATCCTGTCAATGCACCAGAGCAGATGAACACTGAATAAAAATTACACAAACTCTTACTACCTAGTCCTAGAGGAACTTCTCACTAGCTATCTATCTCTCTTATTTCATCTCATACAATTTTTTTCCATCACTTTCTAGACTACATTGGCATTCCTTCTGTTCCATGAACAGATCATTATAAGTCTCATCTTTGGAATCTCTAGCTCATTCTCACTTCAGGGCTTTTATACTTAGCCATTCTCTCTGCTTTACATGTTTCTCCTTATCTTGTCATGACTGCCTTTTTCTTGACATCTAGGGATGAGTTCTGAGATCATCTTCCCAGAGAAGTCTGTCCTAGCAACCTCATCTAAACTAGCCACCTACTCACTCTCTATCATATCACCGTGTTTTAATTTTCTGCTTAGTTCTTATTGTCATCTGATCATTGTGTTCCTTTTAAGCATTTGTTTACTCCTGTTTCCCTGCTCAGAATGCAGCATCCATGTGGATAGGGACTGGTCTTTTATAATGTGCTGAAATATCCCTAGGTCATGTAACTATGTAGCAGGATAGATAATTCTTGAATTTCTGAATGAAAATATACAAGCTCATGAGAAGTTTGTATAAAGTCGGAATTACAACTCATTCATTTACCGTAAGAATATTATCAAAGAGAACAAAATTTAAAGTAACATAGTGTTTTCATTTTCATTCATCAGGCTAGCTTCAGAGTCAAGTTAGAATTAGAATGCTGGTTCATTAATTTGAAATGAGAAATAATCATCACAGAGAATGGACTATCGTGATACATCTGCTATCAGGATTTTTTTTACTAGTGAATCTAAATGAGAAACAATGAAAATCAAAAGGTTTGTTTTTGAACATGGAATTAGGATTAAGAGAATTAGGGGAGGATCAAATAATGTAATGCCATCGAAATAAGAGATAATGTCAATATTTTTACAATAGAAGTGGTCTTGCCAATCTTGAAGTGCTTGAGGATGGTTTGCTAAACTTATAAAACAAAGTGTTTAATTTAAAATTAAGATTTATTAAATGCTACATGCTAAACACTGTATTAACACTTTAGATGAATTTCCTCATATAAGCCTCACAACAAAACTAGTTTTGCATATTCATAGTAATTAGAGTTTCAATAGGAAGCAGGTTTTACCCCAGATAATCCATATGGAAAGACTCAATGAAGGGCCTGCTTCAGAGATGTGGGCTTGCTTAGGGAAACCAGAAAAGGGCAGGCGTAATGATGTTTATTTTTTATTTACCAGAAGTTATTGATTTTTTTAAAAAATTAATTTAATCAATTTATTTTTATAGCTTTTTTGTGTCTTTTTAAAGAAATATTTACCTGTCCCTAAGTACCTGAAGATATTTTTCCTATTTTTTCCAAAAGTTTTATTGTTTTACTTTTGTGATCTGTCTTGTAGTAAGTATTATAGTGCCCTTAACAGATCCTATTTTTTTCAGATCAGTTCATCTATCTATCTCAAGCTGCGTATTAGTTGCCAATGGCTCAAAGACTCACTTGGGAAGTTATACCTCTCCCTCAAACCATGGCAACAGCAAATAACTCACTCATACAGCTGTATAAAATGCCAGGTTCCTTGACAAAGGAAAGGTAATGGGGTAATACAGTCTATGCTTCAGAGGCATAAACGGTGGATCAAGTCAAGGCTAGACTTTACCTAAGACTATATCCTTGTCAGGTTTTTTACTCTCCCTTAATTTGCTTCAGTCTCTCTCATACTTTTCTTTTTTTCTGGAGACCACTCTATCAATAAATCTCATGGGATAAATCATGATGTTAGTCTCTGCTTCTAGAGACCTTACCTAAGACACTTGTCAAATTAATTTTTATATACAGTGTAAAGTAGAAATCAGGTAGTTTGTTTTTTCTTTGTTTCTATGTGGATACTCAACTACTTCAGCATCATTTAGTTAAAGAATTGCCCTTTTCCTACTAAACTACCATTGAACCTTTGTTATAAACTGTGTGTGCATTTTTTTGGACTCTATTCTATTTCACAGATCTCTCTGTCTATATTTGTACTAACTACTATCTTAGTTACTGTAGTTTTATAGTAAATCTTGATATCAGAAAACATAAGTCTGCCAAGTTTGTTCATCTTCCTCAAGTTTGACTTGGTTATTTGAGATATGCCCATATAATTTTAGAATCAGTTTGTTAATTTCCATGAAAAAAATCCTGTTGAGGTTTGTAGTAGCTTGAGCGGTGGCCTCAAAAATGTGCCTGATCCCAATTCTCAGAACCTACAAATGTTAACTTATTTGGAAAAAGGGCCTTTGCAGATGTGATTAAGTCAAGGATCTTGAGGGAAGGAGATCATCCTGGATTATCCTGGTGGGCCCTGAATCCAGTGAAAAATATCCTTCTAATAGACAGGCAGATGGAGATTAATATTCAGGTCAAATATTTTCTAATTTTCATTTTGATATTCTGATATGCTGCCTAATTTCCAATCATGTGGGGATCTTCTGGCTATAGTTCTGTTTGATTTTAATTTTGTTGATTTTTAAATTAATTTCTCTTGTCATACTTTTAATGTTAGTCTTTTAAAATTTGTTCATACTTATGTTCTAACACTAATTTAGTCTATTATTTTAAATGTTCCCTTGAGTATTATAAAATAATATCTATTCTTCAACTCTTGGGTATAGGGTTTTAAATATTAATTAATTAAAAATTAAAATATTAAGTCCAGTTGGTTAATTATATTCTGTATATATTCTATATTCTTAGTATATTTTTATCTCTTCTATTAGATTTATAAATATATTTTATTATAATTTTCTGGTTATTATAAAGTTTAAAATATGTATCCTTGACTTATTACAATCTCCCTTCAATTAGAATGCTTACCATTTTTTGAATGATGTTAGAAATTTGAAAACATTTATCTCTATTTACTTACCACCTCCAGCCATGCTTTTTGATATCATGGACATATAATTTATTTCTCCTTATGTTAGAAAACAACAAGGCATAATCATTACCCTTGCTTTAAAAGTCACAGTCTTTTGTATTTCTCAAGTTTACCATTTCTGGTGCTCCTCCTTTCTTCCTGTGGCTTTATAGTTTCATCTGTTATTTCAACCTGAAAAAACTTCATTAGTAATTCTTATAGTGCAGGTCGATTGGCACACATTTTTTAGCTCTTTTGGGTGGTGGTGGGTGGGGAGGAATCTGAAAATAAGTTTAAACTGCTTCAATTTTGGAAAGATGTATACTAAGGAATTCGAATTATAAATTGGCAGGTTCTTTCCCATCTGGGCACTTTGCAGGTATTATTGCATTGTTTTCTAGGTTCCATTGTTTCACTTCAAAAGTCAGTCATAAGATTTAATGTTGAATTTTCAAAAATCAATCTCCAACTGCTTTTAAGATTTTTGTCTTTGTCTTTGGTTTTCAGCATTTGAATTTTGATGTGTCTGAGTGTTTTATTTTTTTCTAATTATCATTCTTGGTATTGTCTGAGCTTCTCAAATCTTGGATCAATAATGTTTTCATTAGTTTGGGAAAATTCTTAGCCATTATTCCTTCAAATACTACTTTTGCCCCATTCTCCTGCTCCTCTTATTTATTCTCTTTGCCTTGCATTATATATTTTTTATTTATCTATCTTCTCATGTTTTGTAAGTTTTTTTTCTAGGTAAGACATTGCTTATAAAGAATCGTAGAGGCTTCAGACTGTAATTTTCCCCCAAAAAGGTGTTCTTAATTTCTTTTGTTACACATTAATGATTTAGCTGCATTGGTCCAAAGTTGAAATTTTTATAAGAATTAGTCCACCTAAGGTTTGTCTCTTTCCTCAGACAGAGAATAGAAAACATCAGGAGACTTATATGAATTATAAATTTAGAGTAACCAGGTCTCTCTCACTGTTTCTGTTCAGCTATGAAAAAGGGATGTCAGCTAGGTCTGACATAACTAAGGGAAATTTAGTTATGTCCTACAGAAAAGTAAAGTAATGCCTTTTCATTTATAATCTTTAATATCAAATTCCTTATATGCATTTATTATAGGTAATTGTGATAATTTAATAAGCTAAGCACAGAGCTGGTCATATAGTAAATTCTCAAGAAATATGAACTTTTATTGTAGTTGATTATGGATATACTTCTTTCAATCTTCTATGGTTTTAGTGATTATTCCCTCAGAAAGATTTGTTGAGCTGAAATTTTCTTGCACTGGTGATAACATACAGGTGTAATTATGCTGACTATATGGATGGTTGCGCAAAGGGTGGTAAAGCTAAAGTTGATGTTTAAAGCTAATCCTAGTCTATAGCAGATTGTATGTTCTAAAGATGACTGCAACAGTATTCTCCATCTCATGTGCTTTTCCTGCAGTGCGACTTTGAATCTCTTTCTATTTAAGAGAGTTTTTGTGGCTTATTTAAACCAATACCTTAGGGCAAAAGTAATACACTGTGATTTCTGATGCTAAATCATAAAAGTTTATTCAATTTTGTTTGCTATTAGACCTATTAAACCTTTAAGCACATATAAACGGTCTGGCCTTACTTATGTTGCCATGCTTCACGCTAAGAAGTTAAAACTGTTCCACATGAAGAGATGACTTGAAAAGGTTCTGAGACTACATAAAGAGAGTGAGAAATGCTCATCTAGTCCCTAGCTGACTGAGGCCTGCATTGTTCTGTTCTAATTCTATATATTGGCTAAGTAACCTCATGAGAGACCTGGAGCCAAAACCACACTTCCAAGCTCTTCCAAATTCCTGATTCGTAGAAACTCTAAGACATAACAAAGTGAGAGTGGTTCTTTTAAGCCACTATGTTTTGGAGTGATTTGTTGTACAGCAATAGACAATCACAGTGAAGTTTTCTAAGATACTTTCTTTGCCCTTCCTTTTCCTTTCTTTTCTTTTTTTTTTCTTCTTCCATTTTCCTTTAGAAATAGTTGTTCTCTTCTAGTAGAGGGACAGTACACTGTCCTTCATGCAATCTTAACCTCTTGAACAATTCTCCTTTTCCCACATCAAGCCTAGACTTCCTCACATGCACTAAGATGGATGTGTGTCTCTGGGATTTTCAAGATAATTGGTTAACTAATCTAATAAACTAATTTACCCTAAAGACTTTCTGGTTATTGATGTTTTAATACATTTCTCCTCCTAGTGAAGCATTTAAATATAACTTTAAATAATCTAAATTGGTACCCAGAATAGATTGACTGGTGTTTGAATTTTAGATAGAGTGAAGATCTTTTGAGGGAAATATTTTTGAGAGTCAAAGGAGGAAGTATGGAATGTTGCAAAATATTCAGTGCCTGAAAAATCACGCTATGTGGACTCTGCCTATAGCCTATTCTTTCTTTTATCTTTGAGTAGTTAAAATAACTAGCACCATGTCATCTCATTTTGTTGTTGGTTCTTCATCTGAAAATATAGTTAATGGTCTTAATGTTTGCCAAGTATTCCAAATCCCTTGTATTAAAATAAAAATAATTTCAGGATATTATTGCTACTGCATAGGCTTCTATACAATGAGGTTCAAACCAAGTCTGTAAGCTTAGTTATGTTAGGAAATATATATATATATGATATGTATATATATCTATGTATGTATATTTATTTATATATGCATATATTAATATATAATATATGTATATATGTATATATGTATGTGTATATATACACTAATGTTAATCTGATTATCAAAATTTACTGAGCTGAAATTCTAAACTGTGAACTTCCACCAAACCATTGAAGCAATAGTTTCTAAGTTGAATTTTTTTTCTCTCCTGATACAGCATAGAACACACTCACATATTTTTCATGTTACTTATAGTCATCCTGTAAACTATGTCTGCAAAATGTTAATGAGATTTCTTCTTATCTGGGCCAGAGTCTAACATGTATGTGATTTCCCAAAGAGGACTATATAAGCCAAGTAATTTGTGTCACACAAATATTCTCTGGAGTATGTGAAGATAATATTCCAGTAGGCCCAAGGGACAATCCCAAAGGTGATTTTATTAGAGAGGATCTCCCAAAAGATGCCAGACATTTTCCTCCCTGTTCCTGAAAACCTTTACCCTACAGCTAAAAGAGAAATGCTGAACTAGGAACCAACATTTCACGAATCCCCACACTCTTTCTCTAAATTTGTGTCTTGATCACTGTACTTGTGAACAATCCAGTAAAGGTTTCTCTGGATTTCTAGCTGGCCTCACCTAGTTTCTCCTCTGTGCACTGATTTGTTTATTGGTTTTCAGATGTGATTCAGTCTCTCCATCTTAAAAATAAATAAAATGTAAATACACATGTACGTAACACTTTGCTTATACTACTTACACCTCAGGGTATACTTGTAGGTCTTTCTTTTGCTTTAATGTCAATCTTCTATTCATGAAATTTTTGGATTCAACTTTGATTTCTCCATTTGATTCTTATAAGTGTTCACTCCTTCACAGACCTATCTTTTTGTCTTCCAAATGTTCCTTTAACCTATCATTTTTTGTCGGGGGGGGGGGAATTCCCTAATGCTGTGCTTAAGAGAATAATATGACCCCCATAAGGTTAAAAAAAAAACCAAATAACCAATTGACTCAAGAGAATTATCAGATGTTACAGAAACTGCCACTAACCAAGCACTGGAAAAAAATATATATTTGTGTTTTTTTTTTTTGTCTTTTCTTTTGTATTCTTTTTTTATTCCTACTTTTTTTTAATTGCTGCAGCCACTTACACATCCTTGTCCATGCCCAACATATAAATGCAAGAATAAGCATGCATTTTACAGAAAAGGCATCATTACTACACTGTCTGCTTTCTATGTTGTATCAACTATATTTATAAACAATTCTGTACTGTGTGAAAAAAATTTGGGTCCATATTATCTCATTGAATTGTGGGCTCTTTCTGTATTTTTAATTGAACCATGTGAAGAGGAAATATGACAAGTTGACCCTCCATGCCAAAATTTTTGTTGGAGACGATCACATAGTGAATAAAGTTTTACTTTTTTTGAGAGGTTTAGCAACAATGGTAGCCCAGCTCAGGCAAAAGAAGGAATAAAATAACCAATTTCTTTTCATAATGTACCCAGAGCTTACATATGAAAAGGAATAATAAAACCAGAAAAATAAACTTTTAAATTTCTTCTTGATACTTCTTTAAAATATTGCAGTGACATTGTATGTAAAGAAGCTTATGTATGGTAGGATGTAAGTTATTCCTTCAGTAGTTTCGAGTATTTTCTAAAATGTTTTTATTATTTTATTCAGTGATAATATGACTAATTTCCTTTACTAAAAATTAAAGAGTTAGCATAATAGTAATTCCATTGTAATAAGAAAAAATATTTCTTGAAATCATATATGTTAAAAATGCCTCAAAGGCACAAAAGAAATTCCACAGCATGAAATTCTCAAATTTCAAAATGAGGATGCATGCATCTTACGTCTTACGCTGGAATTTTCATTCGCTAATCAATTATGCATAATTTCTATTCATCATGTTCACAGAAACATTTTTCCTGCAAATAGTGAGGCAGAGACCAGGATCTCCTAAGTTTACATAAATCAAATTTTGGCAATTATAAGGGATTTTGCTTGGTCTGAGACTGGTCTATGGGGTTTTGCCATAAAGTCTGTTCACAGCTAACAAAGGAATTTTTCGCTTGTAAATAATAGGCCAAATACAAGCCCCCATGAGCCTTTTCCATTATGTTTCTTTCTTGAGGCTGTTCATTCTGTTTTCTTTTTTCTATGGTTGGATTTGTTGCCATATAAAATAGCAGTTTCAAACATTCTTTGTGATGGGTAATCCTATTAGTTTGGAAAAATGATTTTCCTGAAATTTGGAAAACAGGATAATTTGCCTCTTGCCACTTTTCACATATGCCATTATTTGATCACAATACTCTTTTTAGTTGCCATAAAATAAGAAAGGCTCTATGTCTTTTTTAAAAAAAATGTTCTTTTATTCTAACTTGGAAGCCTAATTAGTCCAGATTGTATTAAAATGCCTTGTTTTTGCTGCTTTTGTCAGAGAAGAGTTAGAACATGATGCCTCTCTTGGTAGGTCACAGACTGAAGAGGCCTGACCCAGGGAATCAAATGTCTGACCTGGCCTGACCCTAACCTCTACTTAAAATCAAGTCTTTACTTTTATTTAAAAACAGAGGTATACTTTCCATGTATCTTTTTTTTCTCCTTGTCCCAGCTGCTAAGAAGTACTCGTGGCTATTCATCTGAGAGCTCAGGGTGGGAAATTACATTTTCCAATCTTCTCAGTTTGGAGAATGGGCTCTGGGCTTGATTTACTCATGTTTACTTAGGGAAAATGCGACTATATTGTCTAGAAATTTTATGTAAGAGAAAAGCAACCAGAAAAATTCAGAATTAGATGAATTGTGGGTTTTCCTTCCACTGCACATGAAACATAAGCAATCATTTATTTCAAATGAATACTTAACACTGAATTAAAAATTATTCCTGATTGTGTTTTAGCAATTAGATAAAACATTTGGCTGACATATTAAAAAATTACAGTGGCAAAACATTTAAAACAGTATCAATTTTCTGTTGGGAACATAGGAGGTTGGGTGAGCTCCTCTAATAATAATACCATTAATCACTCTATGGTTTTGTGCTCTCACTTCTTAGGCAAATGATCAATACCCTTAATTTTAGGCTGGCTTTTATTGTACGGCTCTGTGATTCTTTTTTTCTCTGTTTGTGTGGTTCTTACAGTAAATTTAATTTATGACTGTGTAGGGTGATATATCCTTAGGTCATATCCTGTAATCTTTCATGTGGGGAATTCCCACGGAGTTATTCTGTGAGATCTGATGGCAGACTCTTTTGCTTTTACTTTAAACATCTTTACTTTTTGGGGGGTTGGGGGTGTGGGAGGTTTGCTAATTCAGTGCATTCCAAATTATAATGTACAGAGCTTTTATTCATTCATTCAGTCATGTAATATAACTCTGCAGACTTGAGTAGCCACAGAGGTTCCTTCTTATTCTAAATTCAATAATTTGTACCTTTGAAAATAAAAACTCTTTAGGGCCTCACAAGCTCAAATTTTCCCACTGTCTAGCTCTCGTTATCATAGCTAGCTTATTTTAAGAAAAGAGCTAAGTTTTCTTTTGTAGTCAAATCTTACTAGTTGTGATACTCAGTGTAGTAGCCAAATGTCAGCCTTAATGGTAACACGGCTTTAATTTTTTAGAGTAAGGCACATTGTTGTATTGGCATTTTCAAATTCAAGTGCAGCAAACATAGTCAAGTGTAGTAAACATACCTCTTCAGCCTGTGATGCTTTTGCTATGTTGATTTAATCACAAACAGCAAAGAGAAACACACTAAAAATCTCTTTGAAAATGGAAGTGAGTTTCTAGAAATATATCAGAATAATGATTTATTTTTCAGTTGGTCTATGTGACGTAAGTTAAAATGCAAGTAAAAATTAAATCTAGATGCGCATGCCTTGATTTAAAATTATTGAAATGTTCAAAATTGAAAGGTTCTTCAATTTGTGAAGTACATGAGGTCTGAGCCATGTATAGGACAATTTAAAATTATACAAGCTCTCTAAACTTCCCAGAGTGCTTCAATTTGGACGTTATCAGGGTTCCAGGAATGTATAATGCATAGAAATTTGAGGCTGCTGAAAATACTCTTTTTTTTTTTTTTAAAGAGTTCTTCTCTTGTGTTCAGACATCTGGGCATGTGCAGACACTGAAGAATAAACTGATGTAAACTTGTTTGAGTGCTTCAATTTGTAAGTGATTCGAAGAGCCGCCCAAATCACTCAGCACATGTTCTAATGGTTAGAACTGCCACATTCAACAAGTAGAGGGAAAGATGAAACTAAATCTTCACCAAGAGAAAAAAGGCTAATGGCTCAGGAATTCAAACATTTTCAAAAATATTTTACAATATTTTAGGAAAGATGACTTGAAATATGGCAAAGACATTATTAAAGGAGAGAATTCAATTAAACTTTTTGTCAAGGCCTCCCTTATGTTAATTTCACACTGTGCTATTTGTGAACTATACTCAGGCAGTCTAATTGACTTACTGTCCCTTGAATGGCCCACATTTGACCATGTTGATGTCTTTTTGATCTGTTTGCTCTTGCTGGTAGCTCAATTCTGAAAATAGATTTCATTTTGCATGTCAAGTCACTTCTCTTACTGGTGGTTGCCTGGAGTGCTGTGTTGAGAATTCAGAAGTCACATTAGGCAGTAAAAGAGGGTCATAATTAACGTTGCCACCATGGACAATGGAATGACATTTGGGATCATAGAATTTTTGTTTTGTTTTGTTTTTGTTTTCCCTATTCATGTCTTGTTTTCCTTCAAGATTCTGTTCAGGTAAGACTCAAGATATCCCAAACATGTCTAATTGAAGTTTTTCAATATTACAGCCCTTGATCTTCATCAATACAGCATTTTTACCCCTTAAACTTTTAAATATTGAAAGAATGATTAAAATTTTAAAATTCAATTGATGGTTGTTTTATTTTCTGTTTCAAGAATGTCTCATATTAATAGATAATAATAGAGAATTTCTACATACACTGATATAATGGACCTTCCTGGTCTTATGTTTGCCCCTTCTTAGCTGTATGACTTTAGGAAAGTCACTTTACCTCATTGAATTCCATCAGCTTCATTTGTTGAGGAGTTAAATAAGGTCCTTTCCCACTCTGAGCTGTGAACTTCTAGTGATAAAAGTGGGATCAATGAGGCACCTATCCTTGGATACTGAAATGTCAGATTGAAACATAAAAATGGTAATATTCCTGAGTGAAGTGGATCCTCTCAGCATCCTGGAGAAACTTCCCTAGTCAAGTCTGGAATTTCTGAGCTATTGTTCCCAATAGTGGCAGGTGTTGGGCCAAATATTTGGCATAATTTTAGAGGCTGCATGGGAACTTTTAGTTCTTTTTCTAAATGGTCCCTGTCTATCAACTGGTGCTGATAATTGTTTAGGCTGGAACAAAAAATTTTATTTCCCAAATTAAAAGACAGGAATGCTGAATAGTAGAAAGAACAGATGTTTGAGGGGCAGAAAGACCTGAATCACTTCTCTATTACTCATCATTTTTATAAACTTTCACATGTTTCATAGAGTCTCTGAGCCCCAGTTTCCTCGTTTGTGAAATGGTAATAATAATATCTATTTCATAGATTTCTGGGAAGAAATAAATACGAAAATGTGCATAAATTGGTCTAGTACTATCGTGAACTGAATGTTTGTGTCCCCTAATTCACATGTTGAAGCCCTAACTGCCAATGTGATGGTTTAGGAGGTGGGGACTTTGGGAGGTAATTAGGTCATGAGGGTGAAGCCCTCATGAATGGGATTAGTGCCCCTACGAAAAGAGAAATGAGTTTTCTTTTGACTATGTGGGTATACAATGAGAAGTCAATCATCTAGAAACCAGGATGCCAGCCCTCCCCAGACTCTGGATCTTGGACTCCTCAGACTCTAGGACCATGAGAAATAAATTTCTGTTGTTTAAGTCACTCTGTCCTTGATAATTTGTTATATAGTAACCCAAATCAACTAAGACAAGCACCTAGTAGACTTTCAATGATTAATTCATTTCCTTTTCCTTCTTTCAATGAAAAGAATTTTGTTTTTCTACTATGTGTAGAAATTGTAGTCTGAAATTTAGAAATATGTGTGCAGAATTGGATTGGGGAAGGCTTTAAATGATGGGCAGTGGAGATTGACATCCAGGCAGTAATGAAAAGTCCTAAAAAACTCTGAACAAGAGAATGTTATGTTTACAGCTGTCTAAAGATTAAAGTTGGCAGAAGGATAGATGAACATGGCTAGTAGTAGCTAGGAGAAAGACATTGACAGCCTAAGGTTCTCATGTAGGCAAAAGTGCCCGTAGGGGTGGGGACAGTGGAATAGAGCAAGACAGGGAGGCAAGGGGGATCAATTGAGAGGTCAATTACCAGGACTTATACCTAATTAAATGAGTGAAGAAAAATGTCCATAGTAACCAGATTTTTAATTTTCTAGTAACTAGATCTCAAACCCCAGACAAATTGTTTAAATCTCTCTGAGTTTTAGCAAAACGTATAGCTACTGGCATCTGTAGCCCAGAGAGTATAAAATGGGGGAATTTAATGTGATCTCTTATTTTACTTTTAACTTGATAATTTTAATTGTATTCTACTTCCCCCATAATAAGTCACAGGGACCATTGTTAAATTTAATTAAGATATTTGATAAATATAATGTCACTGGCTGTAAGAAATGAGCATAAAGCTATAGGAAGTAAATTAGAAAGACAAAAAGACATGCTTACTTCATGAAAACATATGAGAATGAAAAGATCTAGTCATGCTTGTGGAGTAGACATAGTGTGCCAATACTCTGGAATATTGAACATCTACTTTGTTAACTGGATACACAGGGCAACTTCCCAGAGTTGATGTAAGCCTTGGGCCTGACCTCAAGGCATAAATCAGTGGTTCCCAGACTTTGAGATTTCATGGTCCACACAATTAAACAAAAAAAGCCATTCAAAATGAAGTGTCAACTTTTATTTTGTCAAGTACAAATTTTAAAAACCAAGTACAAAAAAACCTACCATCTCTTGATACCATTATTTAAATAAAAAGGAGTAAATTTAATGTCCAAGAGAGAAACAAAGGACAAAATCTCAGAACAAAAAAAAACTTTAATTTTAATCTGTTTAGCTTTATTAAAACCTCACTATGTCTGAGAAGTGACATCAGCAAGATGGTCTACTGGAAGCCCCTACTGCTCTTCCTCCCCACCATGAGAGCCAAAGCAATGAATGAACAACTATATTTTAGGGAAAATAACTAAGGGAGAGCACTGAAGTACATCTTAGGAGTAACAGAAATCCTGGTGAGCACAGAAACTCAGGATAACCACATAGAGAAGAGAACACCTGGCCTCCATCATTTCATCCCCCACTAGATATCAGCTGGGAACTAGAAGGAACTTCTCCCATGGAGAAAAGGTAAACGATAAGATCCCAGTAGCCACCATCAGCATCTGGGACAAATACAGCCCTCACCACTGGGGTCCCCTGCAGTCCTCACAGGCACTAAGCCCACCTGAGGGAGCTAACTGGAGCCCACACAGCTGTGCTGTCTCCACAAAAGGAGCTGATACTGTGCACTGCCCTCGGTGGTCCACGCAGCTACTATACTGCACCATCCTAGAACTAGGACTACCACTAGAGTGTGCCTTACTACAAGGGTGAGTGCTCAAGGCATATCTTCATTCCTGAGACCAAGCCACCACCAAACCATCCCCAGCTGGTGGCCCAACATCCCCAAGCTGAGCTATGACCAGCTGTCACCTCCTTCTCCATAGAGCCAAGAAGCAGTGGAGCTCCTCCACCTGTCTCCCCAGGCTTCAGTTGTAGCTGTACTCTGTTCCATAAGGCCAGAGCTGGGCCTGTACAACCCCTCCTGGGAAATAAGGCCCTGATGTAGCCCCTTTATCTACCCCTCACTGTTGCTGCTATGACTTACCCTCAGGGGACTGAGCTAAAGCTGTGCACTGCCTCTTAAGGAAACATTGCCTTGGCGGAACTGCTCCATATACCTCTCCCAGTCATTGCTGTGTTCTGCACCTGGGGACCAATGCTAAAGCTGTACAGTCCCCCTGGGGAATTGTTGCTTTGGCAGAATCACTACATTTACCTCTCCTAGTTGCGGTTATGCCCTGCTTCTAGGGGCCTGAGCTGAAGCTGTACTCTCTTTCCTGGGGAAACAGTGCCTTGGCAGAGTTGCTCCATATGCCCTTTCCAGTGTCTGCTGCACCCTTCCCCTAGGGGCCTGAGCTGAAGCTGCACACTGCCTTCCAAGGAAATGGTGGCTTGGCCCACCAAATAAACCTCCCAGCTGCTACTGCACCCTGCCTCACCTGTGCTGGAGCAGAAGCAATGCCAGAAAATGGAGAGATAGTGTTTTGGTTGCCCAGAATAGTCATGCCCCTCTGTTCCTGAGCCAAAGCAGCATCCCGATCCTGGGAAAACAGCACCATGGCATCCTAGAATAGTCATGTCTGCCCCTGTGCATAAGTTGAAACAGCACCCTATCTTCTAGGAAATGGTATCTTGGCTGTCCAAAGTGGTCATACACTCTGGTGTCTATGCTAAAGTGATACTCTATGTTCTTGAGAAATGGTTCCCGGACCACCCAGAACAGTTAAGTTTCCCAGGACTGAGCTAAACAGGCACATCATCCCCTGGGGAAATGGTGCCTTGTTTAAGCTGAGCAGATATGCATCCAAGAGCTGAGCTGAGCTAGTACCCTGTGTCTTAGGGAAACAGAAGAGTGGCTGAGCTGAGACACCCATTCTACAGGCCAAACAATTCTAATACCTTGCTTTCTCAGAGCTGGTCAGGTCCCCTAGAGTCTGAGCTGCTGAGACACTCCTCTCTGTGGGGAGTGGGGTAATCACTGTGCTGCTCCTTGCCTTACTCAGGCCCAAACAACAGCTGTGCTCTGCCATTCTAGTGTACTTGTTGCTCCTGCACCTAGCCTCACAGAACCCCACCATCCCAAGGTCCAGAGTCATTAAATGGTACCTCATTCTCGGGTACCCAAGTTGCCATTGAATCCTGTTGGCTGAGGTTTCCAAATTGCAGCCATATCATGCTCCCAAGCCCAAATTTCCAGAGCACCCTTTCTTCTCCAGAGTTGGGCCAGTGCTGTGCCCTGATCCACAAGGGTAAGATCACAGCTATAAACTGGCCCTCTGGGCCCAAGATTCTAGAGGTACCTCAGAGAGAGTTACAGATCTTGGCTCTGTAGGCAATCAACATTTAACTCTGCCACAGAAAACAAACCTGTACCACAAGACACAGGTGCCACAACAGGTTTGCAAGATCCTAAGCCTGGGATCCTGGCCCCACAACCATTCTGAGCACCAGTGTCTAGAATCCAGTGCCACTGCAGCTGCTTGTAGGCTGTGTGAAACCTCACACACACCAGTAGAGATCGTCTCAGCAAAGTCACCCCATTGTGAGGAAAATGAGAATAGAAAGACTGAAAAGTCTTGCCACTGAGGACTTTAACAACCTACACCAGCATCACGACTGCCACAAACTTCTAAAGCATAGACCTCTGAGGCACCCACAATTATTATTGCTGTTGAATGTAGCTCAAGATGCTGCATGGAGACTACACAACTGAATCTACCTGGTAAGAGTCACCACGCTTTTCCCACTTGGCACACTAAGACCCAAATGCAGGTGAAAGTCTTTTTCTACATAAACCACTCTAGAAAGTTTGTAAGAGGTGATTATGCCACCAGATGCATGGACATCGAAGTAAAATAGGAAGTAAATTAGAAAGACAAAAAGACGTGCTTACTTCATGAAAACACAGAAGGAAAAGGTCTAGTCATGCTTATGCCAGGACACAACATGAAGAAGCAAGGAAATACTATACCAAAGAAACACCATAACTCTCTAACAGCAGGCACCAATGAAAAAGAAACCTACGAATTTCTGGAAAATAAGTTCAAAATATTGATCTTAAGAAAACTCAATGAGATACAAAAATATACAGATAGGCAAGTCAACAAAACCAGAAAAACAATTTATGATATTAATGGGAAATTTAACAAAGAGGTAGATATAAAAAAAGAACCAAACAGAAATCTGCAATTGAGGAATTCAATGAATGAAATACAAAATAAGAGTGAAGAAAGCCTACAAGATGTACGAGATAACAGAAGGCAAACAACTGTTCATATTATGGGAGTTCAAAAAAGAGAAGAGATGGCAAAAGGCATAGAAAAATTTATTTAATGAAATAATAGGGCTGATGAGATATGGCCAGGTGGAACAGCTGTCACCTAGGACTGAGATGACTGGTGTACTCCTAACAGATCTTCAGAGGGAAGACACAGAAGCTGGGCTGAAGGGGGGAAAAGCTAGGAACCCTACATGGGGCTACTACACACCTGGACTCATTCCTGGCCCCCAGTGGCTCCAGGGGAATGGATGAGTTAGACTGGCAAAGTGCAACCTGCTCTTACCCTGGAACCGAAGCAGGAGAAGACCCCACGACCACCACCAACACTCAAATTGGCAGAGAGAGCTGCTCAGAGAAGTGGTAGAAGCAGCAAGCCAGCTGACATAGAGCCCAGAGGGTTTGGTGTGGGAACATCTGTAGTGGAACATAACCAAGGTTGGACATCCCCCTAGATTCAACTTGCTTCCACAAGAGACTTTAACCCTAGGGGAACTGTTGGTCCTGAACTCTTCAGGGCAATCATGCCCATCAGGCAGGGCTCATCCAGCCTGGGCACCCCTTGGTCTGCTGGCCTCTCCTGGGGCCCCAGCGTGGCCATGCCTCTTTGTAGGGCAGCCTCACATGCCCTGGGGGCCCCCATCACAGCTTCTGTGCTGGCAGACTATGCCTGACAGGCAGAGAGCTCCAGCGAGATGGCCCCCCACTGCCACTCACCAGACCACATGCTCCCTCCCCACACTGCAGTTTCCCACCAGGCTCACTAGAACTACCCACATTGCTTTGCTGTCACATGTCTGCATGGGCAGGTTCTGCTTTCATTGTCCCTCCTGCATGAATGTGCATGCACCCTGCCCTGCCACTGCTGCAATGGGAATGCAGTCTGCTCCCCTGCCTATTGGCAACTACCATTGCAGACAGAGCCTTGGTGGACACAAAGCTAGCCAGCCCTGTCCCCACCAGTACCCTGCTTTGTGCTAACACTGCCGTGGGAGTGAAACTAGGGGCAGAGAACCTGAGTGACCACTCCTGCTTGTGGCACACAGAGAAGGCTCACAGACCTGTGCCCACTAGTGCCTCATTCTGGAGCCAATGCCACCACCAGCATGATTGCACACACAGTAACCAGCTGGGCCCCCACCTACCCAGCTCCATTTCCTCTGCCACTGTGGTGATTGCCCACAGGGAGGCAGGCAGGCTGGCACCTGCTAGCACTCTGCTGCAGCTGATGAGTATGCACCCCACTGTGGTGTTACTATAGCTGCTGCAGGCACATGCGAATGAGGATGAATTCTGCTGTCACCACACAATGAAACACTTTGGCTGACACCACCTATTGGAGAGTAGTGACCAGTGGCCCAGGAGCACCTCAGCCCCTTACCCCTGGTGCAGCAGATTCCTAACCTTGAGAAGCCAGAGGACAAAGCTGGGGCCCAATACGAGTCTCCCAGAGTCAGAGCATGCAGTCCAGGAGCTGGGAACTGAATGTTGACTCCCAAAAATCTCACAGAAACAAACCCAGTTGGCTGAATCCACCTTATAACACAATCAAACCCTTGAGGTCATCAAATAGGATAAATTGGGTTCAGTGTATACTACTCGGGTGATGGGTGCACCAAAATCTCACAAATCACCACTTATGTAACCAAATACCACTTGTTCCCCCAAAATCTATTTGAAAAAAAAAATAAAAAAAGAAATCCAAAAGTCAGCAACCTTGAAGATTAAAGAAGATAAGCCCAAAACATGAGAAAGAAACAGTGTAAGAATGTTGACAAGTTGAAAATACAGGGTGCCTTCTTTCCTCCAGATGACTGCATCACCTCTCCAGCAAGGGTTCTAAACTAGGCTGAGATGCTTGAAATGACAGAAATAGAATTCAGAATATGGGTAGGTATAAAGATCACTGAGCTATAGGAGTACATTGAAACTCAATCCAAGGAAGCTAAGAATCATGATAAAACAAGGCAGGAGCTGACAGACAAAATAGCCAGTATAGAAAAGAATATAACCGACCTGATAGAGCTGAAAAACATACTACAGGAATTTCATAATGCAATTCAAGTGTTGATAGCAGAAAACAAAGCAGAGAAAAGACTCTCAGGGATTAGAGACTGGCTTTCTGAAATAAGTCAGACATGAATAGAGAATAAACAATGAAACAGAGTGAATAAAACCTCCCAAAAATATGGGATTATATAAAGAGACCAAATCTACAATTCATTGTTGTCCCTGAAAGAGATGAGAATGGAACGAACTTGGAAAACATATTTCAGGATATCATCCATGAGAATTTTTCCAACCTAGCTAGAGAGGCCAATATTCAAATTCAGGAAATGCAGAGAACCCCAGCAAAATACTTCACAAGCTCATCCCCAAGACACGTAATCATCAGATTCTCCAAGGTTAAAATGAAAGAAAAAATGTAAAGATGGCTAGAGAGAAAGGTCAGGCCACCCATAAAGGGAAGACCATCAGACTAACAGCAGTTCTTTCAGCAGAAGCTCTACAAGCAAGAAGAGACTGGGAGCCAGTATTCAACATCGTTAAAGAAAAGAATGTCCAACCCAGAATTTCATATTCAGCCAAACTAAGCTTCATAAGCAAAGGAGAAATACGATTCTTTGAAGATAAGCAATTGCTGAAGGAATTTGTTATAACCAGATCTGCCTTATAAGAGCTCCTGAAAAAAGCACTAAATATGGAAAGGAAAGACCGTTACTAGCCACTACAAAAACACATGGAAGTACACAGTCCAGTGACGCTATGAGGTGATCACACAAACAAGTCTGAAAAATAGCCAGCCAACATCATGATAACAAGATCAAATCCACACAAGTCAATACTAACCTTGAATGTAAATGGGCTAAATGCCCCAATTATAAGGCACAACCAAGACCCATTGGTGTGCTGTCTTCAAGAGATCCATCACACATCAAATGACACACACGCTCATAATAAAGGGATGGAGAAAAAAATCTACCAAGAAAATGGAAAACAGAAAAAATCAGGAATTACAATACTAGTTTCAACCAAAACAGACTTTAAACTAACAAAAATCAAAAAAAGGAAAAAGAGCATTACATAATAGTAAAGGGTTCAATTCAACAGGAAGACCTAACTGTCATAAATATATGCACCCAACACAAGAGCACCCAGATTCATAAAGCAAGTTCTTAAGAGACCTTCAAAGAGACTTAGGCTCCCACACAATAATAGTGGGGTACCTTAACACCTCCTAAAAATATTAGATCATCGAGACATAAAATTAATAAAGATATTGAGGACCTGAACTCAGATATTGAGGACCTGGATCAAATGGATTTGATGGACATCTACAGAACTCATCACCCCAAACCAATAGAATATACGCCCTTCTTACCATGACATGGCACATACTCTAAAATAAATCAGATAATTGGAAACAAAACTCTCCTCAGCAAATGCAAAAAACTAAAATTATAAATAATCTCTCAAGCCATAACACAAGAAAATTAGATATTAAGACTAAGAAATTCACTGAAAACCATACAATTACATGGAAATTAAATAACCTGCTTCTGAACAAATATTGGATAAATAATGAAACTAAGGCAGAAATCAAGAAGTTATTTGAAACCAGTGAGAACAAATACAACATATCAGAATCTCTGGGGCACAGCTAAGGCAGTGTTAAGAGGGAAATTTATATCACTAAGTGCCCATATAAAAAAGTTAAAAAGAGCTCAACTTAACAACCTAACATCAGAACTGAAAGAACTAGAGAAACAAGAGAAAACCAACCTCAAAGCTAGCAGAAGGCAAGAAATAACCAAATCAGAGCTGAACGGAAGGAGATAGAGACACGAAAAAACATTCAAAAGATGAATGAGTCCAGGAGTTGGTTTCTTGAAAAAAATTAATAAAAATAGAAATGCCACTAGCTAGACTAATAAAGAAGAAAAGAGAGAAGATCCAAATAAACACAATCAGAAACGACAATGGGGATATTACCACTAACCTCACATAAATACAAATAATCATCAAAAAATATTATGAACACCTCTGTACACATAAATTAGAAAATCTAGAAGAAACGGATAAACTCCTGGACACATATACCCTCCCAAGACTGAATCAGGAAGAAATAAAGTCTCTGAACAGACCCATATGAGCTCTGAAATTGAGTCAGCAATAAATAAGCCTACCAACGAAAAAAAGCCCAGGACCAGGCAGTTTCACAGCCGAAATCTACCAGATGTACAGTGAAGAGCTGGTACCATTCCTGATGAAACTATTCCAAAATATTGAGGAGGAGGGACTCCTCCCTAACTCATGCTATGAGGTCAGCATTATCCTGATATAAAAATCCAGCAGAGACACAACAATAAAAGAAAACTTCAGGCCAATATCCTTGAGAAACATCAATGCAAAAATCCTCAACAAATACTGGCAAACTGAATCCAGCAGCATATCAAAATGCTTATCCATCACAATCAAGCAGGCTTTATCCCTGGGATGCAAGGTTGGTTCAACATATGCAAATCAACAAGTGCGGTTTATCACATAAACAGAACTAGAGACAGAAACCACATGATTATCTCAATAGATGCAGAAAAGGCTTTTGATAAAATTCAACATCCATTCATATTAAAAACTCTCAATAAACTAGATATTGAAGGAACATACTCCAAAATAATAAGAGTCATCTATGACAAACTCATAACCAACATTATACTGAATGGGTAAATGCTGGATGCTTTCCCCTTGAAAACCAACATAAGACAAGGATACCCCCTCTCACCACTTCTATTCAAAATAGTATTAGAAGTCCTGACCAAGGCAATCAGGCAAGAGAAAGAAATAAAGGGCATCCAAATAGGAAAAGAGGAAGTCAAACTATCCCTGTTTGTGACATGATTGTATATCTAGAAAACCCCATAGTCTTGGCCCAAAAGCTCCTTCAGCTGATAAGCAACCTCAGCAGTCTTAGGATACAAAATCAGTATGCAAAAATCACTATCACTCCTATACACCAACATCAGTCAAGCGAAGAGCCAAATCAGGAATGCAATTCCATTCACAATTGCCACAAAAATTTGCATATCTAGGAATACAGCTTACCAAACGGTGAAAGATTTCTGCAAAGAGAACTACAAATCACTGCTCAAAGAAATCAGAGATAACACAACAAATGGAAAACTATCCGTGCTCATGGATAGGAAGAATCAATATTGTTAAAATGGCCATGCTGTCCAAAGCAATTTTTAGATTCAATGCTTTTCCTATTAAACTCCAATAACATACTTCCCATAACTAGAAATAACTATTTCAAAATCCATAAGGAACCAAAAAGGGCCCGAATAACTATGGCAATTCTAAGCAAAAAGAACAAAGCTGGAGGCATCATGGTACCCAACTTCAAACTATACTAAAGGGCTACAGTAACCAAACCAGCATGGTACTGGTACAAGAAGAGACACATAGATCATGGAACAGAATAGAGAACCCAGAAATAAGACCACACATTTACAACTATCTTGTCTTTGACAAAGCTGACCAAAATAAGAAATGGAGAAAGGATTGCCTATTTAATAAACGGTGCTGGGATAACTGGCTAGCCGTATGCAGAAGATTGAAACTGGACACCTTTGATACACCGTATACAAAAAGTAACTCAAGGTGGATTAAAGACTTAAATGTAAAACCCCAAACTATAAAAAATCTGGAAGACAACCTAGGCAATACCATTCTGGACCTAGGAATGGGCAAAGGTTTCATGATAAAGACTTCAAAAGCAATCGCAACAAAAGCAAAAAAAAAATGACAAATAGGATCTAATTAAGCTAAAGAGCTTCTACACAGCAAAAGAAATGATCAACAGAGTAAAAAGACAACATACAGAATGAGAGAACATTTCTGCAAACTAGGCTTTGACAAAGGCCTAATATTCAGCATCTATAAGGAGCTTAAACAAATTTACAAGAAAAAAACAACCCCTCTAAACTGTGGGCAAAGGACATGAATAAAATATATAACACACATGAACAAAATATGTAACATAAATATAACACACCAGAATGTCCCAGACATTGTCAAATATCTTTGCTGAAGAACGAATAATAGAAGGCATTAGTAATTTGCATTTCAAAATATTACTATTTAGATAAACCAATGTATCTGTGAGAGTTACAAAACCCGTACCTTTGTCCCTGAACTCACTTCAAAGAGCCAGCCACTCATTTCTAGTACTTCTCAACCTAGTGTTTCCGCTCTGCCTTCAATTTCTTGTCTTTTTCATATTCAGCCCATCCTCCACATTGTCACCAAACTAATCTTCCTATCATATTTGTTTGATAATTTCAACCCCTACTTAGACATATTTAATGTCTTCTAGGTTTTAGAGGATAAAAGCCAAAGTTCTTAACCTCATGTTGAATAGCCTCTAAATGCTGGCCTCAGTGCAACTTTCTAGCCCTCTCTCTTGCCTATCAAAAGTTTACCTGCACCTTTACATTTTTCTTAAAATTCTTAAAGTGATTTATCATGCTTTCATTTTATATTCATATTTTTCCTTTTTACTCTCTCTCTGCCCATCCCTCACACCAACATCACCCATACCTGAATACAGCATATATTCTAGGTTCTTTATTGCTATTTTGAATTATTATTTAGATAGTGAACTTTTCACATGTTCATATCTTATCTATACAGTGAGATTTTAATCTTTGAGGTACTAAAAACACAATCAATCGAAGTAACTCCCACATTGTCCATATAAAACACCGCCTCCTATTTCTGACATTGGAATGTATGTGACTCTTAACAAATTAATGTAAGACACTTTATTTTTTAAAATGGTCATGGAATAGAACTATCCTTATAAGATTTATTTTTCCAAGTTCAGTTATTATTGCTTTTCAAAATATTTGGCCGGGCACAGTGGCTCACGCTTGTAATCCCAGCACTTTGGGAAGCCAAGGCGGGTGGATCACTTGAGGTCAGGAGTTCGAGACAGCCTGGCCAACATGGTGAAACTTCGTCTCTACTCAAAATACAAAAATTAGACAGGCGTGGTGGTGCATGCCTGTAATCCCAGCTACTCAGGAGGCTGAGGCACAAGAATCACTCAAACCCAGGATGCGGAGGTTGCAGTGAGCCGAGATTACACCACTGTACTCCAGCCTGGGTGATAGAGTGTGATTCCATCTCTCTCTCTCTCTCTCTCTCTCTCTCTCTCTCTCTCTCTATATATATATATATATATATATATATATATATATGATTAAATAAATAAATATATAATAAATCAAATAAATAAGTAAATATATATATATTTGATCTGTTCTATGTCAGGAAAAGCTATGAGGCTATGAGCTGAGTACTCAGAGCATTAAAAAACCTGAGCTTCTTTGACAACTATACTTTGAATAATTTGCTACCTGAGGCAAAACAACATATCAAATTCAGACAATCATTCAGATATGAGTGATATTCCCAAAGCATAATCATAGAAAACAAAATGAAAACTTTTAGGCCAGTCATACCTGGACTTATATCCTGGCTCTGCCGCTTATTAGTTTTGTGATCACAAATTATTAAAATCTCAGATCCTATCCTTCATATGTAAAATTAGAATAATGATTATTTGTTAAAACTTTATTAACATATGCTTTTATATATTAATACATACATATAAATATGCATTAAATATACTATTATATATACTTGTGTAATCTTGTGCAATTTCTTGCATATAGAGAACATTCAATAAATGATAACCATTATTAAGTAGTGCTGATATTTTCGTATGTATTTTAAATATTTGAATAAGTAAAACTAGGGTTAGTCACATCTTTCTTCTTAGGCCGTTTAATCCAGTTAACCTCTCAGGACATATAGAATCCACATAGAATCATATAGAAAACCTGTACTTTTGCCTCTGAACTCACTTCAAAGGGTAAGCCACTCATTTTTAACACCCAGTCTAGTTTTTCTACTCTATCTTCACTTCCCTGTCTTTTCCATATTTAGTACATCCTCTACATTGTCACTATACTAATCTTCCTACCATACATGGAACTGTTTATTTCAAAGAAATAGATTGGTAAGTAGCCAACACTATCAGTTCAGTTACTATCACATTTATCCAAGTCACTGTCAAGCAATTCAGCCATGGCAATCTGCAGTAATAGTCAAGATGGTTGAAGGTATGACATAATGCATTTTGGAATATTTGTTTGGAAAAGGTCATAGTAAATGGAGGAAATTGATTAAATAATGCATTTAACTAGTATATTATACACACTGAACAAGGCCGTTATGTTTAATGTGTGTGTGTGTTTAAATGTGTTTGTTCTATTATAGCAAATAATTTAACAGGAATATAAATTATGGCTTGAGTTTAAACTGCATATGATAGAAACATTTTTGGAAGGTAACATTGAATGAAGTTAGTTTGATTTCATTTTCAATTTAGGGTATTATATAGTTTGGTAGTGTTTTAGAGTCTGGCAGGAATTAGCTCTGGTAACATGAATTAAGAGTCAAAACACAAAGACTTCTGGTAATAATTTAGACAATGATTAGATGTAAAACCTTGGATAAATTAGCATGATTTTTAGTTCTGGTATCTATAGAACAAGGAGACTGACCTCTCAAGAATTTTTTTAGTTTCAGATTCCTCACATGCACTCCAAGTAGGCAAAGGGAAGAATGATTAGTTAATAGATGAATCAATGAGTGATTGCATAAATGGATAGAAATCATATAGAAAGACTGCTTTCTTCACATATAGACAATAGTCAAGAGAACTATTAGGATAATGTCAGCCTGATGTGCTCCCACAGCAAAGCTATTGCATATATATCTAGAAGCTGCAAGTTTTAGGGATGTACTGGGGAGATATCATGGTCCCTTGGATCATATCCAGAATTGGGTTTATATACTTTTAGCTGGTTCTGCAGGAAAGAGGTCCTTCATAAAGGAGTGTAAATTAGTTCAACCATTGTGGAAGACAGTGTGGTGATTCCTCAAGGATCTAGAACTAGAAATGCCATTTGACCCAACAATCCCATTACTGGATATGTACAAAGCATTATAAATCATTCTACTATGAAGACACATGCACATGTTTATTGTAGCACTATTCACAATAGCAAAGACTTGGAACCAACCCAAATGTCCATCAATGATAGACTGGATTAAAAAAAATGTGGCACATATACACCATGAAATACTATGCAGCCATAAAAAAGGATTAGTTCATGTCCTTTGCGGGGACATGGATGAAGCTGGAAACTATCATTCTCAGCAAACTATCACAAGAACAGAAAACCAAACACAGCATGTTCTCACTCATAAGTGGGAGCTGAACAATGAGAACACATGGACAAAGGGAGGGGAACATTACACACCTGGACCTGTCAGAGGTGGGGAGCTAGGGGAGGGATAGCATTAGGAGAAATACCTAAAGTAGGTGATGGGTTGATGGGTGCAGCATACCACCATGGCACGTATATATCTATGTAATAAAACTGCACATTTTGCACATGTACCCCAGAACTTAAAGTATAATAATAATAAGAAGAAGAGAGTGATCAATGGTCCTGTTGTGTTGATGAGCTTGGCGACACATTCTTGATTTCAAATTATTTATATATAAGGTCTAGAATTGTACCCAATTTCTCTTAGCTATTGTGAAAGACATGAAGATGTACCTCTCAGATTCCCCTTCAGGGAAGGAATTGCTGCCCAGCTGTGGTCAGCAGACAGCCTCCATATGTCAGATGTTTTAGAACCTGCCTCTGCTGCAGAGAGCCACCCTCCCACTTCCCCTGCTCCCCCTCCCACCCACACCAGGCCACATTCTTCCCTGGGATGCCTGAATCTGACGACTGGGCAAGAGGGGAATATGGTGGGACATTTCAGCCCAACATGGACACACTAAAGCACAATACAGTACACCTTTGAATAATATGGGACTGCAGCTCCACTTGTATGCAGACTTTTTTCAAAACATATATTAGAAAATTTTTTGCAACAATTTGAAAAACTAACAGACAAACCACATAGCCTAGAACTATTGAAATCATGAAGAAAAAATAGGTATGTCATGAATGTAGAAAATAGATGTAGATACTAGTTTATTTTATAACTTACTGTCATAAAATATACAAATATCTATTACAAAAGTTAAAATTTGTCAAAACTCACACACAAGCACTTTTAGATCATACATGGTGACATTTGCTGTACCCAGAAATAGAAACAAACATGAAAATGCAGTATTACATTATAACCACATAAAATGAATTGTAGCATATACTGTACTGCTGTAACAATTTTGGAGCCACCTCCTATTGCTATTACAGTGATCCTAAGTGTTGATAGTATCTGCTTAAAACATGTGATGCTAATCATCACCTCATCAGCAGTTCATCTCTCAAATTGTATATCACAGTGAAAAGTGATCTCTCACAGTTCTGGCACATTTTTCAACATGTTTAATGCAATATTGTACACTTTAAGTAATACCATAGAATCCATACAAATTGCCACTAGTGATGCTGGAAGTGCTCTCAAGAAACAGAGATAAGTCATAACATTACAAGAAAAGGTTGATTGCTTCCTATGTGCTGTAGATTGAGATCGGCAGCTGCAGTTTGCCCCCCATTTCAAGATAAATGAATCCAGTGTAAGGACCTCTTAAAAAAAAAGAAAAGAAAATTGATGAAGCCAGTGTTACAGCTATGCCAGCAGACAAAATACCTTGCACTTTTTGTGAAATACCTTTTGTTCTTGCATTGAAAATGCAGCTTTTATGTGGGTGAAGGATTGTTATAAGAAAGGTATACCTATAGATTCTAATATAATTTGAGAAAAAGTGATGTCGTTACATGACAACTTAAAAGGATCTAAAGCTGGAGAATTTAACACCAGGTAAGGATGGTTCGATAATTTTAGAAAGAGATTGGGCTTAAAAAATATCAAGATAACAGGAGAAGCAGCTTCTGCTGACCAAGAGGCAGCAGATGAATTTCCAGATACCATTAAGAAAATAATCCAGGAGAAAGGATATCTGCCTGAACAGGTTTTTAATGTAGCTTGAAAATGCTCTATTCTGGAAAAAAAAAAAAAAGCCACAGAGGTCATTTATTAATAAGGAAAAGAAGTGAGCTCCAGGATTTAAGGCAGGAAGGGATAGGCTAACTCTCCTGTTTTGTGCAAATGCAATTGGGTTTATGATCAGGACTGCCCTTACCTACAAAGCTAGTAACCCCTGAGCAGTAAAGGGAAAAGTTAAATAACAGCTGCCAGTATTTGGTTGCATAACAAGAAGGCCTGGACCAGAAGAACCCTTTTTCTGGATTTGTTCCATCAGTGCTTTCTTCCTGAAGTCAAAAAGTTATTGGCCAGCAAGGGACTGCCCTTTACATTCCTTTTTGGTATTAGACAATGCCCCTGGACCCCTAGAATCTGAAGAGTTCAACATTAAAGGCATTGAAGTGGTGTGCTTTCCCCCAAACACAATACCTCCAATTCAGCTTCTAGATCAGGGGGTCATAAGGACCTTGAAGGCTCATTACACATGATCTTCTATGTCTTCAACACATTGGAGGGGACCTTGGTAGAGAGAACATCATAAAAATCTGGAAGGATTACACCATTGAATTTATCAAGGTTGTTAGAGAAAAAGCTGTGAAAACCATCAAGCCCCAAACAATACACTCCTGTTGGAGAAAACTGTGTTCATATGTTGTGCATGATTTCACAGAATCTACAATTGAGCCAATCAAGGAAATCATGAAAGAGATGGTGAAAATGGCAAAAAAAAAAAAAAAAAAAAAAAAGAAAAAAAAGTTTGGGAGTGAAAGATTTCAAGATAGGTATCTTGGAGAAATTTAAGAACTAATAGATACTACATCAGAGGAATTAACAGAAGATGACTTGATGGAAATGAGTTGCAGGCAATGAGAAATAAGGTTTAGAAGAAGCAGTGCCAGAAAACAAATTGACAGGAGACAGTCTGGTAGAAGGGTTCCAATTATTCGAGGCTGGTTTTTTTTGTTTTTGTTTGTTTGTTTGTTTGAGACGGAGTCTCGCTCTGTCACCCAGGCTGGAGTGCAGTGGCGGGATCTCAGCCCACTGCAAGCTCTGCCTCCTGGGTTCATGCCATTCTCTTGCCTCAGCCTCCCGAGTAGCTGGGACTACAGGCATCCGCCACCACGCCTGGCTAATTTTTTTGTATTTTTAGTAGAGACATGGTTTCACTGTGTTAGGCAGGATGGTCTCAAACTCCTGACCTTTTGATCCACCCCCCACCCCACGCCCCGGCCTCCCAAAGTGCTGGGATTACAGGCGTGAGCCACCGTGCCTGGCCTCAAGGCTGGTTTTGCCTTCATTTATGACGTGAACCCATCTAAGACGCAAGCACTGAAACTACGGCAAATGGTGGAAGAAAAATTGGTACTGTATAGAAACATATTTAAAGAAATGAAAAAGCAAAAAATGTTAGAAATTACCAAGTGTTTCTAGAAGTTACATCGAGTAACTTGTCTCTCCTGTTTCCCCTTCCATCTTCTGCATCTCTGCCACCTTTGCCACCCCAAGACAGCAAGACCACCTCCTCCTCCTTATCTCTCCTCCTCAGCCAACTCCATGTGAATATGACCAGGATGAAGACCATTATGATAATTCACTTTCACTTAATAAATAGTAAATATTTTTTGTTATGATTTTCTTAATAACATTTTCTTTTCTTTAGCTTACCTTGTTATAAAAATACAGTAAGTATATAATACGTACAATGTACAAAATATGTGTTAATTGATTTTAATATTATCAGTAAGGCTTCCGGTCAATAGTAGGCTATTAGTTAAGTTTTGGGGGAATCAAAAGCTATTAATATATGCACATATGTGACTGCACAGAGAGTCAGCATCGCTATGTCCTGAGTTACTCAAGGATCAACTCTACTTCACCAGAGCTCTCCATGTATTTGGAAGAGGCTTTGTTGGGCCTGCGTTATGGTTAGTACAGTTCATTTTTTCTTCCTACCAGATGTTAGTTTTTCACCTTCCCTTCACGGACATTTATAATAAAATATCGCATGCCACAAACTATGTCTCAGCATCTGTTTCCAAAGAACCCAATTTGTGACAGCTGTAGCATAGTAAGAATTGATAATGCAGGAATAATCAACATTCAGCACCCCTCCCATCCGTCCTTCCTCTGGCACATCTTCAATCCAAAATTTAGAAACTTCTTTCACAGCTGCCTTTGTTGACTTAGAGACAGGTCTTAGGAAAATTTGCAGTGGCACGGTATTGTCATTAGAGTTAAGTGGCACATTTATAGATTTTTCAAAGTCCATCTGTCTTTCCAGATATCTATAGTAAAACGTTTAGTGACTTGTAGGGTGCTAAAAGTTTTCACACACACACACATGCACACACACACAAATGTGCACACACACACTTCCTCTCAACTTAATACTTGCCTTCCTGGTTAGTCATTTATGGAAGTTCCCTAGATTCCTCTCACTAATTGTTAGGGAATGTTTTATTTTGACCAGAACAAGTCTAATTATACTTTTTAATAGAAGTGTGATACATTTCCTAGCAAACACAGAGGCAGATAGATCAAAGACTTAATTTGTCATGATCAAGTAGTTGGGGTGGGATAATTGGTTAGGCAGATACTTCTGGGGTTGGTGAAGAGAAATAGGAATGAGATTTTAAGAGAAGGAAAAATTATAGCCTATGGTGGCCTTGGAGAGTAGGGGAAGAGCTTGGAAAAACAGGGAGAGGTTCTAAAAAGAGAAGAAAAAGTGAATGCTTCTGATTGATCTGAAGATCTGAAAATATAACTCTAAAGTTTTATCTGAAGATATAACTCTGTATACCTGAACAGCTTATTTGATGAGTGAATTGAAGAAATCAACATCAGATGTAGAAACATTAATTTTATTATTTTTCTGTGCAATGAAACTTTCGCATATTTTAAAAACAAAAATGTATGTTTAAACTACTAGTTTTGCGAATGTAAGTGGTTGAGTGGTTTATTGTAATTTGTGGCTGCAGTGATTCACAGAGGGAGTCGGTATTGTTAGCTTTTATTGATGTTCTCTATGTTGGAGAAAGTGCGCTTGGGAATAAAGAGGATATACCTTGGCTCTGTGTGGAAAGAGAACTGAGATGGAAGACAATGGATCCTTGTTTTGTCTTCCAGCTCTAAAATTCTGAATCTAATTCTGCAAACTTTTAAGATCTTCCTTAACACAATTTGTATCATGCAATGGCAATGATCAGAGCCAATACTAAAGGGATTTATTGGAAGAAAATTTTTAAATGTATGAACTCCCAGTCTCCTGCATATTTTTATGTCTGAGAAATCAGTTAAAGCAAGCGTCGGAGATAGTTTTGAGTGAATATGTGACAAAGGGTCATCTTTTGCTGGAGAAATATCTGGGTGCTTGGGAGACTGGGTACAAACTATATCTACCTTAGTGGTCATGGTTGAGCATATGAGCTTACTGTATATACATATTAACTGTAAACCATTGAAAATGAGGTGAAATAATTTTATTTCTCACCTTATCACCTTAATCTGCTCAGTTACATTGAGTTAAGCATTACTATTTTTCTCATTCCAGAGTTTAATTTATGCAAAGCACATAAAAAAGTGAAGAACTTTACTAGGAAAAAAGGAACCAAAAAGTTATAAAGGGATGCTTAGGTATAGAGAAGAAACAGAAGAAGAACACACATATTTTGCTCAACTAAAAGAGTAGAACGTTAAGTTTCATTAGGACAGAAACTGTGTCTGGCTCATTGCTTTATCCCCAGGGCCTAAGCAGTGCCCAGCACATAGAAAGCTTGCAGTAAATATTTATTGAATCAATCCCAATTTAACCATTTTTGCGTCATAAGTGGATGAAATATATTGGTTTCACATGTCCTCCCCTAACGTTCACCAAACACAATGGAATTATATTATTTTGTTGCAACAGTTATTCTCCATGGATACCATTTGCCAGGAAATGTAAAGAACAAAGGCCATGATAGCGGACAAACAACTTGGAAGCTTAGCCTCCAGGTGGAGAATTGAAATATCCCAGGGCCAGATATTCTCATCAACAAGCTACTTTTGTGTGAAATAGTTCTACTTAGTCTAATCTTTGTAGTTAGAAATTGTATTTAATTTGCAGTACAGTGAAAAATACGAAATTATTCAATAAAATGGTTTGCTTTTTCTTATTTGAAAGATATTTGAATTATGAGGCTAATTGCTAGCTTGGAAGTTGAGGAAAACCTACAGTGAAACAAGAAGTAATGCAAAACTGGGCCTGGAGAAACACTAAGCATTGCACACTCGCAAGTGACCTTTAGCTGACGATTGGTTAAGAGGATTTTTCCACCAAGAGAAGTCTGTCTGTAGCAAGGTGACGACTCCTACAAATAGCCCAGATTACAGGGCTTCAAAAATCTGTTTCATGTGATTTTTATATGAAGGTTTTAATTAAATATATTCAGGGAACTTAGAGAGATCTTGAGCCAGAAACCAAAGTCAGAAAATATGTCTATTTTTTTTCCAATGACTTTGAAGGAATTAGTTATGGTAGATAATTTAGGGTAAGGAAGACTTTTTTCCCCCCAAGGACATGGTTTGCTCTATATAAGAACTCCCACTAAACCAAAATGAAAGGCTTATTCATTATGGCTGAAAATACCAATTATATCTCAGACAAAATGACACAGACTTAGTCTTTTTCTCTATACCAAAGCAAGCTGTTATTTTTTTATAATGGTTCTAGTCAATAATCATCTATCTTTATTTCAAGTTGCACTTCAACAAAATAGAGTACTTCAAAACAATCCTTAAGCACCATTAAAGTGATTATTACCTGCTCCAAACATAGGGAAATAGGGATGAAGATAAGCTGTGTGATTTATCAAATACTCCATTGCCCAGAAAGGGCAACAGTAATTTTCCAAGTGAATAGGTTAACTACTGGACAGTGCTATTTCTGTAGAGAAATCCAAACTCCATGATAAATTAAATCACTTATAGTGTACAAAAATAATGGTTTATAGATTTAATTCACACACATTTTTTGAATATCTATTATGTGCTAAGAAGGCAACTACTAAAGTATGTTCAATAGAAGAGGTTTCCCCTAAATGGGATTACATAGTACATAACTGTGAAATCCAGTGTAATATGCTACATAGCATATTAGGTGTAAACTAATATAAATTAGCATATTGAAGATTCTAAGAAGTCCTGTAGTAAATAAACCTGTTTAACTTTGTTTAGCAGAATGCTTTTTGAGCATATTTTGAATTTGTTCATGTATAACCTAATGATATGCTACAGAACACTGATGATATGGTGCTTAATTTAGAAGACTAAAAAGTGAATAATATAATATCCTTGCCCTTTACATTGTCTGGTGAGAAGGTCAGACAAAAATATAAATAGTTAAAGGAAAATGTAACCAATGCTATGTTCAAACATGCACAAAGAACCAAGTTATTAATTTCGCCTGAGATTCAGGGAGTTTCATCAAGGTGGTCAAATTTTATCTGGCCGGTCAGGAATGCCAGAAAGAGGCCACAGAGTGGGAAAAGAAATCACAGGTGTGTGAATTGACACACTGTGTCCTACCACAGCACAAGCTGAGGAGTGGGTGGGTCTAAAGGGGTGAGATGAAAAATAAGACTCTACAGTTACGTTTCAGCAAAAATTGCAAAGTGCCTTGAATACCGCACTAATTCAGGTAATGGAGGATCTTGGGAGATCCTTTGACTGAATGAACAAACTGTTTCCTGAATGCTGATAAGATTCAAGGAGTTAACATATTTGCTTTGTGGTCTCATCATATTTAACTTCCTCTTACCTTGCCAGACTTTTTTTTTCCACCGATATCCTAGCCTCTCTGAGGAACTCCTTGTAGAGGAAGCACCTGGAGGCAACATAGCAGCTTACTTAAGGCAGTTGACTTTGTCACTTAACTTTACTAAGATTGAAAGGATTCTTTGATATTTTTCATTATTTAGATTTAACCCTAGGCTCTTGGTCAAATTCTTTTCTAAAAATGTTTTTTAAAATGGAATAGGATAATATTAACTTAGAATCTAGAAGCTTTCCAGAAGTAAGTAATGTGTAGGTTCTCCTAAAATGTCAAATGTTCTTAGGTAAAATTGTTCACAGGGGTTCAGAGAAGCAGCAAAGAATCATTTATATTTTCAGAGAACTTAAACTTCTCAACCTTTAAAGTTTCCTTATCTTTTATTAAACACACCATGAAGTGGGGACCTGGTCTGTAACAAAGTCTGCACATGTTCAAGTTTTGCATTACATTAGTTCCTAAATCTATTTTATTTTAAATGTCCTCCTCTTTCTCTGAATACAAAGTGGATGTCTTTTGCTGCCTGAAACTTGGCATTTCTGAAACTCATTCAGTATATAAATATATACCTACTCCAGGAACGTGTGCCCATGTTTGACTATTTCCTAGAAATATGCTCTCTACTGAGCAATCTGTTCAAGCTATTGCTCTGCTGTGAAAGATTCCCCTTTTCTGAATGAAAGGCAAAAGGCATCTCAAGTTATGGGGAAGGTCACTGGCATTTGTGCCTAGAGATCCTGGGAGTGTATATATGTTAATAGACGTGAAGCTAATTTAAATAACATCATTATCATAATTAAAATAGAAATTTTCATTGGAGGTTAAATCAGAGGGTTTTCTTTCCTGGCTTGGTTGAAAATACTAAGCCACAAATTCTTCCTCTAAACACCTCATCTACTCCCTCTGCCAGCTATCTTTAATTACTAATGCACATTAGTTACCCCTTACCTTGAAATTAAGTGGTTCTTGTGTAGGTAATTTCAAAAAAAAATCTAAAAGGATTTAATTATGCTGAAATTTTAAATCCACCAATTTTTGTTGTGTTCTATACATTTGATGGAAGATTAGCTACCATTGCTGATGTAAATCCAATCTGAAATAAAATTCTTTTTCACTTTACTCTTTTTTTTTTTTTTTTTTTGAGGCAGAGTCTCGCTCTGTCGCCCAGGCTGGAGTGCAGTGGCGCGATCTCGGCTCACTGCAAGCTCTACCTCCTGGGTTCACGCCACTCTCCTGCCTCAGCCTCCTGAGTAGCTGGGACTACAGGTGCCCGCCACCACACCCGGCTAATTTTTTTTTTTTTTTTTTTTTTTTTTGGATTTTTAGTAGATAGGGTGTTTCACCGTGTTAGCCAGGAGGTGTCGATCTCCTGACCTCGTGATCCGCCCGCCTCGGCTTCCAAAAGTGCTGGGATTACAGGCATGAGCCACCGCGCCTGGCCTCACTTTACTCTTAATTTTTATACTAAATGAAACTCATATGTATCTGGGGAATTATACATGTTATCCTTTAAACAGTAATATGGCATACCCAATTCTTTAGTGGTGTTTTGAAATATATAGTTACTGATTTGCTATTATTTATATTTCTAATAACTTTAATATCCCCAAAGTCCCCTGCACTTACTACTCAATGAAGCACTGGCCAAATGAATCAAATAGAGATAATTGGCTCAGCACACACATTTCCTGAGTAATAGAAAGAATTGGGGATAAAATAAGCATGCATATTACGTCATTTGTAAGTAGCAACTAAACATTGAGTACACATGGATGTAAAGATGGGAGCAATAAGGCCGGGCACGGTGGCTCACGCCTGTGATCCCAGCACTTCGGGAGGCCGAGGTGGGCAGATCACGAAGTCAGGAGTTCAAGATCAGGTTGACCAACATGGTGAAACCTGTCTCTACTAAAAATAAAAAAAAAATTAGCAGGGCATGGTGGCATACATCTGTAATCCCAGCTACTCAGGAGGCTGAGGCAGGAGAATGGCTTGAACCCAGGAGGCAGAGGTTGCAGTGAGCTGAGATAGTGCCATTGCACTCCAGCCGGTGTGACAGAGTGAGACTCTGTCCAAAAAAAAAAAAAAAAAAGGTAGCAGCAATAGACACTGGGCACTGGGGACTACTAGAATGGGGAGAATTGGAGTGGGGCAAGGGTTGAAAAACTACCTATTGGGTACTATGCTCACTACCTGGGTGGGGGGATCATTCGTACACCAAATCTCAGCTACATGCAATTTGCTCATGCAACAAACATGTACATGTACCCCATGATTGTAAAAAAAAGTTGGAAAAAAAAAAGAGTGTTTCACGCGTTCACTGAGGGAAGAGGGTTTTAATTAGGATGAGGACGTGTCCATAAGAATCAAGGTCTGGATGTTGAGAACCTTTAGGGAATGGTGTTGTCATTCTCCATGTGTAGCCAGCCTAAATGGCTCCATGGAGTCTCCTTGTCTGTGATTTGTGATACTGTCTTGCTAAAGCTAAATTGCTATTTCAACTGGAATCAATATTGACTGCTTTGGTGCTGATTGTGTTGAATGTGACTGTACTAATGCATATATTCAATTTGCCCAAATCTCTTGTCTCTTAAGTTCTCCTGCCACTTATTTCTATTTAAACTGTGACAAAGTCTTCCTGGATATTATGTGGCTAGTCCATAGAGCTAACAAATTATTTACATCAGATTTGCCTCTTATTTTTCACTACCGTACTACAATACAATTAAATTAATACCACTTAGCATCTACGTGATCCTAAATTCAAGAGAACTCCCCTATATAGTGGCCAAGTAGATAATCTAAAACATGCTTATATTAAAATGTTCAGCTCATTACCAAAATGAAAGCATGCTATGAAAGGGAAATATTGTGGAGTACTTGCTGACTCTGGAATGTACAGAATCCCGGGGACCTCAGTTTGAAAGCATCACATTAATTGGTTTGCCAGATTTTGTATTTGAAGGGAAATGAGTGTTTCTGATGTAATACCACCGGGAAACTTCCATTAGTGCCTCGTTAGTGCCTTGTCATTCTCCCCATTAATTCCAAGGGTGTTACCTGGAAATATTAAATGACAAGGTGTTGGATGGCAATTAGAAAGGTCTGTTTGTCTTTTAAATGTATCCATTCCTTTTGGGGACATTCTGATTGAATATACTGAAGACAAGAATGTTAAATAGGAAACATAATCCTCATCCTCTTGGACTACAACATACCGGTAAGATGACCATACACCTTGGTTTGTCTGGAACAGTCCCAGTTATACCTGTTATTCTGGTGTCCCACTTGGTTCAGCATTTCTCACGGGCTTTTCATTTTTCATGAAGTAGTTTTATTAATAGCTACAGGAGGAGGGTTGGCAGAGCTTTACTTTGTGCATCAAATTGCTGTCAGTCTTTCCTGTGATCATGTGAGATCTGTGCAGTTATGTCAAAAAGTCTCAATCTCAGCCTGAAGTGTGTGTGTGTGTGTCGGTGGGAGAGTAGTTCTTCTGAGACCTTAGTTCTTTCATTGTCTACTCTCATTCGGCCTAGTGGTAGTAGCTGACCCTTTACACATGCTACTTATGCTTCCCTTTCCCTGATTAACAATTCTTTATATTAACTCTCCTCTGTTCAAATAACTGATGTGGCTTTGTCTCCAAAGTGGAGGCCTACTTTTGGAGCAAGTTCCCGGAACTACCCTTCGGGGCACTCGTGCCGGGAAGCACATCCTTCTTCACATAGTGGCAGCAAAGAGAAGTGCCGAGCAAAAGGTGGGAAAGCCCCTTATAAAACCATCAGATCTCGTGAGAACTCATTCACTATCACGAGAACAGCAGCATGGGTCTAAAGGCCCCCATGATTCAATTACCTCCTACCAGGTCCCTCCCACGACACATGGGGATTGTGGGAACTAAAATTTAAGGTGAGATTTGGGTAGAGACACAGCCAAACCATATCAGCATCCAAGGAGTAGTAAATTTGGTGAAAATCTTGGCAATCATCCATTGTTTCACTGCACTTCACAAACTCAGTAGTTTGGTGTATATTTTTACAGACTATTTTTCCTCTTAATTATCACACATATATGCATCTCCTAATTTGGTGTTTTACTATAAGTAAAATCATAGTATATGAATTTTCTGTGACTTGCTTTTATTTATTTATTTATTTATTTATTTATTTATTTGAGTCGGAGTCTCACTATGCCACCAGACTGGAGTCCTGTGGCGTGATCTTGGCTCACTGCAACCTCCACCTCCAGGGTTCAAGTGATTCTCCTGCCTCAGCCTCCTGAGTAGCTGGGATTACAGGCACGCACCACCACGCCCAGCTAATTTTTGTATTTTTTTTTTAGTAGAGATGGGGTTTCACCATGTTTGCCAGGATAGTCTGGATCTCCTGACCTCATGATCCGCCCACCTCAGCCTCCCAAAGTGCTGGGATTACAGGTGTGAGCCACTGTGCCTGACCGCTTTTTCTTAAATATCTTAAAGACTCTATGTAAGACCATATAAACCTATATATTTAAGTACACCATTTTAAAATAATAATTTTGTCAATTATAGTATAGTTTTATATTTATGGAAAAGTAGCAAGGTTAGTACAGAAAGGTTTTTCTATACCCTTCACCCAGCTTCCCCTATTGTTATTGCCCTATATTACTATGTGGTATATTTGTCACAACGAATAAACCAATATCCATATTATTATTAAACTCAAGTCCATACATTACATTTTCTTAATTCTCTTATTTTTAAACTAATGCCCTTTTCTGCTCCAGAATCCCAACCAAAATACAACAGGACATTTAGTTGTCATGTCTCCTTACTAGCATCTAGATTGTGACCCTTTCTTATACTTTCTTTGTTTGCTGATGATTTTGACACTGTGAGGAGCGCTGGTTAGGTATTTTGTAGGATACTCTTCAGTTTGTTTGTTGGTTTGTTCTGATGTTTTTCTCATAGTTAGGTACAGGTTATGGGTGTTTTGGAAGAATACCACAGAAGTGGAGTTTCATTCTCATTATACTATGCAAGGGCACATGCCACTAACGTGACTTGTTACTAATGATGTTCACCTTGATCATCTGATTTGTCATGTTTTTCTACTGTAAAGTTACTTTTTTGGCACCCTTTTTCATACTGTAAGAAGGAATTCATAATGTACATCCCACACTTCAGTGGTGGGGAGTTATGCTACTTCTCCCAAAGAAGATATATCTTTAAATGTTTATAAGGATTCCATGGTATGAATGAGTCACAATTATTCAACTGTTCCCACATTTAGTTAAGTTTTTCAATGTTAAAAACAATACTGAAGTGAGTACCCTGGCATGTAGCATCTTTGTGTGTGTGAGTACTTCTGTAAGATGGTTTTGTATTAGGCTGAGGCAAAAGTGATTGCGGTTTTTGCCATTGAAAATAATGGCAAAAATCACAATCACTTTTGCACCAGCCAATAGCTTTATAAAAGTAGAATTGCTGAGAAAAGTGATGTGCCCATTTTCTATCTGATAAGATGATGTCAAGTAACAGATCTTCAAAAAAATATTAACAATTTGCATTTCTTTAAGCGTTCATAAGTGTGCTTTTTATGTCTCTGCACAAACAGGACCTTTGACTTACCTAAAAAATAAAACCAAACATTCTCTTAGAGTTCATCTAATAATTTTAAATTTTAATATTTTCATCTATTTTTGATAAATCAAATTATTTGTGTGTGTAATGTGAGGTAGGAACCTCTTTATTATTTTTAGTAAAGATAGCCACTGTCTCAACACTACTTAATAAATATTTTATCTTTTCCCACACATTCAAAATACTGCCTTTAGCATAAAATTGCTTCACATTTTTAAACATTTATACAAATGATCTACATCTATATATCTATACCTATGCTAGTACCATGTTGTTTTAATTACTAGACTTCATAGTATATTTTGATAGACATCTGGTAAAGCAATTTCTTCTATATTATTTTAAATTATTATTCTTTATTCTTATTTAAGTATGTTACTCCTGCCAGCTAACCAGAATCAGGTTGTAAAGTTCTATAAATAGTTGAAAGTTTGATTGAAAAATCATTTAATTCAGACATTAATTTAGGGAAAATTAACTATTTGATAATATCAAGTCATCCAATTCGGAAGCATAAATTCCTCCATTCATTCAGATTTTCATTTATCTACTTTGATAAAGATTAATAAATTTATGCCTATCTCCTGCATGTTTCTGCCAGTTTTACTCTAATGTTCTACATAGATTTTATTGTGTTCATCTGGTTAACTTACTGAGCACTCTTAGTAACGCCATTTTTAAAATATATTCTCTTGAATTTTTCAAGCTTATTATATCTTCTGAAAATAATGTGAGTTTTGTCTCATTGTTTCAAATAGTCATTGTGTTAGGCTATTCTCACATTGCTATAGAGAAATACCTGAGATTGGGTAATGTATAAACAAAAGACATTTAATTGGCTCTGCTTCTGCAGGCTGTACAAGAAGCATTGCAGCATCTGCTCAGTTTCTGAGGAGGCCTCAGGGAACTTACAGTCATGGCAGAAGGTTAAGAGAGAGCAGGCACATCACATGGCACAAGCAGGAGCAAGAGAGAGGAGGGAGGTTGTGATGGTTAACATTTAGTGTCAACGTGATTGAATTGAAGGATGCAAGTATTATTTCTGGATATGTCTGTAATGGTGTTGCCAGAGGAGATTAACATTTGAGTCATTGGACTGGGAGAAGAAGACCCATCCTCAGTGTAAGCGGGCACCATCCAATGGGCTGCCAGTGTGGCTAGAAAAAGCAGGCAGAAGAAGGTTGAATAAGCTGGCTTGCTGAGTCTTCTGGCTTTCATCTTACTCCTATGCTGGATGCTTTCTGCCCTCAAACATCAGACTCCAGGATCTTGGACTTTTGGAATCTTGGATTTACACCAGTGGTCTACCTGGGGCTCTTGGGCCTCCGGCCATAGAGTGAAAGCTGCACTGTTGGCTTCCCTACTTTTGAGGCTTTTTGACTTGGACTGAGCCACTACTGGCTCAGTTTGCTCCTCAGCTTGCAGACGGTCTATCGTGGGACTTCACCTTGTGATAGTGTGAGTCAATACTGCTTAATAAACTCTCTTTCATTTTCCTTATCCAGTCTATCATGAATGGGCATTTGGGTTGATTTCATGAGTTTGTTATTGTGAATACTGCTGCAATAAACATACACGTGCATGTATCTTTGTAACAGAATGATTTATATTCCTTTGGGTATATACCCAATAATGGAATTACTGGGTCAAATGGTATTTCTGCTTCTAGATCTTTGAATCTAGAAGATTCACTGTCTTCCACGATAGTTGAACTAATTTACACTCCCGCCAACAGTGGAAAAGCGTTCCTTTTTCTCTTTTCTCGCCAGCCATCTGTTGTTTCTTGATTTTTAAGTAATCACTGGAATACCATGCAGCCATACAAAGGAATGACGTCATGTGCTTTGCAGGGACATGGATGGAACTGGAAGCCATTAGCCTCAGCAGACTAACGCAAGAACAGAAAACCAAACACTCTGTGTTCTCAGTTGTAAGTGGGAGCTGAGTGGTTAAAACACATGGACACGTGGGGGAACAACACACACTGGGGCCTGTCAGGGATGTAGGGGAGAGCATCAGAAAGAATAGCTAATGGATCCTGGGCTTAATACCTAGGGGACGGGTTGATCTGTGCAGCAAACCACCATGGCACATGTTTACTTATGTAACAGACCTGCACATCCTGCATATGTAATCCAGAACTTAAAAGTTGAAAAAAAATAACTCCCTTTTACATATACATAAATTCTATTAGTTCTGTCCCTCTGGAGAACCCTGACTGATACAGAGGTGCCACACAGTTTTTAAATGACCAGATCTCACAAGAACTCACTCATTATTGCAGTGGCAGCACCAAGAGTATGGTACTAAACCATTCCTGAGAAATCCACCCCCATGATTCAATCATTTCAACCTGAGATTTGGGCAAGGACACACATCCAAAGTATATCAGTCCTTTTATTTTCTTTCTTTTTTTTTGTTATTAAATCTTAGTGCAATGTTGGACAACAGTGGGTCTATCTTTTGCTTTATTTTAACTGTGATATTTTACTATTATATTGGTTTTATTTTTCAGATTCTCTTTATCAATCTAAGAAAGTTTTCTTCTTATCTTTCCTTTATATTAATTTGGAATCTGGAATAGCTATTCAATTTATCAAATATTTTCACCAGTTTTCCAGTTTTTATTTTTTTCAAATATCTTAATCTAATGATTATTATCTACTGTTGAACCATTTTTTAATTTAACTTATCTGGATGAGATATATTAGACTCATGCTATACTGCTAGATTCCCTTTAATAATGTTTTATTTAAGATTTTACGGTTGATATAAATAATTAGAATGAATGTATCAATCATGAATGGTTTTGCTAGACCCTTAGAAGATTTTCTATGGTTTTTTTTTTTTATATATTGATTTAGGTTATACAGGCATCACCTGTGTTTAATGTTTTGTAAGAAATTTTCTGGGCCGGGCGCGGTGGCTCACGCCTGTAATCCCAGCACTTTGGGAGGCCGAGGCGGGCGGATCACGAGGTCAGGAGATCGAGACCATCCTGGCTAACACGGTGAAACCCCGTCTCTACTAAAAATACAAAAAATTAGCCGGGCGTGGTAGCGGGCGCCTGTAGTCCCAGCTACTCGGGAGGCTGAGGCAGGAGAATGGCGTGAACCCGGGAGGCGGAGCTTGCAGTGAGCCGAGATCGCGCCACTGCACTCCAGCCTGGGCGACAGAGCGAGACTCCGTCTCAAAAAAAAAAAAAAAGAAATTTTCTGAAAGGCACCTGTGACTGGGCTATCTTTTTTATTTCTTTTATAGATACTAGTCTCTTCATCCCTTTTCTTAACTAAATTTTGGGACTATATAGTTTTAAAAAATGTATCTATTCACTCCAATTTTTAAACATATTTATATAAACATTAAAAATAGTATTTTCTTATTTTAAGGTATCTTCCATACCCATAGTTATAGTGCCTTTGTCACTTCCAATGTGATGTGTATGTATCTTATTTTCTTAATTAAATGTGATATCTGTGTCTGATTTACTTCAAAGTATAAGTTTCTCCACTTGTGTTTGTTTTCTATGGCTGCAGTAACAAACTACCACAAACATTATGGCTTAAAACAACAGAAATATATTCGCTAACAGTTCTGGAGTCCCCTGAAATCACGGTGTCAGCAGAGCTGCACTCTCTCTGAAGGACGCACTGGAGAATCCATTTCTTTTGTCTTCCAGCTTCTGGTGGCTCCAGATGTTCCTTGGTTGTGGCCGCATCAATTCAGTCTCTGTGGTCACACTGGCTCCATTTCTTTCTTAATCTCCTGTATTTTCCTTTTAGAACGATACATGTGATTGTATTTAGGGCTCACCCAGATAACCCAGGTAAACTTTTCTCAAAACCCTTAATTTAATCACACATTTTGCCACAAATGATAATATTCACATGTTCTGGGGATTCGCATATGAACATGTCATTTTGGAGGCTGCATTCAGGCTACATTCCACTTCCCATTTTCAGGCAGCTACAAAATTTTCCACATTTTTAAGAAAGTTAAAATTTTTATTCTGTTCAGAAACCACACTAAATTAAGCTTTCCCTCTTTTGGCAGTGTGCTACTTCTAGAAGGTAAATGCTGAAAATGAAAATAGCATTTACATTATTATGTCTAGGTTTATATTGCCTGGACATAATATTATACCTAGATAGGTGCTGTTGCCTGCAGAGTATGCTAAGAATACGCCTTCTCTGTCTAATGTCACCACCCCTCTCCCACTAATTTTCCTAGCGTCTAGCACAAAGAAATGCTCTTGTCTTCTTTCATTCAATTCCATATTTTGGTTTCTTATATGAGCTTTTAAATTTTCTTTTTCTCTAGGGTTTTTAATTGCTTTCTTCTTGTTGGTTGATATCAGACACTGTGCTTTCCTCACCTTGCTGCTAAGATTATCTGGAACCTTGATTATTTTCTCTTTTTTTCTAAAATCCATTCTTTTTTCTTAAAATTTTCTTATGGTTCATTAACCTCTTGCCCAATTGATTTATCCTATTCCTATAAAAATATTTTTCATTTGCAAATTTTACCTTTATTTTTCTGAATATATCCTTAAGTAATTTCCTAAGAAATAATGTGTGGGAGGTAATTTTTTTTTTTTTTGAGACAGTGTCTCACTCTGTCACCCAGGCTAGAGTGCAGTGGCACAATCTCAGCTCACTGCAGCCTCGACCCCCCAGGCTTGATGTGATCTTCCCACCTTAGCCTCCAAATTAGCTGGGACTGTGGGTGCCTGCCATCACACTTGGCTAATTTTTTAAAAATTTTTTTGTAGAGACAGGGACTCACTCTGTTGTCCAGGCTGGTCTTGAACTCCTGGGCTCAAGCAATCCTTCCTTCTTGGCCTCCCAAAATGCAGGGATTACAGACGTGAACCACTGTGCCTGGCTGGGAGGTAAATTTATAGAGTCCTTGATTGTTTTAAAATGTTTTCATATGGCCCTCACAGTTGATGGATACTCTGCCCAGGTATAGAATTCTATATTCATAATCATTTACCCTAAGTCACTTGAAGACTATTTTGATGTTTTTTGTTTGTTTTTGTTTTTGCTCTCGAATAGTGCTTCTCATAGTGTTGATTAGAAAACTGATGTCATTCTGATCCTTATCCCTTTAAAGGTGACTTTTCTCTAGTCTCTTCCTCTAGAAAGTTTAAGACTTTCTATTTTGTATTCATATGATACAATTTTATGATAAAATTCTACTCAGCACCAAGAAAGTCTTTTCCATCTAAAAATTTGTTTCTTTATGATTACATTGATTTGATGTTTTCAGTTGGCTTCAGCTTATTATTTGTTATTCACCAGGAAAATGAATTTATCAAAAGGATATTAGGTAGCTACTACAGTCCTAATTTCTGCAACTGATCAAAGGCTGTAGTTGATATTCATGCTTCTCCACTAATTATTTCACGATCCATTTGCCTTCAGAAAATGCCTCATGTTGTCAGTGTTTTTTATCTTGAGAGACAAGTAAATTCTTTACTTTTTAAGATCTGAGCCCATAGTCCTTGTGTGGATTTTTTAAATATATTTTTTATTAACTTTTACCACTGGTCACAAATTCATTCGAATGCATTCATTCGAATCTCTTCTGCAAAGGTACATTTGGATTGTTTTAGAGTCCATCGAAATAAAACCTCTGAAATAATCATTGTAGGTATTGCTTTCAGCTTTTTTCCAGGCTTTATGCAACAATAAACCTCTATCCTTCTTTCTTCCTGTCAAATTATAAACAAAGAAATATCTAAGCACACACGTTATTTGTATTTCTTGCTTTCTTCAAAACATCCACTTAGTGATAATTCCTCCTCTAGAAGGTTTAAACCCATTCTTTTGTCTTTGGCTTCATTTTTTTTTTCATTACCTTCGATTCTATCTTGTTCCTTCTGTTTTTTGTTATATGTGTCAACTCCTGGGCTGGCCTTTAAGCTCCTTGAGAATAAACACCATATTCCTACAGAATTTCACAATAGGACCAAGTTCTGACTGCATGTAAGAGGAGTTAGGTAAATATTGTTCACATATTTAATGACATTTTATTTATTTATTTATTTATTCATTTATTAATTTATTTATTTTGAGACAGGCTCTCTTTGTGTCAGCCAGGCTGGAGTGTGGTGGCACAATCATGGCTCACTGCAGCCTCAGCCTTCCGGGCTTAAGTGATCCTCCCACCTCAGCTTCCCAAGAAGCTAGGACCACAGATGCCACCATGCGCAGCTAATTTTTTTTTTTTTTTTTTTTTTTTGTAGAGATGGGATCTTGTCATGTTGCATAGGCTGGTCTTGAACTGGTGAGCTCAAGAAATCCTCCCACCCTGGCCTTTCAAAGTGCTAGGATTACAGGCATGAGCCACCACTCCTGGCCCCATATTTAATTACATTGATCCAACAAATACTTACAGAATATCTCATATAGGCCAGGCATGGCTTTGAGAACTGAGGATACAGAATTGAATAAGGCACAGAAGAGTCCTGCCTGTCTTCATAGGGCATTCTATTCAAATGCTTCTATATGTGACATTCTATTCTGTCTAAATTTAGGTTAAATTTATGTAATGTGATCAGACTAAAACTTGTTGTATGCCTATTCTATGCAGGTTAGTGTCTTGCACTTTCTGTGGGAAGGAAATGATGACATGAAGACATAGGCCCAGGCCCTAAAGGTATTGACAATTTAATGAAGCATATACACTGCATAGGCATACCAGCAAATTGAAGAAAGACCTTATAGGTCAGAGGCTAATACTTTGTAGGGAAAAGAATGAAGTTTTCGCCCTGGAAGTAGAAAGAATTTGAGTGAGTAAATTCGAGGCACTGAATCAAGAGAACGAGGAAAGTCATAGCACTGCACTCAACTCATGGGATTCTCTTACTCATCTTAGAACAACTACGAAATCCCTTTGTATTCATTCATTACATGGAACAATGCATTGATCTCAAGGAATGGTCAGTTCTAGCAATTGTCAAGGCCGAGAACTTAACTGTCCCTGTCCCAATTCTGAACCACCAGATCTATACATAGCTTCATGTGTAGCTATGGTCTTACAAAGGCTCTCTGTGGGGTTTATTTTTAATTCACTGTCTTATTTTTTTTCTTTTTTTCAGGATATGTTGTTAATGTCATATTTTAGTTACCATCTATATTGTTGCTGAATTCTCTTCCAAGTTTGCTGCCTGTCTTTCTAGGGCTGCTTTCAAAACTATGAGCTTCTCTTACTCTCATTTTTGTTTTAAAATATGTTCACAAAACCATTTGAGTCAAAACCTAGCAAGGTATTTCTCTTTTTTATAAAAGGCTGTGCCTGAGCCCCTTACAAGCCTAATGAGCAAATAAAATTCTGGATCTGAGTTATTTTAAGAGAGCTTACAGGCATTTTTTTTGACTAATATTCGAGGTTCTCTTAAATATTTTACCATAAAGTCTCCTGACTGCTTTTCTTCATGGAACTGAAATGGCATGTTGGTAAAATGTGTATTTTCATTTAAAATAAAAAATGAGCACACAGTGAAAACTTTTTGTCCCAAGAAGCTTGAATTACAAGCTTCCAGCTAAAACTTCTTTTGAAGTTTTAATTCCTTTTCTTGTAAAGAACACAGCATCAAGGTATATAAAGATCCATAATGCAGAAATTTGGCTGATTCAAGCGTCAATAGCTTTTACTTTGGAACATTTTAGAAAACAGTAAGTAATATGTGAATATATCCTATCATTTTTGCTGAGGCTAGGTCTTTATGATTTTTAAAATGTTTAAAATGTAAATTCAAAATAAACAGCAGTAAAATAAAACAATAAAGATCGTGCATTTTACATTATTTGAGGGCTGATCGCTCAGTTCTAGAAATACTTGAGCACTCATATTTTGATCATTTACTTGATTCTTGCATTGATTCTTAGCATGCTCACATAAAAGAATGAAATGAAACAAATTTAAATTTAAGCTCATTCTTAACTTGTGTGCAAGTCTGATAAGGGGCTTGGTGAGCAAGAGATTGAAAATAATTCAGCAACTTAATGTTACCTGCAGATGTGAAATAATTCATGCTTTTCTCCTCATTACCTTAGAAAAGCTGCATAAATTGATGTGAGAGGGAGAACACTGGCCTGCTGGTTATACAGAATCCTACATATTTTCTTCCACCTCACGTAAGGCATAATCACATGAGGAGGCAAACACATGAGGAATATGTCTACACATTCAAATTAAATTTAATTCCAACCGTTGAATAGTTATTTAAATGTAACTTCAAAATACTTTGAGAAATAACATAACTACAACTTCGAATTTACGTAGAGTCTTTTCTCACATTCCTCTCTAGAGTTGCCTTCTATTTCATCAATTTCTATTCCTTCAGTTTAATTTCAGGTGACCTAAATTTCCATGCAGTGGACATTGAATGTGAGATAATAGCTGACATTTTTATTTCACTAGAAATTTTTAAGTTAATTTCATTTATCATCTAATTTGATTCTCTCAATGACTTTAGTTTGTATAAAATCTTTACATTTTACAAGATTAAAAACTAAAAAAAAAAAAAAGACAAAAGATAATAGATTTGCTATGGTGCCCAGCTTGACAGGCAACTATAATGTATTCAATAAAGGATACTTATTACTTCTCTTCTGCTTTCAATAGTAATAAAACAAACACTTGCTGATTACTTATTATATGCCAGGCACTATACTCAGCACATAATGGTTGTTATCTCATTTAATTCTTATAAGAATCTGTGCAGTAGGGTTATTAATATATCCATTTAGCAGATAAGAACATTGAGCACTGAAAAGTTGGATAGCTTCTCCAAGGTGTTAAATTGGTTGAGCTGGAACTCATACTGGTGGGATACAAATTCTGTTCTCATACCTTCTTTGTTATACTCTCTCTGGCACTTTATTTTGAGTAATAAGAAACCCCTTAAACATTAAATTATGTGTTATTCTCTCAAGAAAATGTATTCTCTTTCAGAAAGTTTTGGTAACCATTCTTATTCCACTAAGCCCTCAATACAATAAATACCTCTTAGTTTTTATTTTAAAGTGCATATTCTAGAGTGGAGAAGAGGTGCTGACAAATAGCTTACAGAGAGATTTAGAAGCAGATGAGTTTAATTATAAACTAATTCTTCTCATGTCTCACTTTACCAAGCTTTGGTTGTTTTGAACTTCTACCCTTTTTTCCAGTCTGTATGGATAGCTATGATGTGGCAAATACAAATTAACTTACATCCTTCCATGTTGGTTTTATTATGCTCTGCAAAATTTCATTATTTTGAAAAAAAAAAATCTCACACAGAGGGAATAGGCTCTGTGTTGAGTTGGAAACCTGTTGCTGGTGATTCTGTCTGTCTTGGGACATGGCCGCTGAGACAGTTTACCCCTGCTAAGAATTCTTTGATTCTGGCCTACTCCCACAACGGGTTCATGCTCTCTTTTAAATTAAATATTGCATATCTATCTCCACTAAAATATTCCTTAGCACTCAGGGTTTTCTGTGATTTTATTCACAGTTGGAATCCTATCAAAAAAATTCTTAGATTCCAATCCTATTATGAGGTCCAGGTGGAACAGATGCAGTGTTGATAAGTTAGAATCATTTTAAAATTTTGTAATGTTGTAATGTCCTAACATAATCTATTAATGGCAAGTTATCCAGTCTTATGCCCAGCCTAAACTACCATAATGATCAGAATTTTACTATGTGTGTGGAACTGATGAATTTTATTTAAAATTCGGACTACTTAAAAAGAATATTCTCATCCACTTAGTTATTCTCATCCTGGTACCAAAGACCCTACTCTGAATTCTTAGACAGTGGTTTCTTATGTAATGTACTTTGGAACATGTTGAAATATGTGTGTGTGTGCGTTTGTACACACATGCACATATGCATGAACATATAACAATAATAAAAATATATATTTACTAAAGAATAAATAAAAATGAAGATATGCAATGTAGTTTATTTTAGAAATCTAGCATTAGGAAAGCAGATAAATCATGAATTAGAATTTTAAAAATAAAAATATTACATTTATGGTTATAATTATTATACATATATAAATATATTTTTGGCTTCCTATGTGTGATCTTCTCTATGAATTCCCTCTCATAGATGCAGAGAATAAGGTGGGCACTGATCATTTATTCAAATCACCAAAATAAAAGCAAAGCTTAAAATTAAAAGTATTTATATCATTTTTACTCTATATAGCCAAACAATTTGTGTCATTGAGTACTTTCAACACTTTCTAGTATAGGCAATTCTTTGTTTTTTTCAGGTGGTCATATAAACATAAATTTATATGAAATCTTTCAGATGACATATTTTGCTTATAGTACTGATGAAATCTAGATTTGCAACTATTAAAAATATTGCTAAAACAGTTAAATTAACTTTGTTTATACTTTAATGCACAATTAAGGAGACAAAGTTAGTCATTGAATACTTTTTAGAAAAGTATATATATTCAATATTAATTTATTCACTCATTCAATCCAAAGGCATTTCATGAGAACATACTGGTGCCAGGAACAATGGTAGGTGCTGCAGTAACGGTGAACAGACTCATTCTCAAGATAATACAAATGAGATTGAATTAATCTTGAAATACTCATGGGCATGTTTAGTCAGGCCACATTACAATTTATAATGTCATTCCCTAAATTCAAGTAAAGTTTTATTTTGTTTTGTTTTGCTTTTGCTTATTTAAGAGAATATTTTGTTTTTAATTTTTGTACTTAATTTGGAGCTAGATCACACTGATGTGGTTTACAATGATAGTACAGAACTATTCTGAAGGTTTATCTCAGATACATGCACAGAAACCTGGAGCATGAATATACTAATAAAACTCGGAATCTATTCTGAAACTCTGAACTCATTTCCACCAAAATAGATTTACATTCTCCAAAATCTGTGATTCAGTGACATCTGTTTAATCTACCACATCTTTTGAATATGAATATGTATACTTTCTTATACAGGTGAACAATGCCCTTTTCTTGTTTTTCTAGGAGGTTTAAGTCTCCTGTGTTTGGTGAGTTATGTCTGATCACTAAGAATGCTATATCTTGAAAGCTGCTAAATGGCTGACATTTTGGGTCTCTCAGCAAAATTTCATTGGTAAAGTCTTTGATCAGGAATTAACTCAGTAAATTCTTTCAATAAGTTTTTTTTTTTTACTTGAGTATCTGTAGCACTAAAATGAAAACACACACACACACACACACACACACACACACAAATCCTTTATACTTCATCTTGACTTATTTCAAATAGTTCTTTAACCAGTAATGGATAAGAGACAGGACAAAGAAAATTTGCTTTCTGGTCTGCTTACTCTTAGCTATCACATTGCCAATCAAATTTGCAAAGTTCACAGCATGAATTCACCTGATAAATGATGCAATGGAACAGGGGGCTCACTAACCTTCTCTTTTAACTTAAAGAAACTCTTAAAACTTATACTTTCCTTTTTCTCCATTCCAGGAAAAGTGGCTAGAGTTTCTATAGCCATTGAAACTGTTCCATCTTTTACTCACCTTCAAAAATTCTTTACTTCTGTAGGCGAAGATTAGTAAGGCTGTATAGGTTGAATATCACTTATTTGCAAATCATATAAGATTTTGTTGTCATAAAAGCACCAGGTAAATCTGCATCATTGGTGTAGTGATATATACCATATTTTTATCTTTAACAGTAAGTTTATTATTTATTTTTCATCTCACAATCTTCTTTTTCTTTATTATAAGCTGAATTCAGTTCCTCCACTTGGAGAACTGTATTTATTATGCTTTTTTTACATTATAGTTAGTACTTTTTATTTTTACTAAGTATTGTACTCTCATATGACATTATGTGTGTCCTAGAACAGCACTTTCTAAACCTGATTGTACATTAGATGCACAGTAGAATCACTTGCATGCAAAATACAGATTCTGGGGTCCTTTGAATTAGTTTTGCAAAAATATCAGTGAGTTTTGAAGTTTATGCCTGTGTGATGGAAGAATAGGAAACAAATGGCTAAAATGATTTGTTATAGTAACTATGATTTTTAGGGCTCATATGGCATAAACATAAATGTTAATGACTAGTAAAGTAACAGAAATTTGAGAAAGAAATACACAACAAAAAGTTATTATTTTTAATAGAAGGAGAATACTCTTAAAATTTTACCCTACTAAGGACTTAGGAAACATAAGCAAATGCAATTTGTAGTCATTGGAGACTGATTTGAACTACCCATAAAATTCACGTTTCGGGATAACTGGTATATTTCAATATGAATTACGTATTAAATAATACTAGGAATTACTATTAGTTTGGTTAAATTTGAAAATGGTGGTGTCCTTACGGAAGACAATGTCTTCATTTTTTGGAGACGCATACATGGAATTCTAAAACTCAGTCTAAGTTTATTATATTTCCGTGTCACTTGAAATGTATAAAATTAGACTAAAATAACAAATGTGCAAATATTTATATTGACAAAGAAATCAAATAATTAAAAAGAGAGAGAGAAAGTGATGACATATGCTAAAAGTGAAGGAAACAAAACTCTTCAGTTCTGATGCTGAGAGCATTGATTTCAGTCAGCTGTGACTCACTCAGGCCTATTTGGTGTCAAAATATCACACAATTTTCTTTAAGTGATGCATTACGTACACACACAAAAATATCTGGTAAATTGTAATCAAATGTTTAATGTAGGTGATGAACATATGAGTGTTTGACTTTTCTTTCTACTTTACTGTATGTTAGAAAATTTTCATAATAAAAAGTTTATAAAAAAGAACCCAATCCAAAGCTGATAACCTTTCTTATCTGGATTCTGGAAAAACCAAAACCAAAAGCAAAATATATCTGATAATCATAGAAAACATTTTTTTGTTAGTTAGAAAAGAATGTGTTTTTTTAATTTATTGGTTTATACGTGCATTTATTTATCAAACATTTATTGTCTATTAACTATGTTTCAGAAGTTATAGGTGGTAAAGGTGTAATTATTAAGCTATATTCCTACCATTGAAAATCACTTGTCCAGTGAGTCATAACTTTTTTTCATATCATGCCATACAGAAAATGGTATTATTTCTACAACACACTGAGAGTAAATTAATGAATGAATTTGAGGCTTGGAAAAATTATTATATATTCTTTAAATAATAATTTTGAAAAGAAATAAAAAACATTAGGGGATATGTTGAATACTGAGTTTGTGTAACAAATCCAAATAAAACCTATAAACGAGAAACTTGAATGTGTTGCACCATTAACTGAACATTGTCTGGTCTATTTCTTTTTATTTTATTAGTCCCTAAATATAGTGTTGACAGTTTCCATGTAGGCTTGTAAAATAAGCAATTCTGCAATTGACCGAAGCATTTTGACTTCAGATACTAATTGAATGACCTTCTGTCTAACTTCTTGAGCTTTTACTAATACTGTTATAAATAACTAAACTAAAAAAGTAACTATGTTTTTTATTTTGCACTTATCAACTTTCAAAAAATCTTGTCGTCATTTTCTGTGTAATATGTATACAGTTTTGCTTGGCCCGTTTATTTGTTTGATAACTTTCCTATGCAAATAAGAAAATAAAACATTTGCTCTGGGAAGAGAATGCTTATCAGATACGGCACATGAGTTCAAGTTTTATCTAATCTACATTATGATGCTTATTTAATTTTTTAATCAAAGTCATTTTTTAAAAAATTAGATTGCCATGTTTGTCTTGTGACTTTCTATCTTTAATTAAGATATTATTATTAAAAAATAAGTACCTTTGTGAAAGACATATATTTAACTATAAAGTATTTATGAAAGATTTAGGTCATTATAGCAGGAGAAAGTTGATTTAAAAATAGCTATTTTAAATTCTTAAGGCTACTACAAAAATCACATGAAAATTTGAAGATTTAACCATAGAATAAACACAATATTACTAGAATGTTATTTTTGTCAAATTAATAATTAAATTCTAAAAACTTCACAAAACAAATAGTTTTAATCATGTATAATATTTTGAATATCTATAATTGGACAATGTAAAGGTTTATAGTTCACTTTAACGAATTGTTTCATTTAAACTGTATACATTTATTATATATTTTTAGAAATAAATTTATTTTGGCATTATAAAGTATTAGTAAGCTTAATACTTTATTGACACACCTGTGTGCTGCCACACATTGGATAGTGAGGAAGGCAGACCAAAAGGAAAGCAACACACTGTGTTAAGGACTAAAATAGACCAACAGTTGATGTGGAAACACTGACTGGGAGGGCCTAAGCATATCTGAGTAAGTTACAGACAGTTGAAATGAACACTCAGAGTCAAAACCAAAGAGTTTTATTTTCTTCACTTTACCATGCATCTTATCTTTCTCTTTTTAACTATTTTACTTTTTGTCAATGCAAACATCTGTATTTTGTTTTATTCTACTTTTAGATATCTCAAATGATAGGAGAGTATAGGAAACTAAACATCAGAACTAACTTCATAGCCCAGCTTTATAAAGAAAGGAGTTTAGATACCAGTGGTCAGAACCCTGTGTGCATGTCACAAACCTCAGAGAAAGAATGCTCACTACTGCTTGGCTTCCTCCTGCTCCCTCTCTTCACTCTAGAGCCTTGTTCTTATCAACACGTCTTAGGTTATATTTTTTTAAAGTACATTACTTTATCCTACCCAATTTCTAGGAGAGACACCTTCAGTTATGTCAATAAAAGTTTTGTAAGTGCTTTTGGTTTCCCACATTGTTTTAACTGACAACCATTCTCATTTCACAATGATCATTTCAGAATAAGATTGTAATTTTGTTGTTTCTTACAATCATCCGCACTAGGCGGTCATTAAACTCAAGAAGCAGGAGTAGTAGGTCAACAAAACAGCATGTCCTCTGACCTTTCCCAGTTGTTACTCTTCTTGTAAGCCCTTTTATAGTAAACCTTGCATAGTAAAATCTTAACCATATCCAAAGAAATGTGGTGGTGATCTTTGAAGGTGTAAGATAAATACAATTTGTTGTTAACAAGCTAAAGTACAGAAAAAGCCTTAAAAGGAAGCTTTGTTTTAATTTAAACTGATGTATTCATATACCCCAATATTCATTATTCTTTTATTATAACATTGTCAATTCCTTTTCATTGGCAATGTTTTTGTGTTTGCAAAGAATCAGCAGGTGTAACCAAGCCTCCATTAAATTTTTACCATTCTGAGGAAGTTGCAATAATCCCCCCTCTCCAAAAATAGTTCAGAGAATGCTGCTTCAAGTCTTTATCCCTTATTTCTGTTCAGGGAGACAAACAATGCTATACGTGCACTGCTGAAATCCTAGAGGCTACAGGAGTCACTATTAGCCAGAGGAGTTCTATTTCTCCACTTGAAGGGTACTGTGTGCGAGGTTCTGAGTGATTCTGGGCAGTTTTCCCATGAAGTTTCTGCGTCTTCCATGCTCAGAAGGCATCCAGCACCTGAACAGCATCAGCCTGTCTCTCACCTTCTCTCCTCCTCTCAGCTCCCCAACCCTGGAGAAGCTAGTGGCAGTCTTGTGAGTGGGAAGGTGGAGAAACATTAGGAAGGGCTAAGAGGAAGCTACCATGTCACCTGTTCCATCACAGGCAGCCAGGCTAAAAGCCAGCCAGAGCTGAGGAAAGAGAGAAGACTTGCTTCAAATGAGGTTAAACATTTTCACTATTTCATCAGATGGAGTTTTATAGTTACTGAACTAAAAATGACAAGAAAATTCATGAACTTGTTCTAGATGTCTTTCAAGAGGCAAGAAAGTTTCTAGCCCCTCAGAAGAGGTTTGATGGGACAGAAGCTGATAAAAAAAAATTGTTTCTATGATTGTACTCCATATGTCCTTCCTGGTCAACATAACAGTTACATAACATGTCTATGGTCACACAACAGTCAAGGGTGATACTCGAAGTGGAGTTCATGACTGTCTGACATCTGAGTCTTTGCTGATCCAATACAAACAACTAGGATAAGCTTGAGTGAATATGGGACTAATAGAAAAATGGATTTTTTTTTTAATTTTTATTTTGAGACAGAGTCTTGCTCTGTTGCCCAGGCTGGAGTGCAGTGGCACGATCTCGGCTCACTGCAAGCTCCACCTCCCGGGTTCATGCCATTCTCCTGCCTCAGCCTCCCAAGTAGCTGGGACTACAGGCGCCCGCCACCGCACCCGGCTAATTTTATTGTATTTTTGGTAGAGACGGGGTTTCACTGTGTTAGCCAAGATGGTCTCGATCTCCTGACCTCGTGATCTGCCTGTCTCAGCCTCCCAAAGTGCTGGGATTACAGGCATGAGCCACTGCGCCTGGCCAAAAAATGGATTTTTTTTAAATTGAAAATTCAATTATTAAACATAATTGAGTATTTACATTTTACTAGGTCTTTCATAAATATAATAATGCTATTTATAAGACCATTTCTTTTCTTATATATGACATCTAGTTTATGGTTCATAACACATAGTTCAGGTATCTGCTGCTTTCAGATGCAATATCATTAGTAATTAAATGGTGATATTTTAGAAAACATGGAAGTTTGTATGAATTTGAGTCCTATTCCTGCCATTGATAAGTCTTCCATCTAGCTTCTCTGAGCTTAGGTTTTCTCATGTGAAAAAATATGGCTAATACTTACCATAAAATAAGTATTAATACTTGCTCTGCCAATTTTAAATGATTGCATTATAATAGAAATTATTGAATGTTTATAAATGAATGTAATTATATATATTTTATGAGTATATGTGTGTGTATATGTGTGTGTGTGTGTGTGTGTGTGTGTGTGTGTGTGTGTGTGTGTACATCTTTGTATGCTTGGGCTACCATAACAAAATACCATAGACTGGGTTGCTTAAATAACAGAGATTTGTTTTTCACAGTTCTGGAGGCTGGGATGTCCCAAATCAAGGTGCTGGCCAGTTCAATTCTTGGCAAGAGCTCTCTTCCTGGCATGCAGATCCCATGTCCTCACATGGCCTTTCCTCAGTGAGTGTGAGCTGAGTTGGGAAAGGGTAAGAGGAGAGAGAGAGAATAAAAGAAGAAGAGATAGAGAGATAGAGAGAGGTGGGGGCGGGGAGAGAGAGAGAGAAATAGAAAGAAAGAAATAATCTCTTCTTATAAAGACAGTAATTCCATCATGAGGGCTGTACCCTCAGGACTTAATCTAACCTAATAACCTCTCAAAGGAAAGCCCTGTCTCCAAATATTTTCAGGCTGGGGATTAGGGCTTTAACATTTCAATTTAGGGATAACACAAACATTCCATCTGTAAAGTGAGTGTGTGTGTGTATATGTGTGTATGTGTGTGTTAATACAATTCCATAAACATTTGAGTGCCTCTTACTTCAGTGATCTTTGGGAGATCTAAAAAAATGCTGAAGACACTCTGCCTTACCAGAAGTAGCTTATTATCCATTTGGTGTAGGAATGCAAGTGTACCTGTAGACAACTAACTGTAATAGAGAATAACATAAAGTAAGCACAATAGTGGTCACAAATCAAAGCTATGACAAAGTAGCATGGGTGCAATTAATTCCTTCCATGGAGGATGGATAATAAATCTAACTGGAGGAGAGAAGGAATGACTTATTAAAATTTATTATTTCAGTTGGGTGCTGTGGTAGAAATTACCAATGGTCATTGTTTACTAATAAGATGCTGATTTTTTTCAGTGTTAGGCTGGCAATGCTTCATGAACACTATCATTTGCCAAGGAATGAACACTGATTAATTAATATGGGTGTTCATCAACCCTTCTTTTATTATCTTTCCCTTCAAGAGCTTTTCTAGACTTTTTTTTTCTAATTACCTTCCCATATGAAATCTTAATATCACAGACATAATATACATCTATTTATGTGCTAAATGTGTATCTACCTACTCTTTGTACATAAAAGAGTAATAATTTTTCATCCCTCACTACCAATTATCACTCTCTTGGGCATAATAATGCTTCTGTTGGTTAAAGTCAATCATGGTATAATTCCTTTTCTGTAGGCAGAGCATGTGACGTAACCACAGTCAGTGAGCAACAAGGAGAACCCTGAGAAGGCACATAAACCTGCAAATGTGACACTTGCCGCCTTTAGATATGGTCACATCAGGATGTAATGGTGAGAACCTTAACTATTTTCTTACTATGCAGGAAAACTTAGAAGGATTCAGGGAAGCTATTATAATATAACTTTAAACATTTTGAGCTACTAAATTAACCAACCCTGGATTTACTCTTCTTCCAGTCTTCTTGATGTGTGAGATAATAGATGTCCTTATTTGTAAAGGCATATTTAATTAATATTCTCTTACTTGAAACTAAAGAATCTTATCCAATATGGGCATCCAAATATGATAGCCTTTTGATAGGCAAGGAGAACTATTGACAGGCTCGGAGAATATCATGGCAAATGTACAGAAACATGAAAGATCAAGGGAGGCTCAATGTAGACTGAATTTTTTATAAGAATGCAAAAGTAGAGACTGTTATGGGATTTCAAGAAATATGAGGCTAGAATGATACAGTGAGTCCAGATGGTGAGGCATTCTTAAATAATTTGTTTGATTTTTTTTAAAGCAGGACCCTTTTGACTTATATTTGGAAAGAAAACAGATGTAAGTGAGATGGCTGAAGAGATTGCAAATAGTCTAAGCAATACATAATTGTGGCAGTGGAAATGTATAGATGGATATGAATATGAAACATACACAGAAATAGAATATATAGAACTTGGTGAGTGATTGGAAAAGTAAAGTGAGTGAGTGAGAAGCACTAATGACTCAAAGTTTCTAGACTTGATGTTTTGGAACAACTTGTAGCATTAATAGAGATAAAGACTAGAATGGAAAGATTAAGGATTGGGAATGAGAAGTACATAAAGTATAGGAAGTTAATTTTGGGATATTTTGAATTTCAGATGCCAGTAGCATATAGAGATGGAAATACTCAACAGAACTTGGAAATGGCCTGTGGTAATAACATATTACACAGTTCTTCTTGAGTCTTCTGTATTTTCCCCTCAATTATGATCAAATCAGCAAACAGGTTTTATAGAATGATTCTGAACCAAATCATTAACAGGATATTTTATAGGAATAAGTAAAAATGTGATTTCTTCAAACACCTCCACAAAAGAAAAGTTGTAATGCTACGTGCATTTAAAGCTTTAATGCACGTGCAGTAAAAATTCCCAATTGGTTCCTTTCACCCAACTCAGACTACTGTTTACATATTGGCAGACCCTGTGTAGGTTAATTTTAGCAGCTACTATTGCTTTCATTCTCTTTTAATTTTCCAGAATATTTGGAGGTATATTACATGAAATAATGTGTAAATCAAATACGGAATCTATATATGTGGGTAAAAACTTAAACACTTCCTGAAATCGTCTGTCTTTGGAATGAAAAAGCTTTATAACAAGAACATACACGGCATAAATCTGAAAATGCTTATGTCTAAACTGGAACTAAATGTAATCACTACTATGGTCCTAGTAAAGAAGGAATGCAATTCAGAGTGTAATCCCCTCCCTTCCCTCTAAATCCAGACAAAACAACCAAACAACACTAGCATTTTCAATGCGTGCATCTTACAGCCTTCCAACCCATTATTTTAAAGAGGGATTTTCTACAGTTTTTAAGGAGAGTATTTTAAATGTTTTGGGTTATTTCCCATATGTTTTGACACTGTTTCAGATTGACTTCAAAGGGATTCTCTTGCTGGAAAATTTAGGCACTTTAACCTCAAAGGAAAATTCCACAATAGTACTGCAGAAGAACTGAACAGGAAGTCTTTCACATATACTTTGGGAAAGAAAAATAGTTTGCTTCTATGTTTTTATGGAATTTGAGAAATCATAATGTTCGGTACCATTAGCCTCTTTCTTTAACTCTCGTAAAGACTCCTTTGGTTTTCCCTTTTCTCTTTGTGGTGCGTGTGACTACGCTCAGCCTCCCTCTCCCACGAGACAGTAACTCTAACATGTTGTATAGATGGCATTTAGCCACAAGGGCATGGCAAGTGCTGCTTTCTCTGTGGCTGTCATTAAATTGTGCCTATGTTTAAAATCACACAAGGCAATGGGATTGTCTTTGACTTTTAAAAAGAATATAATTTCTCTCAATTCATATTTCCTCTTACCAAGAAAATTCACCTAACATTAGCCAAAAGTAGTTTTAAAGTTGCAGAGACTGATTAGAAAACTTCAAGAATGCAAAAATGCTTGAATTTAGATAAATTAAACTAACTGATATACTGAAATAAAGTTACATTGCATCACAATTTGTTTTTTTAAATGTGGAAATATGGCAGAAGACTTTCTGGTTTCCAGATTCCCATTATAAGCATAAAACTACAGAGCTGCTGCAAAAGTATGGCGTTCCACATTCATTATCTCGAGGCAAAAATAAAGTAAGAAAGGCAGGAAAAGGAAAGCTAGGACAAAAACTCTCACACGTAGGTGTCGTTGAATCTGAGAAGGCTGATATGTAGAAACCAGTTGACTTACAAGCTAGTAGTTAGGTCATGCCCAAAAGACAAGTGCAAAGAAAAGTTTAAATTCTTGATTCCAAAATTTAAACTAAACAAAATAATTTTTACGAAAATCCATTTTACTTGAAAAATGCTAGTCATTTTTGTCACATTAAACATATTTATTAAAATAAGTTGTTTTCACCACTGATTCTAAAAGACTGTATAATTTCTTTTTAATGTAATATTGAAAATATCATGAACTACACAAAACTTTTCATTTGAGTATTATTCACAATTCATTTTGCTTTGTGGTATTTAACTTTAAATAATAGCAATCTTTAACTATAGCTCATGATTTTTAAAAAAATTCAGCAGTGTTTAGTATTTTCAGAGTTGTGTAATCATCATCCAACTTTAGAATACTTTTATCATTCCCCCAAAAGAGAGTAGTATAACTACAGTTCAGTTTTAGAACACTTTTATCATTCCAAATAGAAACTCCTGCATCCATTAACAATCACTCTCCATTACCCAGACCGCTTCTCTAGCCCTTAGGCAACCACTAATATACAGTCTTTTTTTATAGATTTAGCTATTCCGGACATTTCACATAAACTGAATCATACAATATGTAGTCTTTTGTGACTGGCTTTCACATCATATGATTATTTTTAAGGGCCGTTCATGTTTTAGCATGCACAGCACTTGATTCTTATTTCTTTTTATCGATTACAAATTTTCAATTGTATGGATATAGACATCAGTTATATATCCATTCCTCAGTTGATAAGACATGTGGATGATTTACATTTTTTGACTGTCATTAATAATGTCAATATGAATATTTATGTGTATGTTTTACATGGACATTGTTTTTATTTCTCTTGGATATACACTTGTAAGAGGAATTTTTGGGTCATGTGATAACTCTATGGCTAACATTTCAACGAAATGTCAGACTGTTTTCCAAAATGCCTGTACTTTTTTACATTCCCACTGCTATGTACAAGGGTTCTGATTTCTGCATATCCTTGCCGACACTGTTCTTGTCCGCCCTTTTTATTGCAGCCATTCTATTGAGTGTGAAAAGTTCTGTTACTGAGATTTTGATTTGTACTTCCATCCTGTCCAATGATATTGAGCAACTTTTTATGATATCATTGGTCACTTGTATACCTTCTCTGGAAAAACATGTATTCAAATATTTTGCTCATTTTCACTTGACTTAGTTGTCCTTTTTATTACTGAGAGGTAAAGATTCTTTTCATGTTCTGAATACAAGTTCCTTATCAGATATGTGATTTGCAAATATTTTTTCCCATTCTGTGGATTGTTGTTTCACTTTCTTGATGGTATAGTTTGCAGCAAAAAGTTTTTCATTTTGATGAAGCCCAATATATCTACTCTTTCCTTTTTTCACTTGTATTTTTGGTCTCATAATTAAGAAACTATTGCTGAACCCACAGTCATGAAAATTTACTTCTATGATTTCTTCTAAGAGTCATAATCTCTTGACTTTAACCTTAACATAAAAGATGCAATGAAGAAGGATTTTTCTGAAGGGAAAGAAGGAACAATAGTAAAAGTAAAGACAAGAAATAGGAAAAGAAGTAAGGAAAGATGTTATAGATCTTTTGAAAGCAGGGAATTTGTTTATGTAGTGTGGTTTTGAAGCTCTAACTGATTGGACTTTCCAAAGAACAACTAACTTGCTTTTAAAGCTCCAGGGAACTTTAGAGATGAAGGACTGGGACTGGAGCTTTTCTCTCACTACTCTTCCTGCCAACCATCTGAATCAGGGAGGAGCATAAGATATAATGCTGGCCCTTGGGACTGGGGCTGAGGCTGGGGTGGAGCTGGAAATAGAGATAGAGCTGGAGGAAGAGCTAGAAATGAAGCATAGGCTGGGGCTGGATCTGAGGCTGGGCTAGAGCCAGAGCAGAGGCTGGGACTGAGTTTAGTACTAGGGTGAGGCAGGGTGGCCACACTTGCCCAAGCATGAGTCTCTTCCTCTCCTCTTGTATCAGTTTTCTAGGGCTGCTGAAACAAGTTAACATAAACTGGGTGGCTTAAAACAATAGAAATGTATTCTCTCAGTCCTGGAGTCTAGAAGTCTGCAGTTAAGGTGTTATCAGTGTTAGTTCCCTTTGGAGGCTCTGAGGGAGAACCTGCCCCATGTCTCTCTCCTACCTTTTGATAGTTGATGGCAATCCTTGGCATTTTTTGGATTATAGATATATCACTCCAATCTCTGGCTCCTTCCCTCTGTATCTGTGTTTCTGCGTCAGCATTTTTCTATTTGTAAGGACATCATTCGTATTGTATTTAGGGCCCACCCGAATCCAGCATGCCCTCGTATTAACTTGGTTACATCTACAAAGAGCCTATTTCCATAAAGGGTAAATTCACACAGGTTCTAGTAAATTCTGGGGAGACACCATTCAACCCAATATACCTCTTTGGTAGGTCTTTTGGAAACTGAGCTCATGTCCCAGCACTTGCAAATATGAAAGGAGCAGGAAAGGAGCTAACCAACAAGAGGACAATGCTAAGACTTTTTGTCATGACAAGACCCAATGTCTATCCCAAGCTTTATGGAAATAACATTGAAAATTATTATCATATTTTACTGTATTAAAGGAACTAGATTGTATCTTGTTTTGTTAGAGAACCACTTGAACACATTTTATGTTTCTCTTCCCAGTGCTGGCTTTCACTTTGAATGCTTTAAAAGTGTCTGACTTCACACTCTGAACAGAGCTACTGGGAGTGTTTTAGATGCTACAGAGTGACCTACTTTAGATTATCTAAACTTGAGGTGTGAGAAAAAAATTAAAATCAATTTTGGTAACTAAAAGGAGGAAGTAGAGGTATAGAAGATCACAGAAAGCTGTTAGTTGCACTTTCATGCTGACAGTCTGTGGGAAGATCCAAAGAACCATCTGTTTGTAAAGTCTCTAGGCATGTTTTAACAGTCATGCATACAGGCAGCCTTAGATAATCACCACAAAAAAAGATTCTATCACACTGACATCATTTAGGAGTACTAATGGTATTTGAAATCATATAAGAATAGGCTTAAAAATGAAAGGTACACATAGTCATGTCTAAAGTACTATACCAAATTGTTTTTTGAAGTCTGTTATGAACATACTATTTGAATACATTTTTGATGTTTTATTATGCCCTATCATCTTCATCTACTTTTATGGTTAGCTTTTTATGGTTCAATTCCATTCTGTCTCCTACTAGAGCTTTTATTAGTCATGAGAGATGAGGCTATACTAAAAGAACAACCTCAAAAATCTCTATAGCATAAAACAAAAGATTTTGTTTGTACTCCTGCAAAGTTCCGTTAGTGGGTATTCTCCTTCATTTGGTGTGTTGGGGTAGCCTTAAGGATGGCCCTACAGTCATCCCTGACTCCTTGTATTCATCCCCTCTATATCTCCTTGACTCATCTTGTATTCTTGGATATGGACTGGACTTATTGACTCACTGCTAATGATTAAATACTCAGAAATAATAGGTTGCACTTCCAGTAGTAGGTTATAAAATGACTGTGGTTTTCATCTTGAGAACACTTTCACACTTTCTCCTGAATCACTTACTTCAAGGAAAGTCACCTGCTGTGTTAGAAGGGAATCCTGTAGAGAGGTACTGGTTGCAAGGGACCAAGGCCTGCCAGCAAACCTAAGTGAGCTTGGAGGTAGGTACTCCCTCACCACAGTTGAGCCTTCGGAGGAGACTAGAGTCCCAGAAAACAGCTTTGCAGTAACCTTATGCAAGAATTTGAGCCACAGGCCCCTAGGTAAACTATGCTACGGTTCTTAACCCACAAAATCTGTAAGATGATAAACATCTGTTTGGGAGTAGTTTGTTACACAGCAATAGATAGGTAATATGTCTGGTAGCTTGGGAATCCAGGGGCTTTCCACTTTGTGATTCAACCATAGCAACATGAGACTTCAAATTTGCCCTCGTGTGGAAAAGAGATCTTGGAAAATCCACTCTTGAATTGACACACATCATTTGCACTTACAGTCCATTGGCTAGAACTAGTCATGTGGCTCAAACCTAACCTCAGGGAGGCTGGGAGAAATAAAGGAGGGCATGTAATTCTCTGTGGATATCACTCTCATTATCACATTTGCTCCATCCCTTGTCAGACATTAAATCAACAAACACTTTGAAAATTGCAATGTTAAAAAAAAAAAAAGAAAGAAAAAACATTTCTCAATCCTGTCACCTCATTAAGTTAAAATCCCTAGTTATTCCCTTTATTGCAGTGCTGCTCCTCATAAGAGACAAGTCCAGACAATCTTTCTCTCCTTGCTCTATCTCTATACGCTGCTGAATCCTATGGACTGGACTTATCTGACTTCTACCTTCAAATCTAAAGAATATGATTGTTGAAGATTTACAAGACTTTTTATATTTAAAAAATGAAAAATCTTTTCTGAAGCCCTCATCCTTGACCTCTGAGGCTCTTAATGCAAAATTTATACCAATCTTGTTAGAATTTGTATTCCCTTTCAATTTTTGTGATATATTTTATTATTTCAGTCATTGGAGGAGTCATGCTGGTGACCATTCTATTAATAAATGCAGCATCACCTCCCATTCTTCTCCAATTATATTGGTTTTACTTATTTGGCACAAATATAAGCAGGAAAGGGGAAAAGTTACTTAACATGTCTTTAAAGCATATTTGAGTTATTTTACTTCCCTGATTTCCTGTCTATCAGATTCTAGGATTACTTGGAGTAACAGTAAAATTATCGTTCAATTATTAATATATTGTATCACAAACTATTAAATAGTAAGATAGATTTTTTCTTTTTTTCCTACTTTCCCAAATTTTCCAGTGATGATAATGAAAATAAGCTGGCATCATATTCCAAGAAACAGTGAAAGGTAATTAAACAATGACCTAAGAAAACTATCGGGGAAAGCACCTATTATTTGTCATAAAGATATGTGTTAGATTTACATAAACATATTTTATTATTTAATAATTACAGAATGTTTAATTGGTATATATCATGTGTTTAACATATCTGTTAAAATTGGTTTATTGAATCCAATTTGGTTTGTGTAAGTCTGAGGAAAAGAGTTCTGAAGGGGTATGCTAAGATATCTCCTATAAAAATGTTTCTGATATGACCTTTATATTTTTTCTTTTTCACTTTTTGTTATTCCTCTTGTCCCCTTTAGTATAGGGGCTCCCAAATGTTCTGACTTTGGCCTTATCTTCCAGTTCTCTCTTCCCTTAGTGATCACATCTTCACAGCTTCAAATGACACTGCTCTGGGTATAAGTGTCGAGTGTGAATTGCTACTCTTGACCTCACTCCCAAGCTCAGAGCCTGATTTCCAAGGCCTGCTGGCTGCCCTTCTGACATCTTCTACTCTTCACTTTCAGAACAGAATTCAAACCTGCTTGTCCTCCTGGTTTTATGTTTATGCCAATGGCATGATCCTTTTCCCAGTTACTAATATGAGAACCTCTGAGTCATCTGATTCTTTTTACCTCCATCTCCAGTAGCTACCCAGATCCTGCTAGTCTTGCTTCAGCTATAGCCTTCTCAGCTATGCCGTCCTTTCTTTGTCAGTGCCTTAGTTTGTCTGACGCCTAATATATTGACTCTCATGGAAAAGACACTTAATAAATATTTGCTTATTCCAAATCACTTTGCTTATGATCTACCTTTGTCCAATACATGGTATGTATATATATATATTTTTTTTTTTGAGACAGAGTCTTGCAGTCTCACATAGGCTGGAGTGTAGTGTCGTGATCTTGGCTCACTGCAACCTCCACCTCCTAAATTCAAATGATTCTTGTGCCTCAGCCTCCCAAGTAGCTGGGTTTACAGGCACATGCCACCACACCCAGCTAATTTTTGTATTTTTAGTAGAGATGTGGTTTCACCATTTTGCCTAGGCTGGTCTTAAACTCCTGGGCTCAAGTGATCCTCCCACCTTAGCCTTCCAAAGTGCTGGGACTACAGGCATGAGGCACCACACCCAGAACCATAGTACATATTGAACAGTTTTAATCTTTGCACTTCAAGATTCACAGGTTTTTTTCTAGTGAAACATGTTATGACCTATTTGGAAGTAGCCTCAAAGAATGTTCATGAGAGAGAGAGAGAGAGAAGAAGAGAGAGAGAGGAAATGAGACAGAGAGAGATTATCTTCATCTCCCTCAGTTCCAATAAGGTGTGAAGAAGACCCAAATATCTCAATTGTCCTAATGAAGGGCATAAATGGAAGCTGAAACAAGGAGAATAAGGATGCTATGGTGAAGAGCTGCAGAGCAGACCATACAGCTCAGTCCCTGAATGGCAGTCACACCATATCTTAGGAATCACATCATCTTCATCAGCCAAGGTGGCTTCCATTGATGGGGCTTTCTCTGTTTGTTCTTAGATTATTGATGGAATATATGGAGTCTGCAAAGATGTCCCTGAAGTGGTTAATGCACCCTTCCAATGCTGAGGGGGAATTTCATTAATTATTTAGGCAGCTGATGCAGCAGGGGTGGGAGTCAAGAATTCAAGAGTCAGTGTGTTTAGACACCTCAGTGGAGACTAGCAAGAGGTAGAGGATAGCTTCAAGCCAGAAGCCTTGATTTTATGTAAGTCTATGTTCAATCTAAATACCACCTGGAATTAAGGTGTAACCTGGCAGGTCAAATCAAGTAGAACTTGTGGTACATGAAAAGATTCAACTTTATATTTTCCTCCACTAATCTTCCCTTTCCTGATGAGACAGCTGGCTGGTCCATCTCTGCTGTGTAGTTTTGCTTTTCCAGGCTGGAATCAGACAGTGCCTACTGTTTTTCTCCAACATCAGGGTAATCTCTCCAAGTAGTCCCACTGAAGCTGGGATATTGACTAAATAGCTTGAGTCAGAAAGGTTAAGGCATAAAGAGTTCATGGATGAATTCAGTTATAGAGAGATAATGAAACAATGTGTGCATAGCTATGTTGTGAATACAAATTTTAAACTACACTGTATTTTGGGAATTTTTGTTTTGCTCACTCAAGTATCCCAAGGCATTATAAGAATGTTGACTGAATGGTAAATGTTTAATAAATATTTGTTGAATGAATGAATTGGTTAAGGTAAAGGATACCCACTACCTCTATTCTAGGAATGAATCCTGGAATTGAATAAGCCTGTCCTAAGCCAATAATCTTTGCTAGAAGCCAGCTTCTAGCAAAAGGTGAGAATACAGCATTTTGCATACTTTTGCTCTAGGTTGGAGGCTGCGTTTAGCCTATGAGGAAGTGTTCTCTATCTAGGTCAGACTAGCTCACAAAGGCATTATACAAGTGTTTGAAGCCACATCCTCACAGAATGAAGATTATTCTTTGATTGATCATTGCCTCTGAGCATACACTTCTTCTGGTGACTTTGTGGGAATTGAGAATTGTCTAGCAAAGAACAAAATTCTGTGTTCCTCGGTTACCTCATAACAAGGCATCCTAATTTCACCTTTTTCATTTCCCCTAAATAAGCTTAATTTCATCCCTCTATACCCAGGCTCTTACTTCCTGTTTGGTATATCCTTTCCTGATTGCTTTCAGAAACATCTTTGCCATCACTTCTACTTTTCATCTAAATGCCCTTGGAACTTTCCTTTTTCTACTTCAATATGAAGTAGATTTCTCCCTTCCCTGAATCCCATAAGCCTTTTATTGCAATTCAAACATTATAGCTTGTGTGATACTTACTGCTGTATCATTTTTCCTTTACCACACAGCTTATTAGCCTAATTACATTTATATTCCCCACAGTGCATTATATAGAGCCTACTACATAATCGATTAAAAAAAGTTTATTTAATGCATAAATTCAGATTGGAAAACATTAGAGTATATAGTACATTTCTATTAAAGACTCTGTCACATTAGGTGACATATGTTTTACATGCATCCAAACAGTTATTGCAGCCCAGATTCTTGTTTTTTTATTCCATTTATGGGCAATGACTTCAGGGCTAATACTAATTGTATATACTTTAGTATAGCTCTGAAATAATTTCAGGTTCATAAATAATATTTCCCCATTCCATTATAAACTGAGAAGGGCAGACGCTTTTATATTTTTTATAGTCCTCATGGTATTTAGCATGATATGGGGCCCATTACAGTTGTTACTGTATACACATAGGTTAGTTGATTGAACATGTTTTGTAAGATTCCAAGAAAGTTGGTATTGCTATAATCTTGAATCTATTTTTTATTAGACTGTGTAGAGATTTAAAACTCTGTCAGATATAATGTATTGAATTTTATTTATCCAGTCTTACATGTTCACTTTAAGTGTTGCCTCCTTGGAACGAAGACATCCAAGTAAAAATTGAAGAGTTTACTTATTTAAATAAGGTAATCTATTTAAAAAGCTTTAAGTGGTGACTTCAACTCTCCTTCCCCTACTCAACACATAGATATTAAAGAGCATGATATATTAATTCCAAAATTTCTAAATATCTGGCTTTTATTTAAATAGCACAAAATTAGAGACCTTAAAATAACCACAGAGGAACATTTTTAATTCAGAATTTTGATATAGTACAAATATAATAATGCAGTAACTAAAGCTATTGGAATCTCGTTTTCACTGTAAACAATTTGTACATTTTTCAACAAGGAAAAATGTATTTGATGATGTAAATTAGTCAATCAAACTGGACTCGATGAAAAAAATTATACTTCTTGTTGCCTAAATTATGGAAAAACATTTGAAGATGTCGCAATAGTCCATTACATATTTGAATAAACTTTAATCTTGAAAGAAATTGAAAATCACTTAACTAATACTTCTATGCATATATATTCACTGAACCATTATTTGTTTTCTTAAGTATGGTAAGCTCAGTTGATTATAGAAATAGTGTGGAGCTAGATCAATAGAAATATATATATCTTGGAATAAAACCCACAAGTAAAACTTAGTATCTTGTTACCTGAAACTGTAGCTCCGTTTAACTAGAGATTATTTTGTATGAAGCCTGGGTGTTAATATGTGAATGACTGAAAATCTGTCAGCCATACCCGAATATAAAATTCTGCATACAGAAGAGAGAGTGGGGGGAAAATCCTGTTAATATCAGTTTCCTCATCTGTTAATGAGAATCATACAGAACCTGCCTCCTGGGGTTGTCCTAAGGAATAGTAAGTATCAGATATAAAGTCCTTAATACTTGGCATATAGTATGAGTTCAATAAGTCTTAACTATCATTTTTGTGAATGATATTTCCCATTTCTGTTATATCAGTCTTAAGTGTTAGAAATCAATTTAGATATATAATCCATTATCTATAAAGTATAAATATATATAGAGAGTGTATATAACTCCACACATCATTTACGGATAATGAATCTAGCATCTCATGAAAATCCAGTGAGACTTTCATGGAAGTTATAACTATACTCATGGGGTTTTTTTTTTTTTTGGTTATTTTTTGTGTGTTTGCTTTTTTAAATGAAAATGTAATCTTTTTGTTAGACCATGAGTTAACAGTGGCAAATCTAGGATTAAAATCTCGATCTTTTTTGTTATTCATCATTATTTCCACTGTGTTATGTGGCTATTTTGATGACTGCTACTCTAAATCATTGAACTTTTATATTTTGTCAAGAGAATTTCTTGAAAATAAATGTGTGCTAAACAAGCATCTTTACTTAAATGATGAAAGAACAGTTTGTTTCTGAATTTTCCCATTATAGAACAATAATATTGGCTAAATGTTTATTCACATACCAAAGAAACACATGGCCATACTATCTGTCACATCACTGACTTGCATTTTGATTTTGAAAAAATCATTTCAGCTTTCACCTGACCTAGACAAAAATTGAAAATAGCAGTGCTATTTTGCCTCCTCTTTACCTCATTGGCTTAGGGTAATATTGAACAAGTTAATATTTTACATTTCTACATAGGCTTTTTGGAAAAGAAGAGTTTTTTTTATGAAGTTTGTTCATTTTATTTTATTTTATTTTATTTTATTTTATTTTTTTAGAGATAGAGTCTCACTCTTTCACCCAGGCTGGAGTGCAGTGGCATGATCTCAGCTCACTGCAACCTCTGCCTCCTAGGTTTAAGCAATTCTGGTGCCTCAGCCTCCTGAGTAGCTGGGATTACAGGCACGCACCAACATACCCGGCTAATTTTTGTATTTTTAGTAGAGACAGGGTTTCGCCATGTTGGCCATGCTAGTCTCGAACTCCTGACCTCAAACAATCCACCCACCCGGCCTCCCAAATTGCTGGAATTACAGGCATGAGCCACCACGCCCATCCCATGAAGCTTTTTCTATATAAATACTGTATTAATTACTTTACAAGAAATTTTTCTATTTTTGGCAAGATATTTTAGCAGAAGTCATCATCAAACTAAAAGAACAGAGAAACGATTGACAGAAAGTAATGCAGTAGTTACCTGTGGCCATGTGTGCAAGAATCAGATAAAGGTTTCCATCCATCTGGATTCCATCTATTCTTCCTTCCAAAATATCACTAATATTTCAGTCTTTTGATCTCTTCTGTTTAGGCTGTGAAACTTGGGGTGGAGGTAGGGTGACAGGTGAAAGGGAGGATGAAGGAAAGTGATGAATTAGGGGTTTATTTAATTTTCTTGTTTAAGCATCCAGTACAGTGTTTGTACGTAAGCCAGGCTTGCAGACTTACTTATACTAGAAAGCCAGTGTACAGCTCTAGAGTCAGTGCCAGTAGAAAATTTTTAAAATAGAAATTGTGCAAAAGAAATAAACCCAAAGGGCAGAAAGTATTTCACATTTGCTCCAGAAGACTATAGTGCCATTAAACTTTTATATTTATCCATTGGGGATTTTTTTTAAGTCTTCAAAAGCTATTTTTATTTGAATTTCCTGGAACCACAAATGTATGTTGTCAAAATTTTTGATTGAATTTTGGGAAACACAAAACTTTAAAACATTAGAATTCCATTTGTTTTCCTATTATCTTTTAAAAAATTTACAAAGAAAGATTTGCCTTACCAGTGAAGGGGGAAATACATAATTGGTGATGGTTATTCTGGTTTATTGACTTTCACTTCAAAAGGAATACCAGCAAAGGAGAAAAAATATAATAGGTGACGTGCCAGCAAAGGAGGAAAAGTATAATAGGTGACAGTTAATTTGGTTTACTGACTTTTACCTGAAGAAGCCATATTTAATTCTGTGGTCAACTCTAAGAGATCACAGGGTCTCTTAAGTGATCATCATTTCTTTTGCCATCTCACATTGACTCATCTGACTTAGAAATGGGTGGATGAAAAGAATCTTCACTCACTATGTTTTAATGTTAGAACACAAAAACTCAAATTGGGCAGGAAGAAACAAACCTCTCTCATGTAAGAGACACTCAGTCCCCCGAAAAAGAACAAATTCTTCATTCAGAGTGAACAGCTTGTGAGAAAAAGCTTACTACCTTGCTCATAGGCAAGGGAGGTGATTGTCAAATATAGCTGGAAGGATGTCTTGCCCAGTCTTTTGCGGATGCTTGAAGTTTCTATAATACAGAGAGAAACTTTTAATTCCACAAACTCAGATGAAGTTATAAGGCTAATGTTTCTAAGAGGGAGTATACTATAGTGATTTGAATTTAGCAGGGTTGTAATAACTTGTACCAGATTGTGTCTTAATCAACCAGCAAATATTTATTGACCATCTACTATGTGCCATTTATTGACCATCTACTAGTTTTATGATAAAACTGAAGCTCAAAGGTTGTATGCATCTTCTCTGATGTCTCACTAGAATCCTCCAAGCTAAATGGTTTATTCATTTTTGGGGGCTATCACTGTGCTACCACATACTTCTGAAACCCACAGGAATGTTGCTTTCATTGTCACCTATCTTCCCCCACTGGATTGCATACTCCACACGAGAGCTGAGGCTAGCTTGGTCTCATTCATCTTGGTAACGTTCGAGTATATCAGAATCTTGGCACGCAATTGACATTTAATTCATGCTTATTAAATGAATTAATAAGACTGAATAAGATATTAATGCTACTCTATGGCACTTGACAGGTAGGACAGGAAATAAGACATGAGTGCAGAACAGTTATTGAGAGATTAGTTGCTTTAAGTTTATCATGTATAGTGGTGAGTTAGGGAGAAGAGACAGAAAAATAAATGAGATCAAGAAGTCCCCAAAAGACGCTGCCTTGTTTCTGCCAATTTTGTGTGCCAATCCTACACTCACGTTGAAAACAATTAGTTATCCATTACATTACCTTTAGATGTTCCATAGCAATTATAGTTACTCATTTATTTACTAGAAGTTTGCTTACATTTAATTGATTTATTTGAAGAACCCAAAGTAATGACATGTAGCAGAAATCATGCCTCTCTTTCTCTTTCTCTTTAGGCACATCCTGCATCTAGGTTTGAAATGAAAAGAAGTGAGCTTAGATAGGCAATTCCTATTTCCTCTAGAAAACATGATCGTTGACATGAATTTAAGCAGACAGCATGAATCAAAGATTAACAAGTCAGTTCAGTTCTGGCTCTGCAGTTTAATGGGCTTGAGGTCTTAGACCACATGCTTACTCTCTCTAAACCTCAGTTATCTCATCTCTGAAGTGGAGATAATAATGCCTACCCTGTTTATCTTTTAAAGCTGTGATGTGTAAGAAAATGCTTTACATACTATGAGCTACTATATAAATGCAAGGGACTCTTGCTATTATTATGGTCATGATTGCTCTGGTAATCATGACGATAGCACTGAATACAAATCTAAAGGGCACATCCACATAATTAAAGTGTCTTACCTCAGGAACAGCTCTAGACATTCACGTCTGTGAAACAGCATCTGATCAGTCCTTAAACTCATCAGACAACGTATACATTGATGGACCCTGAAGAATTACTGGCACATTAATTTGCTTGCCTGGAAACATCTGGATTCTCTAAAATTAGATTCCTGATGAAAGATCCCTGAAGTGTTGCCAGATTTCTGTTTAGATAATTTTATTCAGTTCAACAAACATGAATCGAATGCCTATTTAGGCCAGAAATTGTTGTAGGTAATAGAGACTTAAAGATTGGTGATCATGGCTCCTGCCTTCAAAGAGCTCACAGTTTGTGGGCAGAGACAGATACATAATTAGATGTCCACAGAATATAAAATGGAGTTATGTGTAATTATTACATAAATTACAGTGGTACTACAGGAAGTAGACTAAAGCAAAATCAGAGACTATCTTGATGGAAAGGATGCCTGAATTGAACATTAAAGCATAAGTGGAAGTTACAAAGGCAAAGTGAGTGCAAAGTGAGGGTAATTCCAAGCAGAGGGAACAACATGAGCAAAGGATCTAAAACTGGGAAAAAAATATGTGGCTATGTTGCTGGATCAGAAACCAAACTGAAAGATGTAGAGGGAGCTAAGGCTGAAGACTGGAGAAGAGAAAAACCAGTTCCTGGAAGGGCTTGTGGGTCATGTTTTTAACTGTGACAGATAGATACCACCAAAGGGTATGAAACAGATAAGAGACATTGTGAGATACAGATTTTAAATAAAATGCACTGGGTATTGCATTGATTGAAAGATAATAAAACTGGAAGCAGGGACATTTGGTTAGGGTAGCAATTTGGAGAGATGAGCCAAGGAAACAGTAATTAAGATAGGCAGCAATACTTTTGAGAAATATACAAACACACACACACACACACACACACACACACACACAGAGTGTGCAGGAAGAGACAGGACTTGACAGCTGCTTCAATGTGGCGTTGAAAAATACAAAAGTGTCAAGACAGAGCCAGGCATAGTGGCTCACACTGATAATTCTGCTTACTCTGGAGACTGAGGTAGGAGGATCGCTGGAGGCCAGAAGTTTGAGGCTGCAGTGAGAAATAATGACACCACTGCACTTCAGCCTGGGTAGCAGAGCGAAACACCATCTGAAATACAAACATTAAAAAATGCAAAATTAAAAAAAGAAAGATGCCACGATAGATTACCCAAGCACCGTACTGGTGTAATAGATATCTCAGTCTATGAAATTAAAAATTATGATATATTACTTAATTTTTATAAGCTATCTAATTTCTGACTCCAGAACAAATTCCACTAGACTGCTGGGAAAAAAATACCTGAACTCCCAAGCCCCAATCCTTACTGACATTTCTCTAGTTAGGATTTCACTATGATATTAAGGTCTTAATGCCAAGGAGTTGGGGATGGCCCATTTGGTTGTTGGCTGTGAGTCCATGCCTGTAGCTGCTGAGACAGCTGTCATCCTGGCCTATGTGGCCTTTACAAGTCCCTTAGTTCTCTCTGATGCCTCAGTGCCAAGCATGGTTGGTGGGCAAATCTTGGGAGAGAGGGCATATGTTCTCTTCGCCCAGAAGCAGTGTGAAGCCATTTTCTCCTTTTGCTGTACTTTCCTAGGAAATGGAGGGGAGGTACCTTCAGCCCCGGCAGGAAACCACAGGTCTCTCATCATTGCCTTCTTCTCTTAATCTGAGGGGAGATAATTCTCTGAGGAAAATCCTTTTCCTTTCAGGTCTCTCTGTTTTTGTGTGTTTACATCGCAATGTTTCTTCTCCTCTCTGGAGTTTAGTTTGGGCATAGAAAATACATCAAGGCAATTCCTTGCTTTTTAAAATTATCTGCCCTCTACTTCCACATGAAAAGGGTCTTTGTCTTCTTGCCATTTTACCTTTGGCAGCCGGCATCCAGAATACTCTGATACATGCTAAGAGCACACACACAAATATTTGTTTATTAAATAAATGAATATAAGGGTAAGTTATGAGCTGACATGACATATTTTAGGAGGAAAAAAGCTACCATTTTGGAATTCTCTCAGCAGTGCTATATACTGAAAGAGTAAATGAGTGAATTAATTAGAAAATGAATACAGCCATGGCTGCTTACTTTTGTTTTCTGTTCTCTGCCACATTCCTTCCCTGAGGCATTCAGCACAGAGCTGATTTCATGCTGAAAGAGAAGGAAGAGAAAGGAAAGAAAAATATTCAGAGAGGAAAAATATTAATTAAAATATTAATATAATCCAGTCAGTTTACTTATTTCAAGTCATCATCTAACACCAATCAAAATGCTTCTTACTACCTAAATTGAGTATTTTTATTGAAATGTAAAGTTTATTTCAATGATATTCAAAATATGAATTAGAGAATTGAGAGTGAGAACAGATTCTTATACAGAGTTGCAAATTTACTCATACTTAATCACACTAAGAAAAGTATTTTTTAAATTTTGTCTATGACTAATAAGATCTTACTCTCAGACCTCAGGTCCCCTACTGCTTGCTGTGATAATTTTTCCTTCCTTCCTTCCTTCCTTCCTTCCTTCCTTCTTCCTTCCTTCCTTCCTTCCTTCCTTCCTTCCTTCTTCCTTCCTTCCTTCCTTCCTCCCTCCCTCCCTTCCTTCCTTGGAAGGAACTACCAACCCTATGCAAAGTCATTTAAACATGGTGGCAAAGTTTGTGCAAGTAGAGAACGTCAGATACAAAACAAAGCAAAACAGAAACAAAACACCAAAAAATATAAATTAAGATTGTGAACTTTCAGGGCCTAGGGATAGGGGAAGGAAAATCAAGGAGCACAAGTGTTCAAAATCTGGATTGTAACTCCCTCTGTCTAGACTGGGACTGGGAGAGGAGGTACTAGAGGACTACCTTTGCCCTTGGTGTTTCCCCACTTATGTAATATACCATCTCTTCTCTGGGTTCTCTTACTATCTCATTATTGGGTAGTGCTTGGCTGCTGTAATAGGCATGGAGACATGGAGGGATATACTCCATCCATGTTAGTGGTAGTTTAGTCCTTATTATGTGAAAGAGAAAGAGGGTAGGGAGGAAGGACATATTTGGATAATTTTATCTCAAGACATTAGCCTGTCTTGTAATGCTATTACATTCCTCCACCTCCTTTTTGCATTTTAGAAACTAATTTTCTTTTTCTTTTTATTATCTTCGCTTTTAAATCACCCCCCTATCCTGTAGGCTCCTGGACCCCAACTTGCCTCAATAGACTCAGGCAAATATATATTTTCAAAATATTTTTGTATTATGCCAATATTAGAATAATTTTGAAAAAACTTAACTGTCTATTATATAATCGAGTATCAACAGTTAAGTGCCAAATATCATGCTATGGATGTTATGTGCATTTTTTCACAATATCAAATACATGCTATACATTTTATTTCCATTTTTACCTATGAAATGTATATTATTGGTTTACAGAGATAGAAATGAATGCTTAGAGAGATTAAATAATTTGCCCCAAATAATACCCCTCATAAATGGCTTTGTTGAGATTTAGACTCAGGGGATTCCTACTCAAAAGCCCATGAATTTTTCAGTACATTTTGTTGTTCACTGCCAATTCTTAACTCCATGAGAAAAATTCAGGCGCTTATAGGAATGTGTGAATCATAATTAAAAGAACACACACTCAGGGGCAGGAGACTCAGTTTCAAATTCTGCCATTTTGCAATTTTCTGTCAATAGTGTGGTAATAAGAAACAGCAAGTGCTCTTATATCCCGATTTTGTCTTTTATTAACTGTGTAAACTTGGGCAAACTCTTCTCATTTCTAAGTCTCCAACTTTTTATTTGTTCAAAAGAGAGGTTAGCATTAGGACAGCTGTGATGAGTAAGTGTGATAATACATTGCAAGCAACCTAGCACAAACCTTGGCATACAAAAAGTAAAAATAAAAATAAAACACTCAGTAAATGTAGACACCTCATCTATCCAAGAGAATTTTGATAATTTGTGAAGCATTCATTATGCTCTATATGGACCATTAGGTTATTTGATAAATGTATGAGTTTTAACACAAGTGCTACAATGTAACTATAATAAAAGCCCAAGAAATAAATGTTCATACAATGAAGTCTTTTTCTTTTTCATTTTTCTAAGAAACTGGCTCCTCATTTCTATGTTGCAGAAATGAAACAATAATTTATTATTTAAATCACTTCTTGGGGCACACATCTGATCTGGAATTCTGTACCTACTTTTTATTTATTTATTTATTTATTTTGAGATGAAGTCTTGCTCTGTGGCCCAGGCTGGAGTGCAGTGGCTCAATCTCAGCTTGCTGCAACCTCTGCCTCCCAGGTTCAAGCGATTCTTCTGCCTCAGCCTCCTGAGTAGCTGGGACTACAAGCATGCACCACAATGCCTGACTAACTTTTGTATTTTTAGTAGACATGGGGTTTCCCTATGCTGGCCAGGCTGGTTTCAAACTCCTGACCTCAGGTGATCCACCCGCCTCAGCCTCCCAAAGTACTGGGATTACAGGCATGAGCCGCTGCGCCTGGCCGTACCTACATTTTTATTACGTTAACTGGCACATAAGAAATGTACTATTTTGGGGGGTATAGTGTGATATTTTGATACATGTGTACATTGTCTAATGATCAAATCATGGTAATTAGCAAATCCATTGCCTAAAAAATTTATGATTTATTTGTGTTGGAAGCATTCACAATTCTCCCATCTAGACATTTGAAAATATACGATAAAATGTTGTTAACTTTAGTCACCTCACAGTGCTGTAGAACACTATAACTTATTCTTCCTGTTTACGCTGTAATTTTGTACCTGTCAACCAACCTCTCCCTATCTCCTCTCCCTCCTACCCTTTCCAGCCTCTAGTAAATGCAATGCTATACTCCACTTTTATTAGATCAACTTTTTTAGCTTCCATATATGAGGGAAAACATGCAGTATTGATCTTTCTGTGCTTGACTTATTTCACTTAACATAATATCCTTTAGATTCATTCATGTTGCCTTGAATGATTTGATTTAATTTTTTATGGCTAAATGGTGTTCCATTGTATATACATTGTATACTACATATAATATAATGTAGTATATATATGCAATGTGTATATATGTTCATTTTGTGTCTGTATATATATACACACATATATATGTATATATAAATTAGTATTTCATTGTGTATTGTCTTTATTCATTCATCTGTTGAGGACACTTAGATTGATTCCATATCTTGGCTATAGTGAATCGTGCTGCAACAAACATGAGAGTGTAAATATCTCTTCTACATACTGATATCCTTTCCTTTGGATATATACCCAGTAGTAGATTGTTGGATCACATGGTAATTCCATTTTTAGGTTTTTAAGAAACATACACATTGTTTTCCATAGCAAATGTACCAATTTACATTCCCATCAACAGCATATAAGGGTTCCGCTTTATAGGCATCCTTACCAGCATTTGTTATTTTTTGTCTAACTGGAGTGGGAGGAGATCTCAGTGTGGTTTTGATTTGCATTTCCCTGATGATTAGTGATACTGAACTTTTTTTCATATACTATTGGTCATTTGTATGTCTTCTTTTGAAAAATATCTATTTAAATCATTTGCCTTTTTAATTAATAATTGAATGGCTTGGGTTTTTACGCTGTTGAGATATTTTAGTTTCTTGTATAACATTTTAACAACAGTAATTTATAGCTTTCTCAAGTAGCTGGGAGCCCTGGAAAGATGGTAGGGGGAATCTGAAGCCACCTTCTGAGTTAAGCAACTGTCCTCACAGTCCAGGGCACTCAGCCAGAAGCCCTGAGCCAAGCATACAACATTCCATCTGCTGTACTAACCAAAGGTAAATGACCCTCAAACCCCAAGGGAGTGATTCAGCTTCAAGAAGGAGACCTCACCTTTTACAGGACAGTCAGGCTTGAGAGTTGCTTTGCTTAAGTGATTGAAGAAGAAAAAAAAAATCTGAGATCTAGTTAATGAAATGTATTGAGGTCATTTCCACCATTCACTGATGGAGCTCAGAAACAGAAAGTGTCAGGAGGGCTATAATTAGGAGAGAGAGTTAAAAATTTAACAGCATTCCAGATTTCAGTTACACCTGTCATCGTTTTTAACCACCCTTTCTTCCCATTTGCACTTTATTGGGCCTACTGTCTTCCCTTCTCCTTTTCAGGATTTGAGAGAAATAGGCAAAGAAAAATATTAAAGAAAAGAAAGGTGATATTTTGAAAAGATATTTGGGAGAAGCCAGTTTCAGGGATAGGTTCAGTTCTGTGCCTGTCTTTCTTTTGACTATAATTCATGTTAGCCCTCTCTGACTGAGGAGTGTGAAGTCATTTGGCTCCTGCATGTGTGTTCCTCAGTGAACGCACCTAGGGGTGTCCCCTTGTTCCTTGAGAGCACTTGTACAGAGAAAGCAGACTTGATACAACCTTCTAGAAAGTCTAGTATACAATGAGGCACCATAATTATCTTTAGGGATTTCATGTGTAGATTATTTCCCCTACTTTTGTTTTAAATAGACTTTAATTTTTAGAGCAGTTTTAGGTTCACAGCAAAATTGAGTAGAAAGTAGTTTCCATATACCCCTCTCCCTACATGTGCACAGCCTGTTCCACTATCAATAGCCCACAACAGAGTGATACATTTGTTACACCGTATGAACTTACCTTGGTACATCAGAGTCACCCAATCAATGAACTTACACTGGTACATCGAAGTCACACAAAATCCATCGCCCATAAAATAAAACCAAGTATGTTTTATTACTCTATCTCCTCTCAGAGCCATGAATACACTGTATGTCACTGGCTTGGTGAAGGACAGAGAGTACACTATAGTAAACGCTATTTCCAAATATACATGTTTGATAACACTGGAGTTGTCAGATACACATTTCTATGTATACTCTTCTAGAAGAATCAGGCCTACTGTGCCTATTTATAAGTTATTATCTCAAACATTTTCTTTCTTAACCCATGAAAACTGAAGTTAATATATTTTATTTTTTAATATTCCCTAGTGTTAATGATTTGCAAATAATCTAAATTTTTTTTCCATAGGGAAAAGATGGCAGAAAAGCAACATTTGCTTAGTAAAGATAGATTATCAAAAACAGCCTTGCTAAAAGCAGGTTAATGCTTTAAATGATGCAATTGAACAAGACATAATTAGGGCTATTTCCTTCCCCTTGTTTTAGAAACACCATGAGCCATTGGCAGAGGTGAAACGGGGTGATTTTATCACTTTTATGCTGAATTGTTTTTCCCAGTGTAGCTGTTAAGTTGTCCTTCCATAAAATGGTACCATGAAATAGTTCCACTTTGCAAAGCTGTTGTTTCATGACCAAAGAATTGTTTGCAATAATTAAATTATGGTTGCTGAAGTTCTTATTTCTTCTTTGAAGACAGTGTTTGTTTATAGGTTCATAAAGAATGGGAAGAGAAATTTCATTTTAAAATGGGCCTTTAAATAAGATTAAGAGTTGTAAATTTTCATATGCCCAAATGAATGGCTGATAATTGTATTATTCTGGGTTCTCCAGAGAAAAAGAACCAATAGAATATACCTATATATTTCCAGTCTGAGTCCAAAGGCCTGAGAACCAGGCAAGCCAATGACATAAGTTCAGTTCAAGCTCAAGTCCAAATCTGAAGGCGAGAGAAGACCAATGTCCCAGTTTGAAGACTACCAGGCAGAGAGAGCAAATTCTCTCTAACTCAGTCTTTTTGTTCTACATAGGCCTTCAATAGATTAGAGAAGTCCACCACAAAGGGAAGGGCAATCTACTTTACTAGGTCTATCAATTCAAATGTTAATTTCACCTAGAAACACTCTCACAGACGCCCAGAGTAATGTTTAACCAAACATCTTGACATCCTCTGGACCAGTCAAGTTGACACATAAAATTAACATCAGGATAATGATATCTTTTCAATTCTATTCTATTTGGTATACATTTGTGAACACTGCAATACACTGCTAGGTGCTAGAAAGAACACAGAAGACTAACACCTGGTCCTTTTCTTTGAGATGCTAACAAATTAATGTAGGAGACATACACACTTAGTTGTTATGGTATTAGCATAAACAAAGTAAGTATGATCAGAAGAGTGAGTGATTGGTTTGGATTATGGGGACTGGAAAAGGATTACAGAGAATAGAAATTAGAAAAGACATTTGAGCAATGGAACCATGTGGAAATAACATGAACAAAGGCCTGTGGGTGTGAAAAACTCCATGGAATGCCTACGTTTCTGGAATCCAAAGAGCATGGTCAATGTCTTACCCTGAAAATGTCCTCAGTGTCATACTAAGGAATATGTTTACTTCAGAATTTTGGCTACTTTGTAGGATTAATTATGTTCTTATTTTCTTATGTTTGGAACATTGTCATCATGATCACAGTTGCTATTTATGAAGAGAGATGGTCACCTAGCAAAAAGTTGAGTTACCATTCATATGGCTGATTAAAAACAAAGTTTAATGCCTTAACTTCTGGTTTCATCTTTCTGTTCTGCCTATTTTGTACTGTTTCTTCAAGAACTTATTGAGAACGGGATTCAAAGTTTAAACTACTCCTTTATACTTGGTTTTTGGCTTTTTGTTGTTTATAGATGTGAAATCATGCACACATAATTTGCTCTTAATAAAAATAATAGTAATAAGTACAAAGCAGGTAGCCTTTATTCTCTGGACAATGTTTCTCTTTCCTCATAAACTTAAATGGTTTTAAATAATGATCTATGTAATCTTTGAAACATAGACACTTTGGGCACAATGACCAGCTTTGTCTTTCTCTCTAATAAGGAGCCTAATGCAACCTAATGAACTCAGTATACAAAAATAAAGTGCATAGCAAATGGAGAAAAACTATGACTTGAAAATAGCATATCACAAAAAGCATCTTGCTTCCCAATTGGTGATTAATAATAGAAAATGTCATTATAATTAAAAGCAAAACAAATTAGGGCTCTCTGTATTTCAGTGGGCACAGATATTGCAAGCTCACTGTTTCTATCATATTTAAATTCTGCACAGCCTCAGTCTTAGCAACAGTCAGCATTGCAGAATCAGACTTTCTACTCAAAAACCATAAGATTCTCTGTGGTTCCTACTGCTTTTTTTAATGAAACATTTTTGTAACTACCCACCTGCTTTCTTTTTTTGATTTATTTCAATTTAGTAAAAAAGAAGGATAGAGAGGGAGGTACATACCACCAGTTTATAATTAATTCTTAGTAATTTAGTAAACCACAAGTGTTTTATTCTTATAAAGATATATTTCCTCTAATTAATAATGTATGTTTTACAGATCAGTTTGAAAATAATCTCAACTTAATAATTTGAAGACTGTATTTATGAATAGGTGTGAATACTTAGGTTGATATGTATGTAAATTTGGAAAACTTTGATGTTCTTTTCTTCTGGAAAAGCTAAGCACTGTTGGAATATACATTGTGTGAAATAAACCAATAGACATAAGGTTAGTAACTTACTCTGGGCCCATAAACCACAGGCAAACATCTCATCACTTTATCATATACATTAAATGTAACCACCATAAGAGAAGAGATTGGGATCAAGAGGGATGCTTCTCTCTTGTATTGGTGACACATATTGGTCTCTAACAAATAAAAACAGGCATAAAGTGTTTAAAACCATCACAAATCACTGACATATAATGTCTGAGAAACAGTCTGTTCTAGTTTGAATTTTTGTTTTATCATCAACCATTGAAAGGCTGGGTGTACTACGTCATGTCTGTAATCCCAGTACTCTGGGAGGCTGAAACAGGGGGATTGCTTGGGCCCAGGAGTTTGAGACCAGCCTGGGCAAAAAAGCCAGTCCCTGTCTCTACAAAAAAAAAAAAAAGAAAATGTATGCTAACTTATAAAGAACTGTAAAGGGTTTAGAATAGAGAGATACTTTGAATAATTCCTTAAAGCAATAAACAATGGTTGCAGATGAAGTAAATGTGCATAGTGATAAGTTCATTTTCTCCAATGATAATTTTAAAATTATAGAGTACATAAATACCTAAATTTTCTCCTTATACACTCTGGTCCTTTCACATCATTCACTTTTGCTCACATTTAATATGTTTTGCCATATTATTGCTGTATTTTAACATCACCAGAAATTAAAGTTCTGACATTTTGAATAAAGGAAAACATTGAGTACAAATTTTACACTTATAGGAAAGCTCTTCCAAAAAATTATTCGAATGAAAATTTAATTATTATTTGTTGCAAATCAAGTGACTTGACATAAGAGTCATTTGCAAGAAAAAAATCTTTAAGTAACCCACTTTTATTTTTGGTGATGTTGTTTCTAATATTCTCAAACTTAAATAAATTATCAAGGAAAATAAGCCCTGATCTCCAAGAAGATGATTGCAAAAGGTTTTATCACCACATTAACTTTATACTAATATCATAAAAATAGTTCATAAGAAATTTAAATTCGCTCTTCAAAATTTGTTTGTGGTCTGGAATTGTGGTTTAAAGGCTGAAAATTACATTTTCTATATTATTTAAGTACAATGTGGAATTCTAACTTTAAAAATGCAGTCTATTGAAAAGGAAGGAGTTTCACCTTCTTTGACCTGCTTCAGTGAGAGCATCAAGCGTGAACCGACTTTGGGAAAGGCAGTAGTACAGCTATTACTCCTCCTCCGCCTTTCCCTCTCCCTCTCCCTCTTCCTCCCCTTCCTCCTTCTCCTCCTTTCTCCTTCTCCTTTCTTCTTCTTTCTTCTTCTTTTTTTCCTCTTCAGTTTTTCCAGGGGCAACGAAAGGAACAGGCAAAATACAGAAGGTCATGCATAACAAGCAACTGCAAACCATTGTGAGAGGGAATCTTTGGTATCTGAGATGATGGAATTAGATAAAGACAAAAGGATGCAGGGGGCAGTGGGAGAGCTTCTTTCAGTGAGCCAGACCCTCCTATTTATGTCCGAAGCAAATGTTCTTATGAGGATGAGGAGCAAATCAATATTTTTATGTTTAATATTCAGCTCAGGGTCAGCAATAATGATCTTATTTCTAGAGTTTTAGTCACAGCTGTTAGAAATATTTTTCTTACACAAAGCTTTATGGAAGAATATTGTTCATATAGGTTTTATAATTTTGTTGCTACCATATTTAACTAATGGAAATTGTAAAATTTATACAACCAGTTTACTTTCAACTTACTTATTTGCAATAGTTTGTTGTGATTTTCTGGTAAAACAGTAAGCCAATAACAAAATATGCACCATCTAATAGAATTTAAGCCTTGAGAGGTGAATACACTTTGAATCTTTAACTACAAGTTTAGGGAAGTGAAAACAATGACAGTAGTAATTAAAAACCTTATGATGCAAATGAAAACAATTCAAGTGATACGCAGCCTTCGTTTAAAAAAAAATGAATCACTTTTATATTTCATGAAGAAAGGTCCTGGAGCTGGTTTCTCTGAGGAGCAAGTGCCTCGTAGAAAGATGTAGCTGGATAAGTAAGCATATGGCTAGGAAATTTTGAAAATTTCAGCCTAAAACTTACCATTCTCAGGATTTCAAGGATTCATAAAATAAAACGAATGTAGCCAAGTGGAAAAAGGACAAATACATAATTCATGAAGCAGCCCTTTCTGACATACCCTGCTGCTTTTGGCTCCTAAAAATAGATCAGTTAAGAGTAACACGTAATAATTTCCTTTAAAAAAGTGGTGAAGATGTATTTTATTTGAAAGTGTTCTAAATTTTTGCAGTGTAAGCAATGAGGAGTCTTCAGCCTACTTTAGAGAAAGACATGGGGGTGCTATGCAGACATATTTGAAATGCTCTTTTTTTTTTTTCCTGTGGCCTTATTAGCATCTAGCTGGAAGGCATCGCATGTTTCTTTGCTTCACTGTGTTCTATGCAAATTATCAGGGTGGAAAGTGCCTTTACTAATAGTTTTAAAATACACTTTAGAGTGATGCGTTTTCTTGCAGACAGCATATTTCACATGGAATCTTCAACTGGGGGCCAACACATTTACCATCAATTTAAAACCCAAAGAATATTTAGTCTAGTGATACATCAAGTAGCATAAGAAGCCATCTCGGAATAATACAAAATTTAAAAACGTGGCCTGCGTAAGTAAATCCATTATCACTCTTTTCCAAATTTTGGACTTTTATTAATGTGTTAAATTTGTAAAGTATAAACATACATAATTTTTAAATCCACCCAGAACTATTTTAAAAAGCAAAACCATTATGTTTACACTTGCTTACCCCTATTTTCTTTACATCATTTAGATGACTCTTACTGCATGAACTTAAAAATACAATGTGGTATTGGAAATTTTACCATCGTTTTGAAGTTAAGCATAAAATATTCATCCTAATTATATTTGCATGTACAAATAATTGCATCAGTGTAACTGAGTTTTGGATGATTTCTGATTTTGAAAAACATAAAATAAATTTACAATTAGAATTATTACATTTACTTTTCAGTGCTCAGTAAAGTCTTCGATGGTATTAGTGCTATAAAACATTTTACTTTATGCTATAAATTAGCATAATCTTATTAATTTTCATCTGTCTCCTAAGAAATGCCAGATTTACAAAAACATTCAAACCAAAACTCTGTAGCCTGTAGACTTCTAGTAGTCTACCTGTCAGTTCTGATTAATTTGAGTAATCCAGTTATTTCACTGACCTACTTTTTCAATGACTACTAACTTTTCTAAGCAAAAATCAAAGGTTTATTTTTTCTTGATGGTGTTTTTTTTTGCCTAGGATTATTAATAATTCAGTCAACAGATTTGTAAAGCTAACTTTTATTTCTGGAATTTTTTTATATTCATCATAAAATAGTGAATTGTCCATATTTTTCTATCATTGAGACACATTGGTCAGATCTAATATATATTCCATATTATTTCCATTTAATTTATACCTCCAAAAAGAATAAAAAATAAGGATGAAAGTATCAATCAAGATATCTTTAAAGTAATAAAAAAAATCCTGCCCTAGTTTAAGGTATTTTCGGCACTTTTCAAAAAAAGATAATTAAATTAAAATTGGCTCCTATGAATAAAATTTTACATTTTGAGGATAAGGGGCTTGTTTCTAATCCTTTTTGATATTATCTGCTGACTTCACTGAACTTAATTATACAAAGTACATTTAATCCAACTTGTCACATACACACACACATACACACACACACACACACAACTATTTGCACTTGTCTTATTTGAAATGGCAAAGATGTGACACTGGATTGACATGGTTTCCTTAACACTCATGTTGCTAAACTAGAACGTGCTAGGGGCAAATAACTCTTATAACATTGCTCCAAAATATTTATGATATTTTTGGAGTCCTAGTCAGTTAACCGTGCGAAAATTTTTTTTAAAAAGGACTCTCATTTTATAACAGCAACATAAGGATATAATATTAATAGCCCTATTAATGTGCATTGAATGCATGCTGAAATGCTAACTAGCCTATCAAGTCCACCACAGCATCATTGAAATAGTTATGAATTAACTCAGACTTTCAATCTTATATGCTTGTATCTGTATTCTTAATGCTTGCCTTTTAGTAAATTTTATAGGAAATAATATAACCTCCATTTCATACTAATATGGACTCTACTTTCATAGGAGTTATCTACTGTCCTTGATGAATATCCATAATGCACAATGTTAAAATGAGAAAGCTATAATTGGTAAATAGGTCAATAAGTGCACAGTTCAGAAGACAGCCATATCATGCTGTTATTTGTTCTCATCTCTCCCATAATGAGGATGTTCGCATTGCATGTTAAAAGTTGCTTCTGTGAAAAGCAATATTTGAATCATATACAAAGCTGTTGGACCAGGATGACAGGGTTCTTAACAAGAAAGGATAGAGCAAGTACTAGTCAACCCCAATGTGTCTATTGTAATAAATTCAAAAGGAAGAGCTAATCTGAGCAATGGATATGAAATAGGAAGCGTATACATCTGAGAGGAAAATATGTGAGGGATGATCGCAAAATGATTCATGACCTTAAAACTATTGTGGTGCCATGATAGACAGAAATTAACTCTCCATTTCACAGTAAAACCAAATAATTAACTCTCTCCTAATGAATGCCTTTTGGGATCCTTTCTGCAAGATCTCATCTGAAAGTCTTCTGTAAATAGCTGACATATCCAGCAATAGAGGAGCCAGCAAATACTGTGTTTTTAGAGAGAAAAAAAAATTTTTAAAGCAATTGCTAGATATTACAAAACTGATTTACCATCATCTAGTGGGTTCTTAGATTTAATTAAGTTTAATTAGATTTAGTTAGATGAATTAGATGCATCTAGACTCAGTTTACCTGATCTCGACCTAAAAGCAACATTTTGCCACTTCATTTGCATAGGGAAGAAGAAAATCTCATATAAGTCAACATTCAAACTCACCACAATAATGAGCCTCAATATTTGGACCTAAAATGGCTAGCACTTTTACACTTCATAATCACGGAAATGTGTTATGTTAAAGCAGTAGGAAGGAATCCCCTTTTGTGTGGAATTCACCATAGTAAAACCAACAAACAGAAATAGACTATGGATTTGTTTGTTTTATAAAGCAAGTTTTGTTCATTCTGCTGTTAAATACTGAGAGCAGAGCCTTTTTGCTGCTAAAGGAAAAGAATCTAAGCATTATTGTTTACCCTGTAAAAAGTGTTACATGCTGTCAGAAAAGATCAATCCTTTCCTCCAGTATCTTTTTCTTTTCTAAAAGTCTTCCCCTGTACTGCCATGAACTGCTACAATGTTAACAGAATTAGAAGTTTATGTCTGTTCTAGTCTGCAAAATAAAATGCACAAATGCAAACCAAACTTACCTTCCATTAACGTTTTCAATTTTGAATATGTTTTCATTTATTCTAGTCTCTTGAAGTTAAATCATTTCCTTTATATGTAAGAAATTTGCTAATCATTCATGGGTATTGTTTTCTCTAGGTTATTTGGTTTCCTATGTATCAATTAGGACCCAGCCCAATTCCAAGTATATATAGCCAGAAAGATCATACCATCTCTACAATAAAATCCTAGTTAAGTCTTTGATTTTTAAAAATGCATACTTATTTTACACATTTATTTTTTAAAATTAAAAAATCTGCTTCCAAATTATGTATTATCAAAGAGTATACTATATAAAAATCTTAAGTTTAAATTAAACATAACTTTTAAAATTTATTAATTAAAGATAAAGGTGGTCTTTTTCTAATTTATGAAAGAATTCTACATCTAAGACTAGTTATGTTATCTTTCATTCCGATAACAAATGTTTTTCAGAATTACAGAATTTTTTAAATTTTATAAAATAGAATAATGTAGTGTGAAATAAACGTGCCAAATGTGACTTTTTTAACTTCTGCATTGTCTGACAGCCTATAGAGTTACAGGAAATGTTTTATGTCATTATTATAGCTTTGTTCTAATTAAATCCATATAATCTTCACTTTTTGAGTTTAATCAAAGTAATATATGCATTTAATTTATGCCCAAAAAGCCCATAATAAAAAGTAGTTACCCCTACTCTCTGAGTCCCAATCATTCCAATCCCCAGGTACAACCACTTTCTTTGGGATATTTGTTCAACTATACCTCCATGTTTATGAAATATATGATTGTTGCTTTTTGATATATTAATTTTTGACACCATGCATGCACTTCCTATAACTGTAAGATTACATTATGTTCTTATCCGTATTCTATATTGCCATTATTTTTACTATGTAATATTATTCTATTTTATTTTTTAAAAATAGAAACATGGTTTTGCTATGTTGCCCAGGTTGGTCTAGAATTCCTGGGCTCAAGTGATTCCCCTCCCCCTCCCAAAGTGTTGGGATTAAGTTGTAAGCCACTGCACCCAGTGGCTAGTAGAGAATAGTAGTACTAGTATTCTCTACTAGTAGAGAATACTAGTACCATTCTCTTCTAACACCAATAATATACCACAATTCCCTTTTGTGTACTTTTTAGTTTGTTGTATTTAATAATTATCTAATTTTTTCAATTTCATTGTTTTCTCTTGAAGTGTTACTAAGTTGTTCCATATCTTTAATAACAGTTAGTGGACCAGATTTTGTTCGAAAACTGTCATTCAGAAGTGCTTAATGCACCTACTCCAATCTGGACTGAGTACAAATGCTTCTCTCATTGCTTTGAGGATATTAACTTAGCAGCACATTAAGGGATGGTTGGTAGGAGCAATCTCTTTTGGGTACAGATAATAAGGGGTTTATTGTAGAACGTTTTAGAATAAAGAACGTTTTAGAATAATACTAGAGTTGACCAAATATCAGTTTTCATTTTTATCATCACCATGCATCAGTAAATTCTAAACAAAGTCAACTATAAAATATTCTTCACTGCCAGGGCCAATTGCTTCAACCACCGTGTTTCTGCCTATTATATGTTACTTTATTAATTACAGTTCTTTCACACTTTTCTTGAATTTTTACATGTTCTCTTAAATCTCCTTCATCTTCTTTTGCTTTTATTCTTTTTTCTTTTTGTATTTGCTTATTTATGTTGGCGGCATGCTTCAAAAGCCTAGTGATTTGCAGATTCACCTTATAATGAAGTTATTTTAAAAGCTAGAAAATCTGTGTTCCTCAGCTGTGTTTGTTGAGTGGTAGGCTGGTTTTGTGAGGGTGGCTCCTAAATGTCAAGATCTCTGGCTCCATTTTTGGGGACTATTCCTGTGCTCCAAAGATTTGTTCGGTCTTATCTTTTTGGACTACCAGTCTGGGTGCTAATATTCTGGGAGGTGAGCTGGGAAAGGTACTAATGGTCTAATTGTTCTTGAGACTTCCAGAGATACAATGCTTGCTTTTCGTTAATGTTCCTCTCTGCAGTAGTTTATGGATCATCTTGTTCCATTCTGTCCATTTCATCTTCCTAGATCATGGCTTTAAGGTTGGAAATGTTTTCTGATTTATTATATATGCTCTTTCTTTTTTCTCCATTTTAATTATTTTAGGGTTAAACTGACGGTAACATAAATGTAATTTTTCACTTCTAATTCTGAATTGTGAAGTGGTGCTACAACTTAAACTATTACAAGCAGGTTACCCTTAAAACTCTTCCAGTCTTTTGAAAACATATACGTATAAACAAAAGTTATTTATTTAAAATCATATTCAAATCCATTAAAATAAGTTTTAGTAATATAATGGACTCTAATAAAACACTCTCCCCATAAGCCAACTAAAAAAATACAACCAAGTAAATTGTTCTCTCTATGATCAAAATCTAGCACTTATTTTCCAGCCAAATGTTAATTGCTACATGGGCTCTAAGATTTTGTTTGTTTGATTGTTTTTTATTTTGCTGATAAGCTGTATCTTATAGTACTGTTGGCTGTAATTGCTAACCAAAATTACACAGTGTTAAGAAAATAATGAGTCAGAGAAATTCTATGATGAACAAAAATGTGCAAACAGTGGCAAGACCCATTGGTTGTTAGAGGTTCTGTAATAAACTAAGACATGTATGATACTATTGAATCATTGTCAATCAAGCATGGTCTTGAATTATTTTCTCAGGAATTATTGCATTTACATCTTGCTTTGTAAGGTTTAGATCTGAGAAATCACAGTCACAAAGATTTCTTAGAATTTAGCTGACACTTGTCTCTTTCCAGGTTTTCCATAGAAATCATGAAATGGGTCATATAATTGAGAGCATTTGTATGTACAGCTTTGCACTTTAGTTGCAATTGCCTTGGTTCTCCAAATGAAGTTTAAAGCTTTTAAGTCAAGCTTTATCATTTTCCCTTGGAACAAATGGAACATAATTTCACAAACTATTTATATTCCTGATGCTTTCTTCTCGAGTTCTGGTTTATATGGGAAAAAAAATGGAGACTTCATAACACAAACCTAAACTGAGTTTGGAAGCTGAAGAAAGTTGGATATAAAGGAAACCTGTATAAAGGAAACCTCAGAAGTTTTATACTTGAAGTAATCTGATGAAACCAAGAAATATGCATTTTCAGTTAACACTACTGAGTGAAGAAAATAGACTATTGGTGAGAAATTTTAGAAACATTTAGTTAAGCTTTGTAAGTATTTTTCTTATATATATCTTAAAATGTAAGTTTATATAAAATTCTAGTTTGTCTAGACTGAGCCAAATAAATTATCTCCCTTAAGTGATCTGCTTAATTGCCTAAAAAGAGTGAGAATTAAGGTGAAAAATTATGCTCAGTGACAACCCGTTTTTGTCAACTTCAAAGACCCCTCCAGACTCCTGCAAGAGCAGCCTCTCTAACATGTAATGGACACAGGTTTCTCCAGGGCTTACACTCCTTCAAAAGCTCCCATCACCTACTTCTATGTGTATAATGTTTGCTGGGGAATAAATGTAGGGGCCGTCAAGTCCTGCATTTATTTGGACTTTGTCTCTCTCTCAGCTAGTATTTTTTTTTTTAGCCCTTAGTGAGTGACATCAACAAATAGGTCACAACAGCATTCTTGAAAATATGAAATAGAGAAAAAGAGAAATTGCAGTGTGAATCATTCACTGTACAGCCAAGTACATTTATGCATGCACCGATTAGGATAAACATGCATTCAAGTTTGCCCAGGACAAGTTTTATTTATACCTGTTTTCCCCCAGTTGTCTCTAGCTGTTCTTTTCACATTTAGCAATGTCCCAGGTTGGATGATAAAATACATGTTTACCCTAGTAATGGATTGCAAAGCATAATGTATTTCTTAACATGGGTCACAGTAAAAACGTTTAAATTTTATTTCCCTAAGCTCTTATTGGATCTTCACTCCTTAAACATGTTAATAAAACTGACATTCTCCAAATACACCTTTTTTGTTCTTTTCTTTGTGTCCTTGTGTAAGCAGATTCTTCTGCATAGAATAACTTTGTCTCCTGTCCACCTCATTCTTTGACACCTAGGAAAATTCTTACTTATTTGTGAAGTATTTTACTTGTTCTGCAAATAATAAAATGCAATAATAATAAGTATAAGCCTTTGTGTACAGTTAAATACTGTGAAACAGGTGCTGAATAGAATGAAAACATGGAGTTGAAAATATTTTGGAGGATAACAAGTTTTAGATTTGAGAAAGGAGAGTAATGAAAAAAGTTTGAATTTCATAAACTGCTTGTATTAGTGGAAAATAGCCAGTGGAGTTGGGTAGGTAAATAGGACCAAAATATAGAGGGTCTTCAATGCCAGTGTAACAAATGCAAATGTTTTAAAGCAAGCGTGGGTATACACACACATACACGGAGACAAACATGTATTGTCAATGTTTGGTCGGCAGGTGACATAAAAAAGATGGTCTTTTTGAACTAGACAAAAGTATATTGCATAAATGCAGAGAACAGCTTGATCCAGAGCCTGTAAACTAAGAAGACACATAAAAATACCTTTATTAGATATTTGAGCCTGGGTCTACCAAACAAGTAGAGCCTTAGCAAAGAACTTGTATGTAGGTTATTTATTTTGAGAAGTTATCAGAAGCACATGCATGAAGGGCTAGGAACTAGGGAAGGGTAAGAATCAATGGAAGAGAATATTGTTCTAAGTTGTTGTGCTAGTTGTTCACTATCAGAGACATCTGGAGTCCAATTCTCACTGGAGACCCTCAGAGAAGCTGAGTAGAGATGCCTAGAAATTGCCTATCCAAAGGGATGTGAGTGATACCAGGTCCTGTCCTTGGTAAAGTGCTGACCAATGAGATGTTTACTTCCTCTCATTTGCAGATTTACTCAACTTTCAGAATAACTGAGGTGCTGTTTGGATGCCCATATGCACAACTGGTTGTCACGGTATCTGCTGGAATAAAAATCTTTGCCAAAAGGATATGAGTGGGGGCAAAGACCTGTCTAATATACTAAGTTTGCAGATAGAATAAATTAAGAACAAGTATTTTAAAAGCATTTTCTAGTTAACAATTGTTTCATGCTTTAAAAATGTTAGTCTCCAAACCTAAGTTTTTATGCCCTCTGTCAAGCCCTCATTCATTTGCATAACCAACTTCTGAACATGAATTTTGTTGGATAAAGAAAGAGGTTAAGTGTAAGATGATATGTTCACATGTGAGCCATAGTAGACACAGCATGTAAAGAAGTTATGATACATCTCCTTAGGAAAGACAAAAAGACCAGCTATCTTCTTTAAATTAGAAATTAGCTTCCATTTCCTATGAGCAAAGACTGTTTTATTTATCCTAGTATACTCTTCTCTTGGCATAGAATTACACACAAGAGTAGATACAGTATGTGTGTGTGTGTTTGTGTTTGTATAAAATAAGTGTTACAATGCAGAAAAGGAAAAAGTAATACCTCAATACTTTTAACCACTTAAAGTAGGAAAGTCTTTTTTTTTAAAAAAAAAAGGTAAATAACTTACATCAACATATTGTCCTGTCATAGTGATTAATAATCATAGTCATCGTTCTCTTGATTCATTAGTTTTAGTACAAATAATTAGCAACTAAAATAATAAAATTTTAATTTTAAAGATATTCAAGTTCAGAATATATCTCTTTTATAAACTAAAATTTTCAATTGAAAGCAAAAATATTACACTTCACAATTCACAATCTGTTTCACTGTTTTAAATTTTAATCACAAATAAAATCCAAAATGTTCACATGGAATGACAAAATCGAATTTAGCTCAGGTTATTTGTGGTCTTATATACACTTTATTATTTTTTTTTTAATTTCAGAACTAGTGTTTAGACATAAGAATACGTATCACTAAAGGGGTTCGTGGTATGATCTTAGCCCAATGCAAGCTTCAACAATTCTGAAGCAAAACAAACTTGCTCCTGAAATGAGCATGTGTGGCACACTGAGCATGTTGGGGGCTGACTGGATAACTGGGAGTTGCATGAATTAATTTCCACATAGAATACAATGTTCTTTAAAGAATGCATAATGAGAATTGCTAATATAAGGCTTACATGTCTATTATTAAAACTCAAAGTAATCATAGTGATTGTTTGACCATAAAATTTTATTTTCCAGGAGGAGTATTTCATCACAGATATTTATTAGAATCTTGACTATATGGTGATAATAAAAAGTAGACTAAATTTAGCCAGTTTTATTATTGTTTTCAAATTCTCTACAAATAACGTACCCCTTGGTTCAGGGGTAATCATTTCCAGAACCCTATCTTTGACATTTGATGTATCACTGATAATTAGTGCTGCTTTTAATTTTAATTTTTACGTCTAAGAAATAGTTCTCTAACCCTAAAACGAAGATTTTTCTCCTATATTTTCTTCTAGAAGCCTTATAGTGTTTGCTTTTAAAGTTAAGTCTGATTCATTTCAAATTAATTTCTCATATTTGTAAGATAAGAGTCAGAGTTCATTTTCTTCCATATGAAAATTCAGTTGTTCCAGCATCATTGTTGAAAAATACAAGATTTTAGTATTGAACACATTGGAACTTTTGTTAAAAATCAGTTGACCATATACATGTAGTTCTATTTATGAACTTTATTGAACAATATTATTCTCCTCTTTGATTTATATAATTTTTTCTTTATTCTGTTACTGTGGTGAATTGTGTTGTTTCAAATGTTGAACCAATCTGGCATTCCTGGATAAAGCCTAGTTGGTTATTATCCACTACCTTTTTTATGTGGCTGGATTTATTTCCCTAATAATTGATTGAGGATTGTGGCAAAAGCTATGTTCTTGAAGGACATTAGCTTTCAATTTGCTTTTCTTATAATGCCCCTCATATTTTGTTATCATGATTCTGCTCCTTCCTAAATTAGCTGGGAAACTATTCCTCTTTCCCTAGCTTCTGAAAAAATTGTCATAAGTCTGGTACTATTTCCTTTTTATATGTTGATAGAATTCGCCAGTTAAACCATCTAGGCCTGGAGTTATTCTGTGGGAAAGTTGGGATAATGAATTTTATTTCCTTATAGATAGATATTCAGATTTTTAAAATTTCTTGAGTGAATGCTGGTGAATGGTATTTTTCAAATAATTTCCATATAGACTTACTTTCTCTACACAGCTCCCTTTCCTCTTTTTTCTTATTTCACACATTCCATCCACATCAACAAGTCTGTTCTTGCATTTCTGCCTCTGATCCGTTGGCTATCATATTCTCTACAAATAATGCACCCCCTAAGTTCAGGGGCAATCACTGGACAGTGGTACCTGTCCAACCACTGTACTCTGCTTGGACATTAGCTTGCTATGTCATAGTTGATGAACTATTTCCAGGCAAGAAGCCATGACATCCTGGGACATGAGTTTTCCTTCTCATGGGAGCTCTGTCTTGTTCTTTCTGTCGTCTAACACCTAAAACTGTAGCTTCCCGTATTTCCCCTAGTTATATCATTCTAAAAATTGTATTAATTTTAAAACTACTGTTTAGATCTGTTTAGATACAAGAATATGTATCACTAAAGGGGTTGGTGGTGAGATGGCTAGTCTCATACAAATTGTCCCATCATAGCCCAAAGGGAAAGTGTCCTAAGTTTTTATTCTTTTTTAAAATTTTCATTCTTAATGTCACCACCTTAGTGTAGACACTTACTGCTCAATATTACAATTATTTCAGGTTTTTTGTTTTGTTTTGTTTTGTTTTGTTTTGCTTTGTTTTTTTGAGACGGAGCCTCGCTCTGTCACCCAGGCTAGAGTGCAGTGGCACTCTGCTCACTGCAACCTCCACCTCCCGAGTTCAAGCGATTCTCCTGTCTCAGCCTCCCAAGTAGCTAGTACTACAGATGTGTGCCACTACACCTGGCTAATTTTTGTATTTTTAGTAGAGACGGGGTTTCACCATGTTGGCCAGGCTGGTCTTGAACTCCCGACCTCAGGTGATCCACCTGCCTCAGCCTCCCAAAGTGCTGGGATTATGGGTGTGAGCCACCGTGCTCAGCCCTTATTTCAGTATTTTTAATTGATATTAATAGACGTGTTTTTCTATGCCTCTTTTCTAGAATGTTGCCTTCACAATTTCAATCATATGTCAAAATGGTTCATTAATGCATATAGGATAAATTACAAATTATAAATTACCTATTTTGTATTCAGCCATCTCTGAACTCTGTTCTCAATATATCTTTATATACATCATAATCTCTAATATCTTAAAAATACTACAAGACCAGAGCTTATAGTGTTTTGAAGACATTAGAGATTGTTATGTATATAAATACATATACATACAATACACCCAGCCCAGTCTATTGATGATCTTTTGAACACACATCTCTTCTTATTATGTACCTTTGTCATAAAATGTTCTTTCTTTATTCCTTTTTTATTATAAAACTCTACCATTTTTTAAAAGCTTAGTTAATATCTAATCTTCTCAAGAAATTGCTAAACATACGGTAATATTTTTAAACAGAACTCATATGGGGCTAATTTTGTACATATTTATACCACTTAGCTGTTAGTTAATTAGCAAGATAATCATAATTATCCTCCCAGAATATCTTAAAAACTCATTGAGGAAAGAATTTATGTATTTAGCTTTCCTAACCCAAGAATACCTCCTTTATTAGTTAAGGATATGGGAGCTGATAAAAGAGATATACCCTGAAATTTCAGAGGCTTACATACAAGCTTATATCTCACTTACAAATATCTCAAGCAGGGATTGTGATCATTAGGCATCTCTTCTCCAAATCACAACCCAGGAGTCCAGTCACTTTCCATTTGTGACTCTGCCATCTTCAACCCCACTTTCCAAGATCACTGTGTCAGATAAAATCAAGCTGGAAGGGGCTTTACCAGAAATCACTATTCACATTCTGTCAGCTAGTCTGAGTCACATGGGTATACCTAACTGCAAGGGAGACTGAGAATTGGAGTCTAGCTGTGTGTTCTGCAGAAGAGAAATGGTAATCAGTTTGCCATTTCTGCCACATCTCCCATAGTATGGTTGCTCCTTTTCCTTAAGTCTCACACTTTCCGTCTAAAACTCACTTTAGTGTTTCAAGTTTTGGAGCGTAAGTAAAAAGCTCAGGCCTCTCTGTGTGTCTGTTAATTATTGTAATCTCTGATCTCAGTCCAACTCAACAGTGGAATAGAGGAACCCAACTGATAGATAAAGGGACCTCTATTCCTAGGCACATCAAGACAGCAAGAAGTCAGAAAGTAATTTGTCAAATTCCTGCTCTACATAGATTTGGCTCCTTCCATAAAAAGCAGATCCCAGTCTTCCAGATTAAGTTAGTTTTGAAGGAGAATGACAAGAAAAAGGCAAGAACTCTGATCTTTTATGAAGTAACTCCCTACCTGCTTTCTGGGAGGAACGACAGCCCTGCAAACCAAAACCATGGTCTTGCTGACTTTCCAAGGCAGAAAGAAATAATTCTAATGATATGGAAAGGGCCAATTCTTCTAACAATTTAGATTTAGAGTTTAGTGTCTGGGTGTCCTATGTAGACCCCCTTCTCATTTTCTCTAAGCCAGCACCCATATACCAAATAATTCAGTTCTTTTTCAGTTTCATAAACATTTTTCAAAAGCCAAGACTAGCTGAGCACTAGGGATATGAATATGAACCTAAAAGTGTTTGTGGAGTTCAAAGTTTAGTAAACTTCAGATATACACACACATCACACACACAGACACACACACACACACAGTGCTAGTCCACACATTTCCCAATTTTAATTCAATCCTCATAACACAGTCTCGTCTAGCTCCAATTTTGCCATAATCTTTGCAAGGACAGTAGTGTTTTTGTTTATTCAGCCTGCCAATTTGGTATTCCGACCCTGACCAACCTTACTCAAGGAGATGGACTAACTTTCCTGTTTTTCAGGCTAAATTGAGGAATCTTACACATGTTTAATGCCTAACAGTGTCTGCTGCAGAGACCAAATTCAATAAACATTAACTGGCTTTCTTCCTAGATTCTCCACTGTAGTTATTCTATCCTTAGAAGTCTGATTTGAGCATCCAGCATGCCTACAGGTAAGACAATTTAGAAGAAAAAAACTCCAGAAAAGGATGTGATTAAAATAAAAGCAGGAGTCCATACATATGAACTGAGACTCAAGATAACGGTCAAGGAGGCAGGCTCAACAATTTATAACATAGGAATGAAACAATACAAGTTAGATGCTAAGATTGCAAGTCTTAAGTACCTCCTGCAGTAAGTTAGGCTTGATCTGTGAACAAGCGTAGCAATGAGGCCTACAGGTGGAGGGAAAAGTAGGGCAAGCTCTGGGGAATGAGGGCTACAGATGCTAGTATGAGAGACATTGCTTCATACCACCACCATTTTTGTGTCTCTCATTACTTCTCAAAAGTCATGCTATGTGCAGTCAAATTGTACTGTCATTGATTCCCAGTTATGAACAATAACTTTCCCTACTGTGTCCTGTAATACTGTGCTCTTTTGTGCATTCTGTGTCCTTTGCTCTATCTTTCTAAAATGCTCTCTCTCTTGCATTATACACACATGTGGTGGTTTTAAACATGTCTCCAAATTCTTTGACATGTCTGCCACAGGAAGTGAAATCTAACTTTCTTTCTTGTGAATATGGCCTAGCCTCAGTGACTTACTTATTTTGAGACAGAGTCTCCTTCTGTTGGCCAGGCTGGAGTGCAGTGGCACAATCTTGGCTCACTGCAACCTCCACCTCCTGGGTTCAAGCGATTCTCCTGCCTCAGCCTGCCAGCTACTTGGCCTCCCAAGTAGCTGGGACTACAGGCACCCTCCACCAAGCCTGGCTAATTTTTGTATTTTTAGTAGAGACAGGGTTTTTTTGTATTTTTTTTGTATTTGTATTTTTGTATTTTTAGTAGAGACAGGGTTTCATCATGTTGGCCAGGCTGTTCTCAAACTCCTGGCCTCAAGTGATCCACCTGCCTTGGACTCCCAAAGTGTTTGGATTACAGGTATGACCCAGCCTGACTGACCTCTAATAAGTTGAATGTAACAGGAGTGATGCTGTGTTACCTCAGAGTCTAGGTTAGCAAAAGTGATACTTCTTTGCCTGGCTCTTGAGACACATGCGTTAGGATCCATGAGCCTACACACAAGTAATCTGGCTACCTTGAAGCCAAAGTACTGGAGAATTCACATGGAGAGGGCACAGAGAGATAAAGAGAAATGCCTAAAGAGCCTAGCTATTCTAGCTCTTAGCTGAATCTGAGTAGAGCAGATTCACAGGAAAAGGCTCATTCAGAGCCTCTGACTCTCTGAAATCCTGACCCAGAGAAACCATGACTAAAATATAGGCTTGTTTTATGCCACTAAGTTTTGTGGTAATTTGTTATGCAGTTATAGTAACTGGAACAGGGTTTATTTGTTTTTTGTTTTTGTTTTTGTTTTGTTTGTTGTTGTTGTTGTTGTTGAACTTAAAGTAGTATGCTGCCATAACAAACTCTAAAATGTAGCTTTGGGACCAGGAGGCAGCTGAAGTAAAGCTGGAAGCACATTGAAGAAAGTGTTAGAGAAAGGCTAAAGGGCTATGGAGAGACTATTAGTAAACGTGAAGGCCATCAAAGAAGTGCTAGAGAGGGCTTAACAGAAAGTAAGGAAAATATTGTTGAAAGCTAAATGAAAGAGAATATTTGATATGCAGTGGTAGAAAGTTTAGCAACATTGTTGCTGAACAAAGTAAAAAAAAAAATAAACCTAATGAACTATATGATCTAGCTAAGGAGACTTCTAGGCAGAGTATTGAAGTTGCCACCTGGCTTCTTATTGTTGCTTATAGTAGAATGTAGAAGAAGAAAGATAAGCTAAAGAAAGGGCTTTTAGATATAAAAGATTCAGGGCTTGCTGGGTTCTAGTATCTCAGAGATTTTTTTTTAAAAACAGGCTTCAGAACAAGATCAAATTCATGAGGAGGCTATAAGATATTTTCTTAAGACCTCAGAAGATATATTTAAGGTTGTCTCTGTATAATATTAACATGCAAAACATATGCAGAGATTGTTTTAAAAAGTCTCTGCAGTGCTCACTACAGTATCTCAGATATAATAAGTACAAAAGTTGTTCCTTATCAAAGTGTGTTATCCAGTGTGCCTTTTGTCAATCAAAGAACGTTGATATGTTAATTTGTGTCCATATGTTAACTATTAAGGAAAAGGGACAGAAATAAACAGTATGTAAATCAACTATCGACCACTATAAACTACCCTCTATTTTCCGTTGTCTTTCTTTCTTTTTTTTTTTTCTTGAGATGGAGTCTTGCTCTGTCACCCAGGCTGGAGTGCAGTGGCACGATCTTGGCTCACTGCAGCCTCTGCCTCCCGAGTTCCAGCCATTCTCCTGCCTCAGCCTCCTGGGTAGCTAGGATTACAGGCACACACCACCACACCAGGTTAATTTTTGTATTTTTAGTGGAGATGGGGTTTCACTATGTTGGCCAGGCTGGTCTCGAACTCCTGACTTCAGGTGATCCACCCGCCCTGACTTCCCAAAGTGCTGGGATTACAGGCGTGAGCCACAGCGCCCTGCCTACTTTCTATTTTTACTCACCAAGTACAAACTAATGTGAAGCCACTGGGCAAGTGGCCAAATACCCACTTAATAAGCTCTTGCACTGGTTCCTGAGAATCAATATCAATTTAATATTTAAAAGAAACCACACAACCCTAAGATTAAATAGTAAAGAAACATGTAAATAATTCCATAAGTAATTATAATAATCATGGTTTTATTTGGAAAATACAAAATAATAGCATCATATATTTTAATAGAAAAACGTCCAATGGGCATCTTTTTCTTTGTTATTATGCTTATATTGATTAAAGTGTTAATATTGATTAAAGTGGCCCAGGAAATAGGAGCAGTTAATAAAGATAAGTGGCATGTAACTTCACTAGTAAGCCACAGAATATTTGGGAAGAGGACTTAAAAATTAGTTTAGTCAGAATATAATATTAAATTATGTAGAATTTAGCAAAAAGTTTATTTAGTTTCTTACATAAACCAGGTATGATGCTACCATTTAGGCTGACCAAACCCATCCCCACCCCCCAAAAAAACCCACCACCACCACCACCAACAACAACAACAGACATGTAAACCTTGCTTTCAGAGAACACATGGAAAAGCAGGAACCCAGATGTATTTGGGGAGCAAACTTGTGTTTACCAAGTGCCTTATTTTTTGCTTAATTTTATCACCTATGAGACTAGATCTATTCTTTTCAAGGCAGAGACCAAATGTTGTAATTTTTATCTTCCAAGTGTCTTAGAAACCATATTATGTGCACTCAGTTACAATGAAAATGAGTAAATTAATTAATTAAATGATGAATGCATAAGTGAATACCAAACTAAGGAGAAACATCTGTGGAAAATATTGAATACTCAAAGCATAGTACTGCAATTAATTGAAAGAAATATATACAGAATAGTTCAAGTTATTAGAGATGAGGCAGGAGCAAATAATCAAAAAGATAAACATTTGAGATAGATAGAGAGGGCAAGAGAGCCCCACATGCAATGAATCACTAAGATATGTCAATTTATTACTTAGGTTCCTATGACAATCCGCTAACTTGCTTTCCTATCATTAGAGATTGGACCCACTAGGTAAATCCCTCCTGCTTTGGGAAAGTCCTTCTTTCCCTTTTGTATCTCTTCACCATTAAAGTGTCCCTTATGCTGCTGTGAATGCAGAATACTGGGTTCTGGATATTTTTCTGGGCAAGGGGGATATGTGAGTGTGAGAGTGTGTGTATATGTGTGTGTGCAAAGGTAAGAGAGGCAGAATACAGAGCCAATTATAGGGGTGATGCTAACAAGAAAACCAGAAACCCTCTCAAGTTCTTGGGAATACCGGAAGCCTGGAGACTTCACAGTATTGGTCTTAGTTTTACACTACACAGTTTTCAACACAAAAGGTTTATTAGGGTCCCAGTTATATACCACTGTATTCAGGAAGCAAGAATATTTAAAATAATGTGAACCAACTAATAAACATTCTTGCTTCACAAGCTAACAAAATAAATATCCAATGATATAAAGCTTGTTGAAAAAAAATCAAGTTATTAATATATACCACCTCTCTTTTTTATGTATAGTAAAAATATGTTATTAATGTTGAAGATGAAGGCTAAAGATAAAGCATGTCTAAAGATCAAGTGTTCATTTCTTTAATTTTCCTGACTTTTGAATAGAAGAGAAAATGGCTTTACTCAATATTTCCCCAGAGTGTTCTAATAAATATGACAAATTCTATGTGTTAAAGTAATTGTAAAAAGCTTTTGTTTACCAGTGAATATTAAATTATTACTTGATAATTTACCTGTTTTAAATATCTGTTGTATTCAGGAATGTCTTGTGATTTAAGGTGTGTCCATCTTTACAGGAGATTTATAATTCTCTGTTTAGTTTCCATTATTACTTTTCAACTACAGCTATGTTACAGATGATAAATCACTGGAATACAGCATTCAGAAAAATGTTGTATATATTTATACTTTCCTATGCATGAGAAGAGATAAACAGAGAGTGCAAATAGCAGAAACTAAAAAAATACTTGTGATATATAATGACTAAAGTGATTTAATTTAGGAAGAATACCAATCAGAATGATTTGTTCCAAGGCGAGGAAGAAGTAGGTGAGAAGGGCCACAGATCAACTTAATGAGTGCTGTAACTTGGATCTATTTCTTAAAATATTGCATATCAATGTTATAGATAATTAAATAAAAATATAGCATCTGCTGATAAGAAACAAATCTAAGTTAATATATAATTAAATCAGTATTATGTGCTTCCAATTCAGTTACCTCCTGGATAAGTCAGATGCACATTTACCAGAAACTGTTACAATATTTCTGGAACTCGAAACCACCCATTGCTCTGCATTAATTAAGGCAATGGTGTATTCTATATAAGAAAAAATAAGGTAGATATTTTATATAGTTTTAAAACATAAACTTCCTTTCCTTATTCTGTCCAAAATGTTAAGATGGATCTAAAAATAATGGTTAAAGTAAATTAAATTTTAATGATGGAGTTTTACACATCATTTGGATGGAGGTTGTAATTGGTTTTTATTTGTATGCATAGTTTACAAATGTTCTTGAATAACCATTTTAAAGATACTCACATATGCTTTGCAGATCAGTTATCCCAACCTTCTTATCACAATCATGAAAGAGTTATTTGTAATCACATCATTTCCCCCCTTTTGAAATTTGCCTTATTCTGGTATGTGTTTTTATCAGTGGCTTATTAAAATTTAGTCAAGTAACCAGCTTCCCTAGACCACTCAAGAGTAATTTGTTTGCTAAAATCATCAAAACTTAAGATTTCTAGGTGACAAGTTACTAACATAAACAAATTCTCATTATCTATCACAATTAACCAGACTGAGGCAGATTTTTCTCTAGTTGGCTAGAAGTGGTGAGTATGGGACACTGGGTATATGGTTGGCAGAAACATGAACGTTATTCTTTCCTTGTAACATGAGTCGACATGGAATTGGTGTTTGACAATTCAGAATCATAAAGTCTTGTGCATTTATTCCTTAAAAAATATTTATTAAGACATGTTTATGTGCTAAGTGCTAGGAACTTAAAATGGCAATCAAGACAGGCAAGATCAGGGCCATGATGAAACAAAAGGAATGAGATACAATGCTTGACTCACACTACAATACTTGGAACAAGCAGATTTCTAGTGATACTATTGTTTCTGGTGTCTAATAATTCCTCTGATTACTAAAAATAATGCCTTCCTTATTTTGATCTGAAGCTTTAAAGCTTCCACTCTTGTTCTTATTTCAAACTCTGTAGCCAAAATGTCATCTCTTTCATATAGAGGAACCTTGTCAAATTTAAAAAGATAGCTATCATATACCTCCTGACTTCTCTTTTTAAGGTTAAACATTCCCTTTGTCTTCACCCATTCCTCACGTGACATAGTATTGCATTCCTCACCTTTTGGGATAATCTTAATATACAATGTAATTTGTCAATGTCATTATTCAATTGCAATATCAGAACTATCTACCAAACTCCAGAAGCAGTACAACTAGCACAAAATGAAAGAAAAAGATGTAATTTCTTATTTTATTAAGTCTATCAATAAAGCCGAAGACTTATATTATATTTTATTATATTTTTATTTCTGAGGATTTTGTTTTCTGTGTTGTTGAGGGAAGGAATGATGAGAGCACACCACGGTATAGATTTTTAAAACTCCTTTTTTTCTGCATGGCTTTTGGTTAAGCCCCTATCTTCTTTCTACTGATCATTTGTGGTCAGCTTTTAAGCCCTTGATATGGTTTGGATTTGTGTCCCCACCCAAATCTCAGGTCAAATTGGAGGAGGGGCCTGGTGGGAGGTGGTTGAGTTTTGGGGACAGATTTCCCCCTTGCTGGTCTCATGATAGTGAGTTCTCATGAGATCTGATTATTTGAAAGTATGTGCACTTCCCCTTTCACTCGCTCTTTCTCTCCTGCTCTGCCATGGTAAGACATGATTGCTTCCTCTTCACCTTCTGCCATGATTGTCAGTTTTCTGAGGCCTCCCAGCCATGCTTCCTGTAGGGCCTGTGGAACTGGGAGTCAATTAAACTTATTTGCTTTATAAATTATGCAGTCACAGGTAGTTCTTTACAGCAGTGTGAGAATGGACTAATACAACCCTCATTACTGAGGTACAATTTTTAACTCCTACATTTTTTAATACTTGACTTAACTCAATTGTTCTTTCTGTTAAAACCAATGTAATTATGTAATTGACTCTCATCCAACACGTTGAGCCAGCTTAGAGTCAGCAATTGGCTTGATCAATATACTATCTATATCTTCATTTAATCACTGATGAAATGTTTATACTGTCTCTATGAGAAAATTCTTGATTTCCAGTAATAATCATTTTTTAAAAACTTAATCAAAAGGAATGAAAAAAAAATCCCAGAAGTATTTGGTCATTTGATTATCTACTGTGATGCGTTTGTATTAGGGCTTGAGGAAGGGGATGCACAATGCCTGAAAGGTAGTCACGTGTATCAGTGATGTGTAAGCATCAATGGGGTGATTATTTCAGCTGGATTTTTCTGAGACCCATATTCAGAAAATGATTCAGCCACTATGGGATGGAGCATTGGAATTTATCATCTAAGAAGTTTCCCTAGCAATTCTGTTGCAGATGGAGGTATCCCCTATGTTGAGGAACATTGATATATTGAAAATATCATCAGCTGTAAAGACAAATGAGCTGATCTCATATCATAGCCCCACTACCTATAGACAAGACTTACAATAAGGAAATTCGCCTCACTGAGCATGTTTCTTCATTTGAAAAATTAGGGTTTTAAAACCCATCTCATAATTTTATATTAAGATTTAATCAATATAATGAATATGAATCACCAGGCACATAATAGGTACTAATTAAAGATTTTTTTTCTCTTACCATTCAAACCCAAAATAGAGTACTGTTGTTAGATTAATGGTCAAACCGTGTCTGAAAAACATTTGAGTTATTGAGCACAAATTGTTTGGTTATATCAATAAGGCTGAGTATAGAAACAGCTAAAGATGTGATCTCAGCTCAGAGTAAAAGGTACCTTATCATTATAATTATCTCATGAGATTTTTGAGTCTTGGAGAAAATAAACTTAAGAACCACTGAAGTTTACAATACAGACATTAAACTGGGAAGATTTACCACTTAGTGTGGTGTTAGTGTCCCATCTGTAATAACATATAGAATACAGGAATTACTAGGTTCTACCATCGTTGTTTTCTGTAGATAAAGTAAAAATAGCATTTAAAAAATATCAATTACTATATCTACTACTCATACTTCAAAATAGAGCTGAACATTTATGCATTGTAAAAATGCTCATGTCTCAGTAATTCTCATCTTCTCAAAAGTAATAAAAATATTTTTAAGTAAATTATCTGGCCTTAATACTGCAACCTTCCAAGAAAGTTATAAATTGACCACAGAGTAAAAGTGTATCAAGGCACACCTTCCAAATGATTCCTCTGTATATTTTCTGTGCCTAGAATTTAATGACCTCTCACAAACCTTTCCAATTTTTTTTATAATTCAAAATGCTACAAATCATAACAAAGGAAAACTATAAAAAACTGTATTAAAAGAGATATGCCATCATAGAATAAACTACTCAATAAGATAAAGTGAAAGTTATTACAATGCTCATATCAATGTTTGGGGAGAAATAAATACTGAATACTTTAGTTCTAACCTGAGTCCTCTTCCAATTCAAAGTGCTACTCTGGATAAATAGTTAATATGGCAGTGGCTAGACAAATTAAATGAGATTTACCTTATTTATTTCCCAGGGAAATTGCAAAGGAAAACATCAAGCAATTTTGAAAAAGAATGCAAGTTAATGTTATAAAGATATATTTTTTGGAAATTATCATTTATCTAATTATTGTTTTATTAACACTTCAATAGTTTCTTTTTCTGATTATGTTTTAATATATTTTCATTGTTAAAAAACCCAAAAATACAAAAACATAGAAGCAATACATAAAGAACTTGCATAACCTTTCCTCTTCCCAGAAATAAACTTACAAACTTTAAAAAATATTTCGGTACATATCTATCCAGAGCTCTTCTCTTCTCCTGTTATTGCACAGAGAAAGAATTTTTTTTAATGCTCGCTAGAATTTTAATTGACTATTTCAGGTTGGAAGAATAATATTCTTAAGAGGGTTTTTTTAAATTAAGAAAAGCGCTTTAATGGACTTGTATTGCCCTTATGCTTTTTATAATTTCCCATGCCCTAAGAATATTTAATATGTAATATTTTTCCTGATAATATAAATAAAATTTTAAGTAGAAATGTAAAATTTATTTTTCTTTATTTCTTCATCAGTTAGTTATAGTCAAATGTACTTAACATTTAATAAAATAGGCAGATAAATGGTTTATGAGAGGGCATCTAAACTGCTGTGAACTAAATATAGGTTTAGACACATGCAATTTTTCAGTTTTGGAATTAATTTTGAATTTCCATGCCAAACTAGAAAAATGTAAATTTCTATCCCTGGAGTTTTCATCCAAATTCTTTTATATGCATCTAAGTAAAAAAAAAAAAAAAAAAAAAAATGGCCCACTTCCAATTGTACTTTCAACCTTGACTGTCAAACTGAGTGACTACAACTTTTGTTTTTTTTAGAGTTATTTATGCACTAGTACATTGTGAAGCAGGGCACAGATGACTAAATGTACATCTGCGTTATATTCTTAAGCGCCTGACACTAGATTTATGTGATTTCCTGGATATGTCATTTACAAATCAATACTAAAACAATTGATTACCTTATAAATGGTCCAATTGAACTGGTCAGAAAGACATTTTAGTAATTAAGACAAAACTGTCAGATGAACTATTCAACCCTATATTGATGACTAAGTACTTAGCAATGGTATTGTTCAAAATTACTGCTTTAGCAATGAATTGATCAAATCCATGTAACACAGATCAATGAAGACCCAGCCTAGTTATTATAATTATCTGCTTGAAAATCAGCATAAGAAACAATACAAATACGTGCTTAACACACATTTTCTGTTAATAAATGATGACTTCTCATTTTAATGACTAGGGTTTATTGTGTTTCTGCTTAATCTGTGCTATCAAAATGTGTGGCTATGTTCACATTCCCAAAGTAACAAAAGTTTTGAAAAATTGTTAATCAATAGAGGTATAACTATTAATGAACTAGGTGCTGTAAATAGTCAAAGATAATAAATCAATTACTTGATAATAAGGAATAATAAACAAAAATGTCATAGAACTCAAATTTTTCATAATTTAGCTATTTAAAGAAGAAAACAAAAATCCAAACAGTTTTTGCTGTAATTCTTATCTTTATATGGCATATTATGCCATGGACTTGTGTCAATTCAAAAGGAATATGATTTTTGCTATTTCAAGAAGAATGGTTTATTGTTTGCAGAATTAGCTCACTACAGTCAACACTTATTCCACTCTAAAAGCCAGGTAGATGCTTGTTTACTGTGGCAAACAGCAATGCAGAATAGACAGTCCCCATCTAGTAATGAGTAAGAAATTTTGCACATAACAATATAAAGTGGCATCCAGAGTGATGTGACTGTGGTAGGTGGTCCTAGATGAAGTTTTGCAGAACCTGACAAGAAGTGTGGTAGCAACAGTGTGCAATCCAGTGTGTCTTGTCAGTGCTTTGAAAGTCCTCCAGGTCTTCCAAGGCATAAGCTCAGCTAGTAGGATCAGCCACATGAAGGGTTTTCCTGTTGTTTCTATGTCCAAGAAGGTTAAGAGGTTAGAATTCCCCCAGAATATCAAATATAAATTTAGACTCATTAGTACCACACATATTTTAATTGTATTTTTTATTATTAATTCTAAACAATTAAAAATTGAATATATATTTTGTATGTTTGTTTTTTCGAAACAGAATACATTCTTCTATTTCTGGATGTTTTTCAATTGTCTCATTGCAAAGCAATCAAAGTTGAATGGGGAAAGATAAAGCAAAATGTAGTTCTGATTCTTGTCCTTCTAAATGTGATTCTTGAGTGCAATGTATTCTGTCAACTCAATGAGAATAAAAGAGGAGGGAGGGAGAGAGAGAGAGAGAGAAGAGAGGAGAGAAAGAGAGAAGGGGGAGAGAGAGTGATAGGGAGACAATAAAAGAGTCTCCTGCCCCCAAATGTGTCAGAATGTTGGTATTCTTCAGAGTTTAAGAAAAGAATTATTGTAAAAGAGGCTACAGAAGAAATAATATGGAAATAGGAGTCGTTGAGTTCCATCCTCAATCTTCTTGCTTTTATTTCTCACTTGGCATACTTTGGGGGACTGTATAATTCCCAAGTGCGTTAATGATTTCCAAATATTTAACTTCACACAAATTTTGTCTGAATCTCAAACTCATCTGTGTAACTACATATCAAATATCTCCACTCAGATGGTCCGTTGGTATTTCAAATCTCCATAACAAAGTTTAGTTTATATGCTTTCCTGATCCCTTTATCTTTCTTTGTTTCTTATATCAGCACCTTCATCCACTCCTCAGCTTGGTTTATAAACATAGGAATTACCTTAGTGTCAGAACTTACTCTTGTCATTATTTTTTAAATTTGACAATTCTTTCTCTGAAATCTCCCTCTCCACTCAAATCACCTGCTCTTCCCTCTGCTTTAAAGCAGAGTAGTAATAGTAATTAAGAAGCTGCTGAACTTGAGGAGTGTTTTGTGGCTGCTGCTGCTGCTTTCTTTTCCTTTTCTTTTTTTTTTTTTTTGGCGGAATTTCACTCGTGTTGCCTAAGCTGGAGTGCAATGGCACAATCTTGGCTCACTGCAACCTCGGCCTCCTGGATTCAAGCGATTCTCCTGCCTTAGCCTCCGTAGTAGCTGGGATTACAGGCATGCACGAACACGTCCAGCTAATTTTGTATTTTTAGTAGAGACGGGGTTTCTTCATGTTGGTCAGGCTGGTCTTGAACTCCCGACCTCAGGTTATTCTCCTGCCTTGGCCTCCCAAAGTGCTGGGATTACATGCGTGAGCCACCGCGCCTGGACTTTGTGGCTTATTCTTAATCTTTAACTTTGATTTATTGTCTTCGTCATGGTGATAAATACATTCTAAGAGTATTGGTTCTATATACAAAGAACTAATGTCAAATTCTTAACACCACTTAAATGACCACTGAATAGGGAAATAATAATGCATAATACTTATGTATTTCACTGACTTGACAGAAATCAGAAAAGTTTATTCACAGGACTTTTCTATAATACAGAAAAAATTAACTTAAGTATTCCTATGTAACTATTATAACTTATGTATTGCAATGAAGACATGACCTGAATACAACAGCTTAGGGAGAAATACTTAAGCACTTTTAGGTTATGGAAGATTAAACACTTTTTTTTAAAAAAGACAAAGAAGTTAATGTCTTTATAAGTATTTCTGTTTGGAAGTGAGTGACATACATATATTCCAAATCAGGAACTAGGTTATGAGGTTCATTTGACAATAGTTTGAGGCAGTTCTATGTTGAAAGACACATTGGAGGATTCAGTCTCCGATGAGACATTTAAGGTTTAGAGCATATTTAATTTTTCTGTAGATAATAAGACTATTTATTTAAAAGAAGATTTTTCCAGAAAACGTCATGATTATAATTCTTTTTTAGATGGACTTTCTCTCTGTCGCCTAGGCTGGAGTGCAGTGGCGTGATCTCATCTCACTGCAACCGCCGCCTCCCGGGTTTAAGAGATTCTTCAGCCTCAGCCTCCTGAGTAGCTGGGATTACAGGCGACTGCCACCACACCCGGCTAATTTTTGTGTTTTTTAGTAGAGACGGGGTTTTACCATGTTGGCCAGGCTGGTCTTGAACTCCTGATCTCAGGTGATCCACTCGCCTCAGCCTCCCAAAGTGCTGGGATTACAGGCATGAGCCACTGCACCCAGCCCGATTATAATTTTTTATTTAAAAATTTCAAAGTTTCAGCCAGGCATGGTGGCTCATGCCTGTAATGCCAGCACTTTGGGAGGCCGAGGTGGGTGGATCACGAGGTCAGGAGTTTGAGACCAGCCAGTTCCAGACCAACCTGGCCAACATGGTGAAACCCCACTCTACTAAAAATACAAAAATTAGCCGGGCGTGATGGTGTACTCCTGTAATCCAAGCTACTTGGGAGGCTGAAGCAGGAGAATTGCTTGAACCTGGAAGGCAGAGGTTGCAGTAAGCCAAGATCGCACCACTGCACTCCAGCCTGGGTGACAGAGCAAGACTCCATCTCAGAAAAAAAAAAAAAAAAAAAAATCCCAAAGTTTCAAGGAGCCAATATATTATGTCTTACAAAAAGTAAACCAAATATATTGCAAATAGATACTTCTGAGACAATTTAAGGGTTTTACCTTACAAAAGTATTACAAAAATTCAGTGTTTTTTAAAGTAAAAACTCCCTCTCAATAATTTCACATATATTATAATAGTTTGATTGTCAACACATAATTGCAAATAGGCTCATAAGTACTGTATCTTGAACGTTTGAGAGTGCATACATGGCTCTATAATTTGCAAATTTCTCATGAGGATGCTGGAAATATTATTTTCATTTTGTCACTGGGCATGCTTATAAGCAATGATGTCTTGGAGCCATGTTTTCTCAATCCCACACTTGGCTATTTAATGGAAAGAGTCCCTGTGTATATATTAATGAAATGTACACAGGATAAAATGAGCTTTACTTAACTAAATGCTCTTTTTATTTTATTTTTATTTATTTTTCTGAGACAGGGTCTCACTCTGTTGCCCAGGCTGGAGTGCAGTGGTGCAATCATAACTCACTGCAGCCTCTGCCACCTGGGCTCAAATGATCCTCCTGCCTTAGCCTCGCATGTCACTGAGACCACAGGCACACACCACCACACCCAGCTAATTTTTAATTTTTTTGTAGAGACAGGGTCCCACTATGTTGCCCAGCCTGGTCTCAAATGCCTGGGCTCAAATTATCCTACCGCCTCAGCCTCCCAAAGTACTGAGATTACGGGCATTAGCCACTATGCCTAAATGCTCTTTTTAAATTAATCGAACAGAACCAAACAAATGAGACACTGTACTTTGAGTTCATCAGTACTGAACACCTATGTTCTTTAAGGTTTTTCAAAAAGGCTGCTTTATATACATTCCAGCAAATCTACTGCAGTTCTTTATTTTATCAATTATTCTAATACCATCCTAAAACTTACTTTGTAGAAAGTAAGAAATCATAAAATCTCAGGGTTGAAGAGTGTACTTAAGATCAACTAGTCAAAACTCCCATAATTTGGTTCTACAAAATGGTCACAAAGTGTTGATTTAATGGATTTTTAAACTCTTCCAAAGAGGAGAATTCAATAGTTTCATCTGCCACTAAAACACATTTTTCTTATATTAAGCTGAAATCCATCTCTTAAAATCTTTTATTGATGCTGAATTCAGGTCTTCTCTTCAGAACTGAGGGTCTCTTTCTTGAGTTGCCTGCAGTGTTGGCTGCTAATGGGTCACTGCTGAGTCTTTTCCCAGAAATTACTCAAAGATAAACCTAATCTTTCCATTACCCAGTGACTCATTGGAGTGTGCGTTTGTGTTGTGGGGGATATAAACTACCAGCTCTTTACCTTATTTCTGGACAACTCTGAAAGGCCATCTCAACTCTGAGATCCCTGTGGAATGAACCAGGCTTAACTTCAACCTCTTTGCAGTTCAATTTCCCTTTTCACCCATTCTTGCTTTCCTCACTTTCTTACAGGTATTTCCAATAGGTACTCATCAATGAAACTTCTGCATGGAAATCTGCATCATAGACTCTGTTTGAAAAGAATCTTGCCACAAAACCTCTACCATTTTTTCTCATGAATACTTTTGAATCTTGCTGAACAGGTATAATCGTTTAAGCATGACTGAAGTATTCAGAGAAATCAAAGGTTATTTCTTCATTTTCCATGCATGTATTATTTTAATATTAATATATATCTTGATATTGCAGTTCATGTAAGCTAGTTAACCCGTTCACTTAATGAACTAAATCTAGGATTTGGAAATGCAGATTTTAAGAGCTCTGTGGTAGATAACAAAAATGGCCTCATTCTTTCCATATCTCCGTGCGTGTTCCACATGCCCCTTTGCAATGTGCTATTGCAGTTTCTTCCATTGAGAGGTAGGTTTGATCTTTTAACTTGCTTTAGCAATTGAGATGTTGTTAAACAAAAATGATGAAAGCAGAGGTTTTGAAAGTGTTTGCACTCTGGTTCTTGCCCTTATTTATTGGTGTTTGGAAACAGGAAACAGCCATATAAGATGCTCCAGCTTGCCTACTTAGGCAAGAGAGACCACATGAAGAAGACATAAGCCACCGCAGACTAATTAGTCTGTCAAATACCAGGCAAGAGGATGAGTCCATCCTAGACCATCTACCGCCAGCTGACTTGACTCAGTCCAGAAGAACTCCCTAGCCAACCCACAAAATCTTAACAGATAATAAATATTTGTAGCTTTAAATCTCTAATCTTTGTTTAAATTTGCAAAAGCTAATGAATACAACCTCCATATGAATTAAGCAGATCTTCAAACTAGTGATTCTGCTTTCCATCACATATTTTAATATTTTACGGGTACATTCTGGAAAATTTTAATGCATTTTATCATTAAGAATATTATATGTTTAATGAGCTTTCCTTTTCTTTTTGAGACAGAGCCTTGCTCTCTTGTTCAGGCTGTAACACAGTGGTGCAATCCTAGCTCACTACAGGCTTAACCTCCTGGGTTCAAGTGATCCTTCTCCATCAGCCTCCTGAGTAGCTGGAGCTACAGGTGTGCACCATCAAGCCCAGTTAATTTTTAATTTTTTTGTAGAGACAAGGTCTCATTATGTTGCCCAGGTTGGCTTGAACTCCTGAGCTCAGGTGATCTTCCCTCCTTGGCCTCTCAAAGTGCTGGGTTTACAAGCATGAGCCACTGTGCCCTGCCTGAGTTTTATTCTTAATACTGACTAATATAAGGAAAATTTATGTGAGTCAGATTAAGTAACCCAATGATGCAGAAAAAAACAGAACAAAGGATTTTGTTGTATGTCTTACATATTAGATTAGTTTCTGAAAGTAAGAATCTGGGCCTTCAGTGACATTCCTTAAAATATATTCTACAGAATAATAATTCAAAGGAATGTTAATATATTTTGCTTAAATAATTTGTTACATGGTCAAACAGATTGGAGAAAGCAATGAACTAAAATAACTTCTTTATTTCAGAATTTATTGGAGGTTTTAATGTGCTCTTATGCATCAGTAACTTCTGAGACAGAAATGTATTATGAATTATCTCTAAAATAAGCTTAACTATCTGTCTTGGACATCTGTGGACAGCCATCAACCAATTTTAGTAACCACATCCTGGTATTTATCTGGGAAAACACTACCATTTCCAGTCTTCATTTATGTGATTTTGATGATGGCCATTCTACTAGGAACCCCAACTTAATACCAGTCTGCTTATGAAATGATTCTGGCCATAGTGATTGATTTGGACATGAACATGTAAACCAATCAGAGATAATATGACACAAGTATATGTCACATAATATGATGCAAACATATTTTTATTGAGACTTATGGAAGAGTTTGTGACTGTTGTGAGCAAAGCTGAGAGGGTATGAGGACTCAATTGCTGCTTCCATGACCTTCACTGCTTGGAGCCCAAGGTAAATCATAATGATGTAATCTGAGTCAATATTCCTAAAACCAGTCACCTCGCCAACCTGCACCAACATATTGGCTTCTTCAGCTAATAAATTTTATTTTTGTTTAATTAATTTAAATAATTTTAATTTATTTAAAATTTAATTATTTTAGTTAATTTAAAAATTACTTTAAATAATTTTTGGTCATTTAACACTGAAAAAGTCATAACCAATAGATCATAAGCCCTGTTTTTTTCAGTAATTTTGAGAATTAATATTTCACAAAACACTTCTTTGGAGAAATCTAGACATAGTTAGTCGAGTAGTCAAATACACAGATTTTACTACCTGGATTAAAATTCTAATTTTATCACAAATTAGCTGTCTGTGTTTCAGATTGTTTATAAAGTAGGCATCATAATATAGCTTACCTGATAATGATTTTGTGAGGATGTAATGAGTTAGTACTTGTAAAACATTCAGAAAAGTGTTTAACACATAAGTACTCAAAAAGTTTAGATAGAGAATAGATTGAATATCAACTTTCAAAATCATGGACTTTAGTTACCAAAACTGTACCAATATTCCTTTATCAGTTGTAGAGCAAATGCACTATACTAACATAAGATGTTACTAAGAGAGACTGGGAAGGAGGGGTAAAGGGAGTTTATGGGAACTCTCTGTACATCCTACTCGATTTTTCTGTAAACCTGACACTGCTCTAAACATAGTCTATTTTTTTTAAAGTTATTCTAAACACCTGAATTAGTCCTGAATTGGGAAAAAGAAAGTAACCATGAAATAGCTAAGTTGCTATCTCTTGTTAAGAATATTATACATAACCAGTATCTATTTATAATAAATTGTGTCTCCTCAGCCTCTTAAATATCTGAGAAAATCTTGTTGCTGTAATGATCAGAGTCTGAATGAAAATAAATTAAACTTTAAGCCATAAAAGAAAAGTTTAGGTAGAGGGTAAATTGAATAGCAAATTTTAGAATCATAGATTTATAGAATTTTCAAGAGGTAAAAAGACCTTGGTGATTTTCTAATTCAACATTCCTCATATCACTGTTGAAGCAACTTAGAATCATGAAGGCAAGTGATTTGCTCAAGGTCAAGTAGCTAGTAAGTGGATTAGGAAATAATTTTCTTTGTTATCATCCATAGTGCTGTAACAGAGTTCAAGGTTTCAAAAGTAAGGAATGATTATTGTTGAGAATTCTTGAGGGTTTAGTTTTCAGTTTCCATCTGAATAAGAACACCTACCTTGTGAAAAATGGCCACCTCTACTTGAGAATAAGAATGTGCCATGGTCAAATAGCCAAGAATTATGTCCACAATATTTGTACTTAGGTAGCCAATATTTTTATATTAATGATATAATGGGTACTTAAGAGTTTGGAATATTCCTAATGAATACATTATATTGAAAAATAGGCTTTTACTTTCAATTCCAGGTTTTAATTGTTTTGTTTGTTTCCTTTTAGTGATTTGCATTTTTAACTTAGCATTAGGTCAATTTATATAAAAAATACAATGTTTTGTTTACTTTTCCAATAAATTGAAAATAATAGAATATATTTATTTCAATGCATCTGAAAGACGGTCTCAAATTATTAACCCAACAACCATAGTGAAGAATTTTCATCCATTAGAAAGTATTGATTTATGATAAATCTGTCAATTAATTAAAAGAAAAGTGAGCAGGTGTCTGTCACCTTAGTGGAGATAAAGGAAAGCAAATCATTTTTTATGTATCATATAAAAGACTATCTTTCTCACTCTTCTTGCTTTTCAGATAGAGGTTTTGCTTAATATTTTTCTATGGCCACTGAGTCAAAAATACTTTCTGTCATTCCAGATTGCTTGAAAGGTACCCACAGAGAATAAAGACTCCCTTGGCCGTTTGGGAGTATATTATCTCAAGTGGTTAGCTCATTTCCAAATACAGCATTACCTTTACTCACTCAAAACCACTTGGGTCATGACACGGATAAAAAATCTAAAGTTGAGAAGTAAAAGTAAAAGCAACTTAGAACTCTTATAATAGCAGAGTGCAGACCAAGAACAATTATTTATCAATTTAGTTTTAAAAATTTTGGAAGACTCTGGCTCCAGACTGTTAACATGTTAATGGGCAAGGTGATCTTCTTATGAAAGATCTTAGGTGTTACACAAATTAATAAATCTTGAAGAAAATTAATCAGAATAATATGCTCTAATTAGTCTGATGTTTAATCAAATTAAAAAAAAATTAAAAGAGTTAGTTATAGCTGTTCTGACCTAAGGATGGATTTCACTTTGACATACTGCTTGCATAAGTTTTACTATTTCTTTGGGACATTTTGGAATTGGGAATCTGCCATGATTAATCGGATTAATGGCAATTTAAATACCAAATGCATGTGGAAGTATATAAATAATATTTTTAAACTTTAAAATAAAACCTATCAACATGATTTATGAATTCCAATTTTTAGTTACTACTCTATGACTTTACTTATATAGGTTTAATATAAGAATCCAGATTTCTGTTAATTGCCAGAAAGAAACTTAATAGACTAAAATTGTAGAAGTTTGGGCAATTCTATGGAATTTTGTAGAACAACCCTTTCACTACGTTTCATCATAGTTATTGCTTTCAGGCTTTACATTTGAAATATGAAAACGCTTAAAAATTAACATTCATACCATATTAATGTTGATTGAAATGGTTGTTTTTTTTTTTTTTTAAGACAGTATTCAGTTTATTTGAGAAGCAGGTGAATTACATATGAAATGAGTACACCATCATCCTCGCGTCCAGGCTATCAGTCTACAAAAAAAAGTCTACCTTCTGTTCTTGCTATGGCTCTGAAAACTGGACCTGCCTAAATTACCTTAAAATTAGTTTTGTTTTACATATATTAACCACAAGAGATGCTTCCCCACCATTCTACAACCATTCAAATAATGAAATAAAATAAAATCCTCATAAAATTTCTTCTTCTTTCAATTTAATTATCCTACATAAGCTTCTAGATGCTAACTAACTTAGTAATATACTATCATAAGACTTCAGAAATGGTAGTTTTTATTCTGGTATACATTTGAGTAGGTCCAGGACAAAAAAAAAAAAAAAAGAAAAAAAAAAACGAGTATAAGTATCCCACTAGGATGCCCTTTGCTTTTATCAGCTTCTGTACTGAGAGGTAGAACAGGCAGTTTAGAAAGGAAATAACAGAGTTTCATTCCAGTTTCTTAAATTTGAAACCCTTCTTGCAAAATTTTAGCAGTATTACCATCAAAAACAAAAGTCCTCAGACGTTAGGTACCAATTAGCCTGCAAAGCCATACCTCCACCTTTAATTTCCTCTCTTTAACCCATGATTCAATCCCTTTTCATGTCAGTATTAGCAACATATTTTCTTTGATCCTCTACTGTAATAAAAATAGTTTATTTTTAAAAAGCAAAAACTTATATTTTGTTTTTTGTACAAATAATTAATGTAAAAATTTCATAGGTATTATTTAAATAGAAATGAGATTTTTAGGTGGAATGAGAAGCATACAGTTCTACTTTTTTTGTGAATATTTGCATAATCTTATTTAGACTATAAAGAATGTTTCCTATGAATGACATCTTGATTTAGTAACATACAGTAAAGATGTATGGCTTGATGGGAGGCATTAGGCACTCATACTAGGAACAGGATAAAGACCAGTTTCCTACAAAGTTAGCTGTAAGTTCATGACTAAATTGTGTTTTTTTCAAAAAAAGAAAAAAATATTATATTTATTTTAACCTTAGTATGTGTGAGAAACTTTCAAATACCTTCTTCAAGGAAGCAACTTAATGAGAAAACTATTAGTTTGTATAGTCAGACACACATGAATTGGAATTCTGCCTCTGTCCCTTAGCTACCTTGGGCTGATTACTTTATCTCCTTCTATTCCTATGCATGAATTTGAATATTTGACAAATGTAGTTAACTGGTTGGTCAAATGAAACTTGATTATAATCTTAAAGAAAGGAATGGTAAATAATGAATATTGTCATTAGACTGGTAATATAAAAGTCATAATCATTTTACTATAACAGCTAAATAACATGCACCCTTGAGAATAATAGAAGTCAGCCTTGGTCTCCTGTGTGTTATCTTGTGATTTGTGAAATAATCAGCCTTGTGAAATGGTAATGGGCACTTAAGAAAAATAACGGACTTTACTTGGCTAAACACTCCACACTCAGGGAAGGTGTTACTCACTTAGGCTCCAGAAATGATTGTCTTGTTATAACTTGAATTATCCTTGCGTCCACCACAGGCATAAACTACAAATGCTACTATAGTTACTAATGCTACTACATGAAAAGCATTGGTCAAGTAATAGTACAACCATTGCCAAACTCTCAAATTGTGAACTGAAAGGTCTCTGTTGATACCTATTCTATGTGTAGCATCTGTGAATAGAGAAATAACTCTACATCTTGATTTGGGCTCATCACTATCTTTGAAAAATTTTACAAGTTGTTTAGTTAATTCCTTATATCATTACAAAACTCTTAGTGATTGTCCAGCAAGCTGTGGAGATAAGAGACTTTAACCTTATAGTAACCATTTCAGAATGCCAAGTTTAGAATAAAAGTTTAGAACAATGGAGCCCACTTTCTACAAACAACAAAAATCTTGTGTCTACTTTGGTCTATTCTTGGATGTTAGCTCTGGCATCTCATATCATGAGTAGTGTTGCCACTCACTTTGCAATTAAAAAAGAAAGAAAGAAAAAACCTATGGGCGAAGTTCTTGGTTCTAAGAAAAGAAGTCTTGAGATGTCATACATTTTGAAAGTATTCTCATTCATTCAAGAATGATAAAATATTGTTGAAAATTACTTCAAAACCAAAAACACACACAAAAAATAACCAACAAAACAAACCTTTGCTAAAAAATAAGTACATATGTCTGTTTCACAAATAAACAAATAGATGCATTAGAAGGTTAAGTAATTTTTCCACAGTTATTTACTCAGTAACTCTGCAGAAAAGTATTCAGGAGCAGAAATGGAAAATCCTAACTTGGAAAGTCCTGCTTTGATTACTAAACAACAGTTTCCTTAAGGTAACACATGATATTGAGACTAAACAAAATAAACCCAAACATTTTGTGTAAGATAGGGATTGAATTTATAACACAAATGACTTTGCACACAGTAGGTACTCAATAGAAAACTATTCAATAAACTACACTGTGGTTCTCAGTCTGGCTGCACATTCAGATCACCTGAAGAGCTTTTTAAACATACCAAATGCTGGTGCCCATCCCAGATCAACTGAAATGTGATCTTTGGTGGGAGTAAATACTTCTGCTCAAAATATCCCCAAATAGTCTATTCATTTCTTCCTTCTGCTTCTCCTTTTCCTCAGGTTCTTGCAACAGAGAAGGAGACAAATGCATCACACAAAATCACACCGTGAGGGTAGAGGAGCACACAGGGAAGCACTGTGGTTGGTAAGGAGGGAGAGGGAGAAGGAGAAACTGTGGGCAAGAAATCTTACTGTGGTTCCCATGAGAAGGAATGGGCAAGGCTGGGTAAGCAGGCCTCAAATTGGCTATTTTGAATAATTCCAATGGTCTTTAGGATATAAGGGCTGTTTCAAGTTGTCTGGTACCTGGCCCTACAGTGATTAGAGAAGGTGAATAATAGCCTAAAGTGTGAGAGCCCAATAAAGAAGGTGGTTGAGGATATGAGCTCTAGATTGGTTGATTTGCATTTGAAAAGCATGCTCACTGACTGAGTTGTTTACTGTCTGTAGGAATTGAGGTAGTAATATATCTCTCCCTTTATGCTAACCCTGGGTAGGATGGAGAAGTTAGTTTCTCCAGGGTTACCAAGGCCCCAAATGTCACAGTATCATAATATAGAAAATAAAAGACAAGGTTAATACAACTGGCCCTATCATGCTGTTGCATCATATTAAGAAAACGTTGGGGTGATAACAGGGGAAACCTTTAGACAATAGGGCATAAATTGCCTTAAACAGTATAGAAAATATTTTATTATGAGAGTAGAAAAGAAGACCATGAGTAGAAGTATAAGCATTTCTTATAGACCAGCATATAACCAAGTTTCCCATTTATATGGCATTAGTCAAGAAAATAGATCTGAAATTTCCAGGATCTCTAATAATATCTTGGTAGAGTTGCAAAGTGTCAAGTGGCAAAGTGTTCTGGCAGTTATGTTGTTGGAGAGTATGTGGTTGATTGTTTAGTAAATTATACATAAAGATTAGTGATATTTGTGTATCACCAATGAAAATGGTTGATTACTATGATCATGATTCAAGACACAGGGCAGGAGGTTGTTGTGGAAAACTGGAGGTGGGTAATAGAAGAAAGTCCTGGAGTGGGTAGTTCTCTCCTCAAGGGGCCTAGGGTTGATTGAAATGTGCAGTTGCCTCTGGGGGAAAGTAATAATTTCCATTCATTTTTGGAATGTCATAGATAGTAGTAACCTCTATCAGATTTTCCTTTAGAGAGGAGTGTGCGTATTTTGTCATAAAGCAAGGGGTATACCAGGATCATGGGCTAAGCAGACAATGAGACTAAGCAACAGAATCCTCAATGTCAGAGGAAGAAAAGCAATAAATGTCTCATGTCCACTTTGTCAGGGCCTTAGGAGAAGTCCATGTGTGTCACTGGGATGGAGGCTTTGACTTCATGGGTAAAGTCATCTCTGGTGCTGGGGAAGAATTCGTTTCCATTGATGAAATCTTGGGTTGGGGCAATGTCATCCAGGATGTGGGACTGAGGATTGTTTTCAAGTTTATGTCCACTCACATTAATGTGGGTCTTACTTTTGTGGCTGTATGGTATTATAGTGACACGGAGCCATTTGTGTCATTTGGAGGCAATGTTAGGCCTGGGAGCCTGGCTTGCAAATATCTTTCAAGTCAAAGGGATTTTGGGTTCACAGCTAGCAAAGGTGATATTGGCATCATGATGCTGTTGTAATGGACAAATATGCCAGACCCAACTGACACCACTTAAGCCCCCATTAAGGATGGCCATGTCTAAAACTTTCTAATTAGTCCAAGGTTTCTATTAGATGGGTAATGAGAGGAGTTTTGTTGGAATTTGGTTTTGATTCAGATTTCCTAATTTGGTTGTTATTAATATGATGCCAGGTTATATGTCAAATAAAATATCTGTGCCTGAGTTTGGAGTGCCAGCATTAGCCTGTAGGCATGTCTTGTATTTTTTTGTTTTCTTTTTATTTCATTTATTTATTTATTTATTTTGAGATGGAGTCTTGCTCTGTCTCCTAGGCTGGAGTGCAGTGGCGCAATCTCAGCTCACTGCAACCTCCACCTCCCGGGTTCAAGTGATTCTCCTGCTTCAGCCTCCTGAGTAGCTGGGATTACAGGTGCCTGCCACCACGCCTAGCTAATTTTTGTATTTTTTAGTACAGACGGCGTTTCATCATGTTGGCCAGGTTGGTCTCGAACTCCTGACCTCAGGTGATACACACGCTTCGGCCTCCCAAAGTGTTGAGATTACAGGCATGAGCCACCATGCCTGGCCTTCTTTTTTTTTTTTTGAGACTGAGTTTCATTCTTGTCACCCAGGCTGGAGTGCAATGGCACAATCTCAGTTCACTGTAACCTCTGCCTCCAGGATTCAAGCAATTCTCCTGCCTCAGTCACTCAAGTAGCTGGGATTATAGGCATGCACCACCACACCCAGCTAATTTTGTATTTTTTTTTTTTTAGAAGATATGGGGTTTCACCATGTTAGCCAGGCTGGTCTTGAACTTCTGACCTCAGATGATCTGCACAACGCAGACTCCCAAAGTGCTGTGACTTGTATTTTTAGCCATTTGTTGTAGGCCCTTTGCTTCAGTTGTTGGTTTGGTTGGTGATGGGAAAGCTGGTAGAGACTTTGGGTTATAGGGCTTGTATTAGCCAAATTCAATGGCATGTGGGCTTCACCATTGTCCATGTTTAGTTGAAATAATGGCTTACTTAGATGCTTTGAGCTTGTAGATTGCAGACCAGTGAAATCAGAATAATACTGATGAGACCAACAGTCAACAGGATAGTGTACAGCTGCATTTGACAGGTGTTTTGGGATTTGGGTTTTTTTTTTTTTTAAGTTTTCTGTCTGTTCCTGACTGCTTTTACCCTTTGGTTGTTTACCTGATAAACTCCTGGTGGTCCTGGATGACCATGTTCATACATGGTTGCTTCCTTCTCTAGAGTGTACCAACTGACCTCTGAAGGATTTGGATTTACTTCCAAGAGAGTAGTAATGCCTTATAAGTATTTTTGAGGCTCTGGATTTTGAACATAAGGCCCTTGGCATGCTGGTAAGCAGCAGTTCCCAATAAGACATGTGTGCACAATCTGAGTGTTTTACATTATTGAATCAATTGCATGACCTTCTCAAGGGTATTAGGTGGGCCAGGGATAAAGTGTTCCTTTCTTCATTTCTTTTTCTATAAGCATCGTGCCACTGATTTACATGGGTGTGACCCCTTACATCCTGCTTTATCAGGAGACAAATTGTGACAGCAGCAAGGCAAGCAACAACACAAGAGTTTACATTGGCTCCATGTGTGCCTCACAACATATGAGAATCTCTAAACAGCATCCTCCCTCTACTCAATGGAGCAGACTGAAATGTACAAGGAAAATAATAACTTAGTTACCCCGCCACTTGTCAGTAATGCCTTGCTGATTGATAAAGCCCATTTCATATCACTTGGAGGGAAGTCTTACCACATTCCTTTTGGAGGAGACATTGCAAGCCTTAGCTGGTCAATATAGATGGATACTCCTGGGAACATTGTTCAGAATCTAGGCAATTGACTCAGCTTACACTGGGACTGCAGGAAAACTCAGCTTTCAAGTTCTGAATCTAGGGTGGGGATTTATAGTAATGCCTGCCAAATCCAACAAACAGCATTTGCAGCCACAGTGCAAGTGCATGCCAGTAGGTGGCGATACCTTTCCAGGCTGCCACTGACATCTGGTAGAACTACTTAGCAAGCTGTTATGGACTTGAAGTTTATGCCCTACTTCCCAGTTTAATAGGTTGAAATCCTAACCCCCAATGTGATGGTATTAGGAGGTGGCTGGGGTCTTCAAGAGGTAAGTTCAAGGTTTCCTAAAATCACCCTCAGGTTTGCTAATTCACTCAAAAGACTCACAGGACTTATTGAAAGCTATTGCACTCACAATATTTGCTACAGGGAAAGGATAGAATCAGCTAACGAAAGAGACATGTAGGGTAGAATCCAAGAGGATTCCAAATGTGAAGCTCTTATTGTCCTAATGACAAAGAATACCTCCTGGTATTGATGTACGACACTATCTACAGAGTATTGCCATCCCAGGAGCTCACTTGAACTCCCATGTTCAGAGTTTTTACTGGGGCTTCATTAGGTAGGCATAACTGAAGGATTAATTGCCCATATGGTTGAACCCAATCTCCAGTTCCTCCCTCACTATGAGTAACATTATTAGCATAATTTATTAGATGCAGCCCAAGAGGCCCACTGTGTTTCTGTACTATACACGTGGGAGTTTAGAAAAGTCCTGTAATGTCTTTAAGCTTGAGTTCCTTGTGTGTAAAAATTAGAATAATGATTTCTATCTCATAGGTTTGCAATGGTAAAGAATAAATTAATTCATATTTCTCACACATAGTAATTATGCAATAAATGGTGAAGTAATTAGGTCATGAGGGTGGATCCCTCTTGAATGCAATTAGTGCCATATAAAAAGAGACTTGAGAAGTTCCTTCCTCTCTGCCATGTAAAGTACAATGAGAAGACAGACATCTGCAAACCAGGATGGAGGCCTGGTTATTATTTCATTAATTATTAATTCATTATTATTTATTATTAACATATTATAAAATATTATTAATATTCTTCTCTTCCACAAAGTTATTCTTAATTCATTATCCATGCTTTCAATAAATAGTGAGAAAGGAATCAATGTGACCAGCTTATTTACACTACTGTTGGGAATAAACAAGAAGCCATGAAGCATAGAAAAGTGATTTTAATCCCTAATATAACCAGTTTTGAGTATCTAGATAAGTTTAAAGACATCTTCAAGTCCTGATAATCCATAATTCTGTGGGCTCTGTGGCTTTTTTGGTGTAGGAAAAGAAGTGCCTCTTGAAACAAGGACCAGAGTTAAAGTTCCAGCACTACATTTGTTAAGTGTGTGACCTTAGGCAAGTTGTCTATCATCTCTCTACCTCAGGTTTCTTTTCTGTAAAATGGGAGAAAATAATAGCTACCTCAAAAGTATTGTTAAATTTGGAAAAGATAGCATACTGAAAAATACACAGCACAGCACTGTGAATTACACATAATAGGTGCCTAATAAATAAAAATTTTAAAATTTATGTAACAATTAATCTCTTACTTAGTGCCAGTCACTAGAAGGTGTGAATGGTATAGTGATGAATAAAGTTTGATCATTGTCCTAAAAATGTATTTCATCCAATAGGAGAGATAGACAAGCACACCAGGAGTGACCATACAGTTGATAGATCTAATTTTTTCTCTTTTGCCTTTCAATGTAAATGAGTCAACCCCTGAATTTATGGCTTTTTCTCCTCTACTTTCATTAGTTCTTGCATCTGAATAGATCTTTGAAGCATTTACGCATGTAAATCAAATAAATAATTATTTAATTAGTGAAATTTCAGAAAATATAAAATGTAGGCAGGTGTTTTTTTGATAAGGAGTATTTGATGACTCCTTACTTGCCAACAAATAGACCCAAGTGACAATCGATAACTTTTTACCAATCTTCTTTTTCATTATGCAAGACTGATAGACAAATTGGGAGGTCAAAAGTACTAGTTTAATTGAATGCCGACATTTATCTTTTAGACTGTGGCTGTGAATAAATCATGTGAAAAATGAAGATAGCATAAATTAGAAAAGATTATAGCCCCAGATTTGCTTCTAATTTCCAGTCTGATCTTTGTAGGTCTCAGCGAGTTTATTTCCCAGTTTTCTTTTCTACAAATTGAGACTATGAGACATGCTATCTAAGGTCCCCACCAGTGCTATTTTATGGCATTTTGCATATTAAAATAGTGGAGCATTAACAATACATGCACAAAATATAGATTTGGAGAATGAATAATCACATAACTGTATATATGTAATTATCATTTTACTAGAAAAATTGCATAAGCTGATTAGATTTAGCTATATGAGTTTTTAAATAAATTTATCATTTCATATATTGCTCATTTTTCAGAAATATCACCGATTTTTAAAAAATACAATAAAAATATTATCCATTCAACAGAGAAGTGAAACTAAAAATATTAAGTTTTCTATTCATTTCTTTCACTAGTAATTATCTCAGAATCCCAAGATATGCCAAATCTTACAACATTAATATGCTTGCTGTCGAAATTTACTAATTCTTTCAAAACAGCTTTTGTATTTTTTCTTGACTTTATTTGTTTAGACCCTGTGCATTTTCAAATGAACACAATGCAGGTGATGAAAACAAATAGAAAGCAGTAAGATAAAACAAAGTAACAGTAGAGCAAGTGTGAAATGAGAGTTTATTGATGCTATTGTAGAAGCTTTCTCTATCTTGTAGGGCCATTCCATTTTTTATTACTAAATCTGGCAAAACAATGAAAACAATATTCAACACATTTTGAATATTAAGCATTTAACTGTATGTGTGCCAGACACTTGGCTAAGAACTTGACACATATTACCTTATTTAGTCCTTATTGTAACAGTAGTAGTTAGATAGTATTATCACTCCATTTTTCTAATGACAAAACTGCATTAGAGAGATTATATATTTTATCTACATTCCAGAAGCTATAAGAGGCATACTTTAAACCCAGGTTTTTCTGATGCAAAAGCTTACACTCTTACCCTTTTCATATACTGCTTCTCCTCAAAAGTTATCTCTTATAGACAATGACATCTTATTGCAAACCTCTTTGTGCCTATTGCCTGGTACAGCAATAAGCACATAGCGGGAAGAGAGAAGTCTAACACAGGAACATAGCTTTAGAGATTTAATGTTCTAGGTATACAAAGAGAACTAACATCTTGACATATTGGGCGAAAGTTTTTGCTAATATATGTAGTAATTGCTATTTAAAAAGTAGTGCTGTCTGCATGATAGGAAGTCTCCATCCTCATTCTTTAAATAATGGTTTAACAATGATACACCGACCAAAATAGTTTTATGAGGTTTCCAGAATCCAGTTAAGAAGTTGCAATACCTCAGGTGAGCACAAAGCTGAGAAGAGCTTAAATGAAATGTGTAAGAAGAACAATTTCACTATACCTGTGATAGCTCTTGCCCTAAGCCCATACAGCTCAGTATATATAGAGAAAGCCCTGGCATGTGACTCTGCCTTGGGGGAAAGAAAGAGAATCCAACATTCTGACTTTATGGAGCCCTACATAAGAGACTGGTTTCTGTTTCACCTCACTTCTCATTCAGAATACAGATAGAACTGACATGACATAGGTTGGAGGCCTGAAGGCAACTGAGAATAGCAGAAAGTGGCTGGCAGCCTGCAGCCATTAGTACCGCTTTGCATGATTGGGAGAAGGCTCTAATCTGAGACTTCTCCCCCAGAAGGTAGAAAGAGAAATGGAGTTTGCCTCCAATGTCCGAGCTTTTTGGAGAACTCCCTAAGGGACTGATTTCTCCCTTAACTACTTTCTCAGCTGGAGTGCTGTAGGAACTAGCACAGGTTGTAGGCCTGGGGGTAGCAGAGACAACAGAAAGCAGAGAGTTGCCTACAGCTGGCATGGATTTGCATGATTGAGAGAAGGTGCTCAATCTGAGTCTTCTTCTCAAGGAGAAAGAGAGAAAAATGGAATTTGCCTGCAACGCCATGTGTTTTTTGAGAATCGCTTGAGGGATTGGCTTTTGTCTCACCTCATACCTCACACAGAATGGGAGAGAGGGAGAGGAGCAGAGTGTGTACCCTACAATTCAGCTTTCTGGAGGACTGCTTGAGGAACTGATAGCGGTCTAGAATGACTAAGGGTGTGGACAGGGAGCTACTTGATGGCCACTGGGAACCAGAGAGCATGGGACAGCTTCCTCTTCTAGTACTAAGAACTTGTAAAGCCACATACACCAGAGTGCACAAGAGATTATGAGTTCCTGAATAAAAGTAACCAACAAATCCCTCTAATTGGGGCTTTAGATGCACAAGTCCAGAGAAAATACATTCACAGGAAAGGTTTGAGAGGTCTCCAGATTCTCTAGCTGGGCTGACCAATAAAAGTCTTTCTCTCTATAGTGCTAGTCTACGAAGACTACTTGTTAGTCTTTGTAGAAGTCTTCATTAGTCTTTGGGAAATGTGGCTGTTTTTTCAAATGCATAGATATAAACACAAAGCTTCAAAGAACATGAAGAAACAAACAAACATGGCCAAAGTAAAGGAACAATGTACATCTTCAGAAATCAATCCTGAAGAAAAAAAGCATGCAATATATTTGAAAAATAATTGAAAATTACTGTCATCAAGATGCTTAATGAGCTCAGGAGAATGATCCATGAACAAAAATCTTTAAACAAAGATACAGAAAATATGTTTAAAAAGAAAAAGCAAAAATTTTGGAGCTGAAGGATATGATAACCTGAAGAAATTCACTACAGGGGTTAAACTGCAGATTTGATCAAGCAGAAAAAAATAATCTGTGAATGCTGAGATATGTCATTTGAAATTATCCAATCAAAGGAACAAAAATTTAAAAAGAATGAAAGAGTGAAGAAACCCTAAGGGACTTATGGGGTACTATTTATAAGTCAATATATTGGAGGAACAAAATGAGAAAGAGGCCAAGCAATTATTTCAAAAAATAATAACCAAAAAGTTCCAAACTCTGAAGAGGAAAATAAATATCTATATTTAAAAAGCTCAACAGATTTAATGTAGGATGAATGCAAAGAAATCCACACTGAGACATTAAAATCAAATTGTCAAAAGACAAAGACAAAAGAGAATTTTGAAAGCACCAGGAGAAAAGCAACTCATCATATACAAAAGAGTCTGCACAAGGCTGTCAGCAGATTTCTCAGGAGAAACTTATAGACCAGAAGGGAGTGGGTTAATATATTCAAAGAGCTGTCATTAAAACAAAAAAACACTGCCAACTTAGAATACTATAATATCCAGCAAAGTGTCGTTCAAAAGTAAAGGACAGATAAAACCTTTCCCAGGTAAACATAACCTGAAAGAGTTCATCGTCTTTAGACCTGCCCTAAAAGAAAAGTCAGAGTCCTTCAAGTTGCAATAAAAGAATGCTAAACAGCATCATGAAAACATATGAAAGTATAAAGCTTACTGGTAAATCTATCTGCATAGAAATATACAGAATATTGTAATACTGTAATGGTGGTACATAAATCATTTTTAATTCTAAAAGAAATTATAAAACAAAAGAATAAAAAGTAACTATAGCTACAATAATATGTTAATGGATACATGCTATAAAAAGGTGTAATTTCTGTTATCAACGATATAAAATGGTGGGAAGGTAAAAGTTTTGAGTTTTTGTCTGCAATTACGATAAACTGTTACCAGTTTAAAATAGATTTTTATAGATATAAGATGTTTTATGTATGCCCTGTGGTAACCACAAAGAAAATACCTATAGAAAATACACAACAGGAAATGAAAGGAATCAAAGCATGTTACTAGCCTTTCATATCATTGAAATATGAAGGAAGACAGCAAGAGTAGAAAAGCGGAACAACAGAGCTACAAGATAGGCTTAAAATACTTAAGAAAATGGCAAGAGTAAGACCTTCCCTAACAATAATTACTTTAAATGTAAATGAATTAAACTCACCAATGAAATGACATAAAGTGACTGAATGGATAAAACAACAACAACAACAAGATCTAACTACATACTGCCTATAAGAGATTTACTTTAGACTTAAAGACACATAGAAGTTGAAAATGAAAAGATGTCGTATTTGTCAATTTTTGTTTTGTTGCAATTGCTTTTGGTGCCTGCATCATGAAATCTTTGCCAGAGCCTATGTCTAGAATTTCCTAGGTTATTGTCCAGGATTTTTTATAGTTTTAGACTTTACATTTAAGTCTTTAAACCATCTTGAACTGATTTTTGTACATGGTGTAAGGAAGGGATCTAGTTTCAATCTTCTTTATATGGCTAACCAGTTATGCCAGCACCATTCATGGAATACAGAGTCCTTTCTTCATTGCTTGATTTTGTCAACTTTGTTGGAGATCACATTGTTGTAGGTATGTGACATTATTATTGGGCTTTCTATTATGTTCCACTGGTCTATGTGTCTGCTTTTGTACTAGTACCATGCTGTTCTGCTTGCTGTAGACTTGTAGTATAGTTTGAAGTTGGATAATGTGATGCCTCCAGCTTTGTTCTTCTTGCTTGGGATTTCCTTGGCTATTTGGGCTCTTTTTGATTCCATATAAGTTTAAAATAGTTTTTTTCTAATTTTGTGAAGAATATCATGGGTAGTGTGATTGGAATAGCACTGAACCTATAAATTACTTTGGGCAGTATGGCCATTTTAACAATATTGATTCTTCCTCTCCATTAGCATGGAATATTTCCCATTTGTGTGTGTCATTTTTTATTTCCTTGAGCAACATTCTGTAATTCTTGTTGTAGAGGTCTTTCACCTGCCTGGTTAACAGTATTTCTCGGTATTTTATTCTTTTTGTGGCTATTGTGAATAAGGTTGTGTTCTTGCTTTGGCTTTCAGCTTGGATCTTGTTGGTGTATAGAAATGCTACTGATTTTTGTTGTACATTGATTTCATATCCTGAAAATTTCCTCTATTTGTTTATCAGATCTAGGAACTTTGAGGCCGAAACTATGGGTTTTTCTAGGTATAGAATCATATCATCTGCAAACAGAGATAGTTTGACTTATACTGTCTTTCTATTTGAATGCCTTTTATTTCTTTTTCTTGCCTTACTGCTCTGGCTAGGAATTCCAGTACAATGTGGCATCCTTGTCTTGTTCTGGTTCCCAAGGGGAATGCTTCTAGCTTTTGCCCATTCAGGATGATGTTGGCTATAGGCTTATAATAGATGGCTCTTATTATTTTGAGGTGTGTTCCTTCAATGCCTACTTTGTTAAGGGTTTTTTAGTTGAAGGGATGCTGAATTTTATTGAAAGTCTTTTCTGCATCTGTTGAGAGCTTCTGCACAGCAAAAGAAAGTATCAACACAGTACACTGACAAGTTACAGCAGGGAGAAAATATATGCAGACTGTGTATCTGACAAAGGTCTAATATCCCAAATCTGTAAGGAACTTAAACAAATTTACAAGCAAAAAACAAACATCCCGTGAAAAAGTGGGCAAAAGACGTGAACAGACACTTTTCAAAAGAAGACATAGATGTGGCCAACAAGCATATGATAAGACACTCATAATGCAAATCAAAACCATAATGAGATAGCATCTCACACCAGTCAAAGTGGCTGTTATTAAAACGTAAAAACAAACAAACAAACAAAAAACATAGATTCTGGTGAGGTTGGAGAGAAAATAGAATACTTATACACTTCTGGTGGGAATGTAAATTAGTTCAGTCATTGTGGAAAGCAGTGTGGCAATTTCTCAAAGAACTTAAAAGAGAACTACCATTTGACTCAGCAATCCCATTATTGGGTTTATACGTAAAGGAATACAAATCATTCTACCATAAAAACACATGCATGTGTATGTTCTTTGCAACACTGCTCACAATAGCAATAGCAATAGCAAAGACATGAAGTCAACCTAAATGCCCATCAATGGTACACTGTATAAAGAAAATGTGGTACATATATACCATGGAATACTACGCAGCCATAGAAAAGAATGAGATCATATCTTTTGCAGCAACATGAATGGAACTAGAGGCCATTATCCTAAGTGAACGAATGCAGGAAAAGAAAATAAATACTGCATATTCTCACCTGTAAGTAGGAGTTAACCATTGAAAACACATGGACACAAAGAAGAGGACAACAGGGGACTACTTGAGGGTGGAGGGTGACAGGTGGGAGGGGATTGAAAAATCTGTCTGTCAGGTACTATGCTTATTACCTGGGTGATGAAATAATCTGTATACCAAACCCGCGTGACATGCAATTTACCTGTATAACAAGCCTGAACATTTATCCCTGAACCTAAAATAAAAATTTTAAAAAAAGAAAGTTGAAGGATGGCAAAGATATTCCACATAAATGGTAACCAAAGACAGTAGGGGTATCCATATTTATATCAGAAAAAATAAATGTTAACTGAAGAGCTCTAATAAGAGACAAAGAAGGACATTACATAATGATGAAAGAGTCAATTCAACAGGAATATATAGTTATGAATATATATGCAGCCAACATCAGAACAGCTAAATATAAGAAGCAAACACTGATAGAACTGAAGAGAAAAAATAGATGACAACACAATAATAGTAGGATATTTTAATAACCCATTTTCTATAATGGATTGACATACAGAATTAAGGTCAATAAAGAAACAGAGGGCTTGAAAAATACTAAAAAACAAATAGACCTAACAGACATCTACAGAATATTCTACCCAAGAGTAGCAGAATGCATATTCTTCTCAAGCACGCATGTAACACTCTCCAGGAAATATCATGTTAGGTCACAAGTCTTATCAAATTTAAGACATTTGAAATCATACCATGAACCTTTTCTGACCACAATGGAATGAAATTTGAATTTAATAGCAGAAGGAATACTGGAAAATTCACAAATACATGGGAGTTAAACAACACAATCTTGAAGAAAGAATGCATCACGGAAGAAAACAGAAAATTTAGAAGATATCTTGAGACAAATGAAAAAGAAAACACAACATAACAGCAAGTACAGCAAAAGCAATACTAAGAGGGTAGCTTACAGCAGTTAACATCTACATTAAAATTACAGATTCAAAGTAAACAACCTAACTTTATGCCCCAATAAACTAGAAAAAGAACAAGCTACACCCTTAGTTATCAGAAAGAAGGAAGTAATAAAAATTACAGCAGAAATAGCCAAAATAGAGAATAGAATAAGAATAGAAAAAAACTCAATGAAGTAAGTTATTTTAAAAATCAATAAATTGATAAACCTTTAGCTATGCTAGGAAATAAAGAAGAGTCAAATAAGTTGGAAATGAAAGGGAGAAATAAAATTGATTATTAGAGGGTATTCTGAACAATTATACACCAATAAATTGGATAATATAGAAGAAATAAATTCCTAGAAACATGCAACCTACCAAGACTGAATCATGAAAAAATAGTGAATCTGAGCAGTATAACTAGAAAGGAGGTTGAATCCATAGTCAAAGCTGCCCAACTAAGAAAAATCAGGACCAGATGGCTTCACTGGTGAATTCTACCAGATACTTAAAAAGGAGTTAACATCAAATCTTTGCAAACTCTTCCAAAAATCTTAAGAGAAAAGAACATTTACAAACTCATTTTATGAGTCCAGCATAACCCTGATACCAAAGCCACAAAAAGACACTTCATAAAAAGAAAATTACAAGTTAATATCTCTGATGGATACAATTCAAAGTCCTTAATAAAATACTGCCAAACCTAATTCAACAGCACATTAAAATGATCATACACCGTGACAAAGTGGAATTTATCCCTGGAATGCAAGGATGTTTCACGGTAAGAAAATCAGTTAATATGATACATCACGTTAACAGATTAAAGGAAAATAAATCACATGATAATTTCAATAGGTGCAGAAAAAGCATGTGACAAAATTTAACAGCCTTTTATAATGGAAAACTTTCAGCAAACTAGGAATAGGATGAAAACCTCAACATAATAAAGGTCACATATAAAAAGCCCACAGCTAAAACCATACTCAATGGTAGAAAACTAAAAGTTTTTCTTCTAAGATCAGGAACAAGACAAGAAGGTCCACATTTGTCATTTCTATTTAATGTAATACTGGAAGTCCTAGCCAGATCAATCAAGAAAGTAAAAGAAGTAAAAGATATCCAAATCAGAAAGAGTAAAATTATCTCTGTTCATAGATGACATGATCTTACATGTACAAAACCTTAAAGACTTCACAAAAATACTGCAAGAATTAATAAATTCAGTAAAGTTGCAGGATAAAAAATTAATATGCAAATTCAATTGTATTTCTATAAAAAATGAACAATTTGAAAATGAATTTAAGAAAACAATTCCATTTACAGTAACATCAAAATTATAAAATACTTAGGAATAAACTTAACTAAGGAGGTAAAAGTCTTATACACTGAAAATTACAAAACCTTTATCCAAAAAATTAAAGACACAAATACATGGAAAGATATTTGTATTCGTTGATTGGAAAACTTCAGAGTATTAAAATGCAATCCCTATCAATAAAAAAATCCCAATAGCAATTTTTACAGAAATAGAAAAAACAAATCTAAAATTTGCATGGACCCAAAAACGGCTCAAATAGCCAAAGCAATCTTGAAAAGAAGGACAAAACTGGAGGCCTCACACTGCCTGGTTTTAAAACATATCACTAAGCTACAGTAATCAAAACATTATGGTACTAACTTAAAGACAGACATATAGACAATGGAACAGAGAGCCCAGAAATAAACCCAAGCATATATATATAATATACACACACACATATATATGATGCGGAAGCAATGTAAATGTCCATCAGTGTATGAATGAATAGAGAAAATTTGGTATACACATAAAATTATGGAGCCTTCAAAATAAAGGAAATCCTGTTATATGTGATAAGAGATGAACCATGAGGACATTGTGCTAAATGGAAAAATCCAATCACAAAAGGACAGATACTGCACGATTTCATTTATTTGTGTTTATATGTGTATGTCTAAAGCAGTCAATGTCATAGAAGCAGAAAGTAGAAGGGTGGTTTCCAGGGGCTGAGGGGAGGAGGAAATGGGGACTTGCTGTTTAATGCATTTCAAGTTTCAGTTATGCAAGATGAAACAGTTCTAGAAGGGATCTTTTGTACAACATTGTTCATACTGCTAGCAATAATGTACTGTACACTTAAAAATTTGATCAGAGAGTCCAGGCATGGTGACTCATGCCTGTAATCCTAGCACTTTGGGAGGCCGAGTTAGGCAGATCACTTGAGGCCAGGAGTTCGAGACCTGCCTGGCCAACACTGAAACCCCATCTCTACTAAAAATAGAAAAAATTAGCTGGGTGGGATGATACACACCTGTAGTCCCAGCTACATGGGAGGCTGAGACATGAGAATTATTTGAACCCAGGAGGTAGAGGATGTAGTGAGCCAAGATCGCACCACTGTACTCCAGCCTGGGCAACAGAGCAAGACTCTGTCTCAAAAAAAATAAATAAATAAAATAAATGGTCAGAGGGTCCCATGTTATGCCTTTTTCTTATTACAACAAAAAATGTGCATCATTACCTGTAAGGCTTATTCTTTGCAATTTATTCTAAACTTGCCTGTTGTTTGTGAAGTTCAACTTAACCTGCGTCCTAAGAGTAGAACGCTGGTAAAGGAATGTTATTGTCTTTATTAACAAAATGAGGAAACTGTTCTGGTGTGATTGGGCAATAATCTTGGGAGGGCTTGATTATACAGAATTTTGTGTGGTTGTTAATTATGATGTTGAAATGTACAAATATCCTCTGTCCTTTTTAAATTTGACCCTTAGGTCCTCTGAATTTTCTCTATTTTACTCTCCCTGCTGTGACTAATATCTCGAACCCATTATTGGATTTTGGCTCTGGATGCACCCTCTGCACTCTGGGCAGAGTTGAGAATTGCTGGAAACCGTAATTTCCGAGACATCTTTGTCAACTTGTTTACCTTTCATTTTTTGCCCATGAAAGCCAGAGGGCGACTGGAAGTCAGAGGAAAGGAACAAGCGACTCCCTCCCTGCATTTTAGCTTCTGACAGTGTCCCTCATAAAAATGGCGGGGCCAATATGGAAATAGCATAGACAGCATTCAGAGCAGCCACCTCCAGCTGCAGTCTCCAGACTATTTCAGGTCTCCTGCTGCCAGCTAGAAGGAAACCCCTCAGGGGACTAGCAGTAGCTTGGCCTTCGCAGTTGGAGTTACAGTTGTGGTTTCACCCTCCTCAGAGATCTGAATGTCGAATACATGATACCCGCTCCACAGAGTGTCTCTCCATAGGTCCAAGCACAAGCCCTCCAGATCCATCCTCTAAGCTCCTATGTTCTGGTAATCCCATTCTTCCCTCAGGTTTTTCCCAGTCTTAGGAGTGGTATCTTCTTTCTTAAGTTATTCATCTCTGGGTAGCCTCAATGTCTCTTTTATGCTCTTTTGACTTTTTACTACCTGTGTAAACAATTTTCTGTATTAAGTCACTTTCTTTGTTTTCTTTTTTTTTAATAGTACAGATGCAGAGAAGAGGAGGTCAACATTGACTGAGCCTCCAATGAAACGAATTTGTTACACCCTGCCCAACAAGTTATACCCCTACACCAACAAGGATCCAGATCCTTGGAAGGTGCACACAGAATCCTCCTCATTTGCATCAATGCATTGATCTATATCTAAGGGAAGTATTTATCTAGAAATGATCACCCAATTCCCACCAATTTTCTGAAGCTGGACATTAATGCTCTCACTTACATTTTAAGTCAAATGTGGGAGTGTGTTGCAGTAGTATTAAAACCTCTGTCAGAGTATCACAGGTATCGATGAGAAGATTTTACATTGATTTTCCTTTGTGAAGTAAATTGGTTGTTTTCCTTTTCAAATGAAACCAGGTAAAAGTCAGCATTGCCTTAATTTGGTAGAGTCACAACATAAATTCTTCCCCAACACAGTCTTTCCTAAGTCCTCATCATTTCCTCCTATTCTGAATCTAATCAAGTTCATCCATTGACAAATGATGTCCATGCTCTACTGAAAGTTCAAAGTTGGCTTGTAATTTTTACAAACTTCAAAGCAGAAAGTACCTATTCTTTGGAACTCGATAGATGTAGGGTTAAATCCCTGCTCTTTTACAGTCAGTAGTTGCTTAATTTCTTTAAGGCTGTTTCTTCATCTGAAGACTGGAGATAAACTGCCTACCTAGTAGGGTCAAGTGAGGATTAAATGAGATAATGTACATAATGCATGAGCACCCTGCTTAACAATGAACAGAATAGCTTAAGGAAGCTTATGGTAGCTCCTACTATTTTTTTCTTTCTTGCATGACTTTAAGTGAGCTCTTTAACTTTGCTAGATTTTTACCTTTTAAAACTCAGAGTTGTAGAAATGAAATGAGATACACGAGTATAACTATTTTTTGGAATGGGTTAAACTCTGTACATGTAATCATAAACAAGCCTTATTCATTCTCACCATTGCCTCTTTCAATAACTTCTGTCAAAGTTTTCTTCCCCTTCCAAGGTGAAATCCTGGGCAAATTGCATAGACATACACAGACTTTCAGATGTTTAGAAAGAGCAGTGCTGAAGGTCCAGTCTCTCAACCAATTTAAATCACTTTTTCCTCTGCGAATTCCTGGTGGCTTCAGGCTGGTGAACTGTAGAAAGGTGAACTGGGAGGGATCGGGCTCTGCATCTTCACCTTCTTCTGTCATAGACTTTGTATTAGGGTTCTCTAGAGGGACAGAACCAATGGAATATATATATATATATATATATATATATATATTCCTTGTGTATATATATATATATATTCCTTGTATATATATATATATTCCTTGTATATATATATACACATACACACACATATATACGCATATATTTACACACATATATATATATTCTCTAGAAGGACAGAACTAATGAAATATATATATGAGTATATATTATATATATAGAGAGAGAGAGAGAGGTTTATTAAATATTAATTCACATGATCACAAGGTCCCACAATAGGCCATCTGCAAGCTGAGGAGCAAGGAGAGCCAGTCTGAATTCCAAAACTGAAGAACTTAGAGTCTGATATTTGAGAGCAGGAAGCATCCAGCATGGAAGAAAGATGTAGGCTGGGAGGCTAAGCCAGTCTCTCTTTTAACATTTTTCTGCCTGCTTATATTCTAGCCTCACTGGCAGCTGATTAGATTGTGTCCACCCAGATTAAGAGTGGGTCTGCCTTCCCCAGCCCACTGAGTCAAATGTTAATCTCCTTTGGCAACACCCTCACAGACACACCTGGGATCAATACTTTGTATCCTTCAATCCAATCAAGTTGACACTTAGTATTAACCGTCACAGACTTCTCCTCTCCCTCCTCCCTGGCTTGCAGTCAGGGATAAAAGGATGTCACTGAACGCTGTAGTTGTCATCTGGCTTTTGTATTTTTTCATTGTTGTTGTATGCTCAATTGCATTGACTTTACAACTCCCTTTCATGAGTAGTTCTGAGGGAAATTAAGAAAGAAAGCAAATTCTATTTGGGGACTAAGATTGGGTTTTAAACAGCATGTGTATCAAGAAGTAGATGGGTTCTTTAGTAACCTTGTAATCTACAAAAGTGTTCATCAAGTCACTCCCTCGCCCTTAAACCTACAATTCAGGTGGAAATAGTGTACATGCTATGAAACACAACTTAAGCAAAATCTCTAGGGTGGCTTAACATAGTGCATATTTATTCTCTTAAAGTTATGAAATCCAGAAGTTCAAAATTATTTTCATCAGCTGAAACAAATGCTGGTAGTGCAGCAATTCTTGAGGAGGCTCTAGGGGAGAGTCCATTTCTTGCCTTTCAGTTTCTGGTGCCTGTGTGATTCCTTGGCTTGTGACTATATCACTTCAACCTCTGCCTCTGTGGTCACATGGCTGTCTCCTCTGTGTGATACTTCCCTCTGCCTCGTTCTTTTTTTTTTTTCTTTTTTTTGAGATGGAGTCTCACTCTGTCGCCCAGGCTGGAGGGCAGTGGTGCGATCTTGGCTCACTGCAACCTCTGCCTTCTGAGTTCAAGCGATTCTCTCGATTCAGCCTCCCGAGTAGCTGGGTTTACAGGCGCCTACCACCACACCTGGCTAATTTTTTGTATTTTTAGTAGAGACGGGGTTTCACCATCTTGGCCAGGCTGGTCTTGAACTTCTGACCTCGTGATCTACCTGCCTCGGCCTCTCAAAGTCCTGGGATTACAGGCATGAGCCACCGCACCATGCCTCCTCTGCCTCCTTCTTATAAAGACATTTGTGATCACATTTAGGATCCACCCAGATTATTTAGATAATATCCCCATCTTAAGATCTCTTAATCACATCTGCAAAGACCCTTTTTCTATATAAAGGTAACATTGATGGATTCCATGGATTAAAACCTGGATATCTTTGGGGATAATTTTTCATCTTGCCATAAACCTCAAAGATAATGTGAATACACTTTATATCAAACTTGATAGTGTGTCCAGAGTTTGTTCCTTCTGGTGGGTTTGTGGTCTTGCTGACTTCAGGAATGAAGCCATGGACCTTTGAGGTGAGTGTTACAGCTCTTAAAGGTGGTGCAGACCCATAGAGTCAGCAGCAGCAATATTTATTGTGAAGAGTGAAAGAACAAAGCTTCCACAGCATGGAAAGGGACCCCAGCAGGTTGCTGCTGCTGCTGCTGGCTTGGGTGGCCAGCTTTTATTCCCTTATTTGTCTCCACCCATGTCCTGCTGATTGGTCCATTTTACAGAGTGCTGATTGGTCCATTTTACAAACCTCTAGCTAGCTACAGAGTGCCAGTAGGTGCGTTTTTACAGAGCACTGATTGGTGCATTTTACAGGGTGCTGATTGGTCCATTTTACAAACCTCTAGCTAGCTATAGAGTGCCAGTTTTTACAGAGCACTGATTAATGCATTTTACAAACCTCTAGCTAGCTACAGAGCACTGATTGTTGCGTTTTTACAGAGCATTGATTGGTGCATTTTACAAACCTCTAGCTAGCTACAGAAAAGTTCTCCAAGTCCTCACTCAACCCAGGAAGTCCAGCTGGCTTCACCTCCCAATACCCCCTCTAAACAGGACACCCAAACTGCTGTTAGGGATTGGGCAATGACCACTCTAGCTACTTCCTGCTGGATAGAGGCAAAGAAGGGGTCCTGCAGTGGTAGTGTCCTCCAGAGGGGAACTCTCTAGGCCAGCCAAAGGGTCAGTGGGTTGGTCCAGGGATCCTTGGTAGAAGTTGTTAGTTGAGCTCATTTGGGGTTTCATTTGTAAGACCATCTGTAGCTTGATGGCATCAATTCTGGAGGAAACAAACTTGACAAGGAGGTTAAAAATACAGGGCCCAAAGGCGAGTAATAGCAAGATGGCTGTCACAGGACCTAGAAAGGGGAGAAGCCATGTTGCACAACTCCAGAGGTTGGTATAAGAGTGTGAAAGGCGTTTTCTGATTTCAGAAGCCTTTTCCTGTAAACACCAGGCAGCATCTCATACTATCCCTGACTTGTTAGTTTAAAAGCAACACTCTTCCCCTAAGAAGGGGCAGAGTCCTCCTTTCTCAGCAGTGAAGAGGTCTAGGCCCCAGCGGTTTTGGAGAGTCACTGCTGCCAAAGAGTCTATTTGGGATTGTAGAATAAGGATAGGTTTTGTTATTTCTTGTAAACTGAGAAATCTTTTGAGAATGTGTGGTAGTAGGATAATAAAGTAGATAAACTGGCTATTCCGGTTCCTAACCCTGTAAGTAGGGGTATTAGTTGTATGGCCCTCCGCTGACGGACTTGAGCTTTGAGAGGCACGGATAGAGTCTGATTTCCACAAGATTGGAAGTTAGGATAATACACATTACACTGTTAACTTTTAGCAAACTTTACTTTTCTTGAAAACCTTGTAAGTTTGGAATTTCAATTATTCCTTGCTATTAATAAGACCTCGTTCTGTCCATATTAACATAGAATTGGTATAGGTGGCTCCTTCCTGATACTGTAAGTACTTTAAGGTTTGGCTGAATGCAAACAACTCCACGTTTGAGCAAGTTATTAGGCAATTATCCTAATTCTGCTTCTACAACAGTTTCCTTATCACTGAATACCCGTGGTGTCTTTTTCTCTTAATCTTCTGGGAGGAACCATCTATCATCCTGTCCTGAAGGGGGTTCATCCTAGGTCTGGTCGGACCTTTGTATGGTAATTAATTAAAATTTAGATCCCCTGTTAGGAAACCTGCTGGGTTAAGGATTTTTGATAGGAAGGGTATGGGTTGTCATTGGCCTCAGTGCTTTTGGGCTACGCCCTTGTTTACACTGACAACAAGGTGGTATTGGAGTGTTATAGGGTCATGGAGAAGACCTTCAATTATCAATTATAGGTTTCAAATTTACCCTGGCTTTTAAAGGAATAGGGTACACTGTTTTTTCTTTACTACCTCTATCTCTCTCTTTCTCTTTGACTCCTTCTTTGTCTGTCTCTCTCTTTCTTTCTCTCTGACTCCCTCTTTGTGTCTCTGTCTCTTCCTCTCTCTCTCTCTCTTTCTCTTTCCTCTCTTCTGTCTTTGCCTGCCTCTGCCAGCCACTTATGCTGCTGTTCTCCCCTCTCCTTCCCCTTTTTGATGGCTTCAGTGGTATAAGACTGCCATCTCCTTGGGTTTTTGCACTGCATGCAATAACTCCATGATTTCCTTGTGGTATTTAATGGGGTTCCCCCAGAGGTTAGGAACTTCCTTTTTTTCCATATTGCAGCATGGGCATGTAGGATTAGATAAGCATACTTGCTATCTGTATACACATTTACTCTTTTTCCTTTTCCCAGTTCTAAGGCTCAGATAAGTGCCACTGGTTCTGCTAACTGGGTGCCGGTCCCTGGGGGAAGAGGCTTACTTTCAAGTACTGTTACATCATTAACTATGGCATAACCTGCCCTTCATATCCCATTTTTCACAGATGCATTTCCATCGGTATGTAGGTTAAGGTCAGGATTAGCTAAGGGGACTTCTAAGAGATCCTCTCAAGCAGCATAAGTCTGGACTATAATTTATTGGCAGTCATGCTCGATTGGTTCCCCATCCTCTGAGAGAAAAGTGGCAGGGTTGAGGGTCACACATATGTGTATTTGAAGCACCAGTCCCTCAAGGAGTAGTGCCTGGTATTTAAGCAGGTGGTTGTTTGATAGCCATAAACTTCCTTTGGCACCTAGTATGCCATTTACATCATGAGTAGTCCAGACAGTGAGATCCTTTTCTTGTATTATTTTGATAGCCTCTGATACCAAGATGGCCACTGCTGCAACTACCCATAAACAGTGAGGCCAGCCTTTTGCTACTATATTAATTTCCTTACTTAGGTATGCCACTGGTTGTGGGGTTGTCCCACGAGTCTAAGGATGCCAAGAGCTATTCCTGCTCTCTCTGTGATGTATAAAGATAAGTTTTGTCCTGTGGGAAGGCTTAAGGCTGGAGTTTGTACTAGGGCCTGCTTTAAGGTTCTGAAGGCTGTTTCTGCCTCTGGTTCCCAATCTACTAGATGAGTATTTGCTCTCTGGGTCTCCTTGATAAGAGTACACAGGGGCCTGGCTATCTCACTGTATCCAGGGATCCATAGTTGGCCAAAGCCAGTGATTCCAAGGAACCCCCACGACTTTTTTAATGTCTTTGGGTGAGGATAAGCCAGTATAGGCTATATTTGTTCCTTGCTGAGGGCCCTGGTTCCTCTGGCTAAGATTAGGCCTAGATATTTGATTTGTTGTAGGCAGAGTTGGGCCTTCGGTTTAGATGCCTTCTACCCTTGATTAGCTAGAAAGTTCAAGAAATCTAGAGCAGCCTGCTGGTATGAGGCTTCCGAACAGGTAGCCAAAAATAGATCATCCACATACTGAAGGACTAGAGTGCCTGGACTTCAGAAGTGGCCTAGATCTTGGGCCAGTGCCTGACCAAACAGATGACAGCTATCCCTAAGCCCTTGAGGCAAGACCGTCAATGTAAGTTGGGATGTGTGTTCTGTGGGATCCTCAAAAGCAAAGAGAAACTGGGAGTCAGAGTACAGGGGAATACAGAAGAAGGGATGCTTGAGGTCCAGAACTGTGAACCATTCTGCTTCCTCTGGTATTTGATAGAGCAGAGTATAGGGGTTGGGTACAACTGGATATAGAGGGATTACTACCTCATTGATGAGTCTAAGATCTTGAACTACTCTCCACTGACCGTTTGGTTTCTGTACTCCTAGAATTGGGGTGTTGCAGGGGCTGCTGCATTTTGTTACTAAGCCCTGAGCTTTTAAATGTCTGACAATATCCTGTAATCCTTTACTAGCTTCAGGCCTTAAGGGATATTGCCTTTGATAAGGAAAAGTGATGGGGTCTTTTAGCCTGATTTGGACTGGGCAGGCATTTTTTACCCCTCAAATTGTCTTTCCAATGCCCAGACTTCAGGGTTGATCCCCTCCTCAAGCAGGGGACAAAAAATGGGTAACTTATTCCCCGTATTCATGTAGATAATAGCTCCAGCTTTGGCTAATATGTCCCTCCCTAATAAGGGTGTGGGACTTTCAGGCATAACAAGAAAGGCATGTGAAAAGAGCAAAGTCTCCCAATTATAACTGAGGAGGTGGGAGAAATACCTGGTTACAGGCTGTCCCAGGATTCCTCAGGTGGTAACGGACCTTGAGGACAGCTGTCTGAGGCAGGAGATTAACACTGAGAAAGCTATGCCAGTATCCAGGAGGAAGTCAATTTCCTGGCCCTCAATGGTTAAACGTACCCGGGGTGCAGTGAGGGTGATGATATGAGCTGGCGCTTGCCCCGGGCACCCTCAGTCTGTTGTTGGATCATCTGGTTGGGGGCTTCTGGCCCAGAGAACTTTTGTCCTCTGGGGCAGTATGCCTTCCAGTGATTGTCTTGGCATAGTGGACATGGGTGAGGGGGCAGCTTGTTTCTCACTGGACAATCTTTTTTAAAATGTCCTTGCACTTCGGGAGGCCGAGGCGGGCGGATCACGAGGTCAGGAGATCAAGACCATCCTGGCTAACATGGTGAAACCCCGTCTCTACTAAAAATACAAAAAATTAGTCAGGTGAGGTGGCTCGTGGCTGTAGTCCCAGCTACTCAGGAGGCTGAGGCAGGAGAATGGCGTGAACCCCCGGGGAGTGGAGCCTGCAGTGCCGAGATTGCGCCACTGCACTCCAACCTGGGCGACAGCGAGACTCCGTCTCAAAAAAAAAAAAAAAATGTCCTTGCAAACCACACCGATAACAAGCCCTACTGGATGACTGGCCTGCTCCATTTTCTGTCCTCTCTGAACAACCAAGGTTTGTTTGCCTGAGGGCCATGACTAAGGCTGTGGCCTTTCTCTGATCTTGCTTTTCCTTTTCGGCCTGTTCCTTTTGGTCCCTATTATAAAACACCGAGGTTGCCAGGTTTGATAACGCCTCCAGATTTTGTTCAGGGCCCAGGGCTCACTTTTGGAGCTTTCTCCTGATATCTGCGGCTTATTGGGTAATAAACTTATCTTTTAGGATCAATTGACCCTTGAGAGAGTCAGGTGACAGGGGAGTATATTTTCTTAAGGCCTCCCATAGCCACTCGAGGAAGGCAGAAGTATTTTCTTCCTTTCCTTGAGTTATAGTGGACATCATTGAATAATTCATGGGCTTTTTCCTAATTCTCCTTAGTCCTTCTAGAACACAGGTCAGCAGATGTTTATGACTCCAGTCCCATGATCTGAGTCAAGGTCCCAGTGGGGATCCATACTGGGGATGGCTTGCTGACTGGTAGGGAATTTGTCCCATTCTTTAGCTGTCATTCTATCATTTACTTGACTAAGATACCAGGTATCTCCAAACTCTAGGGCTGCAGCTAAAGCTGCATTCTTTTCATTAAAGGCCAGGGTTTGATCTAACTATAGCATGACATCTCTCCAAGTGAGGTCAAAGGTTTGTCCTAGACCCTGTGGGACATCTATTTACCTATCAGGATCATCTGAAAACTTCCCCAGGTCTACTTTAATCTGCTTTAAGTCAGAGAAGGAGAAGGGTTCATGTACCTGGGTTGGGCCAAATCCCCATCCCCCAACAGCTTGAAGGGGACATAACCAATAGCCTGGGGGTTTTTGCCATCCCTTGGAGGTTTCTTTGCTTGTTTCCTTCTGGGTGGGGGACATTAGTGCAGGCTTATCATTAATAGGAAGGGGAGCTATAGGAAGGCTAGGATATGGAGGTAAGCTGAGAGATCCTCCTATGGAATGTAAATTGCAAGCTTTGCATAGTTATGAATTCTTCTTCAATGAAAAGAAAGCTTGGACATAATGTATTTCACTCCATTTGCCTTCTCTCTTACAGAAAAGGTCAAGCTGCAGGATAGTACTGTAATTTATACTTCCCTCAGGTGGTGGTTTTTCCCATCAGAGAGAGAATATTGGGGCTAGGCCGTAGTGCAGAAAAAAATGAGCTGCCTCTTTTTCAGGGTTTGCGGGTCAAATTGGTCCCAGCGGCTTAGGATGCATTTCAAGGGTGAGCCTGTTGATGCCTGAGTGTTTCCCATCTGAAAGAAAAATACTGCCCATGGTTTTGGTTTGTTTTGCACCCCCCTCCCCTGCTCAAGAACCCACAATGGTCCCTGGACCCTGCTGATCGGAATAGTTGCACTCACCGACGCAGCAGCAGAAACACTTGTTTTCCTCCTAGACCACAATGAGGACCAAGAAAGGTCAGATTTGGTGGCCCTTACTGATGCATTGTCGAAAACCTGCACCCTTGCCTTTCCTCTTAGACCACAAAGAGGACTGAGAAATGTTGGATTTACTGGCCCTTACCGACACATTCTCAAAAACCTGTTAGAGTCCTAAGCATTTTCTCCTGTTAGTATTGGGACTTTACCCCTGTCCTATAAAGATGATATGCTTCAAAATGGAGTGGAGGGCTATATCTTCGTGATGAGTGTTGCAGCTCTTAAAGGTGGTGCAGACCCAAAGAGTGAGCAGCAGCAAGATTTATTGTGAAGAGCAAAAGAACAAAACTTCCACAGTGTGGAAGGGCACCCGAGCAGGTTGCCACTGCTGGCTGGGGTGGCCAGCTTTTATTCCCTTATTTGTCCCCATGCATGTCCTGCTGATTGGTCCATTTTACAGAGTGCTGATTGGTCCATTTTACAGAGCACTGATTGGTCCATTTTACAGGGTGCTGATTGGTCCATTTTAGAGGGTGTTGACTGGTCCATTTTACAAACCTCTAGCTAGCTACAGAGCGCCAATGGGTACATTTTTACAGAGAACTAATTGGTGCATTTTACAAACCTCTAGCTAGCTACAGAGTGCTGATTAGTGCGTTTTTACAGAGCACTGATGGATGCATTTTACAAACCTCTAGCTACAGAAAAGTTCTCCAAGTCCCCACTTGACCCAGGAAGTCCAGCTGGCTTCACCTCTCAATAACTCCTACTTCTGTTTGGAACTCATCTCTGGAATCATCTGGCTTCAGAGTCCAACCAGAGTCAATAGTTATGAATATACCCTTGGTTATTCTGTTCCACACTCATCATACTCTCTTGCATGATCCAGGCCTGGATTTAATATCCAGTCATTTAGTATCTTCCCAAACTTGGACTACTTATTGAACTTTATCATGTGTAAAATGGGGCAATGTATCATGTGTAAAATGGGGCAATGTTATCAGCCTCACTGGATTATTTTACAGATTAAAAGAGAACAAATATAGGGAGTTAAGAACTAACTCTTGAACATGATAAGTGCTCAGTGTATTTTGATCTTTTTCCTTATGTTAATCAAATAACACCTGTCACTGCAGGCTTCATGAGAGTTGGTCTGTTTCTACAAATTATTTTTTATATCTTTTCAATATGTACTTCTTTGTTTTCCCACCATGATAGCACACTGCTGATGTTAAAAATATCACTGAGAACCAATTGATAAATATCAGAGCATTACCTCCCCACAAAAGGGTAATTCAGAGTTTGTAAACGATGACATTAATGGAAAATGCCACTTCAATTACAATTTTTTCTTTTCTGCTTTTTTTTTTTGGAGGGACTTGTTAAGAAAAATTATTCTAAGTTTTAATATTTCAAATTACATAGGATATTACATAGTTTAATCAAATTACATCTTTGCACATCTTGATTGATTCATTCATTTTGAAATATTACTTTAAAATCATGAAAATACAATAATAATTCTCATTCCAGTTTCTTTGATATTTTATCAAAACCAATATCCGTCATCAGTTTGTGGCAATATTTGATTTTTTTATCATGATTTAGTTCTTCTATTTTTAAGAATACATTTATTCTATCATCACATCACATTGTCAGAAGTCTCATAAGAAACATTGTTGAGAACTGTGTGACCAAGTACTTCTTTTAGGGTGTAATTCTTTCAAAGCAAGCTCTAGATTTTAACATAGTTGAATTAGTAGTATTTTTTGGCAATTTAATATGGAGGTATAAGATATTTGCACAAACTTACATATTTCTTAGAGGCTCCCTTCAATGAATGTTTTGAAACCAAACACGTGTATAACATCACCTAAACCAAGAAAGAGGATGTGGCCAGTATGTCGGAAAACCCCACTTATGCCAACTCCAGTTACTATTCTCCACCCCACAGTTGACACCCACTTCTAAAACCAGAGATGTTGCATATCTCTCACCTTTATCAAAATAAAATTTATCATTGACTAATTTTATTAATTTTAATTGATTTCATTAAAACAAAATGATACTGTATCTATTTAGTTGTGTGTGACTTCCTGTTCAACGTCTTGCTTGGCAAATTTAGAACTGTTTTTGCACACAGTTGTAATCAGTTCCTTCTTACTGACATATGGTATTTCACTAGAATTATGAACATACCAGTACAGGAGTTTTGGTAAACATGTGTATGCATTTCTATTGGGTATATCCTTAGAATTTGAATTGCTAGGCTGTAAGGTATGCATACATTTAGCTTTAGAGGACACTGCCAAAGAGCTTTCTATGAGGTTGTACTAAACTATACTAAACTATGTCTCACACCAACAGTATATGAAACTTGCAGTTGCTACAGATCCTCACCAACACCTGGTATTGTCTGTCTTCTCATGTTAACAATTCCAGTGAGGAAGTAGAGGTATCACATTGTGGTTTTTTAACTTGCATTTTGTCAATGAGTAATAAATATGAGTAACTTTTTCTATATTTATTGACCATTTTAATGTATTTTATGTGAATTGTTTAAGTATTTTGTGCATTTTACTATTCGATTTTCTATCCTTTCCTTATTAGTTTGCAGGTGTTCTTTACAGAGTCTAGATATGATTTTTTGTGTGGGGGGTAAATTTTTTGTAGATATACTCCTTCTTTATTTATTTAATGTTATCATTTGATGAACAGAGCTATTGATTTATCTTTTTGCTTTAGTTTAAAACTATTTGTGTTCTGTTTCTGAAATCTTGGACTACTCTAAAATCATGAAGATGATTGCCCATGTTTTCATCTAAAGCCATTATTGTTTTACCTTAACCACATAGACCACAGTCATTTTTAATTGATTTTTGTGACTTGGGTGAGCAGAAATTAAGATACTTATTTTTCTCAAATAAGTAATCCATTGATGCAGCACCTTTATTGGAAAAACTACACGTTGCCCACTGCACAGCAGTGTTACTTTTGTGATAAATTAGGTTGGCGTATATATGGGTAAAACTGTTTCTTAGTGAGTATATGAAGCACATATAGAAAACTAAAGAGAATAGTATAATTATCCCATACTATCCATCACACAGCTTCAATAATTATCAGTTCATGGACACTTTTCATATACTAGCACTCACTTCTTTCCGCAATTCCAAAGATTATATTATTTATCCATTAGTATTTCAGTATATCTTTCTGAAAGATAAGGTCTTTTTTCTAACATTCTGAAATATTATATTATCACACCTAAAAACTAACATTCACTTAATATCACCAAATGCCCACTTATTGTTCAATTTCTGATTGTCCCATACATTTTTAAGGAGGTGTTCATCCAAATTACATTTTTAAGGACTTGTTCATCTAAATTAGAATTAAAAAATGTTTATGAACCTGAGCAACATAGTGAGAGACCCCATCTCTTAAAAAAAAAAAATTGGCCGGTCATGGTGGCATGCGCCTGTGTTCCCTGCTACTCCAGGAGCTGAGGCAGGAGGATCTCTGGAGCCCAGGATTTTGAGGCTGCAGTGAGGTACGATTACATCACTGCACCCCAGCCTGGGTTGTTGACAGAGTGAGATCCCAGCTCTTAAAAAGAAAATGTTTATACATTGTAATTGGTTGATAGGTCTCTTCAGTCTCTTCTAAAAACTACAGTTTTTCCTCTCTCTCTCGTGCGTGTATGTGTGTGTGTGTGTTCTTTGCGATGAATTTTTAAGAAGCTGGTTCAATAGTTCAGTAGAGTGGTCCACATTTTGGATTTTGTTATATTAGTCAATGATTAGTTCCTATTGGAACAAGACTTTTTTAAAAAAGATTGATTTCTAGGTACTGAAACAAAGCAACAGTTACCTCAATATCACCAAAGTGGAGTACCAGCTGAAGTTTGTGCTAATACCTAATGCTTATGTAAGAAATACACCTATTTTTATAATAGGTTTCTATATGCACTGTCCAAGGGCATTTTAACTGTAGCACTATTGACATTTTGTTTGGGCTGGTGAATTCTTTGTTGTAAGGGGATGTCCTACACTTTGTAGGATGTTTAACAGTATCACTGGCCTCTTTACTTTAGATGCCAGTAGCAGGCCCCAGTTGTGAACATATAAAACACTTATTGTCATTCACCCACTGCTTGCCATTTTTCATCCCTATTCTTTATATTTTCTCACCTTGATCTGTTATAAGTTCCTTGAGAATAGGAGCAATGTCTTAATGAATGAATTGGGGTTATTGATCATTTTTATGCCCTTGTGATATTTGCTTCTGAGGACCAAATGAGATAATCCACAAAAGACTCCCTTCGAACACTTTGCAGGGCCCTGGTAAAAGTGTTGGACATTTTTAGATCCTGTTACTGGTTTTGCCTCACCATTTCCTGCTGCATTGTACTCAGTCCACTGCTATTGACTCCTCCATTTCAAACCAAGCATTTTTGTGTAGTCAGCAATGTTTTTCCATTAATTCTTCTTTCCTTCTTCACACAAATCAACCAACTTTTTCCTCTTGACTTAATTCCCACAGTTTCAAGTTACAGCTTTCCCAGCCTCATCTCTCAGCTTCTCATACACTAATCTTTCTGTGTTTCCCACAGTCAACCTCCCTATTTCTACTCCATTTACCTACACTCCCACCATTCTCTCCCCGAATACACTCCCACGCCATTTCTTCTAATTTATGTCTTCCTCTTCTTCTCTATCTTAATAACATTTTCTCTGCTAATTCCTAAAAATCTGTTGATGTATTCCCCTTTGTATTTCCTAACCTTCTACAATAATTTTTTACTACATTATTATTTTTAAAATTATTGAGTGTCAAACCACAACAAATAAGTTTTAAAAAGTTAAATAAGGCATAGGTCCTGCTCCAGAGGATCTTGGAGAAGAGATAACGGATAAAATAATTTCTGTGCCAAGAGGTCCTGTTATAATGATGCCTCTAATGGTGTTGTGAGACTCACAGATGAAGCAAAAAATTTTGCTTTGAAGAAGGTAAATTATATTTAAAAAGTGGCACTTCTATTTTGTCTTAAAGGGTGTTAACTGAGAAAGAAGTAGGGAAAAGGATTCCAGGCCCAGAAAAGATCACAATTCTTTCTTGGTATGAAGAGTATTCCTTAAGATGGATGCATAGAGTCTCTGAAGTTGAGTGCCTAGAATTTTGTTCTATGTGTGCTACTTCATTGGTCTATTTTAGTCAAAAATCTTATACACTCTTCCATTTGGATTGAAATCTCCAAGGGAGGTTGGAATATAAACGGCATCAAATACCAGACTAATCCACTCACTGATGTTTTGAATAAGCATGGCACTGATAACATGCCTCAAGTTCTGAAAGTCATACAGGGCAACACATCACCCTTTTCAGTTGTCTCTAGACAAAAACAATCATCATGCTCTCTTGGGCAACTGATTTTAATTTCAAAATAAAAGATAACGGCTGAGCACGGTGGTACACACCTGTAATCCTCCTTTGGGAGGCCAAGGTGGGTGGATCACAAGGTCAGGAGATCAAGGCCATCCTGGCCAACATGGTGAAACCCTGTCTCTACTAAAATACAAAAAAATTAGCCAGGGGTGGTGGCACGTGCCTGTAATCCCAGCTACTCTGGAGGCTGAGGCAGGGAATCGCTTGAACCCAGGAGGCAGAGGTTGCAGTCAACCAAGATCACGCCACTGCACTACAGCCTGGTGACAGAGCGAGACTGCATCTCTAAATAAATAAATAAATAAATAAATAAATAAATAAATAAATAAAAACAACTGCATAGAATTCTCTTTCATACTGACCATTTTCAATGAAGAAGAGATTTCAATTCAATGAAGATATAAGATAGTCTAATTGCCTTTTTCTCCATGGTTGTGGTCAGCACAAGAGAGAAAATGTCTCAATTTCCTTTATTTCTTACTACTCTTTCCCTTTCTCTCCCACTCCTACTCTTCTTCCTCTCTGTTCTTTCTTCTTTTCTTCCTCTCTTTTTCTTTCTTCTTTCCTTCTTCAATTTTCCTTTCAAATCAGAGATACTATCTAGATGACAGTTGAGATCCTCCTGGCTGGATTGGGTTTGTGTGTGTGTTGGATTTGACTTCTGTGTGAGTGTGTTGGATTTGATTTCTGTGTGTGTGTGTGTGTGTGTGTGTGTGTGTGTGTTGCCTACCATGGTTTGGGAGGAAATGCTGAGAAAACATACTCGAGCTTGTCAGAAAGGCCTGAGTATGCCCTAAGTCTTCTAATTTTTCCATTACTTTTATAATAAACAGTAGACAGCCTTTTATTTATAAGCTAATATGCAAAGGGAGGCACAGTTCATTCCCATCCATTTGCTCTTCTCTGTGCAGTTAGTAGGGTTGATGTGCCTATTCCCACTGCAGAGATGCTTGCTCGATAGCTCCTGAGTGGCTTGACTGATTTTCAGGAGTTTCAGTGATACTCTTATTCTACCACGAATTTATATTGCTAATTAGTCTGAGAAACATGTATCACGTTTAAGGGGAGAATAAAACTTTCTCTTTTGTCAAGTTATAAAAGCAGCAAATCCTTACTAGCTGTACTGTTCTTTAGGGAGCCAATACCAGGAAAACTTGTTCTATTAGTTGAGGTAAGTAAATCTATGCAGTGAAATGTCCCCAGGAAGATCCCCCCATATTGCACATATTGTTTTATTGTCTTCTTTGTCATTCTTTCTTGTTCCCACTTCTCCCCTTCATCTTAGCATTAAGGTTTTCTAGCTAATCTCTCTCTGACTTAGTGATGAGGTTCATTGCTAACAGAGGGTCATGATCCCCATCCCAGATTTGTTTATCACCATAAGACTTGAAAAAAAACACCACTGATAAATGTACTCACAGCATTATATTCCTTTACAAAATACTCACCATAAAAATATTTAAACGTTGGATAAAATGTTGAAAGATCATTTTGTGTGCTTTCACTAGCTGACTGAGAGACAAAAGTCACTGAAGGAGGAAATTCCAAGTCTTGCTAAAGATCACTCTGTAAATAATAAATCTTTTCTTAAGTCAGAATACAGCATTCTATCCTTCATGAAAAATTCTTACCAAGTTAAAATTTGAAAATCATTTTGTGTGTAGCTTGACCTTCCTTGTGAATGTCATGACAGGCATCTATTACACTAAATTGATAGCTTGAAAAGTTCTGGATCAACATCAGGCAAACAAGAACAGGAATAGACTTTATGTAAGGGCTTGAAGGAGAGACCATCACAGTCTGGCCTACCCTTTCTCTCCCCAGCAGTTTTAATTACATAGTATAAATACATGACCACAGAATCTAAATACATGACCTGGTAGGAGCATTTCTGTGTAAAGTCTGTGGTCACAGGGACAGATGGCAAAGCTTCCAATTGCATCAGCTGTCTCCCTACTACTCAAGAAAAGGCGCATGTTTCTTGTAAAACAACATGCTTTCATCCTGCTGGGGCAGGGACTGAGGAATGAGTGGAAATCACTTTTCCTAGTTGTCACAGAGCCCCAAGAGTGATATAGGTAGACTTTTCACCCTCTTGTGCTTATTCTTAGCACCTCACAAGAATCAAAGTTCGACAACTTGGCAGCTTTGAAAAATGTCATAAGTTGCTTTTCAACTATATTTTCTTTTTCTATGTCTGAAGTGGAAGAAAAGTAGCTGGAAGTAAAATACTGCATTAAAATTTTTTTATACCTTAGTAAATTAATATATTCTACTTATATGGACATTTTAAAAATGAAATGATTACTAGGGAAAATATATGCTGAATCATCTTCAAAACATTTGCACTTGTATTTTTTCACATAGATACAAAACTAAAATAATTTAATATGGATTTGTTTAATACAAACTAAGAGCTGATGTGTTCAGAGATAACACTTGAAACAATGTCAAGGTTAGAGGACATAATCCAGATGTATGTCATCATTTACAAAGCCAAAGCCAAAATTATCTTGAAAATTACAAATTTGGTGGGTTATTTTTAGTGTCAGCCAAGAGGAAAACCCAGGGTTTGTACCATAACAGCAGTGCTTAGTTTTCATGAGTCTGGAATGTAGTCATCAACCCAGCTGAAAATAGGCAACAGCATCAGTGTGTGCTAGAACAGAGACTGCATTGCAGTTGGTGTGTGTGGACAAAGACTAATTCTTAGTATTGTTGGAAAGAGTGACTGCCACATCACAAACTGCTACTGTTCAAACTTCTCAGAAGCTGCATGCAAAATAAAATAAATAAAACAACTATCCAGCACAAACTTTACACAATACCACTTCAATTTCAATGGCATCCCATCATTTGACCAGGATAAATAGGTTTCATATTTGTAAGTATCCATATTTTTAGATTCAATCTATGAAACCAAATATTCTTTAACTAATGGGATAAGATGATGTCTTCTTAGAGAGGAAAAAAAAAAAAAAAAACAAAACACTTGAGCTCTTCTTCTTACCTGAGAGAGAGCTTTGGAAACTCTGGGACTAAACAAATGAAGACAGTACATTGATTTGTTTCTTGTGAAAGAAAAAGCCAGGGGAACTGCACAGCCACAGCATGGCTCATGAAAACCTTTAATCTATTATGGAACTAAGACGTGGTCTTGTTTTCTCCTCAAGCAGCTACAGTCAGTGAAGCTGGGACTCTATTTGCTAAGACAGGAGGAGATAATCTTGAGGGACTGAGTTGGCAATGATCAGAATTCTGTAGGACTCGAGGCCAGGTATGAACAGTGGAAACTGAAAATGCCTTTGACCATGATGCCACGTATACATTGAAGACCTCCTTACATTCTCCTTTCCCCTGGGAAGAGGGGAGGTCAGCCACACTCAGCTCTAACAAAGTCCTTTTGAAGCAGTTGGAGCTGAGGCTGTGGCCACTGACCAGCCCTGGCTATGATGATCAAGCCTGTTTTAAATACGCTAGTGTCTTGGAATTCCTGGTTGTTGGAGGTAAAACAATGATGTCATAGACATATAAAGAAATATGATAAATATAAAACAGGAATGATATGATTCTGTTTTGTATAAGTAAAAAAATAAATTTAAATTATGCGTAGCAAAAGAGAATATTCTAATTAAGAAAAAATAAAAGAAAATGAGAAAAGAAGAAACTCAGAAACTATAGATTGGCTTGCAATATACATATCCAAGTTTCTGCTTGGTGCTTTTCAGTACATTATGTCATTTAGCCTCTTAATTGTTGTCATACCTTTAATCTAATTACTAAGCTGATTTTCAGCAAATAAAAAACTCAGAAAGGTTAAACAAATTGCCCAAAGTAATAGACAGATAGATAAATATCATATAAGAAACATAAAACAAAAGCTATGAGTATCAGAAATGAAAGAGGAAAGTTGACTTCAAATGTCAAAAAAAAAGAGATACTAGAATTATTATGAATCAAAGATACTCCCAAGACATAGGGTAAGGAAAGAGTGACTATGTAAATTTACAAAGAGAGATTGAATTTGAAATTGGAAAATAGTTGGCAGAATGTTGAGGGAAAAACATGAAAATTCAAGGTATGACTTTCTAGAACACATAAACAAGGACTTTTCAGAAAACTTAACTATTGGTGTCATCCTCAGAAAAGCACCAGTCCTCAGGCCCAAGACATAGATGCTACATATGGTATCCCTTAAAATGAAAGAATCCTAAAAGTGGTAGTTATCTCCTAGTTAAATTCTCCAGTGCTTTTATTGAAGATCTACCTGAAATCTTACCCATTTAACAACATTGCTATATTATTATCTCTTAATACTTATTTGTAAATGGAAATTGAAACATTTAGTCTTGAGTTTTGTCAAGTGTGGTGAAACTGGGAGTCTTATTACTTGTAAACATTTTAAAAATAGCTTGGGAGTGGGTTTGAAATTGTTAGGTATGCTTTGCTGACTGTTTTCTGGTTATTCCTCCTACTAATTTGGTGCCACTAATTGCTGTAGGCTTCTATTATTAAAATGTGGTTAGTGAAAAGGGTTATGAGTTATGTCCACATTTTGCCTTTGAGATTGTAGACAGTGAATCTCAGTAGATTATAAAGGGTAGTTTTAGTCATCTGGTGGCTGTCATAGTGAAGCTGTTTCTCATGACTTGCATACACATGTGGATAGACTTTTTTAAAGAATAAACTAAAATCCTGAAACAAAGTCATTTTCAAGGGTTTCAGAAAGGTTGGTAAAATGACAAGAGGGATAAGAATTTGGTAGCTAAACTCTTTCTCTGGTCTGAATACTCATTTTACTACTACTAACAAATTCTCCCTTACTTCCTGGTTCTTTATTTTTATTTGTCCATTATCTTATTTTCTCACTAGTCTGAAACCATTTAAAATGTTTTGTGGGCTGCATCATGCTTTCTACATAAGTATGTCATCAAATATGAGAAGAAGAATTCTGGAGATTAACAATAGAGTGGCAATGGCTTATTCTCTGAATCTATTTAAAAGGGAATGTTATGATCTATTTCAATGCACAAAATAATAAACAAAAATTGGAGCTTGTTTCAAAATCGGATTATAAAATTTAAAGACTGTGGAAGAAATGTCAAATGCATACAAGTTTTAAAATTCACAGCAAATGTATAGCTTCATTTTGAAAAGTGCAATGAATTGAGAATCTATACATGTTAAAATAATGAACAAATAACTTTTTCCAGGAGATGTCTAGAAAAATGTCCACTAAGTACAAGCTCAAAGTAACTATGTGAAAAAAAAAAGGAAAAGAAATACAATATAGTAGTTGGAAGAAATGAAAACCACCAATACTTTGGATGCCTTGGGTTCACTTCCTTTTCATATATTTGTTTTAAAATCAATCTGAGAGTATGGAAAAGTGTGCAAAGGCTTGATTTGGTGTTCAGAAGACAAAATCTCAGTGACATCAGAGACTACCACACACTTAGAGTGAGAATGATGAAGGGGCAGGAGGGAAAAATTCGGCTGCAATCAAAATGAACCAGCCACGGAGGCTGTACGTGTTTCTCAGATTTCAAGTAGTTCTAATCCTGAGGAGTAAGATGACGCCTAGACTAGTTGTATTGGTAAGTTCAGAATCACTCTACATTTATCATCCACACACCTGTACTTGCACAAGAAGAGTTCAAAGCTAAAAATTCTAGAGAACAGAAAATAATGAATGTTATGAAGAGGCAGGAAAATACCATGTTTTCTGCCACTATGTAAAGAATGGCTTAATTAATGACAGAAATTATCTTTAATTAATCATCTATTTCCTGTATTGCAGATTTCAGTTCTGTTTAAGTCTTCATGATATAGTGACTGAGGTTAATGCAAGAAGGTTACTTATGCTCAACTCCTTTCTTGCAGTAAAGTGATGAAAAGAGACGTGAGTCAATCACTGAGGATTTTTAAATGTTGATAAAATGGTTATTTGCATGTGATATTGAAATGCAGCAGTTTAACCATAAACTGAATATTCAAAACAAGGAGGCAATTGATCTGAGAACTCAGCAACATGCGTTGGTTATTTTCAGATTTCTACAATGTAATAGGGAAAATGTGTGACTGGTGTTAAAGACAGAATGATGAGGCCTCTGAGCATACAAATAATTGAAATGAGCAAGAGTCTTGTATCAAAAAATAGATGGAAATTTGACAGGTAAACACTAATGAAAATCTGGTTTATATGAAGACAATGTATTTGAGTTCTGCTGATTTGGCAAATAAGAAAGGTTAAATGGGGATACTTTTAGTTTTAGGCCATCTGATCCAGATAATGATCATTTTAAAAATCACAATGATCAACATTCCATAAACAAAAGGCAGCACTAGATCACTAGGTATATTAAAAAATGTAGAATTAGTTCAACTCAATATCACTACCTAAAAGGTAATCAAATAAAGTTAGAACTAATTTTTTACATTTAAATGAATATGTTATGAGCTAAGAGTGACAGAAAATTGAATAAGAAATAATTTTAAGACTATAAAATTGAATGAATTGTGTAATATTTAAAAGAGGGAGTGGCTTAAGCTGAAATTTAAGTGAGGAGTGAACTTCATTTTATTAGCAAATATTTTTAAAAGGCTATTACATGCGCTCAAGAAAATTAGTGATACCAAATGTTCAGTATCCCTAAGCATGTTTTTAGGTGAGAAGTTAATCTTTCAAAAACACTAATGATACTGATTTGCTTGTTAGCTTGCAGGAAGAAGATGAATAATATTCTTTTATCATTGTATTCCTAAGGGCTCATCCTTTTCACTGAGGAAATTAATTACCAGCACTCATAATATCCTGATAAAAAACCCATTTTCTTCTGGAATTTCTCGTTTTCTTTTCTTTTTTTTTTTTTTTTTGTAATAAAATGCAATGGTATTCTTCCAAATTGGGAAGTTGAAATGGGATGGTCATATGTTGAAATCACATTGAAAAATGAGGTGCCAGTAAACCCTACAGATGTCTGATGTCACAAAAATACCATGTTGGAAAGTAGAAATCGAAAGACAAAAGCATAGGTTTTATATGACGCCTTGTCCAATAACAGTAATAATGCTGGCATATGACACTTTCAACAGCACTGTTACCCCTCTTGAGAAAATCTAGGAGAAACAATTTTCTGAACATTTTCATTTCCTGAAACTATAGTAAAAGTTGAAAAGAAAAGATCCTGTATTTCTAATACTAGTAAGAAATTTAGACAGAGCAGAGTATTATGTTGATAAGGTCACAGAAATTGACTCAATCTATAAAAGTGGAAAGAAACTTTCTGAATATATTAGAACATCTTAAAAGTGAAGTTTATTCAGATGTAATTCATATGCATCAAAATTTATCTTTTAAAAAATATGCAGTTCAATTAGCTTTGACCAATGTTTACCGCAATCAAGATACAGAACATTTCTATTATCCCAAACATTGTATTATCCAATAAATACCCTGTTCTACCCTCACTATGGACAACCGATCTGTTTTCTGTTTGTAGAGTTTCCTACCAATTAGATTTTTCCAGAAGATCATATAAATGAAAGCACACTGCATGTAGCTTTTTGTTTTTTTTTCTTAGCATAATGCTTTTGAGACCCACCCGTGTTGTAACATGTATTAATAGGTTTATATCTCATTGCTGATTAGTATTCCCTTGTGTGGATATGCCAAAATTTGTTTATTTACACACCCACGGACAAAACTTGGGGTTACCATGAGTACAGTTGCTGTGAAGAATTGCTTATAGATCTTTGTCTAGACGCATAGTTGTATTTCTCTTTGGTAAATATGTAAGAGTGGAATTGTTTTGGTAAATATCTAGGAGTGAAATTTGTGTGTTTTTTTCAGTTGGGGATTATTATGAAAGATGTTGCTCTGAAAATTTGCTTAAATATTTTCGACTGGAAATATATTTTTATTTCTATTTGGTAAATATTTAGGATTGGAAATATCTAGATAAGTAAAAGTTTTAATTTATAAGAAACTGTTAAAAAGTTTGCAAAGTGTAGTTGTTCTGTGTTCCCGCCAGCACTTTTTTTGTTTTTGTTATTCTAGTAATTGTTCAGCATTTAATACTACACATTTCCCCAATTTAGCTTTGTCCTAAGAATTGTGATAGGTTGTATTTTCATATTTATTCAGTTCAAAACATTTTCTGATTTCCCTTGTGATTTTTTTGACCAATAAGTTACTTACAAATTTGTTGTTTAATTTCCAAATATGATACCCAAAGAGCATACTTTGTATAGTTTCAAATCTTTTAAATTTATTGATGTTTGCTTTATGGTTCAGAATATGATCTATATTGGTATTTGATCAACATGTACCTCAAAGAATGTGTGTTCTGCTGTTATTGGGTAGAGTGTTCAACAAATTTCATTCATGTCCAGTTGGTAATGGTGGTATATATATTTAACTTTACTGCCTTTTCCCCCCATCTTATATCAATTATTCAGAAAAGAGTGTGCCCTACAACCATAATTGTGGATTTGTCTATTTCTCCTTTCAGTTTTTATTTTGTATGTCTTTAAGTTAACAGTTACATACACATTAGGGTAGTTATATCTGTTCGATGGATTGATGTTTTTATCAGTATGTAATATGCCTGATTGCCATTGGTAGTATGTTTTGCTCTGAAATCTACTTTGTTGGATATTAAAATAGGAATTCCATCTTTCTTGTATTTGGTATTAGCATTGCATAGCTTTTTTGATCCATTTAACCTTTCTATATGTTTATATTAAAATGAATTTCCAACAGGAGATGTGTATATATAATATATAAATATATATAATATATATAATAAATAAATATATGATATATATGAATAGATATATACATACATATATATATATTACATTATATATATATATTTTTTTTTTGAGACGGAGTTTAGCTCTGTCACCAGGCTGGAGTTCAGTGGCACGATCTTGGCTGACTGCAACCTCCACCTCCCAGGTTCAAGCAATTCTTCTGCCTCAGCCTCCCGAGTAGCTGGGATTACAGGCACGCGCCGCCACACCCACCTAATTTTTGTATTTTTAGTAGAGACAGGATTTCACCTTGTTGACCAGGATGGTTTCAATCCTGTGATCTGCCCACCTCGGCCTCCCAAAGTGCTGGGATTACAGGTGTGAACCACTGCACCAGGCCTAGATTTTTTAATCCACTATGACAATATCTGTCTTTCAACTGAATGTAAATGCATCTAATGTAATTATTAAAATGTTTGAGTTTAAATCTCTTATCTTCCTGGTTGGTTTCCATTTGTCCCATCTCTCTCTCTCTTTTTTTTTTTTTTTTTTTTTTTTTTTGGTCTCTTGAAGAGAACAATTTGAAATAATTTAATAGTTTTTTTATTATTCAATTTTGTCTCCACTATTTATTTGTCTTATATCATATTTTGGTAATTGCTCTAAGATTTACTCTCTACATCTTTAACTTATCACAGCGTACAATCAAATAATAATACTCTACTTCACATACATTCTAGGAATCTTACAATAGTCTTTTGCTACTCCTTTTCTCCATATTGTAAACTCCTCAATACATTGTTACTAGTTTTGATTTAAAAAGTCAATTATTACTTAATGTTTTCAAAAATAAGAAAAATAAACTTCTTTTATACTTACCTACATTTTTATAATATCAAATGTCCTCAATTCCTTTGTGGAAATCCACATTTCCAATTGATACCATATTCCTTCATTTAACCATTTATTGTAGTTTTAATTTGCTACCAACAAAGTCTCTCGGTTTTTTAATATAAAAATATCTTTTGTTTTGTTTTGTTTTGGTGCTCAGTTTTGAAAGATTTTTATTTTGCTGAGTACAAAACTCCATGTTGATAGAAGTGGAGGGAGAAAGATGACCAGAGAAGCCTGCCAGTAATCAACACTGTGGAGAAACAGAAAGGGTGAACAAAGTTAACAGGATTTGTCAATTAAAACATCATTCATGCTCCACAGGACATTGGCTCTGTATTCTTCAGAATTAAGGAGAAAATATAGATAGTAGCTGTAGCTTATTTTTGCAAGAAGATTGGTATTAAAATTAGGAGGCAGAATAATAGACTGATAGGATAGGACAGGATAGGATAGGATAGGATAGAATTTAAACATGCACACACAAAACAAGCGCTAGTTGATAGAGAAAGTTTCAGAATCAAGTAGAGAGAATTGAATTTTGCAGTATTAGTTTTTTTTTGCTGTGGAACAAATTCTCACAGATGTAGCAAGTAAAAAAATCATTCCCCATTTATTAGCACCTTTCTATAGGTCAGAAGTCTGGAATAATGTGGTGGGGCTCCTTGCTCAAAGTATCACAAAGCTGAAATCAAGATTTCAGCTGGACTGACTTCTTATCTTCAGGGTCTTGGGCACAAACAGCCTCCAAGCCCATTCCTGTTCTTGGCTGAGTTCAGTTCCTTCCGGGTGATGTCCTCATTTCCTCGTTGGTTATTAGCCAGGGCCTGGTCCAGTTTCCAAGAGGCCACTGCACTTCTGGCCATGTGTCCTCCTCCATCTTTAAGCAAGCAATGGTGCTTTGAATCTCTGAAATGCTCTTTTGCAACTATCTGGAGGAACCTCTCTGCTTTTAAAGTAGCTATGTGATGAGGTCAGGCCCACAAGGATAATCTTAATGTCAATTGATTAAAACCTAAGACTTTTAATTATATCAGCAAAACCCCTTCACAGAGATACCGAGATTAGTATTTGATTGAATAACTGAGAGAAAATGTGTGTACACCAGGGACCAGGAATCTTGGGATTTCAGGGGATGGTGTATTAGAACTCGGCCTACTACACAGTACAAAAGGACCTGACCTAGTTAAAAATAGAGAAAGGGAGAAAGGTATTTCTTTCTCTACTTTGTATGTATGAGATAAGATATGTGATATTTTATTGCATAAAGAATAATGAAACATTAGGGATACTTTATGAAGAAAAGGAGGAAAGTTGATAAATTTAAACCACATGGAAAAATTAGCTGAATATTAGAAAGACAGGTAAAATTAATACTTTGAGGACTATACAATAGAGTAGGCAATCAACATAAGTTAGCATAGGAGTCCAGACTTCTCTGAAGACCTTTTGGAACCTGGCAAGGATGTAGCTATGAAGAAATTAGAGATTTACAATAGAGAACATTCAAGCAATTAAGGGATCCTTAGCTGTTAGAGAAGTTACAGTGAGTGGCTGAATATGTAGTTTAGAGTGATAAGTTGGTCAAGAGAAGACAGAAAAGCTCTGAAGTACAGGAAATTGTAGTGTTAAAAATAGGAAATATTATACATCCTAATGAAGAGAAAATAGTAAGTTCAGATATTAGAAATTAATACATGACAAAAAGCTAGAATGCTGATCTTGAATTTAGATCTAGAATCAAAACATTAAAAATACATTTCTTTTCATCAGATGATACAAGTTGATTGTAATGACAAAACATGACTATATGATGATGTGTGGCTAGAGATAAAGAACATTATAATATAATAATGGACATAATACATAATATAACATAATAATGTACATGACTGAGGAATTCTGAAGCCAGATGTATTAGTCAGGGTTCTCTGGAGGGACAGAACTAATATATCTCCTATTATATATATATAGGAGGAGCTGAGAAGCAAGGACAGCCAGTCTGAGTCCCAAAACTGAAGAACTGGGAGTCTGATGTTTGAAGGCAGGAAACATCCAGCATGGGAGAAAGATGTAGGCTTGTTTTTCTGCCTGCTTTATATTCTAGCTGCACTGGCAGCTGAGTAGATGGTGCCCACCCAGATTAACGGTGGGTCTGCCTTTCCCAGCCCACTGACTCAAATGTTAATCTCTTTTGGAAATACCCTTACAGACACACCCAGGATCAATACATTGCATCCTTCAATCCAATCAAGTTGACACTCAGTATTAACCATCACACTAGGATAATAGCTTTTATTTTTTATATTTTTAATGTGGTTTTGTTTTAATCTTTATCCTTATATATGCACATGCAAAGCTAGAAGAGTCAAGTAGTTTTTTCTTATAACAAAATAGAGAATTCATTGTGCCCTCTCTCTCTAATTTGCCTGTCTATAGAGGCAACTATTTTCAACTTTTTAGCTGATTTTTTTTGGCATTTACCTCCATACTTCAAATATCAGAATTATATTGTTATGTCTTGACTTTTTGTTCAATTCTTAGGTATTCTCTACTTATTTTCTCCTATAAAGAAATGAGGTTTAGCACTGTTTTACTCTCATACACTCAGCTCTTACCACAAATGTATACCTCTTTTCTTTTTCTCTCTGCATCTCTCTTTCTCTTTTTCTCTCTCTTTCACACACACACACACACACACACACACACTCACACTCAATCTTCCCCATGTTATCAATATAGTTATAAGTTTTATTACATCCATGTTTACACAATTATGTGTATGTAAATGCTATTCTAAGCTATTTTGCATACTAAAACTATTTCTCCTTTCTTAATCAAATTCTTCACCCTCTGGAGTTAAAAATTACCTGATTTTTGCATACTTTTTTTTTTATCATGTACTTAACACTAAGTCAAATCTAAGCTTTTCACCGATTGTCAAAATCTCGTTTTAAAATGCAACATTTAATTGATAAAATATATCTTTTGAAGACATCTCTTCTGAGGACTTCTAACCTGCCCCATTCTGGACTGATTTTCCTTTATGCCTGCTATACATCTATCTTTGTGGAATTTTCATGTTGCCATGACCCGAAAGATGCTCTTTACTTTTTCTATATTTTCTATATTCCATGCTTCCATCTTTGTTGGTACATAACCTTATTTTAATGAAGCTCATTTAGGGTAGTTTCTTGATAAAATTACCTAGTAGATTATTTTACAAACATTGAACATCTCTACCATAGTACTGATTTATGATTTGGCTGAGTATCAAACCCTAGGTTTTAAATAATTTTCCCTTAAAATCTTGTAGACAATGCTTCATTGTCTGTAGTTTCCAGTGTTGTTCATAAACAGCCTGAAGCCTTTCTAACTCCTGAGACTTTTCATGTGATTCATTTTTGTTCCCTCCCTGGAAGTCATAAAATCTTATCTTTGCCCTCAGGGTTCTACAGTTTCATGTTGATGTACCTTGATATGGGTCCATTTTGCTGAGTCTATTTTGCTGAGCGCAGAGTGGGGCTTTTACTCTCACAACCCAAGTCCTTCAATTGTAAGAAATAGTCTCAGTTATTTAGTTGATAGTTTTCTCTCTTCAGTTTTTATTATTCTCTCTCTGGCACTTCTGTTACCTGGATGTTATACTTCCTTTAGTTTTTCTTTCATTTTCTTATATTCTTTTCACTTAATTTTCCTTTCTTCTGTTTTAATTTTATATTTCTGTGCTTTGAAGGAGATTTTCTCACCTTTATATTTGGATATTGCAATAGAATTTTTTAAAATTTTGCTGAATTCTTTTTTCATAAAAATGTCTTATTTCTCTAAGCATATCAATAAAATTCTTTTTTCATGCATAGTCCCAATTTCCAAAATTTCTTATTTTTTCTCTGTATATTTTGATCCTTTTTTTTTTAACTTGGAAGTTCACAGATGGCTGGTGATCCTTGGGTGTCTGCTAATATTTAAAAGTAGGGCATTTAAAAGTTGCCTTGGAATATTGAGCCCCCAAATGAAGCTTGTAACTGTAATCTTCGCTATAGGTTATGCCACTGTCTTAAAAAAAAGTGTATTTATGTTTTTTCTCTTGGCTAAGTAGATTCTCCATATAATGATCTTTCAATAGCCTAGAGGTTATAATCTTGGCTGCTGTCATTTCTGGAAGACATGTTGGGGAGAGAGCTAGGGGATCAATATTCAGTATTATAAATGTTAATTTAATTATCCTATGTTCAACAGAATCCCCTACCTTCAAATGTCTCCCAGATTAGAAACCTATCTTGCCCACCTCCAGTCTTTTTTTGGTACAAAATAAAATAAATCCTTTGGAGGTATGCAATGATTGAGAAGACCTGAGGTTCTCATTGTTTCTTTGTTCTTTTTTAAATTGCTTTTTTACTCATTGATTTTATTGAGGAATAACAGGCATGCAATAAATCTTCTATTGAAAGTATACAACCCAATAAATTTTGATAGTATATTTGCTCATGACCACACAACCACAATCAATATACAGAATATATCCATCACCCGCAAAATATTCCTCACATCCCTTGAAGTCAATTCTTACTTTAGTCCTTACCCCAGGCAACTACTATAGACAATTTTGCAATTTATATAAATGTAATACAGCTTGTAATCTTTTGTGTCTTGCTTCTTTCAGAATAATGATTTTGAGACTTATCCATGTTGTTGTGCTTACAATGATTTGCTTCTTTTATTACTGAATATTATTCCATGGTATAAATGTACGTCCTTTATTTTATTCATTTAACTATAAGTGGACTCTTGAGGTGTTTCTAATTTTTGACCATTTCAAATGAAGCTGTTGTGAACATTTGTTTATAAATATTTATGTGGACATATGCTTTTGTTTCCATTCCATAAATACTAGATGTGTAAGATTACATTTCTAAGAAACTATCAGTTTTTCAAAGTGATTGGACCATTTTATAGGTACTCCACATCCTTGTCAACACCTGTTATTATCCATGTTTATAATTTTAGCCATCCTAATGGGTGTATGGTTTTAACTGTTGCTTAAAGTTTCCAACTACTCATCCTTGTTTTAATCCACCTTGCCCTCATTTCCATCAGAAAACTGGCACTACAAATTGTTAATTTTTTAATGGTATTCTATGTATAGATAAGGTTGTTTCTTGGATTTTTGCCATGAGTTAAGAGTTCAGTCTTTCCCAGATTGCTAAATCAGTTACTATCTGTTCATATGCTTTCTGTCTCCCAAAGTACAGTTGTGATGGTGTCTACTCTACTTATCTTTGTCCTATATGTGTTCACATTGAAAAATCCCCTTATTTTTATCTTAGTGGGATTCTTGACAGGAATATAAAAACAGGTTGTATTTAATTCATCATCTTCATCCCTCTGGTATTTAACAGGTATATTTAACATTTAAAATTGTTGTCAGAGCACAGACAAGGTTAGAGGTAAAACAATTAATTAGATGTTAAGATAAATACTATGCAAATAATTAAAGAAATGATGATGTAATGCAAATAATGAAATGATGGTGTAAGATACATAAGTGTATATTCAAAAAGGTGTACATATTAAAAGGGAGTCCTTTTTAAAAATTGTTATTATGTTGGCGTGATCGTTTGACAGGGCCTTGAGGAAAAATAAGGGGTTAATATGTCCTATTTTTCAGAGATCTGGGGGAAGTAGTAGGAGAATAAATTTATTGGAGAGAGATATAGAAAATATAAGGTACCTCACTAAAGTAGGAGAAGGACTACACTTACATTGAGGCATTTTGATTTTGTTTTAAACATTGAGTGCGTTGTTGCAATAACAGCTCCTCAAGGTGTCATATTTGATATGAAATATACATTCAGATATTTTTGGGGGTCTTATTCAAAGTTTTCATGGAATAGAAAAATAAAATTTAAATGATTTGGATGATCTTGTTCACCATTCTATGCTTTCAATGTATTATCTTGAATGAGTGACATCAAAGATATACATTTTGTTTTCACATTATTCTTTGATGTGTCACATTATTTGTCAGTGTATTGCCACACTGGAATTTAAGTGTTATAGGAACGATGTTTTCTTATACAATAGAATTATTAATGAAAAAATTCAATTACTTTAACATATGGTTCAATAGGAATATTAATGAGAAAATTCAATTACTTTAACATACTGTTCAATTAAAGGAAGAGTTATATTCCATCGCTAAGGGAATATAACAAATAATACATTTTTTCTACAACATAATCTCCTCTAAAGCGTTTTGAAACATAATTCTGAACTATCATTTATCTGGAGAAGTATAACCAGAATGAAGATATCCTAGAAAAAAAATGCAATAGAGAAAAGTTTAAAAGAATCAGGATTGTTGAACCTTGAATAAATATTTAGGATGGGCATAATAAATCTATTAGATTACTTTACTCCAAAGGTTCTTATGTGAAAGCTGAGATAGATATATTCAGTGTACATACAGATAATAAATAATCTTTTTATAGGATGTAATATTCTGAATTGGGAGGGATGCTGATTATTGGAGCTCTTTCTAACTCTCGAAGAGCTTACTGGTTAAGCTCATAGCATTATAGTCACATTCAGAACAAAGTATCTAGTCTGCAAGCTTAATTATACAGCATAAATGCTGGCCTTTGAAAGGTCAGTTAAGCTACCTGCGTTTGAGAATGGCTATTTGAAGAAATGAATCAATAAATCAAGGAAGCAGAAATGTAAAATGTATGTTACAATTTTCTGATAGTTAAAATTGCTAGCTGTCAAAGTTTAGTCCTTCATATATTTTTAAATATCTATGATTAGAAATTAAGCTAAACAAGCCTAAATTACTCATTATATTTTACATTTGATATGTGGAAAAACCCATCACAGTTTTGAAGTAACATTATATAGAAAGGGTTAAATTCTAAGCTATTTATGTACAAGGCTAATTCTTACCAGGTATTTACTGATGTAAAGCTAGAATGATATAGCTTAATCTTACATCCAGTTAAACCATATCACAAACTAGAAAGATTAAAGTGCATTGGGTAGCCACTTCTTATAATGGTCTCCAAAGAAACTACTATAGATAAACAAAGCTAAGATTTTAAAATACGCACTTGATAAACAACCTAGCATTCACTTTTATCTGCTTTATCAAAGTTGCTGTTTTAAAAAGGGGGAAAAAAACCCTAGTTTCTTTTTTTAACAAATGTCCAAATGCAACTGAAGAAGTTGGTAGGAACATTTTAAAGTTAATTTTTTTAACCTTTTACAGAAAGTTCCGAGTGGCAAGATGCAGTCAATATATCCAACTAAGGATTTTTAACTACTGTTAAATAATACAGTTTTTGCTTCTGTGTTTTTAATGGCTTTAAATTTATTTTCCAGTGTTTAGGCAATAAATCTATAATTTAAATGATAATTGTATTTCTGTAAAACTAGATAGCAAAAATAAGAGTGGTGAGAAATACAATAAATCAAGCCATCAGATTGACATGGTATAATGTGAAGAGTTGCGTGAGACAAAGCAATATCTTCTTTGGGAGAAATTTCGAATGGAGCAGTTAAGACATGTGGTCTTACCTAGACAATAGGTCAAATAAACTAGCTACAGTCTTCCTTGTTTGTAAAAATAATGACATACATCAACAGTAGACCAGCAGTAAGGGTTTCCTGTTTTCCTTCCAAACTGTTGACTGTTAAAAACACACCTGTAATATAGCTTGCTATTTCTGCATTCACTTGTTGTCCATTGAACTTAATATATTAAAATTTCCCAGTTATGATTAAAGATAAAACACTCTAACATTTTATTTCAGAAAATGATTCAGGGATTAATATGTATATTTCATTGTTGGTTCTGCCCTTAGTCTATGCAGCTATCAGATTTATGTTGCTTCCATAACGGAGACCATTCTGCAACCCGAAGATCATTTACTTGATAAAATTCACATTGCTACTCACCAAATACTATAACTAGATAAGCATGCACTAAGCCACCCAGCACCCAGATGAATTAAATTTATGTTGCACTATTTGTAAAAATTAAATCACAGCTTTTTAGTGATCTGTGAAATTCTACATTTGAGAGCATTTCTGAAATGCTATACCAAGGCTTGAAATATTTACATACTAAAGAATCTATTTCAAACCCAGAACAAAATGATTAACATGTTACATGGAAATAAAGAGGTAGCAATGGAACTTTATAATACAGACAGTGCCTGAAAATTTATTCTTTTTTTAGACCAAATTAAGTGGTGAGTACCTATATAATTTTTTTTCTTGATTGACTGTAAGGCAAAAAAAATCTATCTCAATTTAAAGCTACTTGTTTATAGCAAGTAGCATATCTATTAAAGTACTATTCTGAGTTTCATATGGACCTGTTATCTGTATCCTGTAACATGACAACTCAGTATAAACATACCTTCAAAATGCAGTCCAAGTGTACAAAGATTATTCACCTGATCATGGCTGAAGTAGAGGTGGTTAGGTAATGATTTGGCTGCAAAAGTAGCCAAAAGCATTTTTAAGAACGCAACTAGTCAAATGCTCCTGTAAACTTTTAGAAAGACAAGAATGTTGAAATTATTAATTAAAATGAAAATGTCAAGCTTATGTGTTTATATAAATGTTTGAAATAATTTTATTTTCTTAATAGTTTATGCATCTGTAATGAATTGACTTTCATTTTGTTTAAAATGTTTTTGTTTTATTGAACAAATGTTCAGGGATTTTTTTTTAGTTAATGAAACATATAATCTTTTTGGAAATTAATTTTGAGAAATACCCTATGTGTTAGCCAGTTTTATGATCTTGAAGCAATCATTTCACCTTAGGATTTGAGGGAAGCTTACTTTTCCCATCCACTAACTGAGGAGATTGGACAGATGATTTCTAAGTCTTTCCAAATATTACATAAGCTTGGATTTGCAAAGTGCATATAACATTTAATTTAAAAAGGTAGTGTTTGTTAGGAAAAACTACAAACTGAATGATGATTAAAGTTTCATTTTATCAAGGACTATTCAAGGAGGCAGAAACATCGAAAAGAGTGGAATGGAGGAGACGCTGATTAAAAAATAAAGACATTACCTCATCACTTTTTCAAAACTGAAACCCTTCACCACCAAAAATATCATGAAGACTGAAATTGAAAATCTAAACATAAACTGAAACAATAGCATAGCAACAGAAGATAATATGCTTTCTATTTCAGAAAAAAATGATTATTTAAAGAAAAATCAAAATACTCTCCAGAATAGATGTATAAATAATTTACCATTCTAAATATAATGGATTATAGTCTCTAGAGTGTTTGTAAATACAGCTATCACTCATTATAAATGAACATAAGCTACAGAAAATTGAAACTTAAAAAACTAAAAAAAGGAACTAATGTGTTTTAAATCATGTGAAATCATGAAATTAAGAAATTTTAAAGATGTAGTACATTATATGCTAGAGCATAGTACTCCTTAGTGAAATAGTCAAATAGAGAGAGAGAGAGAGAGAGCACGAGAGAGAAAACTTCTTAAGATCAAGGAGTATCCAGTGATGGATGGCATGCCTGTGATCCCATGGATGGAAAAGAGACATTTGAAATGCCAGTGTTAGAAAAGATGGTACGTGTTTTCAGAAATGCTTTTAAGTGTGGCAATTTTAGCAAAGAAAAAAATTGAGTTATTATTGTAGGATCTACACATAGTAGGATGAGAATTATTATTATTTTATCATAAAATATTTAACTTTTTCATTATAGTTTTCAAATAGGCTTTGAGAAAATTATTTTTTCCTGTGTTTGGGTAGTTAGCCTTCTCCATAAAAATAATTATAGCTTTAACAATTTCGTTGGACTAAACACACAAAAACACTGCAAAATCTGCCCAAAAATAGTCTAAGTCAAATTTCTCTTAGAAATAAATTGGTTGTTTCCATGTGGAGAATTCCAGAGAGTGTGCAGCATATGGTGAACAGATTCTATAATTTGGATTGAAAGACCTTCAGTGCAATACATATTAAAAGATCATAGAATTGTAATATGTTCAATTTCATCAGAGTCCTTAATTTTGGTTGATTCTCACCCTCTATACCTCTCTCTCCTACTACTACTGATCACCCAACCAATGGTGGATATTAGGAGGCCATGACAAGTGACGTAATTTAAAACAGGCCCAAGTGTTTCAGTGTGACCTAACTAAAGCCATTTGCTGATAAACTACTTGGTATTTGGGAAAAGTGACTTGTGAATTACTGTTCAGGGGAAGACTTTCTGTTCACATACATTTAACGTAGCCCACTACTATGTTAGCTTTTGCATTATTGTCTCCAAAGTATGACAAAAGCATATTTAGAGGACTCCCCATCTTCAACCAATTTTCAGTGTAGCCTCCATTTTCCAAGCTTACATTGACATTACCTATTAAAATAACTTCAAGCACACATATATCTTAAAAAGCCATCTTCCCTGAGGCTGCACTATGATGATCAACAGCAATTGCCTTGTTAGGAAAGACAATTTTATCAGTGTATTTTGAGTCATTCTGCCTAAAGTGAAAATTACATTGAGCAAAAAATCCACTAAAATTGTATATTTTGCATTGTTATGACAAGAACTTAAAATATTTCACCTAAAATCTTAGTGAAGTGCTTCAAAACAAATGTCATTAGATATTTTTCTCACTTTCAGTTTTAAATAGACAGATGATTTTCTATGTAATGTTTTAATATTTAAGCTATGGTGTTTACATAGATCACTAATAAAATACCCATCAAGTACTTACTGGTTCTTTGAAGAGAGAGAGAGAAAAAAAAAGAGGACTTAGTGTTCTTTCTTTTAAGTAGTAAAGTTAAATATAGCCCCAACAGAAAGTCTAGGAACACCTAACATAAGCTAATGTTTTTATTTACACCCCTTTCCAAAGAACAGCAATATATCAGTCTTTTACAAATAATCTATTTATTCATTTAAAAATATACTCTGAGTACCCGCTATGTGCCAGGGATTTTTTTTCTTATTTCAATTTCAAGCTTCTCATCAACTATTTTGATATTCGTGCCTATTTTACCAGGATTTAAAATTTTACTATCTTAAATATTTTTGTTATTATACTGTTTATAACAAATATACTTTTATAAGCTAAATGTGTAATCAAAAGAATCAGAAGACTCTGCTGTTAAAATTTAATCATTTTTCTTGTTAATCTCCTGTAATATCTCTCATAAAAGATACTTCTTCTGTTCTGAAATCCTCACTACATACAATTCTTATTTTCATTGTAAGAAAAAAAATTCTCAGCTTTTACCTCCAATTAACTGTTAACTTACTACAACCTTACTTTCCCACTTTTCCACTGAAACTCCTCTTAATGTCATCAATAGCTACCATTTTGCCAAATGCTAAGGACTTTACTCTGTCTCTATCTTTAAAGTTTCAGCAGCCTTTAACAAAGGAGATCCCATTTCTTTTCTGAAATACTTCTCTCTGTTGGCTTCCATGATGCCAATATCTTCTGTTTCTTTCTTTCGTCACTAGCTACTCCTGCTCCTCACTTTTGCCTCTCTTCTTCTACCCACAACCTACATGTTAGAGTAACTTAGAGCCAAGTGCCATGCCCCCTCCTCCTTTCTGGCTATGCCATTTCCTGGATGATCTCATCTAGTTGGCTGGCTAAAATAATACTTATATCAGTGGATCTCATTCCTATTGGATCTAAGGCCTTCTGTTATATAAAATATTTTATTACACTGCCATCTTTACTATCCCCACATAAAATTTACAAATACTGTAAATTACTTAGAGACATGATTAGAAAAAAAGTCAATATAGCAGCCTAACTCAAAGAAAAAATAAAAGGAAATTAATTTACAATAAAATAATATGATTTAACATGTAAATTTTTAGAAATGTCTTTATTAGTAGACATACCCATAGGTAATGTTTGTACCTATTTATAATGAATGTATAAGTGAGACAATCAAAAGCCATTATATACAAGAAGCAAACAAATATAAAAAAAGGTGCAGAGAGGTAGAAATGGGCTTGAGAATAAAATCTAGTTTAGAATGTTATAATAAATACAATTCAATTGTATATGGGAAGAAAATAACTATAATGGGAATAAGAAAAGTGGCCAAGGTAAATTTCAGACCGTTGAAGTGGAACCAATAAGAAAGTTTGATATTCTCTTAAGGAACTTTTTTCTTAGTACCAAAATAATTCCTATGTTATTGCATGGTATGAAGTAGTGATAAAGTATCTCAAAATTTCAAACATACTTTCTCTCTTAAAATTCTACCACAAATGGAAGCCTACATTTAGTCTCTGGTACTTAAGGAGACACAGGACTCTACTTCAATGGGCAACAGGGACTAGAGTATAGATAGAAAGAGAAGCAGAAATATAAGAGGATATAGAGAAGTTGTGTTACACCTCTGGGGACAGAACGTCTGAGAAACAATAGGCAGCCCCAAGACAAATATAACATTTCCATGTTATTTTCACTTTAGTCATTTCTTATCTTGGCAGTGATATATCTTTTTAAAGTTTTATTAATGACATTCCTTAATACATCTGCACTATTTTAATTAACATTTGGTTCTGAGTCTGTTGCAAGGGGTTTCATCTGTTACATCAGGGCTACATTACAGCACTAAAACTACTGATTTTTAATAGCTGCATTACAGCACTGAAATGTGTTACCACTAAATATATGGTTGGAAATGCAAGAATACATCAAGTACGAGACAGATAAACAGAGTACACAAATTTATTTCATGATTTTAAGACAATATATTTGCTTTCCTTCTCCTTAACTATCTTTTTTATAAGTTATTGGGCTTCTTATGTAACTGCTTGCTGAATAAAAAAGAATTATCATGCAATTAACTACTACCAATTTATCTTTACAAGGTATTCAGTTGGAGAGAACATTGAAATATTGTGTAGGACATGGGCCGATAATTTGTTTTTCCAAATTTTTGTACACCACGGCTGGTCATCTAGCATTCTCAGCCACTGACAGCCAAATGTCAATAGAACCCCCCAAATCATTGTGACGTCTAAGTAATGCCCACATACAATTTCCAAACATTCCAGGATGGCAATGCAGTGTTCACTATGAACCACAGATCTCTATGTGGACAACCTTGTGCCCAAACCAGACTCATATCCAACTGCCTACTTGACAAATACCTAGTTGTTTTATCTGATAATTTCCTTTCCATACCCCCAACATCTAATCTGCAACACATCCTATTCACTTTATTTCCAACAGATATTTTAAATACATTCAATTCTTTCTATTTCCACTATCACTTCTCTAGTCCAAGTCTTGATTAGTTCTCCCTTCGACCGATGTGGTAGTCTACTAATTGTTTTTTAGTAGTCCATTGTTTATCCTTATTTCAAATACAACCACCAGTATAAACATTTTAAGACATACATCAGATCATACTACTCCTTCATGTAAAATCCTTCAATGAATTCCTAATGTGCTAGATTAAATCTTAAGTTTTCCTATGGTTTGTAAGGTTTTTGATGACTCCATTCTATTTCCTTGATTTCACTACATGAATTCTTCCTTTGCTCATTCTGTTTCAGGTACACTGGGCCACTTTGTGTTTTTTCATGCAAACTGTTTTTGCACCAGGGTATCATTTTTCTTTTCCAAGAATGCCCATTACCACAGTTTCTATTTGGTGTGCTCATTTTAATTCTACTGGTCTCAGTCCAAATGTTACCTTCTCTGACCTATTTTCCCTAATCATACCATCTAATTGGATTCTCTTGATTATTTGATATCTTTCTTTCCAAGTGTTCATTATATTGTCATTATTTGTGTACTCTTGTGTTTCCATGCTTTTTATTTTTCTTTCATACCAGAAAACATGTTCCACAAAAGCAGGAAACTTGTCTCTCTTGTGCTTCACCATATCCCCAGATTTTAGCAAATGGCAGAGCATCAATAAAAATGTGTTAAATTAATAAAACATTTAAAAAATCCATCTATAAATCATATAGCAAAAAGTATTCTAAATTCTCCAAAATATGGTGTCTTTTAAATTTGTTTGATTAAAGCTTTAAAAGAGAAAACCATTTCTTTCTTCTAATATTGATACTGAGAAGAAAACTAAAGTTGGCATTGACATTGAAACTAAATTTGGATTGACATTATGATCTTTTAGTGATGTATAAATCAGGCAGTAAGTTGGCTCAGAGATAACTCAAGGGTCCTACCTGTACATTGTCTCCTAATAATATAACTTCCATTTTGCCTACTGGGAATTATAATTCTATAAAAGACTGATTGATAATTTATCAAACAAGGCCTTGAAATGGGGAAGGAAGAATGGAAGTAAGTACTTTCCAATGAAATCTAGTACCTTTCCTAACTTGAACCACAGACTACAATTCTACATATGCCTCAGGCATCGTGAAGTAAATGAGAGAAGAAGAGTGTAAGAAATGTATAGGGGGAGTGTGACAAATCAGAAAGGAAAGGCAATGATATGTGAATTTATACACTGAGCAGACATGGGGGAAAAGATTTAATATAACCAACAAATTTAAAACACTTAAAAATGACTTCAATCATATTGTCAACACTTTTTAAAAATTTTATTTTATTTTAATTTTTAAATGGATTTTATTTTTCAAAACAGTTTTAGAATTACAGCAAACCTTTGCAGAAAATGCACAGTTCCTGTATACCCTCAGCACATATGCACGGTCCCTACCACTATTAACATCTTGCACCAGAGCAGTATATTTGTTACCATCAATGAGCCTACATTCACACATCATTATTACCCAATGTCATTATGTTGGGGTTCACTGTCGGTATTGTACATTCTATTGGTTTTAACATATATATATAACAGTATGTATGCATCCACCATTATAGTATTATACGGAATAGTTTCACTGACCTAAAAATCCTTTGTACTCCACCTATTCATCCTTCCCTCTACCCTAATTTCTGACTACTGTTGATCTTTTCACTGTTTACATAACTTTGCCTTTTTCAGAATGTCATATAGCTGGAATTATATAGTACACAGCCTTTTCAGATTAGCTTCTTTACCTTGGTAATATGCATCTAATGTTCCTTTGTGTCTTTTTAGATGGCTTCATATGTCATTTCATTTTAGCACTGAACAATATTCCACTGTCTGAATCAAAGGATATGTGTCCATTGACCTCCTGAAGGGCATCTTGCTTCCTTCCAACTTTTGGTAATTATGAATAAAGCTGCTATAAGCATCCATATACAGGTTTTTATGTGGACATACATTTTCAGTTCATTTGGGTAAATACCAAGGAGCATGATTGCTGGGTCATATGGTAAGAGTGTGTTGAGTTTTGTAAGAAACTCCCAAACTGTCTTCTAAAGTGACTGTACCATTTTGCACTCTCACCAGCAATCAATGTCTGTTGCTTCATGTCCTCACCAATATTTGGTGTTATCAGTGTTTAGGATTTTTGCCATTCCAATTCTATTAGATGTGTATAATATCTCATTGTTGTTTTAATTTTAAAATTACTGATGATATATGATGTTGAGCATCTTTTCATATGCTTATTTTCCATGTGTATATTTTCTTTGGTGAGGTGTCTGTTCAGGTTTTTTTGCCCATTTTTTAATCTAGCTGTTCATTTTTGATTGTTGCATTTTGAGATTTATTTGTATATTTTAGATAACCATCTTTTATTAGGAAAAAAAAGTCAATGTTTCTTTTGGATATGTCTTTTGCAAATATTTTCTCCCAAACTGTAAGAAATCTTCTCATTCTCTTGACAGTGTCTTCTGGAGAACAGAAAATTTTAATTTCAGTGGAGTCCAACTTATCAATTATTTCTTTCATGGATTCTGCTTTTGATATTATATCTGTAAAGTCATTGCTATACCCAACATCATGTAGATTTTCTCCTGTTATATTCTAAAAGTTTCATAGTTTTGAATTTTACATTTAGGTGTATGATCCACTTTGAGTTAATTTTTATGAAGGGTGTAAGGTCTGTGTCTAGATTTAATCATTTCTGTGTAGATGTCCAATTGTTGGACACCATTTGTTGAACAGATTATTTTTTCTCCATTATGTTGCTTTTGCTCCTTTGTTGAAGGTCAGTTGACTATATAAATATGAGTCTGTTTCTGGGCTTTTTATTCTGTTCCATTGATCTATTTGTCTATTTTTCCATCAATATCACACTGCTTTGATTATAATGGCTTTATAGTAAGTGTTGGAGTTGGGTAGTGTCAGTCCTCCAACTTTGTTCTTCTCCTTCAATATTGTGTTGGCTGTTCTGGGTCTTTTCTGTCTCCATATCAACTTTAGTAACCAATGTTTTATTTTAAAACTACACCTTCAGATCTCGTAACACTAGATGTATGTATGTCAACATACATTACATAAGTATATGATAGACATACTCTCAAAATTACTGTGAAATAGGTTTTAATCAATGGTATTTATTTTAAACATCAAGACAAATGACTTCTGAGTGGAAGTGCTCAATAAATACAAAACTATCATAATCATTGCCATCATCATTATTATTAAGAGCAACAATCTTTTCCGCAGAGGTTGGAAACTCTGGTTAGGTGACTTGCCCAATATCAGAGCTGGCAAGTGTTTAAGAGGATTCAAATCCAAGTCGATTGACTTCAAGCTTAGTGTTATTTCCACTCCTGCGTGCTATGAATGTTGAGGCAGTAAATGCACTCTTAAATCATTTTTCCCATTTTTTTAACCAGATAAAACTTCTATGACACCATGTAGAAAACAGTAGAAAATAGACTTTGCAATTAACTGAAACCTAGCTCCTAAGGGTTACATTATGTAGTCCTATCCTTTCCCAAGTGTATAGAACTTTTTATCCTGCAGAAAATTTAAAGAAAGTATGGCCTAAATAATATTATCATCTAGTTGGGATATTATTTCCATGGGATTTTCTCAACATTTGGGGGTTTTCAATAGAGAGTTAGACTGACGTACTAGAGGAAAGGATCATAGATTTTGGTCCCAGACTTTTTTTTTTTTTTTTTTTGAAATTCACTTGGTTATTCTGAGACTCCAGTAAAATACTGGAGGTGAAAATTCTCTCAAAACTGTAAAGTACAAGTGTACAAGTATACTACGTTATAATTATCAACGTGTCATTTTCTAAATTATAACTGTATAATACTTGAAACCAAATAGCCTATCAATAGTTGATTAATGAATGAATGTGATAAATTCTTAATAATTCATAACTTTTTACATAGTTATTATTTTTAATGTCATGTAAATAGATGAGCCATTTAAACTATTAAAGTACAAAGTGATAAAATGGTTTTTCTGTAGGGAAATTAATAACTAATTTGTAATTGTTTTATATTAAGTAAACTATAAATTTATTTTATATTATGTAATAGCTATTTTCATTTCATTGATTATATTTATAAAAGGTTACTATTAAGTATTTATAATATGCTTAATGTGTATATCTAATGCATTAATTTTTGTAGTAAGATGATTTCAGAGTAACAGGATAATAAAACAATGCAATAGAATTTATCTAAGAGAGATGTTCAGGTTTTTACTGGAGTATCAAGTGTTAACAGTCTTTCTCAACTTCAACTGTAGGAAAACACTTGTATAAATGAACACTACTTAATATAATCCTTTTCTTCTATATTGAATTATATTTCAGTTAAAACTTAAAAGTTGGTATAACTGAAAGAAGAAAAAGGAAATAAATACATTTCAAACTAATTTAAAAAATTATTTGAATCATTTTTGATATTAAAATATCTTATTTTTATAGACCAAATTATAATACGTGGGAGATCTGGAAATCTATTGGGAAAAATAATACATGTTAAAATAAAGCATAAGATAAAATTCCTGCACATGAACCATACCATTTTAGAATAAAGCTATGCAATTTACAAGGTACCCTTTATAAAGGCAGATGTATATTAAGTAAATGTTCAGTTGATTTGTTTGCAGGTGACATTCTACCTAATTGTCTTCTAGCTGTCCAGATGCCTAGAAAACTTTCAATACAACCTGTACTTTTTTCCCATAGGTTATTGGGGTACAGGTGGTGTCTGGTTACACGAGTAAGTTCTTTAGTGGTGATTTGTGAGATTTTGGTGCACCCATCACCCAAGCAGTACACACTGCACCCTATTTGTAGTCTTTTATCCCTCGACCCCTCCCACCATTCCCCCCAAGTCTTCAGAGTCCATTGTATTATTCTTATGCCCTTGCGTCCTCATAGCTTAGTACTTCTCAAAGTCCCACTGTCACCATGTCCTGATCAAAGAAAAGATGAGATCACTGAGCCATAAACAAACAAACAAACAAAAACCTTCACTGTTGGCTTTGCTTGTCTTGGAGATTTCAAGGGCCTACAGAAGGCAGCAGTGAGAAATTTTGGCTGTTACTCTAACCCGTGAGAATGCTTCCAGAAGACACAATTTTCCTTCCATGGGAAAAAAAAAAAAGAAAAAAAAGAAAAAAGAATTCAAAGAGAAATGTTAGAAGTTGGGGGAGGGTTTTCACTAGAATGGAAGGGAATAAAGAACTGTTTTTGAGTGGGAGTTGATGCTCCTACTCCAGCTGCTGGTTTCTAATCTGGAAAATACCCAGTATGCTTTTACTCCTTAAGTAACCCAAGAAGTATGCAGCTCTTGGGAGGAAACACATGTATTCACATGCAGATACTCATATTTATGATTAATTATATTTACATTTATAATTAACTATAAATACATTACTTTAAGTTATTTTTCCCTCACTATTAACTTGTGGAAAAATTCCTTCCAATAATTTCTATAACTCTAATTTCCATCTCCTTCCTAAAGACTCAGGACCAATGTTTACTTCGCTGGGAAAGAGAAAAATCAGTTATTGTCTGACAATAGACAGTTTGTAGATATTTTTCTAGTTACTCTTTACTCTCCTTTTTCTTTCTAAGTTTGGTAGTGACAAATAAATATTAACAAAATAAACTCCTTAACAGCATGAAGATTTAGTAGTTATTATAAAAGCAGAGTTCTACCTGGGAGTGTTGCCAATTGCAGCAGAGAATGTGCTCACCAGTGTTTCTCTTCTTCCTGGGCACACTGCAGGACTCATTTCTCAGAGTCTTTGCAGGTAAGTGAGCCAATGGAGTATGAGTAGAAATGATGTTCCCCATTTCCAGACCTGACTTTTAGACCCACTCATGCTGCGTTTCATACTCTCTTTCTTTGATCATTTACTCAGCCAGGTGCAGAGGATTCCACTGAGAACTTTGAGGCTTTAGGAGAGAGACATATGAAAGAAGCCTGGGCTAGCAGTGCACAGAGAGCCTTTTACCCCAGTTACCTTCACTGGACTCTGAGAGGAGCAAGAAATAGATCTTTATTGTGTTAAATCAAGATGCTTAACTAGTACAGAAATTCAGAAAGAACTAATGGTTGTCATGATCCCGGTAGTTTGGGTCTCTGCCCCGCCTTAGCAAAAGAACATTCTGATATATAAGAAATTGAGATTTCCACATAAAGCACAGCCTTTCTCCCTGTGGCATGCAGACAAGGACTGCAAAAGATGTATGCAGCTCTCTTCAGGCTCTTTTGAAGTCCAAGTCATTTATTACCATCAGTTCCAGAACAATCATTTTCCAAATCTAGATATCAGGACACATAATTAGATAATTCACAATTTAAAGAATGTGTCTATTCCTTCGGTCAAACTTCTTGTTTTATCACTTATTCATTTACACTTTTTAAATACCTTTTGAGTCATGTGCTAGATACTGTACTAAGTGGTAGAGGATGCAATGCAGCACAGGCTCTAGCACCCAGCATAGTATTCTACAGATTGTAGGCACTCAACAAATAATTTCATGGTGTGAAACAAAAAACTAACAGGAAGTTAATTCAGTAAGACATGAGAAACACAGGGGTTGCTCCCCACCCGCCTTGATGTAGAAAGGACACCTTGACACAAGAAATGCAGAAAAAACTTCCTGTAGTCAGTATTCTCTATATAAATGCTTTCTTTTTTTTTTTTTTTTTTTTTTTTGAGACGGAGTCTCGCTCTGTCGCCCAGGCTGGAGTGCAGTGGCGCGATCTCGGCTCACTGCAAGCTCCGCCTCCCGGGTTCACGCCATTCTCCTGCCTCAGCCTCCTGAGTAGCTGGGACTACAGGCACCCGCTACCACGCCCGGCTAATTTTTTGTATTTTTAGTAGAGACGGGGTTTCACCGTGTTAGCCAGGATGGTCTCGATCTCCTGACCTCGTGATCTGCCCGCCTCGGCCTCCCAAAGTGCTGGGATTACAGGCGTGAGCCACCGCGCCCGACCGTAAATGCTTTCTTATGATGTGAGACACTTTCTGGGATTGAGTGACACCAGAGATATGCAACCAGCCAATGTGTAGCTAACCTGATCTTGCCATCTCTGATTAACCACTGGATACACACACGCGCACGTGCACACGCACACACACACACACACACACTCCTATATGATTAATTGTAAATTGGTTAATTGAAGCTCTCTGGGGTGTTTTCCTTCCTGATATTAACAACATAGTCAACTTGTCCATCCTAATCATTTTGTCTTTGAAAGAAAAATTGATTTTTAAAGCTCTAAAAGTTACAAAATTATTAGGTTATAAACTTTAATTTTATTATTACAAAGTATTTTTTATTACAAATCATACAAGACTAAAATTCCTTGATGATGTTTCTAATATTAGATGATGAGATGTCTAAACAATATTTCATTGAATTTTAATATCTAGGAGGCAACAAGTAACCAAGCTTGTGACAAGGATAGAGAATGCATTCTAAGCAAAGCTCAAAAATAAGATGCTACTGCATTTTTTTAACAGGAGCATTTAAATTCCTAATTTTCATCCTTTAAAAAAGGAGTTAATTATTTGTGTAAGCATTTTGCACAATACAACTATAGAATATTTATAAAGTCTTTGAAGAAATCTAGCTAAAATATACATATTTGGGCATTTTCCCATTGACATATGTATGTACATATATTTAATATTATATATACACATATATTTACATATATGTACATATATGCACATGTATTTAATGTTATATATACATATATGTGCATATATGTACATATATGCACATATATTTATTGGTGTAAATATTGCAGAAACTACACTATGAAATTTGAATACAGTGTTTAAAATTTATTTGTATGTGCATTTTTGATATCCCCAAAATAATCAAACCACTTAATAATACACTCTAAATATAATAAGTCTGTACAATACATTTTTCTGCATAGATAAAGATAATTTTGGCAAATATTAACTTAGGCATATGTATGCAAAGGCCAACCTAACTTTTTCACATTATCTCATTCCTCCACAAATATACAAATGCTCAGTAGTGTTTATAGTTACTGCCATGAAGTATTTTTGTATCTTCAAGAGTGCCTTTGGGTTTTTGTCTGTAGGAAGGCTTTGATTGCCAAAAGTAGTTTCATCAACAGTGGAAATTAAAAGTAACCTTCAAGATCCTTTTAGACATGAGTAGGCTTTCTGGGGACAACTCTGTAGGAAAACTGACTGAAAAAGATAGGCTATTCACCAGACACTGAGCTGAATAATTTAAGTGTGGTGAGCTCAATCTCCTTTTATACTGTTTTCTCATTGAACATTGATTGAAATGTCATTAAAAATAATGAATGGCTAAATATATGTTACCCAAATTATTTCAATGCCTATTATCTAAAATGATCAAATGATTTTCATAATGGATGCCATTATGAAAGACTCAGTTTTTTGCTCTTGCCTGTTCTTGCTGTTCCTGTTGTGATAACTCAAGGCACATTCATCAGACTCCATGTGAACTGGCTGGAGTGACAGTTGGTGAATCAGCAGTTGGCCAAATGATGAACTAGAGCGTAGTCTGTCATTCACATGTTTCTCTAGTGAGGACTAATCTTATCCTAGGAATGATGTAAACTTTTCTAATGTTATTATCAAGGGTTGAATTGAGCATTCAGGAAATGCTCCACATGCTATAATTTGGTCTTCTGAAAATTAGGTTCCAATCTTTGTGCAATTCATCTTTAAATATTTTGGCAACAAACAAAATGTCTTTTTCAAATCCTTTTCTTTTTCTCCTCTGAAAATCATTTATCGGCCTATATAAACCAGAAATACTGGCATGATTTGGTCCAAGCATACTATTTCAGTGCTTGTCTCTATGGTGGCATATTTCAATGATGTCAGTAGATTTCCAGGACTTTACATTAGTGTTCACTTCATCCCTGCAGATGATCCATCAATTTTATTTTCTAATGACGTACCTGCAATGGCACTCTTTCTTACAGTATATGTCTCTAAGTACAGAATTCCTTGTAGCTCAGTGCTCTCATCTTATGTTACCAAAAATGTAATTTTGAATGCTTTGGCTAACAAATGAAAATTGAATTTAGTATGGCAATCTATTTAGAGAAAACTCATTATGTATTTCTTTTTGCCCCTGTAGCTTAACAAACTGGAAAATTTGAAGTAGCATCATGATCATCATCACCAAAAGCAATAACAGCAGCATAAGCACAATTTACATTAAAATGCCTAAGAGATATTTATGATTTATACTGGACCTCATCAGTTAGAATCATATCTGTTGACTTATTGATAGAAATCTACTTACAGTGTATTTATTTGTGTATTCTGGGATGTAGTAGACTCAAAATTAGTTACTACAGTCTCAGACCACATGGTGTATCTCCTCTCAAAAGCAAAATTATATTTTCTATCTCTACCAGTAGATAAAGATTTGTTCATATCTCACTGGAACCTAAAAGGTTATTTACAATAAATGGAAACATTATGAACAAATGCTGTACAATGTTTGGAATAGAAAGGGTCTTATTTGAAATGACATTTTAATTTAAAATACCTTTTTTACAAATGTTAACAATTTATGGAATTAATATGCTAAAATTACGTGAAGAGTTTGCCCCATTCAAAATGTAACTCAATCATGGAATAGCATGCAAACCCTAACTAAATGTAAAAGAGAGACAGATTTAGGACTTTAATAATATAACATTGCAAAAATAAAAGTTTTTAATAAATGTTAGTAAGACAAGTGAGTTAAAAGAAACAAATGTGTATACTTATGCTACTATATGCTGCTATAAAAATGTGTTTTTACTTATAGTGGCAATTGTTTATTGATCTTTTAGAACTACCAGATAAATTGCATAGATGTTCTTATTTAACTGGAGATATAAATATATTTGACTGGGTCTTGCTCTGTCACCCAGGCTGGAGTACGGCAGTGTGATCATAACACACTGTAGATCAAACTCCTGGGCTCAAAGGATCCTGTCACCTCATCTTCCTGAGTACCTAGGACTACAGGTGCCTAATACCACACTGGGCTAATTAATTTTTTTTTTTTTTTTTTTTGTAGAAATGAGGTCTTACTATGTTGCCCATACTGGTCTCAGACTCCTGCCCTCAAGTGATCCTCCCACCTCAGCCTCCCAAAGTGCTAGGATTACAGGCATAAACCACTGTGCTGGCCTTATTTTATGTATTTTAATTATTATTATTATTATTTAGAGACAGGGTCTCACTCTGATGTCTAGGCTGGAATGCAATGGTGCAATCATAGCTTACTGTAACCTCAAACTCTTCAGCTGAGGCAATCCTCCTGCCTCAGCCTCCTACATAGCTGGGACCACAGGCATGTGCCACCATGCTCAGCTAATCAGCCAAATTATTTTATATTTAGTACTTTAACTTCATTTTCAAAACTTAAAAGACAGATCTTCAGTGATGTTCATAAAGTTCTCTAACTTCTGAGAGGTGATAAGTGGCTGAGTTTGGATACCAACTACAGTCTTCTGGGTAGGTAAAGACTGTACCTTCTACTAAGCTGCTCTGCTGCATAAGTTAAAATCAATCAACTCAAATAATAGGAATCTTATGCAGTGTTTTTTGTTTGTTTGTTTGTTTTTGTTTTTGTTTTCTTGAGATTGCTGTGTCGCCCAGGCTGGAGTGCAGTGGCGCGATCTCAGTTCACTGTAACCTCCACCTCCCGAGTTCAAGCAATTCTCTGTCTCAGCCTCCCAAAATGCTGGGATTACAGGTGCCTGCCAACACACATGGCTAATTTTTTGTATTTTTAGTAGAGACGGGGTTTCACCCTCTTGGCCAGGCTCGTCTTCAACTTCTGAGCTCGTGATTCACCTGCCTCAGCCCCCCAAAATGCTGGGATTACAGGCATGAGCCACCATGCCTGGCATTTTGTTTGATTTAAAATCAACTTTCCTATTAAATACTTGTAAAATAACCATGGGTTGGCAGGGAAACAGAGATCAATATTTTCTGCAAATGAGAGCAAATAGGTAGGATAGTCCATTTGCAAATTCTTTTCTAAAATTAGATTATAATAAATAAAAATTGAAAATAAAAACTTAGTCAAAACTTAAAATTTTAGTCCAGTGGACAAGTTTCAAGACTAGTTCAGCCTCAACTTTAGAAAGGAAGTGACTATTTCAGATAATCTCTTCATTATCATCATTGTCATTCAGATTCCAAGAAAAGAGCCAATTGATCAAATAAATGGAATGGAAAAGTTAATTTATATACTTTTACACATCTCAAGTATTAAACACTTAAAATACTTTTCACAGAGAATAAGGTGTTCGTAGGGCAAGCTAAAGAAGCGATTTAAAAACAATTTGATATATCTCTTTTGATAAGTATTCTGGGTGTTCTTTTGAATGTGATCTTTGTTTAATCCTAATAGTTGTTATATGGTAATCCAGAGTTCTGAAATGTTATGTACTTGTTTTTTTTTTCCTCTCTTTTTTAACAATTTCAACTTTTATTTTAGATTAAATACGCATATGCAGATTTGTTACATGGGTATACTGCACCCAGGTAATGAGCATAACACCTGATAGGTAGCTTTTCCTCCCATGCCGCCTCCCTACTTCTCCCCCTAGTAGTCTGCAGTGTCAATTGTTCCCATGTGTATGTTCCTGTGGCCTTAATGTTTAGCTCCCACTAACAATGTGAGAACATTGATTTTCTGTTCCTGCATTAATTCACTTAGGATTATGGCTTGCAGGTCCATCCATGTTGCTGCAAAGGGCATGATTTCTTTCCTTTTTATTGCTATGCAATATTCCATAGTGTGTATGTATATTTTTTAATCCAGTCCACTATTGATGGGCACCTAGTTTGAGTTTGTTGTCTTTGCTATTGTGAATAGTGCCATGATGAAGATCTTTTGGGTTTAATGACCTATATACCCAGAGATGGTATTGCTGGGTCAGAGTGTTCCCTTTTCTCCACAGCCTTGTCAGTATATGTTGTTTTTTGACTTTCTGATAATAGCCATTCTGACTGGTGTGAGTTGATATTTATTTAATTGTGATTTTGATTCGTATTTCTCTGATGATCATGAGCATTTTTTCCTATTTGTTGGCCACTCGTATGTGTTTTTTTTGAGAAGTGTCTGTTCATGATCTTTTCCCATTTTAAAAATCAGGTCGTTTTTTGCTTGTTGATGTGTTTAAGTTCCTTATAGATTCTGGATATTAGACCTTTGTTGGATGCACAGTTTGTAGATATTTTCCCCCATTCTTTTTTTTTAAATTTTCCCCCATTCTGTAGGTTGTCTGTTTACTCTGTTGATGGTTTCTTTGCTGTAGAGAAGCTATTTCATTTAATTATGTTCACTTGTCAATTTTTGTCTTAGTTGCAATTGCTTTTGGGGACTTAGCCAAAAATCCTTTGCCAAGGCTGATGTTGAAAAGGGTATTTCCTAGGTTTTCTTCTAGGGGTTTTATAGTTTGAGGTCTTATACTTAAATCTTTATTTCATCTTGCATTAATTTTGGTATACGGTGAAAGGTAAAGGTAGAGTTTCATTGTTGTGCATATGGCTAGCCAGTTATCCAAGCACCATTTATTGAACAGGAAGTCCTTTCTCCATTGCTTGTTTTTGTCAGCCTTTGTAACGGTTGTAGGTGCGCGGCTTTATTTATTATTAATGAGTTTTCTATTCTGTTCTGTGGTCTGTGTGTATATTTTTGTACCACTACCATGCTGTTTTGGTTACTGTATCCTTGAAAGTATAGTTTTAAGTCAGAGAATGATGCTGCTGGGTTTGTTCTTTTTTGATAAGGATTACTTTGGCTATTTGGGATTTTTTTTTTAGTTCCATACAAATTTCAGAATAGTTTCCTATAATTCTGTGAATAATGACATTGGTAGTTTTATATCAATAGTGTTGAATCTATAAATTGTTTTGGGCAGTATGGCTATTTTAACAATTGATTTTCCCTTTCGATGAGCATGGAATGTTTTCCATTTATTTGTGTTGTCTCTGATTTCTTTCAGCAATGTTTTGTAGTCTCCTTGTAGACATCTTTCACCTCCTTAGTTATCTGTATTCCTGAGTATTTTATATTTTTTCTTGTGGCTACTATAAATGGAATTGGGTTCTTGATTTGACTAACAGCCTGGACATTATTGGTGTATAGAAATGCTACTGACATTTATACACTGCTTTTGCATCTTGATCCTTTTTAAAATCATTTATTGCCCTAGTAGCCTTTTGATGGAGTCTTTAGAGTTTTTGAAATATGGAATAATATTGTCAGCAAAGAGATAGTTTGATTTCCTGTCTTTCTATTTGGATGCCTTTTCTTTCTTTCTCTTGCCTGATTACTCTGTCTAGGAATTCCAGTAGTATGTTGAATAGGAGAGGTGAGAGTGGTCCTCTTGTGTTGTTCAGGTTCTCAAGGATAATGGTCCTAGCTTTTGCCCGTTCAGTATTTATACTGGCTGTGGGTTTGTCACTTGTGGCTCTTATTATTTTGAAGTATGTTGCTTTGATGCCTAGTCTCTTAAAGGGATGTTGGATTTTATCAAAAACTTTTTCTGTATCTATTGAGATGATCATATGGTTTTTTTCTCTTAGTTGTGTTTATGTGGTGAATCACACTTACTGATTTGCATATGTTGAACCAACCTTGCATCCCAGGAATAAAGCTTACTTAATTGGGGTGAATTATCTTTTTGATGTGCTGCTAGATTTGGTTTGCTAGTATTTTGATGAGGATATTTGCATCTATGTTCATCAGGGATATTGGCCTGATTTTTTTTTTTTTTTTTTTTTTTGGTCATGTCTCTGCCAGATTTTGGTGTTAGGGTAATGCTGTCTTCCTAGAATAAATTAGGAAGAAGTGCCTCCTCCTCAATTTTTTGGAATAGTTTCAGTAGGATCAGTACCAGTTCTTCTTTATATGTCTAGTGGAATTCGGCTATGAATCCGTCTGGTCTAGGGCTTTTTTTGGTTGCTGGGTTTTTATTACTGATTCATTTTTAGAGCTTGTTATTGGTTTATTCATATTTTCAATATCTTCCTGATTCAATCTTGGAAGATTGTGTTTTTTCTAGGAATTTATCCATTTCCTCTAGATTTTCTAATTTGTGCGCATAGAGTTGTTTATACTATTGTCTAGGGAATCTTTTGTATTTCTTTAGGAACAATTGTAATGTCATCTTTGTCATTTCTGATTTTACTTATTTGAATCCTCCTTTTTTCTCTGTTAATCTGGCTAGCAGTCTATTAATCTTGTTTATTTGCTTTGAAGAACCAGTTCTTGGTTTCATTGATCTTCTGCATTAATATTTGTACTTAATTTTGTTAAGTTCTTCTCTAATTATAGTTATTTCTTTTCTTCTGCTAGCTTTAGGATTGGTTTTATTTTTTTTTTCCAGATCCATTAGGTTCAACATTTGATTGTTAATTTGAGATCTTTCTAACTTCTTTATGAAGATGTTTAGGGCAATAAATACTCCTCTTAATACTGCATTAACTGCATTCCAGAGATTTTGGTAAATTGTGTCCCTGTTTTCTTTAATTTCAAAGATTTTAAAAATTTCTGCTTTAACTTTGATGTTCACCCAGAAGTTATTCAGGAGCATGTTGTTTAATCTCTATATATTTGTGTTGTTTTGAGAGATCTTGATATTGATTTCTATTTATATTGCACTGTGGTCTGAGGGTTTGCTTGGTGTGACTTCATTTTTTTAAATTTATTGAGACTTGCTCAATATGATGAAGCATGTTGTCAATCTTAGAATACATTCTGTGTGCAGATGAGAATAATGTATATTCTGTGGTTGTTGGGTGACATGTTCTGTAGATGCCTATTTTGTCCAGTTGGTCAAGTGTCATGTTTAAATCCATAGTTTCTTTGTTAGTTTTCTACCTTGATTATGTAATGCTGTCAGTGGGTTATTGAATTCTCCTACTATTATTATGTGGTTGTCTAAGTCTTTTCACAGGACAAGAACTTATTTTATGAGTCTGAGTCCTCCAGTGTTGGGTGCATATATATTTAGAATGGTTAAGTCTTGTTGAATTATACCCTTTATCATTGTGTAATGTCCTTCATGGTCCTTCTACATTTTTATTGGCTTAAAGTCTATTTTTTCTTATATAAAAATAGTGACTTCTTCTCTTTTTTCTTTTCTGTTTGCATGGTAGATCTTTCTCAACCCTTTGAGCCAATGAGTGTCATTATATATGAGATGGGTCTCTTGAAGACAACAGATGGTTGGGTCTTGTCTTTCCATTCAGCTTGCCACTTTATGTCTTTTAAATGGAGTGTTTGACCCCACTTAATTCAAGGTTAGCATTGATATGTGTGATTTTTGATCCTGTTAGCTGGTTGTGCAGTTGCTTTAAAGTGCCTGTGGGCTATCTGCTTAGGTGTGTTTTGTGGTAGCAGGTGTTTTTTTCATTCCATGTTTAGCACTCTCTAAGGACCTGTTGTAAGTCTGGTTTCTTTGAAACAAATTCCCTCAGTGTTTGCTTATCTGAAAAGGATTTTATTTCTCCTTCACTTATGAAGCTTGGTTTGGTAGGATATGAAATTTTTGATTGGAATTTTTTTTTCTAACAATGCTGAAAATAGGCCCTCAATCTCTTCTGGTTTATAAGGTTTCTGCTGAGAAGTTTGCTGCTAACCTCATAAAGTTCCCTCTGGATGTGATTTGACCTTCTCTCTGGTTGACTTTAAGATTTTTTCATTTGTGTTGATCTTGATGAATCTAATGACTATGTTCCTTGGGGATGGTAGTCTTACATTGTATCTAGCTGGGGTTTTCTATATTTATTTGCATGCCAACCTCTCTAGTGAGATTAGGAAACTTTTAATGGACTATATCCTCAAATATATTTCCCAAATTGCTTATTCTCTCTCAGGAATAGAAAGGAGTCATAGATTTTGTCTCTTTATATAATCCCATATTTCTTGGAGGTTTTGTTCATTCCTTAAAACTTCTTTTTCTTATCTTTTTTTTTTGGTCTGAGTTAACTTAAAGAACCAGCCTTCAAGCTCTGAGATTCTTTCCTCAGCTTAGTCTTTTCTGTTCTTAATACATCTAATTGTATTATGAAATTCTTGTAGTGAATTTTTCTAGAATTTCAGTTTTGTTTTTTTTTTTTTCTTAGAATGACTGTTGCTCTGGGATTATTTTACTGGATTCCTTGAATTCACTGGATTGGATTTCAGTATTCTCCTGAAACTTGATGAGTGTCCTTGCCATCCAGATTCTGAATTCTATGTCTGTCATTTCAGGCTGGTTAAGAACCATTGTTGGGGAGCTAGTGGACTCGTTTGGAGGTAAGCGGACATACTGGCCTTATGAATTAGCAGAATTATTGTGCTGATTCTTTCTCATTTTGGAGGGTTGGTGTTCATTTAACTATGATATAAGTTGAGTATAGTCACTTGGCTTCATTTCTGGATGCTTTCTGAGGGTCAGGGCTCTGCATAGGATCTTTATGTATGGGTGAATTGTTGTGCTTGTTTTCACAGGCATATATGTTATTAGCAGGATAATTTTTGTTGTTGTAGTTTGGGCTGTGATGCAGTAGATGGTGCTTAAGAGTAATGGCTTATAGGTAGGCTAATACCAAACTGTACCACTTTATGTACTTCACTCAGTTTGCAGACATGCTCTGTGGTTGAGGGGAGATACACTACTCCCTCACCAGGTCTGCTCATGGCCCACTGGGGAGCCCCTTTCAATCAATGGCACCATGTCCACATTTCTTTTGTTAGGTGCTCTGGGCCGTGGGGCTCCCTTAAGGAAAGGCTACAGCAGGGAGATATGCCACAGCCTTTCTGGAATGGTCCTTCAGAAGGAAGCTCACCCCACTTCCACCCTGGCCCAAGAACCTGTGCATCTCACCTGTTGCAGTGCTTTTAAGATGGGGGCTCCTTCCCTGCTCAGGTGCAGGCTACAGAGCTTGGCTCATTCTCCCCAGCTGTGTGCTGCATCCCTGGGGGTATCCCATGGCTCAGAGTTGGGTTCTAGTTGTGCTGAGGGATCTGATGTGCTCTTGGGTTACCAGGAAAGTATTCTTGTGGAACAATGCACTCAGACTGGACTGCAGAGGCCTCACTGTGAACTTTTTTCTGCAGAACAGTTAGGCATGGACCCTATGGGGGCCAGTGGGCAGGAGAGGCCAGTGGGCAGGAGGGCTTATGGAATACACGTGCTCTAGTCCCACAGGGAAACCAGCCCTGCTCTCTCTTAGCTCAGAGGTCAGCTAAGGCCAGTGCCTCCCGGAGGTGCATAGAGATCCCTGGAGCGTGGCCATCTATGGCTGCTCTCTGCTGGAGCTGCCCAGTGAACAAACGCTCCCAGGCTCCATGCTGTCTGAAGGCTTGTCTCTGCCTGCTCCCTAGGAAGATCCTCCAGACAATTCATAAGTCCATGGGGGATGTGGGGTCCCCTGTAGCAAGGATCCCAGAGGTTCATGACAAGTGTGAGTCATCCTTCATTCACTTCTTTCCCAGGAACCATTCAGGTTCAGGAGCTAGCTCTAGCATTCAGGTACCCTGCATGGGGTTCCCAGCTTCCTCCCTGTTCAGTCTCAGCTTCAGCATCACCTCTTCATTGAGTTCGGCATTTTCTTTCTGAAGACATTCCCGAATTATGGTGGTTTACTTGATAATTTGGTCTCTCTGAGTGGGAGCAGTGCCTCCTGGCTGCATCTAATCAGCCATCTTGTTCCCCCTTCCCCATGTCCTGCACTTTTAAAGATGTCTACAGTGATCAACATTATCCAATAAACTGACTGAGCAATAATGCAATATAAGTATTTTGTAAAAGTGGAGAAAAGTGTAGAATGCATTATACATTAACTTGAGTAATACAATAATATCAGGTTCAATTTGTAGAAAATTATTTTGGTCATATTTAATATGACCAAAGATAAGGGAAATAGCAGCAATGATGATACTTTATTATTTCTTAGTATAATAATATTTCAGACTTGTGGTTTGTTCTTTCCTCTCTTTTATATATATGGATATATAGATAGATACTGATATTTTATTTTGTGCTGCCAAAATAATCAGTCTGCTTAACTTATTTTTTCCCAATATTCTTACATTTTGCCTAACAGACTTGCACTTCTTTAAATTTGCATTTCCTTCTTATTCTTTTTTAGTCTTTCTCCAATTTGCTCTTCTATTTTTAACATATTTGATTTCTTTTTTAAATTCTAGAACTTATTTTTTTAAAAATCTGAATAAAATTCTCTTTGTCCTCTGCTATTTTCCCCTATTCAGTCTGTAAGAACTACTCATTTCCACCATATTAGAGCTTAACTACTCCAATGTCACTATTCTCAACCTGTTGTTTATAAAGCCAGTGAAAAATAGCAAATTCAAAACGTCTTTCCAGAACACACATCGGGACCAAGAATGTATGTCTTAAAGGGTATAGTACAAAAATTGTGACGTATAGGTATGAATAGAGTAAGTATCGAAGGTGATCAGCGATCAGAAGATTTTGTGTGTATGTGTTATGTATGAGTGTGTGTGTGTGTACATAAATGTGCATGTATGCCATTTTAATTTTAATTTAACAAGAAATCAACTAAAATTGGTGGGTGGAGGCTAGTTATTTATTCAAAGTGTATCAAGATAGAGATAAGTAAATAATATAGTGAAAGATAAAACATCTATCTATGTAGATGTAGGAATGCAAAGAAACAGTATGAAAACACAAATGGCGAATCAACTTCCTTAACTTCCTTAATGCTTATAGCCTACATCATTCTGCTTGTGTGTTTTAAATTTCATCATGGATTTAATGAAAGGTATAGAAGAAACTGCAAGGCAGGGTTAGAAAGCAGAGCACACTGGGGATTCAGAAACTATGAACTATGAACTATCTGAACCAAGTTAGGAGATTTGGTTGAAGAGATTTTATCTACAAGGGGAAGATTAAAGATGCTTAACGAATTTGAAATATGTGACCAAAGGCTCTTTGCCAGCTCTTCTCCAGCTTGCTCTAGACCAGACAAAGAACTTCATTTAAAGTACAGCATGAGAAATGATTCTGATGAAAGGATTTGTTAAATGCTGTTACAGAAGTCAAGTACAAGGTCCTCAAAGTCATTAATCATAGAATTTAGATTTACTCATTCATGGTTGTGTCTTAGTCCTCCTTGTAACTTAGATTTATTCCATTTTAGTGATTTTATGTGGTTTACTTTAGAAAAAAATGCCTTAATGATCCAACTGGACCAAAATAATATGATCATCTTTAAAAGCCATTAAAATGACATTCAAAATCTAAAAGTGAGTGAATCAGTGATCATGAGGACATTCAAATATTGCATCTCAGGCCTCATAAAATCCATTGATACCATATTTTTCTCTAAACCAGAAATATTTAGGCCAAAATGGTTCAAGCTATTTTGATCATTTATTTTTTTTATCTGGTCTGGGACCCTGGGCCTAATGTCTTACTGAGTAAAAATCAATTGCTAGTAATTATACTAGAATAAGTACACAATATTGGAAATCAGAAAACAACCTGATCCTTGAGCCAATCTTCAATACGTTTATGGTGCTGAGTCTTACTTTCCTTAGCTATAAAATAAGAGGATTGGACTAGATTCCTACAAGTGGTTGCTCCCATTTTAATTGCTTTAATCCTAGGAATCTACTATATTTAAAAATCCAAAAGAGCTGTATTAAAGGACAGTGTGACAATGTGAATATGGACGTTGTAGAGAGTTTCAGACAAGTCTTAAATGTTTACAATATAGCCATCCTGCTACATAAAAGTTTGTCTCCCAGAGGATATATCTAAATCATTCTTTGGCCTGCCTTAGCTCTGGGAGAGACTAAACAAGCATCATGCATGAATTGTGCATGCTTGTAAAGCACACAGAAATATGTTATTAGAAAGTAGTATTTAACCTAAATAGAAAATCAGTAAAGTAGCATTTTAAATTATCTTGTAGCCTGATGAAAATTCAATTAGAACATGACACCCAAACATTTAGGAAATGAAGAAGTTTTCTAAGTACTTTAAAAAAGGAAAGAGAGATTGACTCTTCATATTTTCAAGAAGTAATTGGGAGAGTTATGTGAACTGGAAGAGGCCTCAGATGTGAAATGAACTAGGCTTCATGTAAATGAAAGGTATAATGATGGCTAAAACACGTACAAATCAGATAGCACCTGCCTGAAGTACTTAGACCGGGGAAAGAAGGAGAAGAAAGAAGATAGTGTTCAAAATGTTTGCTTAGATATTGATTAGAAGGTGAAATGTCAACTGGGCTTTCTTGCTAGACTGGGTACCTAGCAAACGCGATCCCATGAAATAGGCAAAAAGAAGTAAAGAATATGCACATCAACTATTTTATGTGACATGGTCTCAAGTTAGCGATTGATATACTAAGAGTGTTTGCCTTTGAGATGTTTTTCCCCAGTAATAGTATCTAGATTGCTTGAAGAAATTACTTTAAGTGCTTTAAGAAACCACTTAAAATCTGATAAATTCACTAGATGAATAGAATAGAATGAAAGACCAATGAATTATGCTTTTAATGAATTTATTGCAACTTTGTTGTCATTTTCTACTTCACACTTCTTTTTACCACGTATATTTTATAGCAAAAACACACAATTTTTCCGTGTGGGTGAGAATTTGAGTTATAGCCACAATATTATTGTTGAAGTATGTTTTTCAAAGTGTTTACAATAAAATGACTCTGGTAGTATGTTACAATATTGTGAAAGAATAATAATAATGATCATTAAAAGCAAAGTAATGAACAAAACCAGAAGCCACAAAGAAACCTTTCCAAGAGAGCATTTCCAACATTTTATATAAGGATGAATATATTCTTATATTTCCTTATATGGAGAATAATATATATGACATGCTGGAAGAAGAATAAAATAACTTAAAAAAAGAGAGAACGAACCAAACACAGAATGTACTTATTTTTGTTACTGTTCAAATTATTATGATGGGAGTTGCACAATAATGTTTAACAAGCACAAGCTTCAGACTCCATCACATCTGAGTTCAAAGCCTAAGCCCTAGGAGCTTGGTCAAAAGCCTCAATCTTTGTGAGTCTGTTTGCTCATCTATAATATGTGGATGGCAGTTCTGAGCTTATAGAATTTTCATTATAATTAAGTGAAATCACAAAACCAAATCAGTTCCTCTTAAGTGAGAAAAAGTGGCAAACTTTGTTGTTACTATTTTAATATTTATTATGAATATTTATACTTACTACCTTTTTCAATATCTATAATTAGACAATAAAAATATTTCCATTTTAAGGCATTCAATAATAGCTCTGTTAGCTTATAAAATGCTTCCTTGAGTTTCTTTTGGTTTGGTAAACATTTTTTTAAAAACCTTCATTGAGATTGCTTGGTTTTCAATATGATAAAGTGTAGGTCTCTATTTTAAACATCTTTTCTGAGAAGATAAGTAGCTATGTGATTTGCAAAATGCACAGCTTGTAAGTCTTGTAACTTTAAAATATTTCCCTTCTACTCTCTGCCTGCAGCCCTTCATCTCTCCGTTTCTTGGTCACCAGTTGAGTACAAACTCTCTGGTTTTAAAATGTTATCTATGTAAATTCTTCTGCCACAGCTGGACAAGATGCATTCAAGAGTTTTTCTGTTTCCTGTGTGGTGAAGCAGCTTTCCCCTAACGACTATTTCCCATCAGTACCACAAAGACCTACCTTCTTAACCACTGTTTCAACGGTTTCTTACCACTTCCACCTTTCTGTAGAACATTTCATTTGGAAGGAGAGTCACAAATACTTGTTCACTGGGCTGTTCAGACTGATAACGTCTCTTGGGACTTGAACATTGATGCACAATTCTCATCTGGAAAAAAAATTCAACTGTCAAACATTGGCAAAGAATACCAGAAATGAAAACAAACTCTTTTCTGTCTTAGTGTCACCATAAGATAATTTGTTTTGCTCTCTTAGAGAATAAAATTCTTTACCTTTTTTCTAAAAATCAAAGTAAAAACATTTCATTATTTGTCTATTTTGCTTACTTTAGCAAAAATTTTAATACATTTGGATTCTAAGCATGTGTTTTACTGATAAATGCATTAAATTGTTATTAGAAACTTTAGACCTAAGAATAGAAAATCAAATGAGATTGACAAACATGGTAACATAGGCTTAATTTTTTAATAAGGAATGAGAGAATTCTAGTACTTTATTCTAATACAATAAATAATGTCAAGACTTTTCTTTACATGTTCAAGATTTTTCATCTAAAAAAAGACCCATGTTAATTATTAACTGCAGAAACAAATTATAAGTATTATGTCTACATTTCTTATAAAGAAATAATATCTTAATATAGCCTTTAAAAATCATAATTATTTTACCTGCTCATTTGTAAAATACTAAATGTATTTGAATTATTTTTCATAAATTAAGGAATTATAAAAGTTTAACTGTCATTTGTATATTATATCTTGATCTTTTCATTCATTTTTATTTTCTGGATTTATGGTCTTTGTTCTTATGGTTTTCATTCTGTTATATGTTTCCAAGATATTTTCAAATAGAGTTTTAACTGAGTGATGCTAGATTAGAACATTTTCTAGTTCAAAATATTTGATGATTCAATAACATAAATTATGTTATGGCTCAAAATTACCCCTCCCCTCAATAAGCACACACTGATAAGCAATGACATGTGTGGAATAAAAATGACAAGAAAGTATGGCTCTGTCTCAACAAAAGGCAGAACTGACAGCTAATGTTTGTTATTGCTCTAAGCACCAGAAAGTGTGTACTAAAGAATACTAGGTTTTTAGACTGTGAATAGGTGTTCCACATACAACTACAGACATGCCAATATCTACTGGAATAAATTGGATAATTTCTTGCTGAAATAAAGTTAAGTTGGTATCTTTACACAGGTGTTCTCATAGACTTTGATGTGTTAACACTGTGAACATTCCAGAGAAGGATATGGCACAGATCTCTTGAAGCACCTCCTAAAACTATGAAAACACCCTTCGGCTCTATTAATATGTAAAACAAATATTGGCAAATTGTTGATTAAGAATCTGCTTATGCTGTTTTTCTGTACATTTAAGTAACCACAAATTGTGTTTTTTCTTTCACAATATGTCACTTCCTTTCCATTCTCAATGTCCCCACCCTAGTTTGGGCTTTTGCCTCTCTCTGCCCACCTCTAGTTTCTCTTCTTGTTCCATCCTATGAATTTAATCATATTAATCTTCTTAATGCAGCTCTAATAAGATCACAAATTTCTTTGAATATTTGCCACAGTTTCCTTTATGAAGAGCAAAAATCTTTCAAAATGTAATCTGATATGCAGGGGTATCTATAATGCAATCCCAACCAACTTTCTAACGTTTTTTTTTTTTCAAATGGCATTATTTCTTGACCCACCTGTTTGATGAATTGACCTGGTCACCAGTCATGTCAGAGATTTATTTTCTCTGATCTTTTGATCACATTAGTCCTTTGTCTGGAATATGCTCAACCAGCTTGTTCCTATTGAGATCCAGTGTAGTCCATTCCTTGGTTCAAATTGAAATGAAATTTCCAGCATGGAACTCTCAGATTCTTCCAACAGGACAAAGCCTTCCCCTCATCTGAAACTCCATAAAAGTTTCTTACAAAACTTTTGAGGTATATATCACATCTGTGTGTAGTTGCCTCAGTTGCCTGTCTAAACTGTGAAATGGTTTGGGATAGGAGATAGAACATCAGGGAGAGATTTCTGCTAGGAAGTCCATGGCTTTAGGCAGTGGTCAGTTATATATGAAGTGGGTGCAGGGGCATTCATCTGATGAGTTTATTATTCTGATAAAGTAAATGCTAAAACATTTCAGAATCACTTCTTTAAGAGAAGAGCTACAAGATACTCATATTACCTTCGGCAAAACAGCTTTTATTATTTTATCCTTTTTATACTTTATTGAATACACCAAATTTAGAGTGTGTTTTCCAAATATTTTATATGCCTTCATATTTGCTTTTATTCTTTGAACAGAAGATAGAAAAAAAATTCCTCTGTCCAAAAGAGTACATCTTCTTTTCCTCCTTTTACTAGTGCTATTGCAGTCCTTCAAGACCCTAAACCATGCTAGCCCCAGATAGGTATGTTAACCTTAAAGACAGCGCCTAGGAAATTCTTGAGTGCATCACATCTAAAAATCTCTATTTATGAACATTAGACATTATTGTGATTTTAAAATTTCCCTAAGGCAAAAAATAAACTAAAATATTCTAAGTAGAAAATAAATAAATACATATAAATAATTTTACATTAAAGCAATTAAGAAAATTTCTCCCTAAGACAGCTGTAATTTCAGGGCAACTGTAGAGCCCTACCAGGACTGAAAGATCATCTTACATCTAGGATAATCTGTTCATTAGAGTTGTGGAGGGGAACTCACAAACATGAATCAATATTTCTAATACATAATACTTTATGCTGTAGACCACATCTTTAAAAGAATTCTGTTCTCTTCCAAAGAGCAGTAGGGACATAGACCCCGAGTTATACTTGAGGAACCTTCAGCAAGAGCATTACGATAGATTCCCAACAACTAGAATCCTTTCTTGGAATGCATAATGGAAAGAAAATACCTGCTTTTAAACCTTCCTCTCAGCTTTTACCTTAGGTTCACAACAGACTTGATTTTAATGTAACTAATGTGTCCGTATCCAAGGTTCTTCTCCCATCCTTAATTCAAAGCAATTTTGATAAAAGTAAAGGTGAGTTAGCTATATGGATTTGAGCTCATGTAAGTGAAGGTAGCCTTCAGAGCTACAATTTACATGTGGTAAGGCTTTATTACTTCTGGGCTATCTACTCTCATGTAACTGACAGGTGGTAGGTTAATGTATATAGAACACACACGTATATATTTGATATACTTCCTGCTAATGTGCATGCAGATTATTTAGACATCTGGAATCAATTTAACAATTGTGTGAACTTTACGTAAATAGCCATTATCCGACTTAATGACTTTAGTGGTTGCAGTTGCCAGGGTTGTCAGTGGTCCTGGCATAGGAAATTTGAATTGAAGAAGATTACTTCCCTTTGGGCTCTTTCACTAGAAGATCAGTTTGAATCAAAGAGAAAAATACCTGCTCAAACTCATTATCAAAACTGGATAATGGTAAATGGCAGCCTGTGGGAAATCTAAAGACAATTTAATTTATTTCTCTAATGAAGGGACCAGCATTATTATTTAAAATTAGTCCCTTATCTTACTTATACCTATTCTCTAGGCAAATATTTTAGAATGGATTGGAAGTCATTTCTTTTTAAATTTATACTATTTATCACTCGCTATTGCTGCCCTGAGTGATTTGTACAATATAAATGATTTGGAGGTAAAACCAAGGAATTATGTGGTTTAGGCAGGCTTCGAATTTAATAAAAATAATCCTTTGATGTCTAAAAAAAATTTTATACTATGCTGACCAAATAGAGTGCAGGAAAATATTGCCTCTTTGTTTATTTAGCCCTAATCAATTATAGAAAGGTATCAAACAGGCTTGACTATTTCATTTTTGGACAATTAAATGTCACTTAGTCTCTGTTTTTTAAAGATAGCCAAGAAGAAAAAGAATAGTGCTAAAAATAAGTGAGTTAAAATTCTGATGGAATTTTGATTTTAAATAATGAATAAACATTAATTTTAAAATTTAGAAAGTCCAAATAATTTAGGGGGAAGATAACAGTGAGTCTCAACAAATGACATTTTATTCAGCCAGCAAGAGCAACTATAAATGTAGAAATTGTAAATATCATTAGACTTCTGCAAGGATAATCATTAAGCAGAAATCTACCGATTACTAAACAATTTATTCCACTTGGGTCCTACAAAAATTTATCCAAATTGTGGATTTTAAAAAAAATTCAGATCCAGTTATACTACCCTATTATATAACACATTTCTTTCTTAAAGGTAAAGATAACACCAAGAAAAGATCTCTAACTTTACAAATTATTTAAATATTATTATTTAATGACCTTCTTTTTTCATGCAAAATTATTTTCTTAATTATATCTTTAGATAATATTCTCCCAGAATGAACTCCTAGTATTGTTTATGCCATCTTTCAAAATAGAAATCCAAATTATAGCCTTCTTTTGCAATTTCTCAAATACAGCTATCAGCTTTCAAACAAATTGTTGCCCAGGATTCTCATTCTACCAAACTATGAGATAAATGGGGCCGGGAATGGTGGATCACAGTTGTAATTCAGGTAGTTTGGGAGGCAGAGGTAGGAAAATCACTTGAGCCCAAAGTTCGAGACCAGCCTGGGCAACATAGTCAGATTCCTGTCTCTACAAAAAGCTTAAAAAATTAATTGCATATGGTGGTGTGCACCTGTAGTCCCAGCTACTAAGGAGGCTGAAGCAGAATGATTGCTTGAGTCCAGGAGTTCAAGGTTGCAGTGAGCTGTGATCACACCACTACACTCCAACCTGGGCAACAGAGTGAGATCCCATCTCTATTTTAAAGAGACAGAGAGAGAGAGAGAGAGAATTTTATGCATATATAAACTATTGAAACCTAATGGAGAAAAGGAATAAGCAAGGAATTTTTTAAGTCCTTAGTAATCTCTCACTAAATGTATTAGCTCATAGTTTGGAACTGCCTTTGATACAAATCATCCATTTAATTTTAGATCCCAGGTCATTAATATTTTCCTAAAGCATATGCCACAACATACTACCAAAATTAGAGTGCATAACAACAGTTAAGAACAAATAAATTTCAATTTAAAAGAGTGTAAAATAATATATTATCCTAGGTCTTATTTTAATTCCAATTTATTCGATGTAGCTATTGTATTAGATGAAATGGACTAAAAGAATATAAAGTGAAATATTCATCTATACACCGATAGCATAGATTCATTTTCAGGCTCTAGCAAGTAGCTTAACAAAGCTACTGCTTTTGTTGCAATAATTAATATTTTAAAATGAGGAGAAAGTCTTTGCTGCTTAAGTTGACATATACTTCATACCTAACATGCAAGTAACATGCAGCATTGCTCAGAATCAGCCTTTCCACATATAAAGTAAAAATAACGACCGATATTAGTGAATGTTACCTATGTGGCAGTCAATTTATATACTTGATAATTTATCATTTAGAGAAAAGCTGAGGCTAGAAGGAATTAGCTTGAATATAGGTCAGACTTTTTACATTAGACTCAACCCTGCTTGCTCCATGCATTTAGATGACAAATTGAGAAAAAGGAGGAGGCTTCTGTCAGATAAAGGTGGTAGCCAAGGGGCTCTTGCCACCCACAGCGCTGAGAAGATCAATACATGGCACTCATAGACCCATTTGCAGCGAACCAGCAGGGAATGTGGCCTACAGTACATTAATCTCTATTCTTCAACACAGTAGTCACATTTTAGACATTTGTCAGAGAGTTCAACCATAAAATGACCCACTTGAGATATCTAACACTTCAAAGGTGCAGTCTAAAAATGGACCTATTCCTCATTTTGAAATTATCAAAGCTTTAGTCCTGTTTTAAGATTGAGCTTTCATTCATTTAATTTCTTTTCAGGCCCACTCTGAAGCACAGTGCTGAACCTAAGAACACTTTCAATCTAGATATGTAATGGGCATTCCTTCAACCCATTAATCCTGGATTTATTTATAGTGCTTCTGCTATGTGCCAGGCATGGCTTTAAAGTTATAGAAGAAAACAAAGCACGTCCCTGACCTCAGGAAGCTACATTCCAGTGAGAGACACCTGTTTCTCTTTCCACGTAGGCATTTGATTTTCTCTAATAAACCAATAAGCATGATGAAGCACTCATAACAGAACAATATTACAAAATATTAAGCAGGCTTCGCTACCCACCCATCCTATCTACCCCTGCAACATGCACACACATTGTCTTTCAACCCATTGGTGCTCCCCTTCCTCACTCCTTTGCTACTACAGGGCTTGAGGCTCCCATTGCCTCAAAGGAGAGGTATGACAGAGCCAGAAAATCATGATGTCAGAAAACTATTGGCTTTATGAAAATATGACTGTCCAAGGATTAAGAGAGAAGAGCTGGAAAAGTGCAAAGCATTTTCCTCTGCTCTAAATGGAGATGAGATTAAAATTTTAAAAAGGATAAAGGAAAAACCACCTCTGAAAACTTGGAGAGAAAGAGAATGGGAAAAGAAAGCAAGAAAGTCAGACTCAGGTGAGGGTCTCTTGAAAGAGCTGAGGCATCAGCTCCAGGAGATGAATGGTAGAATACCAGGAGAGAGCTAAGGAATTCTAAGCAGAAAAGACCTTGCCATTTTATGAAAGGGAAGAGAGAAAAGTTTTAGATAATCCTGAACCATGGTAATAGTTGACATGAAATATCAGCATACTGAATCCAGACGAAACCTGATCCAGCTCCCTGGTCTCTCATTTTGCAGAGTGCGCATTTTGCAGAGCATCTCAAAATGACTTCTCCTTTTAAAGGTGTGAGAAAGTAGGGAGAGAGAAATTAGGCTGAGAAAACAGAGAATGTGTGGACTGATGGCAACTTGGACAACTCCGTGGAGGCAGAAAGGGCCAGCAGAGAGTGATACACCCTGTGGACACCGACAGACATTTGGTGACCGAGGACTCAGTGTTCTCTCACCCATCTCTCAACAACTTTAGGACTCACTATCCCTAAATTAGACGCATTCAAGGGAGAAGAGGTTTAAGGAAAATCTGAAATGACTGAGTTTAAACCTTTATTTCCTAAACTTACTCAAAATTGATGACTATTACATCTTCTGATTTGAATCACATAGGGTCTTTAAAGAGAGATTTGGTTGAATTATATAAAAATTTAAAAATTATATTTTTATACCTAAATGCTCCATTAGATATATTGTCCATGTTACAAATATAAAGTAGTGGACAGTGCATATAATATTATCATTAAAGTTGAAGTTTAGATGACAGAGTCAAAAGGCATTCATCAATATTTATACTTTGCTTTTCAAATGAACTCAACTATCCTCTTATTTCACTGATGAAAATCAGTGTGAGTTATTAGTCTTATTTCAACATGATAACATTAAAAATATTGGCTTCCTGCGTGGTTCATAATAATACTTTCAATTTCAATTTCAATACTTCACTTAGGAAAGGTGGATAAAAACTTTTCTTATGTCAACTCATTAGTCTTTGAAAGTTTTAACTAATAAAATATTTCCAACTAATATTTTTATAAAAGACCTAAAATGATTCTCCTTGTGAACAAAAGACACTTAAAGAAAATAAGATAAAATTCCCACTTTATTTTTAGTGTCTTTTTTGAGCTACTTACTGACATCATGTATAAATAATATATTACTTATTAATAAAATAAATTATGCTTTGAAATAAAATTATTTAACAGATTTAACACAGGCCTGTGACTATAATGGGGTAACTCTTAAATCTATAGACACCCAGGCAGGGTTAACTGAGAAACATTCAAACATTCACCACAGATTGCATATACAGCCAAACAGTAGAAAGAATAAAAGTGCTTCTGGGGGTCATATCTTTTGGCTCAATGGGTAACATATTTAGGTACTAAACAAAGAAATGCAACTCTTTGTGGTTTTTGAAAAAAAAGGCACTGGATCATTTTAGATTAACAAAAGCAAAGAGGATTAATGCTGTTTTTAATCAGAAAGAAAATTCAGCTTTACCAGACTCTGTTTATTACAGAAAATTCAGACCACTTCAGACAGAACTGAACATGATTACAAATAAATCACTCTTTTTCTTCATGGCTGTTTACTATTGTGTTGTATCAAACAAATAAACAAACACACACATAAATAAAATGCTTACTCCCTCTAGGTGAAAAAATCTCAATGTCAGTTTTAACACATATTCTATTTCTGTCATGATTTCCAGATTTTCACTCAGGTGGTCCTATGACTAATGTTCTTTAGTTTGTTAAGGTGCTGCCCAGCACTGGATGGGCCATTAAAGAAGTGCTCTGATCATTGCAGAACAAAATGCAACAAAAGCCTGTCTCAATCCGAATGCCTCCTGTTCACTGATGCAATTTAAGACTGAATTAGTATTTTATGAAGTCAAATCACATTTTAGAGACATATTATTGCCAAAAAACCAATGTCTCTTTCACATGTCTGCCTTGTCCATCCTGCACTAATACAAACAATTTATGTTTGTTTGTTTTGGACTAGGTATAGGACTCCACATTGATAAGCATAGTTTTTATTATCTATTCAGAATTCAGCAAATTAAAAATCAATTTGGAGGCATAATATGGAGGCTATCTAAGGATAGTATTGAGTGAGAATAACCGAGGCATAGTCACATAACACTGGAAAAACGAGACAGAATTCAATCGTAGCACTGTTACAAGCAAGCTGAGTGGCCCTAAGTCAATCATTTCGCCTCTCTGGGAATTAGTTTCCTCATCTATACGATCAGCAGTTTGAAACTGCATGATCTTAGCTGCAGTATAATTCTAAGATTGTGTTCTTTTCTAAGTTTCATTTTATTAATTTTGTACTATGACCAATGATATGGTTTGGCTCTGTGTCCCCACCCAGATCTCATCTTGAATTGTACTCCCATAATTCCCACATGTTATGGGAGGGACCCAGTGAGAGATAATTTGAATCATGCAGGCGATTTCCCCCATACTGTTCTCTTTGTAGTGAATAAGTCTTATGAGATCTGATGGTTTTATCAGGGGTTTCCTCTCTTGCATCATCCTCATTTCCTCTTGCTACCACCATGTTAGAAATGCCTTTCACCTCCCACCATGATTCGGAGGCCTCCCCAGTCATGTGGGACTGTAAATCCATTTAAACCTCTTTTCCTTCCCAGTCTCGGGTGTGTATTTATCAGCAGCATGAAAACAGACTAATACAGTAAATTGGTACCAGTCATGGGGTGTTGCTGAAAAGATACCCCAAAATGTGGAAGCAACTTTGGAACTGGGTAACAGGCAGAGGTTGGAACAGTTTGGAGGGCTCAGAAGAAGACAGAAAAATGTGGGAAAGTTTGGAACTTCCTGGAGACTTGTTGAATGGCTTTGACCAAAAGCCTGATAGCAATATGGACAATCAGGTCCAGGCTGAGGTGGTCTCAGATGGAGATGAGGAACTTGTTGGGAACTGGAGCAAAGGTGACTTTTGTTATGTTTTAGCAAAAAGACTGGCAGCATTTTGCCCCTGCCCTAGGGATTTGTGGAAATTTGAACTTAAGAGAGATGATTTAGGGTATCTGGCAGAAGAAATTTCTAAGCAACAAAGCATTCCAGAGGTGACTTGGGTGCTGCTAAAGGCGTTCAGTTTTAAAAGGGAAGCAGAGCATAAAAGTTCAGAAAATTTACAGCCTGACAATGCGATAGAAAAGAAAATCCCATTTTCTGAGGAGAAATTCAAGCTGGCTGCAGGAATTTGCATAAGTAACAAGGAGTCAAATGTTAATCCCCAAGGCAATGGGGAAAATGTCTCCAGAGTATGTCAGAGACCTTTGTGGCAGCCTCTCCCATCACAGACCTGGAGGCCGAGGAGGAAAGTGGTTTCATGGGAAGGGCCTAGGGTCCCCGTGCTGTGTGCAGTTTAGGGACTTGGTGCCCTGAATACCAGCCACTCCTTCCATGACTGAAAGGGGCTAAACATAGAGTTTGGGCCATGGCTTGAGGGTGCAAGCCTCAAGCCTTAGCAGCTTCCATATGGTGTTGAGCCTGCAGGTACACAGAAGTCAAGAATTGGGGTTTGGGAACTTCTGCCTAGATTTCAGAAGATGTATGGAAATGCCTGGATGCCCAGGTAGAAGTTTGTTGCAGGGGCGGGGCACTTATGGAGAACCTCTGCTAGGACAGTGCAGAAGGGAAATGTGGGGTTGGAGCCCCCACACAGAGTCCCTACTGGGGCACCACCTAATGAAGCTGTGAGAAGAGGACCACCATCCTCCAGACCCCAGAATGGTAGATCCACTGGCAGTTTACAATGTGCACCTGGAAAAGCCACAGACACTCAACACCAGCACATGAAAGAAGCTGGGAGGGGGGCTGTACCCCACAAAGCCACAGGGGCAGAACTTCCCAAGACCATAGTAACCCACCTCTTGCATCAGTGTGACGTGGGTGTGAGATCTGAAGTCAAAGGATATCATTTTGGAGCTTTAAAATTTGACTGCCCCACTGGATTTTTGGACTTGCATGGACCCTGTAACCCCTTTGTTTTGGCCAGTTTCTTCTATTTGGAATGGCCGTATTTAGCGAATACCTATACCCCCATTGTATCTAGGAAGAAATTAGCTTGCTTTTGATTTTACAGGCTCATAGGTGGAAGGGACTTGCCTTGTCTCAGATGAGACTTTGGACTGTGGACTTCTGGGTTAATGCTGAAATGAATGAAGACTTTGGGGGACTGTTGGGAAGGCATGATTGGTTTTGAAATGTGAGGACATGAGATTTGAAGGGGCCAAGGGTGGAATGATATGGTTTAGCTCTGTGTCCCCACCCAAATTTCATCTTAAATTGTACTCCCATAATTCCCATGTGTTGTGGGAGGGACCCAGTGGGAGATAATTTGAATCATGGGGGCAGTTTTCCACATGCTGTTCTTGTGGTAGTAAATAAGTCTCATGAGATCTGATGGTTTTATCAGGGGTTTCCACTCTTGCATCTTCCTCATTTTCTCTTGCTGCCCCATGTAAGAGGTACATTTCACCTCCTGCCATGCTTCTGAGGCCTCCTGAGCCATGTGAAACTGTAAGTCCAATTAAACCTCTTTTTCTTCCAAGTCTTGGATATGTCTTTATCCGCAGTGTGAAAATGGACTAATACAACTTTACTCTATTTTTAAATCTTAGCATTTTTCATCCGACTTTGCTTTTATAAGTGTACCTTTATTTTTATCCAAGCCATTGATTAAAATGTTGAATAAGACAGTATCCAATGCATGTCACAAGAAACCTAACTCAAGGCTGACAGTGATTTGAAGCTTGGTATTCTTTGGGTGTGGTTATTCATAACTGGAATAATAACTTTATTATTATTCTTTCAACATTCACTCATTTTATCTGCAGGAATATCTTGGAAAACTGATTAAATGCCTTTTAGAAATCAAGATGTATCCTGACAGCTCATGTCAGTGTGCATGTTCAGATCTCTGAAAATTAACCTTGAAGGAAGCTGAGAAAGTTACACTTTATCTCAGTGTTAGATTATAGTAAATGGGTGAGTCAGAAGGTGCTCTATAGAAGGAAAAAATATATTTGAGATACAGATCTTTTCCCACCACGATCCTCCCCTTCTTCACAGACATACACACACACATACACATAGACACACACACACACACACACACACACACACACACTTCTGTTTATTCTTACTCCTGATGTAGTTACAGGCAGAACACTATCAGTGAGTCAGTTGTTGAGGAGATGAAGCGACTGAGAGCCAGTGAAACTGTGTCATACACAGTGGAATCTGAGACTGGTCACACTCAAACAACACACCATGTGTTTGTTTGTGTCTACTAACCTATGTTAGTAGAAACACATCATGTTAGTAAGGAATCTAAGAGTAGAGAAACTCCCAAGGACGATGCCAGATCAGCTCTCCTCAGTAGGTAAGAAGAGGCTGCAGTGGCTAGAATAGTGTAGGCACTCTGAAGTTATTTCCAGGTGGGCAAGACGCATTTTTGCAGCTGAGGTCCAGAGGAGCTGGATAATGTTAACTACTCAAGAGATGAAGACACAAATGAGATCACATATTTCCAAATGTGTTCATCATACCTGTGATATTCTCCTGCTACACAGTCTAGCTCAATCTGTACAAGCCACGAAAACCACAGAGGGATGAACAGGAATTTAAGGGCAGTTGCCTCAATAAAGAGTCACAATTTCTTTCCTACTGCAGAACTTGTAGCAGTTTTCAGTCCAGGAACCCACTGATGGGAGGAGATGCCAACTCCTCAGGGGAAGGACCCAACATTACCATGAAAAGTATTTAGGTAACAATTCTCCAGTCCTTCCCCAAAAGGTCTGTGGCCATTTGCTTAGGTAATTGTTCACTGGGGAAAGGGAACACTGAAATAGTTCAAGGACTGTTTCATGTAGGACTCGAGTTGACCTAGATAAACAGGGGCTGAAAGAAACACCATGGCTGCTATATTAGATTAGGTGTGAATGAGGGCTGAATAATAAGTGCAGGTTCTGGAACAGGTCCAGCTCACCGTGGGTCTACTAGGGCCATGGATGATCATTTTCTTGGTCCTTGGTATATAATTAAAGTAAGCACACCTTATTATTGGAAACAATCCCACTCTGGTTCCTTGGCCTGTGAGGTAGGGGATATTGTAAAAAGAAATGCCAAATGGAAGCCTCTGAAATTACCCTTGTACTCTACAGTCAAGAGAGTAAATCCAAAATAATATCTTATTCTGGAAAAATAGCCACAGTTAGTGCCATTATTAAAGACCTAAGGATCCATGGGAGGTAGTCCCGATGATATCGCCATTTATTCACCAACATAAAAAAGTCAGATGGATCTTTGAGCGTGAAAGTGAGCTACTGTAACTCAAGTAAATTTATGCCTTAATTGTAGATGCTGTGTCATATATGATATCTTTTCTGGAGCAGTGGATTAGTTCCTTCTTGCATTGCTTTAAAGAAATACCTGACACTGGGTAATTTATGAGAAAAGAAGTTTAACTGGTTCACAGTTCTGCAGGCTCTACAGGAAGCATAGCGACATCTGCTTCTGGAGAGGCCGCAGGAAGCTTCCAATCATGGCAGAAGGCAAAGGGAGAGAAGCCTGTCACATGTAAGCAAGAGCAGGAGAATGAGTGGGGAAGTACCGCACACTTTCAAATGACCAGATCTCACGAGAACTCACTCACTAGTAGGATTTGATCAGCTCACTATGGGAGTGTTACAGAAAATAGATACCATGAGCAGAGATTCTGGCAGCAGCTGGGCCACCTTCTCTTTTTTATCAACTCCTATTCCAAGCTATTTGACTCTATTAATGCAGGAGACTTTGGAACCCATGGAAAACTGGTATAATTGGGATACGATGTCTGTTAAAATCACAGCAGAAAGAACTGTGGCAGGGCAAGCTACTAGAGTAATGCATTATTGCCTGGGAAAAAGGAGAATAAAGAAGTAGATTGTAGGAAGACTCTAGCTTTCACAGATTTGTGGAAGGAAGGAAGAAGCTTTATATCTTCTGGACCTATCCTATGATTCTTTCATTTTTTTTCATAATTGCTCTCTTATATTTTGGGAAACCATAAGAAGAAGGGTGACATTCTTCTGAATGAATATATAAGGTGCCTCTGGCCCCTAGAAGATTGAGAGGGGCAGTGATGAATGAGTTCTCCTGTCCCTAGAGGCTGAAAGAGTTCAAGGGAGCTAGAGAGTGAAGAGAATTCCTCCAGGTCCTTTGGCAAGAAACAGGCAACCCTCTAAACTGTGGGTGTCAGAACTATTCTGCTTTTCTTAGCCATGGGATTCTAAACTCTTAGGAAGCTCCAACCTCTAGATCTGAGCTGCATGAGACAAGAAGTCAGAAATAACAACCTATCTAAAATTTCCCACCAGTCAGAAAGGATGATCAGGCAGAATAATCAGGGCATATTTGCAGTGAAGCAAAACTGCTTGTGGGGAGAGAGAAAAATACAAAATATAACATTCAGTACACTTGAGTTTCAAAAGTCTGTCTTGTGCTAAAACAATAGCAAAGCAAAATAAAACAAAAAATCATTATTTTAGGGTAAGCAATATAATAGTTGAACTGAAAGAGAATGGCCAATATAAAAATCATATGAAGTAACTTAAGAGGTCAAGTACAAGTAACATTTCTAATGACAAAGCAAAACTATAGAGAGATGGCTATCATGAGGGAAAAGATAAAAGGACTGAAGACTAGATTCATGACAGACAACATAAATGATAGAATTTTCAGAAGAAAAAAAACAGAAATAGGAGAGACAGTAATTGAATAAATTATTTAAGAAAATTCCCCTGACATGAAGAAAAAACTAAAGTCTGTGCAGCAAAAGGACTTTAAGAGTTCTAAACTAAACTGATGAATAAAGAAACAAATCTAACATTTTATCCTGGTGAAATTCCTAAAGTCAAAAGTTTTTTAAATATAGACACCTCCACATAGAAATAAAAGTTGTCTGCAAGGTTTGTGGAGAAAGTATGTTTGGCATGGTATTTCTTATTAGTAATAGTTGACACTAAAAAGGGGGAAAGGATTTATAACTCGAGAATTATGTAGCAACCTGAGATATTATTTACTTTAAAAAACACAAAAATTTAGAATATGTACCACACAAATACTCTGCATGAAAAAATTACTTGAAAAAAGACTCACACCAATCAAAAGGGAATTTAAGAAATAAGAGGAGGAAGGAAGGTGGTGATCTATTTACCTATCCACCTATCCATTCATTCGTTCACCTATTAATTTACTCATTATCTTTTTTCAATCTATTTTTTCTATCTTAATAAATAAAATCTAGTAGGTTATTTAATGCTAAATTTAAAAATCTTGAGGCCGGCCGGGTGCAGTGGCTCACGCCTATAATCCCAACACTTTGGGAGGCCGAGGCAGGTGGATCATGAGGTCAAGAGATCGAGACCATCTTGGCCAACATGGTGAAACCCCGTCTCTACTAAAAATACAAAAATTAGCCAGGTGTGGTGGTGCATGCCTATAGTCCCAGCTACTCGGGAGGCTGAGGCAGGAGAATCACCTGAACCTGGGAGGTGGAGGTTGCAGTGAGCCGAGATCACCGCCACTACACTCCAGCCTGGTGACAGAGTGAGACTCTGTTTCAAAAAACAAAACAAAAAAAATTTTGAGGCAGCCAGATGTAGTGACTCATGTCTGTAATGCCAACACTGTGGGAAGCCAAGGTGGAAGAATTACCTGAGCCTAGCAGTTCAAGGATGCAGTGAGCTGTGATCGTGCCACTGCATTCCAGCCTGGGTGATAGAACAAGACTCTGTCTTAAAAAAAAAAAAAATCTTAAAATTGAAATGGCATCTTGCAAATAGTGGAGAGACCTAATGTAATTTTTTCTAGGTTTTCATCTTCCTTTGTTATTGTTTTGAGGAATGAGAAAGATATCAAAGAAAACTGAGTGTTGGCTGAGTAAGACAGTCTATCTCAACTGAGAGCATAGTTTATCTTCTTAAAATAATAGTAGAGTCATAGATATCTAATAAGAAGAGCAAGAAAAGGGGAAAGCATTAACAGAATGGAAAACTATAACTGAAACAAAAACAAAAGATAACATAAATAGTAATTTGTTCAAATAAAACAATAAGAGAAAAAAATAATAAGAAATTTAAGCCAGTAGTAAACATGAGATATACTGATCTCTACTCTGAGAATGGAATGAATTTTGCCATTAAAGGTAGACTCTCACATTGAGTAAACATAACACCAATGTACTTAATGTTTACACAGTCATGCTTAAAACAATTGGTAAGGAGAATTAGAGAGTCAAGGAGTGAACAAAAAGATAAGAAAAAATGCAAACCAAGAAAGCAGAAGACTCGATGTTAATACCAAAAAAGGTGGCATTTAAGGCTAAAAGAAATATAAGAAACATGAATGGCCATGATATAATGGTAAAAGCTACTATAAATTGCAAAGTTTCAACAGTAATGAAATAGTGAGCATTAAATTCTGTACCAGCATGAACAAAGTCATAGCTGAAATTATAAAGAAATATTACAGAGCAGGTCTCAAGCATGGGCAAACTCCCTGTCTTGATGGAGTGGAAGCTCCAACTGACTTGATGAAATGTTTTTGTTTTTTTTTTTAATTTTTTTTTTTTATTATACTCTAAGTTTTAGGGTACATGTGCACATTGTGCAGGTTAGTTACATATGTATACATGTGCCATGCTGGTGCGCTGCACCCACTAACTTGTCATCTAGCATTAGGTATATCTCCCAATGCTATCCCTCCCCCCTCCCCCGACCCCACCACAGTCCCCAGAGTGTGATATTCCCCTTCCTGTGTCCAAGTGATCTCATTGTTCAATTCCCACCTATGAGTGAGAATATGCGGTGTTTGGTTTTTTGTTCTTGCGATAGTTTACTGAGAATGATGGTTTCCAATTTCATCCATGTCCCTACAAAGGACATGAACTCATCATTTTTTATGGCTGCATAGTATTCCATGGTGTATATGTGCCACATTTTCTTAATCCAGTCTATCATTGTTGGACATTTGGGTTGGTTCCAAGTCTTTGCTATTGTGAATAGTGCCGCAATAAACATACGTGTGCATGTGTCTTTATAGCAGCATGATTTATAGTCCTTTGGGTATATACCCAGTAATGGGATGGCTGGGTCAAATGGTATTTCTAGTTCTAGATCCCTGAGGAATCGCCACGCTGACTTCCACAATGGTTGAACTAGTTTACAGTCCCACCAACAGTGTAAAAGTGTTCCTATTTCTCCACATCCTCTCCAGCACCTGTTGTTTCCTGACTTTTTAATGATTGCCATTCTAACTGGTGTGAGATGATATCTCATAGTGGTTTTGATTTGCATTTCTCTGATGGCCAGTGATGATGAGCATTTCTTCATGTGTTTTTTGGCTGCATAAATGTCTTCTTTTGAGAAGTGTCTGTTCATGTCCTTCGCCCACTTTTTGATGGGGTTGTTTGTTTTTTTCTTGTAAATTTGTTTGAGTTCATTGTAGATTCTGGATATTAGCCCTTTGTCAGATGAGTAGGTTGCGAAAATTTTCTCCCATGTTGTAGGTTGCCTGTTCACTCTGATGGTAGTTTCTTTTGCTGTGCAGAAGCTCTTTAGTTTAATTAGATCCCATTTGTCAATTTTGGCTTTTGTTGCCATTGCTTTTGGTGTTTTGGACATGAAGTCCTTGCCCACGCCTATGTCCTGAATGGTAATGCCTAGGTTTTCTTCTAGGGTTTTTATGGTTTTAGGTCTAACATTTAACTCTCAATAAATTAGGTATTGATGGGACGTATTTCAAAATAATAAGAGCTATCTATGACAAACCCACAGCCAATATCATACTGAATGGGCAAAAACTGGAAGCATTCCCTTTGAAAACTGGCACAAGACAGGGATGCCCTCTCTCACCGCTCCTATTCAACATAGTGTTGGAAGTTCTGGCCAGGGCAATCAGGCAGGAGAAGGAAATAAAGGGTATTCAATTAGGAAAAGAGGAAGTCAAATTGTCCCTGTTTGCAGATGACATGATTGTTTATCTAGAAAACCCCATCGTCTCAGCCCAAAATCTCCTTAAGCTGATAAGCAACTTCAGCAAAGTCTCAGGATACAAAATCAATGTACAAAAATCACAAGCATTCTTATACACCAACAACAGACAAACAGAGAGCCAAATCATGAGTGAACTCCCATTCACAATTGCTTCAAAGAGAATAAAATACCTAGGAATCCAACTTACAAGTGATGTGAAGGACCTCTTCAAGGAGAACTACAAACCACTGCTCAAGGAAATAAAAGAGGACACAAACAAATGGAAGAACATTCCATGCTCATGGGTAGGAAGAATCAATATCGTGAAAATGGCCATACTGCCCAAGGTAATTTACAGATTCAATGCCATCCCCATCAAGCTACCAATGACTTTCTTCACAGAATTGGAAAAAACTACTTTAAAGTTCATATGGAACCAAAAAAGAGCCCGCATCGCCAAGTCAATCCTAAGCCAAAAGAACAAAGCTGGAGGCATCACACTACCTGACTTCAAACTATACTACAAGGCTACAGTAACCAAAACAGCATGGTATTGGTACCAAAACAGAGATATAGATCAATGGAACAGAACAGAGCCCTCAGAAATAATGCCACATATCTACAACTATCTGATCTTTGACAAACCTGAGAAAAACAAGCAATGGGGAAAGGATTCCCTATTTAATAAATGGTGCTGGGAAAACTGGCTAGCCATATGTAGAAAGCTGAAACTGGATCCCTTCCTTACACCTTATACAAAAATCAATTCAAGATGGATTAAAGATTTAAATGTTGATGAAATGTTTAAGGCAGCAAAGTCAGTTATTTTAACTAGTGTACTCAGTGTCTACATACAAACATGGAGTGAAAATATGTTAAAACAAATCTTATTTACACATGTCTAGTTGAAGCATGCCCAAAGAGAATGTGTCATGAAAACCTAAGAAGAAAGACCATTCATTTATGTTAAAGGCCAGACAAATAATAGATCTCGCAAATATATACTTTTTTGTCACTTCTCCCTCCTCTACTTCAGTGCTTCTATGCTCCACCCAGATGCCCAGTAAATCACCTATCTACTCAAAGAGCCGGCCTGAAGCTTTCTGAATGTTTTTCTGAAAATAATCTTGTCTTCATTCTATTTACTAGAAAGGGAAATGGAAGAGGGTTGACTGACTCCGTTTAGAGCACTAATTTATCTTAATTCTTACAAATAATCAGATAATATAATTGCAATTGCCTTTTTGCCTATGCATAAAGCTAACCAACTCAAACTGAAGAGGCAACATTGAATCTCTTTTCCTGCTTAAGAGTTAGGCTAAAATAAAACTATCTTAATCCATTCAGTTAATTGTTTAATGTATAACAAGTAATATGCTTATTGACTTTTGTTCTTAGGGAAGAAAACTCTGAAGATTAAAAATGGGGAAGAAAACCAAAATGATTTATTTGGAACACACAGTTGACTAAGGGATAAACATATATATACAGAGATAGATTAAACAGCTTCTATTATAGCTAATCTATGAGACAGTGTGTTTATGTCAAATAAACTTATTTACCTTCATGTTAACTTTTAAAATCATACTTAAAGTCTATCCCCAATTTCCATGTGCCTAAGGGGAATAATGGGAAGAAAATATTACTTGCTATATTAACCATAAATTATAAATTTTACTTAAATTTACAAATTATAAATTATAAACTTAATTATAAATTTTACTTAAAAATTTTGAAGTGATATAAAAAAACACAACATGAAAACAATGCATATCATTATGTATGTTTCTGAGATACTCATTTATTATTTGTTAAAACTTTTAAGAGGAAGAGAAAAATATAACAGATTTTCAAGGGGGAGGAAAAAGATGAATTCTTATATGGGTCAGAATATACGCAAACTGAAAGTAAAAATTAATCCAGATTCCCATTATCTTCAGTTACATTATAATTCTTCATAGTTATATTTTCTAGAGAAAATAAAGGAAAAGTAGTTGAACAAAATGCTCAAGATGTATACCTTTTCCATTATTGCAAGATGCCAATGTTCAAGGGCAAGGGTGTTGTTATGAGTGGCAGGAGATGTGAATTGCATTCCCTTTTCCATTGCCAACTTGCCAAGTGGTCTTGGGTCAGCAAATTTATCTAACTAAGCCTCAGTTTCTTCAACTGTTAAATGATAGGTTAGACTAGAGAAAAACTATAGTTCATTTCAGTCCTAAAATAATTATGGTTATGGTGTCATAGCTAAGTAGAGACATTGGGGCAGCCTTTAATTATTGGTGGTGTTACTACTGCTCAAGCCATATGGAACTTCTTTAACCTTGGCTATATCCATAATAGAACAATAGCTTGCCACTTAAAAGAAAAACTCTCCAAAATATTTCATATGCTTGCTATTCAAGTTTATTTCCAAAGTGGACCAAAGGCCATTTTCCATAATTTTATTGCTAACAAACTGTACATTTTCTTTAAAGAATAGTAATAAAGGTGATGCAGAATGAGAAAGAGATCCCCAAAGGGAAGATTCTTCCCAAATATTACCATAAGAATTGGATCATAAAATGGTTAGAAGTGGAAATTATACATATATAGTTTGAGCTTCTTCTGAAAATTGAAGTCTGACAGTGTTTTTATTTTAATTTGGTGAAAAATAATAGTATAAACTTAATGAGACATTCAGTCCTCCTCTTTGATTAAAATAATGCCAGATGTTAGAACGACAAGCACAAATCCTTCCATTCATGTTTCACTTTCTTGTTTTCTAAGAAGAGAATGCAAACAATATGGATTTTTTTCCCCCGGTCCTTCTCTTCTGCTGTACACGTAAGAATCTGGTGCTATCTAGCTATTCCCTCAGCTTAAGCAATAATAATAATGAACATTTGTTGAGTGCTTATAATGTAAGTTCTAGCCTAAGTACCACACAAGTGTTATTTAGTTTATTCCTTATAACAATCTAGAAGGTAGATATCATTATAACCTTCCATTTGTAGATGAGGAAACCAAAGGTCAGAGAGGGCCCAGTGTTGCACGGAGAGGAAGCAGTGTGGCAGGCCACCTGGCTTCGGAGCATGCATGCTTAGCCACCACAGGATACTTCCTCTCCACCCTATAGCACACATGGAAATAAAGACATAAAAAACTTAAATGGAGTTCACTCGAATTATATAGATCCTTATTGGTAAGTTCTGAATAAAATTCTGGTGGCAAGCTCCTTAAAGTTCCAATTCCAAGCACAGAGATGTTCATGGAAGGTTTTACATAACACGTGTAGAACCTGTCCATGGCTGGGTTTTCTTTTGTTCAGTTTTGGGTCTCAGCACCTGGAAGACTACCTGGCATATGGTGAGTAATCTCTGTGTATTTATTCTATAAATTAATATTTTAACATAGCATTGGAATGAAAGTTTTAATCTGAATAAATCTATATTTTAGAACTCAGTTTTGTATACTCGTTTAACTTGACACTTTTGAAGCATCTCACTGTAATTCAAATGGTATGAACTGAATTAACACTGTTTTTTGAACTTTGTGAGAAGAAACAAAATTATTAGATATTGTTAACAACAATTATAACAAATTTAGTTTGTTCATCATTTGATCTTCTTTTCAATACAGCTTTTCATGTTTTATTTGAGGAGAAAAGAAGAATGCCAAAACTCATGTGGGTTCCCTCTTAAGTCTAACATGTACTTTTCTAAAATAACAAATGTAACTGAGAAGCTTGCCTGGGTGGTATAAAAGAGTCAGTTAATTGGTAGTCAGCCTTTCTTTTTATAGTTGACTATAAGTCTAAATGTTGATTTAGGAGAAAGATACGTTTTTACTAAAGAAAGCCCTATATGCTATATTAAAAGTGGGATGACTTTGCTTTTTTAAAGAATCCATAAGCCCCACCCATCTCCTCTGAAAAGTTCAGACTGCCATGTGGCTTTCTAGTGTACAAAACTTTTGCTTTCCTGCTATATCTCTTTCCTAAGTCAACATTCGCATATTGACCCAAACAGATTGGTCTAGCTTGTACATCAGTGACAGCAACCTGTCATTTTCTGTCTTAGAATATTGTAACTTCATTCATTCTTATACATTTTCTTCCCTTAACTCCAGAAGTTTTTCTAAAAGCCCATATTTTTAGATTTTTCAATTTAAAAGCCAAGTTTTAAAACGAAGATTTAGGGACTATATTTCCAATAATGTTGCAAAACAGAAGGCCCTTATAGCAGCATAAATTTAAAAAGGTGAGATAATTAAATTTTCCAGAGGATAAAAACTCCATATTTATAAAAATATCAATTCTCACATATTAGTTATATTTTAAAACATTTAAAAAGTAATATTTGTCTTTCATTAAATAACATTTATCATCAGCCCACTAGTCATTTACTTTGTAAAAATATGTTGATTTTCAGTACTCTATAGAGTAATAGAAGTAATGGAGCATTTGAATCACATGCTTTCATAAAAACAGACAATGTAAGATGAAATCTATAATAGTAAAATTAAGGTGATTATGAAGTAAGTACTTTTGAAACTTTATACTCTTATGTATTGTTTTACATTTGCAATAAAATACGGACACATTTTATGGAGAAAAATCACTAACGATTATGTTGAGAAAATTACATTTAAATTCATATATAACCTTTAATGTTTCTTTTATCATTCAAAACTTTATTTTTTCTCATGTTATTTTATGTTTTAAATTATTCATAAATGACATAAAACATTAGCCTCAGAAATATAATGTATTGTATTGAAGATGAGACTCTTTCTTTCCATATATATACACATATATGTGTACATATGTATACACACACATATATACAACATTTAAATAGCTAAGAATTTTTGACTTCTGTGTATCAATCAACAAGTTAAATATTGAATACGTAGTATCTCATTATTATTCAAAAATCCTCATGAAATAGGTATGACAATTTTATTTCTACCGATGAGGAAATAGGCTTAGAGAGTTTGAGTAATTGCCTAAAGTCACATAGCAAATGAGAGAAAAAGCCAAAACTTAAGAGTTAGGAGGTAAGCTACAGCAAGGCCTCTGTATCTTACTGTTCCACTCATCCCTTCAAAACATCTACTAAGGGCCAGGCACTAGGTTTATGCCGCTTACTTTTGGTTGGGTGTGGCTGACATCAAACCAAAATAAATATATATATACACCTACATACACAAAGGATGACAGCTCAGATGGAAATTAAGCAGGGGTAACATTATGGGCAATGCTTGGAAGATGGCAGCTACTTTTGGGTTGGTGACCTACAAAGACTTCTCTGAGATGGTGACATTTAAGCTAAGATTTACGTGTCAAGAAGGAAATAAGCATAGGAAGATAAAGGGGGAGCAGCTGTGACCATAATGCAGAGGTAAATCTTCAGATATTCAAGGACATTCAAGGGCCAGAATGTTACCAGTATAGCTATCACACCCTGAACTAAGGAAGTTCAGGGTGTGATATGATAGGAACTAAGGAAGAATGATAGGCATTGACATTAGAGAGGCTGAGGCAGGGACCAATCAAGTAGGGTGTTGAGCAGCCAAGTAATTTGGTTTATCCTAAGTGTTATGGAGAGATATTGGAGTGTTTTAAGTAGCAGAATGGCATAATCTGGGTTTCATTTTAAATGGATTACTCTAGCTGTTCTGCAGGAAAGTGGGTATAGGTGGGGAAAGGAGATGAAATCTATATTCATAAGAATTACATGTGGATACTTATATGTGCAGATTCACAGAAAATTATAGGCATATTGAATTTAAGACATTTAAATTTTAAAGAATGTACTCATGATAATGATAATGTTGAAATTATTACCTTGCAGAGAAGCACAAAATCAGAGTATATGCTTTAAAAATCTCCCATTCAATGAAAAGCTATTGAAAGTAAATTTGTAGATTTTTTTAAAGTATTTTAGCAAACAGCATTATGAAAAGTATATTTACAATAATGCAGAATTTAATGTGTTCCTTTAAATAACGTATGTTATGACTTTTTTGACAATAGCACTTCACAGGCTTTATGACTCATGCTTTAAAGTCATATTCCAAAATGACAACACAAATTGTAGTGAGTGAATATGTTTTGGATGTAGACTGATTCAATAGCAGTTTCTGAATGCTAAATGGAATGGTTTATACTTAAAGGAAGCATATTAGAGAGTAAAGCATTAATTTATTGTGAAGCTTTTATTCCTTCTTTTATTTTTGATATTTTTGAAATAGACTACCATTTTTAAATCTCTTATCACAAAAGATCATTTTCATCTTACTCTTAGCAATTTAGAGGTGTTTATCAAACACATTTGGTGTGATACTGGTTCTACCAGGGTTATATAGTACAGATCTAAAAATGTTATTTTTAAAAACCATAGTTCTATAGATAAATAATATTTGAATAAATGAAAATTTAGAAAAGTGTCCTGAGTCTCCGTTACATCTAAGCAGTTTTCAGAACAATCTTATATCTTTGATACACTGGCACCTACTGCTATTAGGAAATGAGCTAATTAGTATAGAATAAGGATATAATAATCATGACTTCTCAATATAGACAGAAAACTAGTACATGAAGACATGTTCCTAGGAGAAAACATGTATAAATCTGCTTATATTTTAATGGTATTACCATATGTAATATTAAACATTATTCCAATTCTCTTTACTATTCAGCAATTCTTATGAAAGTACAGCTACCTTTCACATACAACATGGATGCTCCACAAAGCATAAACTCAGCCCTAGACTATCTTCCTGTTAATAGAAGATTGCTTTCATTTCACTTACTATTTTTATAGACTTTTTTGAAAAACTAAAAAAGGTTAAATTTTTATTTTATGCCCTTATGTAAGTTAATCAAAATCATTCTCCCAATGCAGACAACAGTTATGAGTGTAGCAGATAGAATGTTCATTATCAGTAGAAGACAAATATTGTAGACAATGGAGAAATAAAGTTAAACTGCTTTCCTTTCATTTTAATAGTAAGGCCCTTGTAAAACCTTTAGAAAACTATTATTTTTTACATAAAAATTAATTTCTAATTTTTTCTAATACTATGTATTTATATCATTCCTTTAGAAAAAACTTCTTATATTTCACAATGCAAAGGAGTTTGAGCAGGTTCTGAAAAAATAAATAATTGGAAGTATGAGTCTATTTCTCTGCAGTATTTACTAGTGTGATACATTGCCCACTAAGCTTGTCATTGTATAAAACAGAAAGTTAGCATATATTTTAATCTTCCTAGCACCGAAATATTTAGGCTCAAATATTTTGTAAAATGTTATTTAGTTAAAGTATTTATTGAGCTATTAACATATTCAAAGCAACGTGTTGGATCCCTTGTTTTTAAAGATGAATCAAATAAAATTCCGCGTTTTAGAAGGTTATGGTCTAAAAGAGAAGATAAGCACCCATAATAAAAATGTAAAAGAAGTATGTTCATAGAAGCAGATCTAGTAAGGTGATGTTGGAGTTGAGAGATGGGATAGATTGCTTCCCAAGACATGAGGATACTTCTTGGAGTAATTGGCATTGAGTTATAATGTATGGTAGAGTTAAAATATATGATCATATAGAGAAAGACTTTTCAGACATAATGCAAAAGCAAAAGGTGAGTAGTAGTTTTCTATTGCAGAATAAGAAATTATCACTAATTTGCAGTTTAATATAACACACATTTATTACCTTAAAATTTCTGTGTATCTGGAATCTGGGAAGAGCTTAGCTGAGTCCTCTGTTTGGGGTGAACAAGATTGCAAAAAGGATTTGCCTGGAAGTACAGTCTCATCTGAAACTCAACTGGAGAAAGATTCATTTTCGTTGGCAAAATTTAGTTCCTTGCAGTTAAAGGACAGAGAATTTCAGTGTCTTGTTGATGTTCAACTGGAGACCATCCTCAGCTCCTAGGGGCCACCCTAAGTTCCTTGTCACAATGGTCACCCAACATGCAGCCTACAACATGGCAGTGTAGTTCTTTAAATCCAGCCAGGAAAAAATAAACTTTAACAAGATGGTCACACCATCTTCTCTACATAATCATAAATATGTAATCACATTCCCCCTGTCTTGTATCCTATTGGTTAGAAGCAAGTCACAGGTCATGGTCATACTCAGGGGAAAGTACTATTCAAGGCCATAAATGTCAGGAGATGGGGATGATGGGGGGCCACCACAGAGCCTATCCACCACAGGGTGGAAGGTGAAAGTTTTGGTTTAGCTGAAGGGTGTGACACATGTACGTGGGACAATCAGGTTGGAAAAGAAATTTGGGTTCAGGTTGTGGAAAGAATTGAATGCCCTACACTGGAGTTGAACGTTATATTTTATATACAAGAGGAAACCATTGTTACATTTTTGAATAGTAGGGGAAACTTAATGGAACTAGGCTTCAGAAAGTTTAATCTGGAAATGAGTTGTAAAATGAATAAGGAAAAAATAATTGGTTTAGGAATAAAAGTTAATATATTAACTTGTTGAAAGAATGAAATAATGAATATTGTAGAAAATATGACTATAGAATTGGAATTTAAAATGAAGCTTGTTTCTTAAACTGAATTACAAAAAGGAAGGGTGATCAGCAACTCACCCATTCCTTACCAGGTCAAAATTACAGGCTTCCCTTTATACACGCATGTAATGTAAAATGTTCTTTGGGAAATGTCTCTATAAGAAGGAGAGGTAGGTCTGTGAGACACTCAGGTGTGGAAAATGAGACCTCATGATACTCATCAAGGGGAAGAAAGGTGAACCTTGTAAACATAAGATACCATCTTTAAAAGACCATATATTAAAAAAGAGTAACAGTAGTATGTCTAGGAAAATACTGGATACTGGATGTGCATTATTTTGTGTAATTAAAAAAATTTCACTCTATTGGAAGCACCATCAAATTAAAGAAACACTGACTTTTCATGAGCATCATATAAGGGAAGTGGAAATCAGGATAAAGAAATAGGATAGGTGGAAATAAATAGAACTTGACAGTAAAGAAACATCAGAGAGAGATAATAGTAATAATTGACATTTTTAATGTAGGCAATTAGGAGGTTAGTAATAACCAGAAGGATATGTTGGAAAAAGAGTAGGTTTTAGGGCTACAAGAAAAGTATTGGCTTATATATACTAAATTTAAATGGTTTTCAGAACTGTTGCTGAAGATGTACAATGCACACTAGAACCCACAGGCAGTCAGGAGGAGACAGGTGGATTCTTGGAAGTCACTAGGTAAAGGTGACAATTGAGAGTATAAGACTGAGCAAAATTACCAAGGAAGTGAGTGTGGTTAGAGAAAAAACAAAGACTATGAGCAAATCTTTATAAAGTATCTATATCTCAAAGATGGGATGAGGAAGCAGAGTTGGAAGAACTTGAGAGAGAAGAAAAAGGAAGAGTGATCCTAAAGGTAGTTAAAAACAACAAAGCGAGTAGAGTAGTAGCTCAAAGGAGAGAATCATCTAACTAAGAGATGCAAAGTTGAATCTTTAGAGTGGTCAAGCAAATATTGCAGCAAGCCAAGTCTAAAGTAATAAGAAGGCATGGGACAAAGAAAAAGTGAAATGCATGTGACTCATATAAAGTAACTGACTTCAAAAGAAATATATTTTTTAAAAACAATGTCCTTACGGAAAATACATTGCTATCTTGATTTGGTCCACAGGGTGCCTGTTGGTGATCTCTAGTCTGTAGTAATGTATAATCCAGAGAACAGAAGTAGAATGAAATTGAAGAAAACCATTGTTTCACAAGTAAGAGTTTCTTAATCATCTCTTCGTGAGAGATGTTTTATTAAATGGTGGAAGCAGAAACTGAAGCGTAAGATTTAAGGAGAAAGTGAGTGATCAGGAAGCAAAAACCTTGTCTGATTTTATAGTAATGTAAAACTTGAAAAAACTCTGTCATGTAGTCGTGAAAACAGCCATGAGAAGGTTATGGCTGGTCACAGACAACAGGGGAATGATGAGGCTAAATACTGTGTCCCCATTGGAGACAACAAAGAGCTTCATGAGGCTAATGCAACAGTCAGAGCTGGGAGTGGGAATCAGCAGCAGTAGCCAAGGAGCAGAAGTCCAGCCAAACCTATTGAATGGTATCTTGCTGGTGAGTAGGCTACTTCAAAATCACTATCCATTCCACCTCACCAGCTTCCCCACAGATTTCAAATGCCACCCAGATTTTCAGTGAATAATTTACCTTGGGAAGGCGATGAGAAGTTATTAAAGGGGCAGTGGCTTGATCAGCTCCTTGGGTGCTGCAGGTTTGATTTTTTATTCTTAGAAGACATGAGTCCTGCACAGTTGTGGAATGGATGGGGACAGCCATGGTAAGGAGTTGTATGCCAGAAACAAGAGGGCAGCTTGGTGGAATCAGGCCCTGGAGCAGGACCATGGGGACTGGATCCCAGGCATAGGTGGAGTTGTGAGCTTTTGAGATAGAAAATGACACTTCTTTCTCTAAGTCTGTAGAAGAAGGAAAGTGAATACCTGGAGTTAGAGATACATTTGAAGTGGAGTAGAGGTATATCAGATAAGCTCCCACTGGAAAGTTCTGGCCTCTTTAACATCAGCCTAATGACGGGAAACACTGGGAAGAGCCATGACACAGGTGACCTGGGCATGCCTGTGTTAGGTGTTCAGTTTTAACCTGATGAAAAAGGTGTGGTTTTCATGCTGCTAAAGAACAGTGGCTCATGTTTCACAGTCTGCCCAACTAACTTCATGCTCTTTGCTTGGGTTCAGTCACTCAACAAATGTTTACAGAGGTTCAATAATATGCTGTATTGCAAAGTGTTTAAAAAACTTTATTGTTTATTTTTCTGACTAGAAAAGGAATATTTTTTCTTTGTAAAAACCTATACAGAAGAAAAATGAATAGAATATCATTTAATAAGTATTTCTTGAACATGTACCATGGGTTGAACCTCATATTAGCAGTTAGACACGCAATAGAAAACAAAACTGACATGACCTTGCTGTATAAAACTTATAACCTAGTGGAAGAAACTAAATTCTGCCCAGACTCTCCCATCACACCCTCTCCAGGTAAACACTATTTCGTTTTGTGTATATTCTGCCAAATATTTTTTATATTTAATATACTTCAAATAGTTTTCATCACATTCTATGAGTTATATTTTTTTCCTTTTTGCTGTGTAGAGATTAGGGTAGCTTCATGCTACATTCAGATACTAATTTTGAAGTTTTAGACAAGATGACCAAAAAAGGATGGCAAAGAAGGAGCTTAGAGCTGAAAGGGATTTCAAACGTGATCCCTCTCTTTACAATCTCTCTTTGAAATCTTCTTATTCAAAGCTGTATAATCAAATAGGTGCATTTACATGAAGTAAAACACATTAATTAATTTAATACATTTTGAGTGTCTAGTTTGAGCAAGATAATATTCTAAATATGGTTTACTCACTAAAGCAAATTTCCAAGAAAACCTAATTTTTTGGAAACAAACAAAACCTGTGGAGAAGAGCTAATAATAAGTACTTTTGCAAAATTCGTATGCTCCAGTTTAAAAAAAGAAAATTAGAATTCAAAAAGGGAAAAGGAAGACAGAAAATTTCAAGCTAATCTGGAGTGCGGAGAGGCAGATTTCTTGATTTTTCTGGCTGCAGTCATATACCAACATTTTAGTTTTATTCTTCTCTTGTATTGGAATAGTGGCTGTTTTAAAGATACATAAGCATTTATATTCTCTGTCAGCTATCTATTTAGGGATAAAAGAATTTACACACCAGAGCACATGGGAAAATGCATGCATGATGATAGAATTTTACAAATTTATTTATTTTGGGTTGTTATAGCCCTTCTACCCTTTATTCTCATTCAAACTCCCACTTTTTAAAAAACATCCCATCTACAGGGAACTGCACAGAAAATGTGAAATTGGTAATTCTGCTTACTCTGCTGCAGAAGAATGTAAGAAATAGCTACAGTGTATGTCACTATAATTTATGACAGGGCAGTGACAATAACTTAAGGACACAGAATAGAACCCAACTACGCACCATTAAATAGTTGATGAGCTTGGAGTATATCATTTTGTTGATATTTCTATCTCCAACACTCAACAAATTATTGCCCCTGCAATTCCCTACATTTTTCACTTCCTAGAAATGTCATGTATAATCCAACATAAAATGGAGACCATTTGTGCACTTTTCACTCAGTTTGTTACTGTAAGAAAGATGTTTTAAGGTAAGAGCTAAAATATTCAATCCAATTCAATAAAACATTTATTGAATACCCAATATTATGGCTGCACTATAAGAAGGTACAGTAAATGCTATAAGCGAGGTCTTAAATACAAAAAAAAAAAAAAAAGGAAAATGACTACCTCTTTATGGGGAAGAGCTGGTTGGTATTGAACAATTTCTTTCCATAGGGCTCACAAGTGTCTTGGCTCTCTAGCATCCTTAGGAAGGAAACCTAAGAGTGATAAACTAAAACTAAAATAACAAAGGAAAGTATGATTTAGGAAATTTTACCCATAAGGTCCGACCTGCTGTAAAACAGTAAATATATCTAAATGTTTGGTTTTGTTTGCTGCCAGTAAAGAGGCTCATTAGAGTTGGAGATGTTATCCTAAAGTGTTTTCAGATAGGATCTCGGTGGCATTTCAGTTTAATCCTCCCAATTCTTTAGGGGACCACTCTGAATTTATCTTACAAGGGGGCAGTAAGCATAGAGAAAAGATTACTTCTCTCGGCCTTTCTCTAACCAGATTTTTGGTTATTCTCAGACAAAAGGAAAAATGTATCCGCCTTCAGAAGTCTGTCTACAAAATATTCTCTCCTATTTGTGTTTAAAGTGTCATCTCTCAGGAACAGCAGCTCTCTATGTTACAGCAATTCCTTTATTTATTCATTTAGTTACAACCAGCGCTTACTAACTGTGCATGAGGCCTGCAGGAGAAGCCATCAAAGTATACAGGGAAATAGTATAGAGAATATTAGGAGGATGAACACATAATCTAGGAATGCTCAGCCTAGACTTGAGCCACCAAGGAAGGAAAAGCATGCTGAGACTGGAAGTACAAAGAATCATGTGAAGTGTGTGTGTGTGTGTGTGTGTGTATGTGTGTGTGTGTGTATGTGTGTGTGTGTGTGTGTGTTTTCCCAGAAAGTTTCAAGCAAGTTGACAGAATGTTCAGTTTAAGAGACAAGTGAGATTCCTTTAGAAAACGTCTAGGAGCTTACAACCTTGTGTTATGTCACAATTTGAACACTATGTGTGGCAGGTTTTACATAAGCTCTCTGTACATGTGTCTAAAGAGTGAGTGCACAAGTTGAGAAAAAAAAATCTTTGCTACGTAAACACAGGCTAACTTGCTTGATGTGGACAGAATGTGGGGAAACTTGGATCCCTGAACATCGTTGCCTTTAGATTTCATCCAGGCTACTGAGTTACTGCATAGTAGGAGTTAACAGATGGCTCTGGTTCTGACCCTGGCTTTTGCTGTGCAACTTCCTGTGTTATTATCTGTGTGACACTTAGAAAGTTAGTTCACCATTGGAGCCTCAGCCTCGTCATCTGTAAGTTGGGAATAATAGTAGTACCTATCTTAAAGGGTGGTTGTAGTCAATGAATTAATACATGTAAAAAACTTAAGACATTGCCTGACGTGTCTCCTTGTAAATGTTCTTTTTCTTTCTTTATCTTTTCTTTTCTTTTTTTTTTTCTCACTCTGTCGCCCAGGCTGGAGTGCAATGAGGCAATCTTGGCTCACTGCAACATCTGCCTCCTGGGTTCAAGTGATTCTCCTGTCTCACCCTCTTGAGTAGCTGGGACTACAGGAGGGTGCCATCATACCCAGCTAATTTTTGTATTTTTAGTAGAGATGGGGTTTTACCATGTTGACCAGGCTGGTCTTAGACTCCTGACCTCAGGTGATCCACCCACCTTGGCCTCCCAAACTGCTGGGATTACAGGCGTGAGCCACCGTGCCCAGCCATAAATGTTAATTTTAATTATCATTCTATGTTAAATTTGTTGTACAAGTGTGAAAAATAAAATTAACCCACTGACTTTGAGGGATGTATATTCTGATTATCCCTTACAGTGTGGAAATAAGTTGTCTTTAATGAAAAATAAAATACTTCAACAAGTTCCTTCTTAGTAACACCAAACTAATGGCAACATAATGGACAGAGTTTGCTTTAACTTCCTGAGATAAATTAAATCACTACATTTTAAAATAACTGAAATGGACTCTCTCTCTCTTTTAAATAATATTTGGGTTTAGGCCCTAAACCCAAAGGCCTAATTCTGCTTGAGAGCTCTTTTAAAATATGACCTATTTCTTTCAAGTTTCTCATTTTATTATTTATCCTCTTGGAGCTCTCAACTTTCAAATAAAAGTGAATGTATTTCTTTTAAATAAGAGGAGGTCTGTGCAGTGCACACATCTAGATTCTGATAGTGCCAAGAGAATTTTTTTTTCAAAGCAGCAGTTCATGTTCAGCCAGCGCCAAACGGAACTTAAAGCTCAAAGGGTTTGACTAAATTTAGAAACCACGATGTTCAAGTGGTTCTAAATTTGACAAAGCAAACCAGAAGCTAACCAAAATCGCACATAAAATGATCTTTTCTATTATGACAACGGATTGGACAAGATATTATTATGCTAAATTTAGGAAAATCAGACCAATAACTAAAAATGAGCTACTTAAGGCTGAAAATAAATGTGTTCCTATTCCAGAAGAAGGAATTCTAATATCTTCATGAATATTTTGAATGATGTTTCCGATGTTATGAAGTTGAAAATATCAAAATTACTAATCAAATTTAAAAGAAGAAAAGAAAACTGTTCCTATCAAGTATGTGGTCTCTCTGGCAATGCTTCCAATCTGAGTTTCAATATTCTCAAGAGCAGCTCATGTTTGACAATACTTCATAAAATAAACCTGAGTTGTCTACCTGATTTTCCATACCAAGCCTATATATTTCATACATAATATTACACAATGATATGTTAAACAAAGTTGATTTAGTCCTTTTTCTGTGTCTTATAATTTTAATTGTGTGTAACATTTCTAATTTGTGTTTTATTCCTAGTACACACATTTGCTTCATTCTGAGCCAACCATCTAGTACACTGATAAAAACCTGCTAAATTGTTTTTCCAGGGCAGAAATTTTAGGTTGAACCAGGAAAGGCAAGATTAACTGCTAACATACTACAGTTATACTTTAACATTATGTGAAACTATTATTTTAAGAAATAGTGAAACAATTAAATGCATATGATGAAATTTTCTATTTTATTGCAAAATAAAATATAGAATATGGTATTTATTAAGTTTTTGCAATAGTGCTTTAAAATAATAGTAGTGCAGGATTTTACTAATGTCAAAGCTATAACTGCAAGTTAACTTTGAGTCAAGTTAAAGGTGAAAATTATGTATTTTCTGAGAAAAAGAAAATTGCAATTTTTAGAAACCACTTTACAGTCTAAATCAAACTTTAAGAGAACTACTCCAGTTTCACTGTGCGTTCCCTAGCCCTTCTACTGGCCTTTAGTGTAACTACCTAGCTTACCTAAGGTTCTCTATTGAAGTAAGAGCATTTTCATTTCAGAATTCCTGTGATCCGGTACATACAGAAAAATATCAAGAGAAGTTAAATTTTAAAATGATGGACCTTTTCCAATTAGATTACTTCTGATCAATACAATGTCTGATTTTTATAAGATGACAACTAAAATTCAAATTCGGATGTCAAAAAGGTTTAAATAACCCTCCCTCCGATCTCTGTAAGTATACATTAGATGTGGGAACCAATAAAGTTTTAGACAAGGAAGATTATTTCATGTAATGGGAAAGCTGAAACCTTAACACTTCTATTGTCTACCTGCCTTACTTCTGAAAATAATTTCTTGCAATGTTCCATGAACATTAATGCATCAGTAAATTACTTTGGATCATGAATTTGTACTGGAAACGGTACCAAAACTCTGAGTTTTCTGTTGGTTATTTATCTCTAAGTTCATTACACAGTATTTGAACAAGGCACAAAGAGCCAAATTAAATCATACTGAGTAATTGCAGGTAATTGCAGGTCATTCTTTACTGTCTACAGGTGGATAAAAAACAATTTATTTGGGGATTAAGAAAAGTATGTTGATGGTTTTCTTATCACAAAATATATTTTTATTGTAAGGACTTAGAATATGCAGATAAGCAATATAATGACAATATATCCAAAGATAACTAACATTAATATAATCTGGGGGGTATAATAATTTTATACATGTTTATAATTTGATTTATATTTATCCAGTGAATCAGTTAGGATCCCATCAAGAGAGTAAAAACACATGGTAATTTGAACAAAGAAGTTTATGAGAATTTTTTTTAACTGTAACAGAGGTTTGAAGTAATGAGGGATTTGCAAGCAGCAGTAAAATAATGTTAAGAAACACGGGAATACAGATATATGGACTAGCCACTATCCCTAGGGTTGAGCTAGAGATGGGCCAAGGGGCCAAGTGAGCACACCATGACCACAGGCACTCTGCTATTGCCCAAGGGAGAGAGCAACAGGGAAGTGGCTCGCTTCTATGAACTGCAGGAGCCATGTGCAACAGAAACCACAGGCTCCCAAGAGTGAGGTTGGATGAGTGTCTGAGTAAATGAATGAGTCTCATTTTACTTACCTGATATTTTCTATCAACCTCTAATTGATGATTTTCCTTTCCTCTTATTGTTGTCTTCAAGGTCTTCTTCCTACTCTGTACTCTCTCTGGGGATCTCTTTACATCCCACAGCCATTGAATCTTAAAAGTAATACAAGAAATAATTGAATGAAATTTCCAAGGACTTCAGAATATAGATCACTTTTTTTCCCTAACATCTAGAACAGTATCTAGCGTATTGACAATATCCAATAATATTTGCTAAATAAATAAAGAAAAATGCACACTGAAGAGTCAACATCATAAATGAATAAAAACATATTCAAAAGTATATCATTCTGAAATTGTACAATGCATACAAATATTTGATGCTAAAAACTTCTACAAAGATAAAGAAGATCACATATGGGAGTTACAACATTTAGACTTCTGAAAGAAAATTAATTCCAACCTAGACTTCTATGCTCCATTTAAAAAATTAATCAGAAGACACAGATTAAGTAAAGCAACTTACAGATAGGTTAGATCTAAAAATATGTATTTGTGATACACCCTTCTGTAGGAAGATATACATCACCAAAATAATGGAATAAATAAACAAGACATAGGATTAATGAAAAATGATTACAACACAGGAGAGGTTGAAAAGAATTCCTGGAATAATGTTGAAGGGAAATCCTAAGACATCAGCCATTCTTCAAGTCTAGAAACCCCAAGGCTATTGAGAGCATGAAGACTAAGGAATGAATGTCTCCAGGAAACAAAAAAGGAACCAATGAATTCATGACACATTACCTGGTGAGACTGACCATAAGCAAACATAAACAAAACAATTTCCATAGGTATTTTATTGTTTGGAATGTAGCAATTTATGAAAAAGAAGAGACGAGTATTAACTCCAGTACAAACAAAGAGTTATTTGGGTAAGGGTGCAAATCTTAGTAAATGACTTGGTTCAGAAGTAAACAATATAACACAACTTTTAAAAAGTTGAGGGGTGAAGACTGAAGTGGTAATTTAAATACAAAATTCTGATACAATTTTATTGAGAGGAGGGAGAGAGGAGTGGAGAGAATTTGGTATCATGGTGAAGAAGTGCTAATTTTAATGGTGCATAAAAATAAGTCATTGGTATCAGTGATACATATTATTTTGTAATATGAAGACTGAAGAAAGAGAAAGGAATATTTTTCTATTTTATTTTGGTAAAAATTTTTATTTCTATTATCTCCCTCCTTTCAATAAAATTGTATCAAAATTTGTGTTTAAATTACAGTTCAGTGTCCCCTCTCCCTCTTTTGTCCCTGGGGGCCAGAGTTTTTATTATTATTTTGAGTTATTGAATTTTTAAAAACTAACACATATTAGTTTTTGAGATTTTTTTCTTGTTGTTCTTGGGTTATTGACAGCAAAGGGGTGGAGGAGGAGAGAGAAGATAAAATGAGCAAATAAAAAAATGGTAAAGTACACAATTACTGGTTTCTAGGACTCTTTTGTCACTAAACTGAGCTATTGCAATAAGGTTCCTGCTGATTTTTCTATCACCAATCTTTCCCGTTAATTCCATCTTTCACAGAGCTTCCAAAATTATCTCCTAATAACAGATCTGGTCATTCACTTTCTTGTTCAAAAGCCCAAAACAACTACTGATTGATCACGTTAAACTCCTCTGTGTGACATTTAAGGCCCTGTCTAGTCTAACTCCAACCTAACTAGAGTTTATTTCATTATTAATCGGTGCTATAAATCTACACCCTGGCAATTAAAGATTATTTTCTCATCTCTAAATAAGACAACCCCTTTACACTTCCATCCGTTTCTCTTTTTTTAATTTCAATAGGTTTTTGGGGAACAGGTGGTGTGTGGTTAAATGGATAAGTTATTTAGTGGTGATTTCTGAGACTTTGGTATACCCGTCACCCAAGCAGGGTACACTCTACCCAATGTGTAGTCTTTTTTTGTTTGTTTGTTTGTCTTTTGAGATGGAGTCTTGCTCTGTCGCCCAGGCTAGAGTGCAGTGGTGTGATCTTGGCTCACTGCAACCTCCGCCTCCCGGCTTCAAGCGATTCTCCTGCCTCAGCCTCCCGAGTAGAGTAGCTGGGATTACAGGTGTCCGCCACCGCACCCGGCTAATTTTTGTATTTTTTAGTAGAGACAGGGTTTCACCATTTTGGCCAGGCTGGTCTCGAACTCCTGACCTCATGATCCACCTGCCTCAGCCTCCCAAAGTACTAGGATTACAGGCGTGAGCCACTGCACCCAGCCTCCAATGTGTAGTCTTTTATCCCTCAACCCCCTCCCACCCTTTCCCCCAAGTCCCCAAAGTCCATTTCTTGGCCCAGAGTTCCTATCATTTGCTCTTCCCTCTTTGACCTAACTTATTTCCTATTTTTTTCATACACAAAATGCTAAAGGCCCAGGAAAACTTCTCCAATCACCTGCATTGACATACCATTTTTCCTCTTGTGTTGCCACTGTGCACTGTGTTTTTATTATAACACTAGCAACATTTTGTTTTGGGTCACAGTATGTACCTTACACCTATCTGGTCCACAAAACAAAATTCCCTTTTTCCTTGAGAGGAGAATCTGTGTCTTACTCAGAGGCATACTTCTGTGAATGTTTATCACAATGCATACAAAGAGTAAGTATGCAAGAATTGCTTGTTGAATTTTAAACAAAATATTTTAAAATTGCATAAATATGTATGCCTATTTACTGTTAATATTCATAATGAGTCTATCAAAGATAGTGACCAAAATGTTCTAACTATAAAATGTTTTCATGATTTGCCATTTATAAGGAGAAATTCAAGACTCGGCAACCAATTGTTTTAAGGCTTCCAATGACTCATAAAATTATTCCAAAAGTTATAGAAAACTTATGTTTGAAATTATTTATTCAAAAATTATTAGCAAAGCCCTAACTAGTATCTCCCAAATATGTTGAAATTAAATACAATATGAAAATCCAAGGTCTCATAGGTGTTATTAATAGTGGCATTTTTATTAGCAAGATAATCTATTCAGTTCTATGGAGAATACAAAACTGAGAAAGTCTTAATAATTGTAAGCTAGAGACCTATAGATTTTAACGCTTGACTTTTTTTTACCTTAATGCTCATTCTTTATTTATTTTCTTTTTTAGTTCTTTTAAAATTTCTATATAGTTCACGAGAGATAGCAATCTACAAATAAGGACACTTTGCTAGGTATCCCCCCCTTCCACCCATTCTCTTTCTCCTCTAATAATTTATGAGTTGATCGAATACATCAACTTTCAGATTTGATCATGAGTACTTTTTTGGAATAGTCCAATTAGCCTTGTTCTGCTAAATATGTCAATAAGAGGAAACCGAGTGTATTTTACAGTATGTTTTTCAAGCATCTCTCCACTGCAGCTGTGTCAAGTATACTCACAGCAGATGTGAATAATGCATGCAGTGCTGTTTCCTAAAGCTCTATCTGCAAATCAAAAATACTTATTATTAGAGACATAACAATTTTTACTCCACGTATTTTAATATGTTTTATAAACTTAATGAAACAACAACAATTGTGACAGGTCAATGTTGAAAGAAGAAATTAAGTGTGCAATGAGTGTTGCCCTTAAAACTTAGAAGCTTCCAGATTATATGTAACTCAACATTTCTTGAATGATTTTTACCACCCTGGTAAGTATGAATAAATTGGGGCAACACTTTCATAAATGCCAGGTTGTGAAACTATTTGAGATTTAAAAATATTTGAATTCCAGAAATTAAAAAGTGAGTAACAAATAATATCAATATAAATTATTTATCAATAGTCATTTTAAATGTCTCTGCAATCATTTTCCTATTTTATAAGCATCTATACTGCATACCATCTGCTGATACTTATTTTAATTCATAAAAAGACTATGTTTAAATGAAAACGTAAGTGACAGAATCAGAACAAAAGGGAAAGGGCAGGAGAATAAACTGAATAAATTCCAAATATGACTTCTAAAGGCAGACAATATAAAAGCTGTAATCTTAGTTTAAGCCTTACACTCCTTAAACACAGTAATTACAAGACATCTGCTGGGAACACAGCTTTGCTATTGGATAACCTTAATTGCCCTGTAATATTTCCTGACACTCCCCAAAATATGCCCCATTGCTAATAATTCATTCACATTTCAGCACCATTATTAGCTACTAATTCAAACAATCAAGACAAAGACAATAAATGGATGACCTTGAACAATTACCCACTCAGTGAACAGAATTTATTTTGTGCTTTTCAAAGACGTAACTGCTTTCCTGCGACTGTGAATAGCACTCCAAAATCAGGCAAATGCAGACAAGAGAAAAAAATCGTGGCATAAATGTAATGTTCCTTCTGATACTCTTAGAGGACTAGTGTTAAAACTTATCCACATATTATGCTTTCTCTAAGAAAAATAAAAGGAAGTATGAAGTTCAAGCAAGAAACAAATTCTCTTTGTAATAAATAGAGATAATTTAGTCAGGAATAGTCAAGTATACATTCAGTTATTTCTTTTTTGTTTCAACCTGTGAGAACATTTAAGAATCACATAAATTCAGAGCCAGGAAAAACATTCACTACTCACAGCAAAATGGTGGGAGTTTAATGGACAGCTCCTCAGGGGGCTCCTCTTGCAAAATATTTTAAACACAGTCTGCCAAGTTAACACTCCCTCCCCCTCACCTCCTCCTTGTTTCTCAAGAAATTTGAATTTTTAAAGAAATGTTGTACTCTTGGCCTTTTCTAATATGGAATGCATTAAGAGAAAACCCATAAATAAATGCTTACATATGCTTGTGAGAAATAAAGCAGACACCTCAAATTGATCTATTTGCCAACAAAGGGGAGGGGGAGCAGGCACAACCGAAAACTAAGGCCAACGAAGTAACAAAGATATGGGTGAACCTATGTTATCACTGTATTTCTTGGATGTATTGTGGGGCATATTCTGGTTTGGTGTGATCCAGTTATAAATGCAAGAAGAAAGGATGTAGAAAAATGGGTTAAGCAGAGGCATTCCAGTAGGGAAAGAATTTTTGCATTTTTTTATGGTCTGAAAAATCCCAGCAAAAATATTGAGTTTTTAAATATACAATCAAACAAAGAAAAAGCAGGTTTTGAATTCTCTTGACAATATGTGATCCTATAAAACAATTCTCATAACATTACAGAAATTTGTAATATATATATCTTAAACAGCTTTTGTATATGAAATCCTCTAATTCCTTCTCTGCCTTTTCCTCCTCCTCTTTTTCTTTGTTCTTCTCTTTTAAAATTTTATTCTTATGGATTTCATTATACCTAAAATTCATAATATTATAATTTTTCCCAGTGTTTAGAGAAAAAGTTTTGGAAGACAATTATTTCTAATTGTGTCATATTCCCCCTCCACCCCAGTGAATGTTTGCCAAGGCATTTGAAAAGTTCTATCATAATTTTTCACATAGAAAAAAAACCAAAAATATTACTTATGTAAGCATTTTATATACATTCAGTTCAAAATTTTTATTTTAATTATTTCAGCCTAATAAAAAATGAAATAGAATTTATCCATACAAACCTTACATAGTCATTTGTTTGTTTTGGAAATTTCTGTGTTCAAGAATTTTTTTATACAACATTAGAGACACTTATGTTAGACCACATATTATATAATACAGAAAAAAATTATTTGATTGTATAAAAGCAAAAAGAAACTCTACCAAAATGATAAAGAAACAGGTTAGAAAGCTGAGGGTGAGAGGTTGAGGAAGAACCTGAAACATTTATTCCTCAACAATTGATCAGAGGTGTACAAAATACACAATAAAAAATCAAGCTTAAGAAAGTCAAAGATGATAACATATCACTGGGAGATTCACCTAAGTCCAGAGGTGGTTCTAGGATCACTAATTATGCAAAACACTGAGGGGGAAAATAATGATCGATTATCTACATGTTGGGCTATGTACTAGAGGCTTCTCATAAAATAGGTTTCCATTTGAAGACATTATAATGTAGTTAGAATGACAAAATTAATACCCAATATAACCCAAGTTTCTTTTACAAGCCTCAAAGTAGGTATTAATAGGGTCACTATCGCATGTGTACACATGTATGTGCATTTACAAAAAGGATTTCAGCTTGCTTCCCTCAAGGTTTCAACTTACTATTTCTAGAAAACCCAGAGGAGAGTCTTCTGTGTACTTCACACTAATGTATTTTCATTCCTTCCTTTCTTCCTCCACATTTCCCTTTTGGTACTTAAAGTCCCTGGAAGGTGCAATCTTCCTATGATCAACAACAGCCTCTGTCTCGGTAAGAAAAGCCAATGTCCGCACCAAGGGCATGATTACCCTCTGCCCAGCCTTGAGATTCCCAAAAGTTTCTGGGCTTCTTATTGCCCTCCCTGTTTTAAAGCAATGAGGAAATTCTTCTGTCCTCCAAGTCATGCTACGTATTGCCCTACATAAAACTGAGTGAGCCCTGTGTTTTCACAGACTGCCTCCTGGAACTGGTGTTTTCCTTTAGGATCTAGACATGAGTTCATTCTGCAGCTCAGAGAAAATAGACCACAAGCTATTTTCTCCATGTTTCTTTCTCACCTGGTGGCTCCATGCAAACATTTTTACTTCATGGAAATGTCCTCATGTAAATAGTATTGCATGCTTATCATTTTGAGGTTCTTTACCTATGGTCTCTCCTTTGATCCACAAAAAAAGGTGATGATGTAGTTGCTCCCATTATCCCCATTTTGCAGATGGTAAATTATAGTTTATCAAAGTTGAATGACTTGGCCAAAAGCACCAGGTAGTAAGTAGTTGTGCATGGTCTCAAGTCATGCAGATTCCATATTCTAGGCCTAGAATTGTCTAGATTCCTAAAATGGGCACAATTTTGGGTACATTGGAATGTCTGCTACACATTTGAAATTGTGGGAAGTAATGTAAAAGATTGTGCTGATTATACGCACCCACATGAGAAGGTGTCGATGCAAGGAAAAGGCAGCTCCAGAAAAGGCTCGTGAGTCCTGAATTTATTAAATCCTTGCTACTTGTTTTCTTTGGAATTACTAACCACTTTTCAGCATGCCTCAGGTCAAATGAACACCTCCATGCTGCTGAGTAGACTCTATGAGGCTCCTATTGTAATCCCTTCACTAAAGAAGCAAATTTGGGCATCATTAACCTAATCTAAGAATTAGATTAGTGTAACTTGCTCATGGCCATATAGATGTTAAGTGGCAAAGCTGAGTTTCAAACCCAGGCAGTGGGGCTTCCCCAAAAGAAGTGCCCATGCAGCTAACTTCATGACATTGCACAACAATTTATTAAGAAAAAAAGACATAAGCCTAATTTACTGTGTGTCGTATATAGTTTTTCAATGTGTTATTTCCCAAAAGAGTAACATCCTAAAATCTCTACAATAAGCTTCAGATTATTTCCAAACAAGGGCCATGGTCAGAATAATTGAGTAGAAAAACTTCTTTGATTCTTCTATAAGAAAGCAGCGCACCAGCATGGCACATGTATACATATGTAACTAACTTGCACATTGTGCACATGTACCCTAAAATTTAAAGTATAATAATAATAATAATAATAATAATAATAATAATAATAAAAGAGATTAAAAAAAGAAATCATGTTAGGAATATTAAATGCTTAGCATACAAATATTATTTAAACTAAACAAATGCATATCTAAAATGGACCTTTAAATGGATATTAATAGTTTTCTCAAGGACTTCTTTTGGGAAAACCTCGCTGCCTGGGTTTGAAACTCAGCTCTGCCACTTAACAGCTAGATGGACGTGAGCAAGTTACTTAACACTTCCTCCTCTGTAAAATGGGTTATATAATGTGACCTTCATCATCTACTTGGTAGGAAACTTGTTCACATGTGTAAAGTATTTAGAGCAATATCTAGGCCATGACAAAGTCTCTTTAAGTTGATTTTTTTTAATTAATGTATGAAAAATGACCTGGAGCTGCTCATTTGAATCAGACCACCCGCTGTCCCTGATTTTTTCTGGAGTCTAATCCAGCCCTGCCCTCAATAAGTATCTAGAGTGAAACTTCCGGCATAATGTATAGAGAATAAGCAGTAGGAATGAATTTCAGACCACAACCGTAATTTATTTATAGCTTTGGAACTCACTTACTGACATATTCTTGATATTTGATTTCCATTTAATTTTGGCAAAATGCGCATTTCCCCATACAAAGAAAAAGGTCCAGCATAGATAACTGGCTATCAAATATCCAACTCTTGCTAAATAGCATTTTGATGAGAGGAAAGTAAATTAATCAGACTCACTGTGATTAAATCTCTTTAAAATTGCGCACACACACACACACACACACACACACACAGGGAAAAGTGAACAAGGGCTTTGTAGAAATCCATTTCAGCAAAATCTTAAATATCATTCCACAAGCTCATGGAATGTCTTGGACTTGCTTAAAATGGATGCATTGTTGAGCTACACAATTCTTTTCCACTTTAGAGACACTCAAATACATTTATATATAAATTGCTTTTTCTGTAATTTTATTAAAAGAAGAAACCCTAGGTGAGTTTCTTTTTATATTTGTATAACAAAAATATTAATATCCACTTAAAGGTCAATTTAGATATGCATTTGTCTACTTTAAATACTTGTATGCCAAGCATTTAATATTCCCAACATAATTTCTTATAAAAGAATCAAAGAAGTTTCTCTACTAACTTATTCTGACCATGGCCCTTGTTTGGAAATAATCTGAAGTTTATTGTATAGATTTTAAGATGTTACTATTTTGAGAAATAACACATTGGAAAATTATATACCACAGTCCATGAGGCTAATTTTTTTTCTTAAAAAAATTTTGTGCAATGTTATGAAGTTAGCTTCATGGGTATAAAGATAAGGGGCATTTCTCTTCTAGGATAAATAAAATCTCTGGAAAGATACTCAATTGTCTTTTTTAATTTGTTTTCTTCTTCATCATCTTTATTTTTTTAAATAACTATTTGTTTAAAGTGACATTGTGTAGATTAAATAATTTTTTGCTTACTTGCAACTTTGACATTTCCTTTTCAGAAAACCCCAAAGTTTTCAGCTAAAGTTTAGGTTCTAGTTTTAACTGCATACTTTTGTTTTTCTCATATTTTATTTCAGATACTTAGCCAACTTCAAATTAGATTCATGTTTTCTGTGCTTTTTTGAAAAAAATTCTGCAATTTCTATACAGATATGGATTATGTATGTTCAGAAAGATTTAGTGAGACTAAAAAGATGTGCTGTACAATAAGAACCTCATAATTTATCCTACAAAATTCTCTTTAAATTGTTGCCATTTTTAAAAAGTAAAGTAAAAATAAAATGCATCAAGCCTAGCATGAGGATAAGTGAATTTATTTAAATAACAAGGACTCTAAAGAAAACATGACTTCAAGCAAAATTACCATTTTGGATGACAGATCTCATTATTGCTGCATATTCAACATGTTTGACCAACCTTCAGTAGTGCAAAATGCAAAGAAAGGCTTGTGCAATCACTTTATGAAATATTTATTTAGGAAATGAAAGCCCAGTTCCATTTATTAATTACATTTTTTAAGAAAATCATTTGGAAACATCCAAATGTTATTATTTTATCCAACAAGTAGTGTTGTTCTTTGATCTCACATCTTAAACTCTGCCTACATGAAATACAGAATGCTTTGGATACTACAGTCTCACAAGGCTCATTCTCAAAGTATGCTCTGCATGGACCTTAGAGACACCAGATTTCCGTTTCTCACATTGGAACCTAATGTTGCCAGACATCAAATGAGTAAGCTCAGGCAATACCACACATAGGAGCTCGTCAATACTCCAGAAAACTGTAGAACGATCAAATGGGTCAGTTGGAAAAACAACTAATAGAAGGAAGGCTGTGAAGTGAAAAAGGCAAGATCTAGGTTCCAATTCCAGCCCTACCACTTACTGCCCTTACCCATGTTACAGAGTATTAAGAATTATTGTCATTTTAGGTCTGTGTACTAGAGTGAAACTTTTTTAAAAAAGCTGAACAAAGAGTCAATCTATAATGTCTACGTGTGAGAAGGTAAGGCCGAGTGAGGCCACCTGGGTCTGACGACAGGGCTTAGGAGCACTTTGGTCTGGATGCCATGCAGAAGATGAGAAGTGAATGCACTGATCCTAACCAAATGACAGAGTCCAGAGAATGAGGTAAATGGCAGCTAATGAGAATGTAGCGAAAGCTTGTCTTGAAATAGAAACCCATCAAGTTCTGACAAAGTCTACAAAGAAGACAGATGGATATAAACGTCTTTGCAAAGAAAGCATCTAAAAGATAGCAATAATTAGTTCTAGTTTCTAAAATAATGTAAGAATTCTCACCTAATTAAATTAAATGTTGGCAGGGATAAATCTTATAAGCTATCATTGATGCATACATTTAAAAGTGGATTATAGAACACATTTTTTTCCTGTGCATTAGGGCAAGTCATGCTCACTTCGGAGTGCCAAAATTTGCAAATAAACATATATATATATAATATATACATATATTACATATATGTGTACATACATATATGTAATATATACATATATTACATATGTGTACATACATATATGTAATATATACGTATATTTTATATGTGTACATACATATTATATATGTAATATATATGTACATACATATATAAGTAATATATAATATGTAAGATATATGTTTATTTGCAAATATATATATAATGTGTGTGCATGTGGTTTTTATTTTTCTAAAGTTACTATTGTTTTAGTGTTGCACATACTTGTGTCTCTGTTTACTGTAATACGTGACTATTCAGTAGATACTGTATGCTGGGCACTGGGTTAAATATTAGGAATGCCAAAACGTGTCTGCTCTTGAGGAGCTCTCAAAATGTTTACCAGAGACATCGTAAACATACATAAACTTACACTATCATGTAGTAGGTATTCTAATAGATTTATGTACAAAGTACTATGGGAACACAAATGGGGAAATAATTCTGATTGGGAAAGAGGGGGGCCCATTTTTAAAGATACACAGAGAAGATCTGTGATTGGGGCATTGAGGAATAGAGAATATTTTATGCATTCTAGAATTTAAAAAATACTATTAAAAAGACGAGCAGGCCGGGCGCGGTGGCTCACGCCTGTAATCCCAGCACTTTGGGAGGCCGAGGCGGGTGGATCATGAGGTCAGGAGATCGAGACCATCCTGGCTAACAAGGTGAAACCCCGTCTCTACTAAAAATACAAAAAATTAGCCGGGCGCGGTGGCGGGCGCCTGTAGTCCCAGCTACTCGGGAGGCTGAGGCAGGAGAATGGCGTGAACCCAGGAGGCGGAGCTTGCAGTGAGCCGAGATTGCGCCACTGCAGTCCGCAGTCTGGCCTGGGCGACAGAGCGAGACTCCGTCTCAAAAAAAAAAAAAAAAAAAAAGACGAGCAATTATTTATTTCAGTTGCTTAATTTTAAACATGAATAAAATGAGAGTTGGAGCTGTTAAGTAAGGTGTTGAAAGGCACCAAAAATAAAAGGCAAAGAGAAATAAAGTACAAGGATTTCCTTGGTTTTCAGGTCACCGGACTTTCTATTTCACACAGGGACTCTATCACTGTTCAGTGGCCCTGCCTTCACAAATCCTACCCCTAGGTCCAGTTGAGGCCAGTTAATATAAGTACAAATCAGACCAATTCATATAGATCCATTACTGAATGGGAAAACACTTAAACTCAAATCTCTATTTAAAGAAGACAATGATTCAAACAACCTAGAAGTAATATTTTTAGTTGTTGTTTCAAGATGTTCCCATTTACTTACTTCACTTGCTAGGAAGTATGATGTTTATCTATATACTATTTGCTTTGGCATAAAAGAAGTATAATACGATTTCTTTTTTATTAGAATGCCAGAAATCCTTAAATGACAAGTGTTATTTATTATTTAGAATATCCCTTGAAACCCATAACCATCTGAAAACTACTTGCTAGGATCTGGCAACTTTGAATTGGGCTTTTTGCCATTTTGACAGATGGTCAGAAATATAAGAAGCCAAAATACCATATATGTGCACTGATTGTGAAAGTTTTGGGTGTGATTCTCAGCTTAATCACCCACATGGCTTTCAATGCTGATTTACATGACCATGATTAAAAAGAAGAGCACGGAAAACACACACACACACACACACACACACACACACACACACACACAAACAGCTCTTCACTTGGTAGCTAGATATAGATGCTCAAGTTCTTCTGCTGCCTTGTAGTTCTCTTGATAGATAGTCCATGTTCATTTTCAAAGCTACAGAAAAGTGCATTTTGAGTATTTGTAGGCTTCTGTATATTTCAAGCATATGCTTTTATTTGGATGTACCTTAATCCCAGAGCAGCCAGACAACAAATTTGGCACTCAAGTGTGGAATGTAGCCATATTATGCTCTCAGATGGTATGAGCAGAACATTTATATGATTTAGATTTAATATTTTTTTATAAGAAATATATTTTATTGCAAGTTTGAATATTGGTTACATGGTTACTCCAATTTGTATTTAAGGTTTTAATAGAATAACAAATAGCTCTTTATGTTATTTTGGTCACTTGGAATAACTAAATTAGTTTGGCCATATGGTGACCAAATGGCAATTATTAACTGCTCATTGATTAGCTATTACAATAATGCAAATATAACCATATTTGGGTCAATTTAGTTAAGTTACAGAAAATCTACCTTTGAATTATACCACCTATATAATCTTTTTTTTAAGAATTCAGTGATTGAACTCAATTAATTATCACTTTCAATATAACTAAGATGAATACAGTTATTCTGTTAACTAAATGCTGATATGTTTATTAGTATCAGTAGAAACCTTTTACTGCATGTTGACTATATATTGCATATTAATATAATTTTAATACATGCTAAAATGTATGCAGTATTTATATCATGAAAATTGTCTAATTCTACAAATTCTTTTGATTTCCATTAAGTGTGGTCTTCATTTTATTTCTTTCAATCATTAAATTTAAAAAGGCTTAACATTTCAACAATTATTCTGACATAGAGCAAAACAAAAATACCTATTTTTGCCTTTAATTTTAGCACACTGATTATGATTCAGTGTTAATGTTAACATTTGAAATATTAAAGGATTAGATGACAAAATATAGTATCTTATTTTCTTATTGTTTATTTTTATTAAATGAGAAATTATATAGTTTTATGGGATATAATACTGTGGAATCTTATGGGATAATATGTGGTACACATTTAAATAAATGAAAAGAATCAATACTTTCTGTAAAATTACTGTACACCAAATAAGATAATCATACTAACTGATCTTTCCCTTTCAGGAAATGAAATAGGAAAGATGATTGGCATGGCTATGTCCTTGTCTTCATCAAAATGCCAGGAGTATAATAATCACTTGACTCCTCCATTCTTTCCCAATTTGAAAAATTATATGTAGGGGAAGATCTGGCACATCATGTGAAATATAAACTTTATACTTACTACTCTTTCTTCCCACCCACTTGCCCTTCAAAATGAGACATTACTTGATTGGTTATTTGAGGATAGCGGTAATTCAAATGCAAATAGAGACCCTCTTTTGCACTTGAACTCACCATGAGGCACCTCAGAGCTCTTAATAAATAGGCCACAATGTAAATTCTTTAGAACTAAACAAAGAAAAGCATAGACAATCTAGATTTTCGTACATGAATCACATTTTTACAAGTATATAAAAATTAAATCTCCTACTAGTTGGGTGGGATGTAGAATTAGAGAAAGGCAGTTTAATTTTTTCAGTCTTTTCACCTTTGGCTCAGTAATGGCTAAACTGGAAGGAAAACTGGAAGGGAGCAATTCTTCAATTTGTTTTTCTAGTAGATTTATTTTCTTAACCTAATCCCTACATATACTGTGTATAATAACACAACACATCATATCAAAAGAGTTTCAAAGATTAACTGGGTTATTTTGAGAGGAAGTAAGTGCTTTCTCACTATATATATATATATATATGAAATGTTTATAACATGAATCTCTATATTAATGTTAATGATATGTAATGTTAATTTATAAGTATATATTCTTCGTAGTTTGGTAATTCTACTTTGGTATATAATAGCATAAAGCATGTAGAAGTATTGATGAAGTTTTAAATCTGATCAAGAAAACATAGATGATTTTTCCTAATAAATGTTGGGGCAGAGTTAATGATATATCCTTTTGGGAAAGTGAATACATATAAATAAAATCATAGAAACACAGAAGGTACTATCGTAGTAGATTATTATAATACTGTACATTATGTTATGATAGTTTTCAAGCAGATAAACATCATCTAGTTTCTTTACAGACAAAAGAGAAAGTGAAAACCTTATATTAGATACTGAATGTAACAGAAAAGAGGAAAATTGTTAATATGAAAATCTTCTGTTTATTTCCAGATGATCTCTTGTGTGCTAAAATTCATTCTTTATCTTACAGAGAAAAAGAATAAAGATCAGGATTTTCAAGGGCCATGGCTTATAACAGCCCAATACAGCTGTAAAACCTACATACAGAGTTAGGATCTATGTGATGTTACATCAGAGTAAAAGAAGAAAATGTATTCAATATTGTTTTTTAGAAAGTCATTCTATTGTAATTTATGATTCTCACATCCATTAGTATTGCAGAAATGTCACTCTCAATAATTTTATGTTTTAATCATAAAAATGTTAAGCTTAGAATAAGATTTTTTTTTCTAACTGGTGGATTGTTTTCTATTTCCCCATGCTAGGGAAAACCTTAGATTGCTAATGTTAATACATAAGATAGGATTGATATTACAATGAATTCCTAAAACAGCTGATCTTTGATTTAAAATGCTTATGGTGTTTCTATAATTTAGTCCTAAGAGGAAAAAAATACTCTCTCTCTCTCTCTCTCGTTTTACCAATTCTTCTACTTGAATATAAGTAGAAAGGCAACTGGAAGGGGACTGCAAAATATTAAAAGCAAAACCACGCCCTGTTCTCTGATGTCATCCTATGCATCTTCATTCCTTGGCTACTCACGTTGTATACCTGAGCCAGGCAGATCTTCCTTTGCTGTCTCAATAAAAGAACAAGAAGAGGTACCTAGTTTTAAAATAATGAATAAATCTAAGACTTTTAACAAAAAAAACTAGTATATTAATTAATATCCTATTGTATTTCCCTGAAGTCAAGAGATAAGTCATTTTTCCTATGGTGTTAGGTCTTATCTGATAATCAAAGTGATACAATGTATGGGCCATTTCACTGAAGATTCATTCAGCATGTTCTTGCTTATAACCCCCTGTGTCAGTGTATAATCTTGTGTCAGGTCATACAGTTCCCACGTTGTACTATAGTATTTTCAACTTTCTATTGGTTGGCTAGGGCTTACTATTACACATAAGGATTGTTAGTCTTCTGGTAATTGACATTTCATTGGGGCTGGCTGAGCCCACAAATGGGCATTAAACTTTAGATGTCATGAATTTTGCTCTTTGAAAATAATGATTTGCATTAGTTTTTTTTTCTTGCTTAGGTTGAGTTTATCCTGAGCACCAGTATTCCTTTCCTCTATGTGTTTTAATATGTCACTTTGGGTGAAGTATATTTGTTGATGTGAATTAGCTTTTGAACATCCTCAGCAATGAATTTTGTTGCATTGTTTGTGTTTTCTTCAATTCTTTGCCAAAATGTGATTCAATTTGTACTCTTGAGTTTACTAATTATTCACTACACTGCCAAATGGGCCTATCATTCCAAATTTTATTATATATTTATAGAGTAATAAAGCTCTATATAGACAACTAAGGCACCATAGTGCAAAGAAATTATCAATTCAGTTGCTGATTTCCCTGTTTCCCAAATTTATTATGTATCAAGAAAATGTGTAAAAATAGTTACGTATTCCTTTTAATTGTTCCTTAAAAAGCCAACTTGGCACCATGGGTGCAGGATGAATTTTATTTCTTCTTTCATTTGTTACTGTGTCCTGTGTTACAAGTGCTTATGCCATAAGCAAAATTTCTTCAAGGTAGCTTTAAAGGGGTAGTGATATTTTAAAAGTTTAGATTCAGGAAAACCCTGATGTCCTTGGAAGTGTGTAGCTGTAAGAATTGGCAAACATAACTTACCTGTGTAATTCATTTTTAATAAATGCATTTTGAAAATAAATACGAGTTAATTAACTTTTTACTCGTCTACTGTGCTTCTCATGCACTAGACATTTCTACTTTAATGAGATCGTTTGAATTGAACTCCAAACATTAAACTATGTTTGCTTCTTTTATTATTACCATGCTATTTATTGGATGATGTGATGGCAAATAGACACTTTCTTTCAGAAGCTGGTAGAATTTTTGTGTGAATTTATAGGATTAATAAATTAAGATGAGTCTTTAACTTTTGCATAGCATTTCAGAGGTATTTCTATAGCTTTAAGCTCTCTCTTCTAGAGAGTTGGTTTCAAAATTATGTTGATAATTAGCCAAACTACTCTGTCACCTCCTCTTTTCCAGCTCTGCATGTAACCACAGACTTGGCACACTTGGTTCTTTCTCATTGTCCTTGAGGGACATGGAGGCACCCGTGTTCGGTATGAGGGTTCAGCAGCTTACATGAAAAGCATGCAATATAACACATGTGTAGGAACACATTTGGCATTAATATTTATGTACATATAAAGACATACACTTGTAATTTAACCTTTATTAGCGCAGTTTTCAAATGTGAAAAAAAAATTCTGTAAAATTGAATTTAAAGCTGACATGGTTTCACTTGTATTAATACTTCTTTTTCCATCAGTTGGAGGAAGAACCCACATATCGGAGAATTAAACTGTAGACAGGATTCATATCAATACTGAATTTAATCTTTTCTCAAAAGGTGTAGTGAGAGTGAAGGATGTTCATAGAAGCGGAGGAATTATCATGACAAGTCACGAGGCACCTAAAGTGCTCGGCAGGGCTTCTAGAAACACTTTGCTTTACTCTTTCTTAAAAAGCAAGGGATGATATTTAAATTTTCTTGGTTTAAACACTTTTTTCTATAAAAATTAAAATACTTGTGCAATACCTATAACCACGATTTCTTGAGCACCCATCATGTAACCCTTATCGCCACTATGCAAGGGAAGCTTTGTTATCCCTATTTTACAGATGAGAAAATATCAAGGTTGGAGTTTTTTTTATTATTTGAACATGAAATATATTAAATAAAACACATATTTAGGAACCAAAGCCAGCTCAACTGATTTCAGAGTAATGTTTGATTCTTTTCTTCATAATGGCTGTTTAATAACTGTTTTGTTTAAGCTTGTGTGGCCAACCTCATCCATGGTGATTTTCCAAATCACCTATTTTTGTGGTTGTTGTTTAGAATCTCTTAAGTCACTCATTTATTCACTGGACATATAATTATTGATCACCTGGTGTATGCCAGCCACTGTGCTTGACCTGTTCTTCTGGCCTGAAAAATATCTTCCATATTTAAGTATCACACAAGTGATGATATGGTTTGGCTGTGTCCCCACCCAAATCTCATCTTGAATGATAGTTCCCACAATTCCCACGTGTTGTGTTGTGGGAAGGACCTGGTGGGAGGTAATTGAATCATGGGGGCAGTTTCTCCCATGCTGCTATTCTCATAATAGAGAGTGAGTTCTCATGAGATATGATGACTTTATAACGGGCTTTTCCCCCTTTTGCTTGGCATTTCTCCTCGCTGCCGCCATGTGAAGCAGGCCATGTTTTCTTCCCCTTCCACCATGATTCTAAGTTTCCTGAGGCCTCCTCAGCCATGTTGAACTCTCAGTCAATTAAACCTCTTTCCTCTATAAATTACCCAGTCTCAAGTATGTTTTTATTAACAGTGTGAGAATGGACTAATACTAGAGAATACTAAACTTAACTTTTGAGGGAGACAAATTCCTGTTCTTTCATTATTTTTTTGATATAGAGCAATAAAATATAATAGATATGAGCTCAGAACTCTGAATATTTATCACAAGATCTGAAAAGAGTACATTTTGCATTTCTAGTTGTTCAATTGTTACGCCATAAATCAAATTACATCAAATACTTTAGCCATAAAAAGGGATATATTTGTGTCTTTAAGAAGGTATATTGTTTCTTCTAATAGAATGATTCTGACAATTTTATTATGAGTGCAGTTACATAAATGAATCTTCTTTTCCTTTTTCTATTAATAAAGTGCTTTTAGAAATAAATTACTTCAATTTGTGTGTAATGGATAGGGACATTAAGCATAAGAGTGTGAACTGTTAATCATAACTGCCAGTCACTTATTTTTTACCCAGGAATTATCTCATAAATTTTGAAATTGGGTACTGGTTACTAAGTTTGTCTGTATTTCTCAATGTAAACCCATAATAAATCGATGTATTATACTAAATTAAATAATGAAAAATTCATGATTCGAAGGATCCTCTCTATCGACAATTTTATAGTGTTTAATTCCAGCTGATACTCTGCTTATCCCCAGAGTTAAATCAGGCTATGGGTCTTGTTTTAATAAAGGAAGTAAAAATATCTCTCAGTATTTTTGTGCAGACAAGGATTTAGGAAACTATCGGTTTTTATAAAAGTTCTTGCAAAACTGCAGCAAATACTGGAACAATGGGCTCTATGATGGCCTTTCTAGAATGATTGACAGAACACTGTGGCACTCATTTGCCAGGTGAACTACTACTTTCTAACACAGGCAGGAAGATGGAGAATCAGGAGTTGAAACTGCAACTATTGAATGCGAGAATATATTAACTTGGCTGTGATGCAGGGATCAGGAAGCCAGAATCAGGCTCCCTCCCCAAGAGAAGCTTATACCCTGGAAACAGAGTCTGGTCACAGCTAAAATGCAATTAACATCCAAGAGAGTACAGACTAGACTCTGGTATGCCAGGACTTGTGACCGTCATCAAGGTCTCTCAACTTCCACAAGGCTAACTCTGGCATCTCCATGACTTGACAACAGAAAATAGCCAATAATGGTAAGTTGTTTTCAGTCTTTTGGTGCATCTAATTGAAAGAACTGAATTTGCATTGCCTATCATGGTTACAAGGGAAATTGAGAAGTATAGTTTTTAATTTTCCATACCCTGCAGAAGAGACAGGTACACAAAAAGGTAGAGTAGTAATTAACCACAGCTAGCAGAGGTTTTGTAGTGAATAAAATCATTTTTCAAAAACAATAATTTGAATACAGTAAGAAACAGAGAAATAGTGTTACAAAGTATCAGGCAACTGAGTGACCTAGACTCTGAAAAGTAGCCAAAAGTTTTCAAACTGTATATAGACAGTCTCCCACTTTTCATAGTGGTTTGACTTTTGATTTTTTGACTTTAGGAATGGTTTGAAAACAGTGTGCATTCAGTAAAAACTACACTTCTATTTTTCACTTTCAGTACAGTATTCAATAAATTATGTGAGACATTCAACCCCTTGTTATAAAATAGGCTTTCTGCTAAAATGTTTTTGTCCAGCTATAGACTAATGTAAATGTTCTCAGCATGTTTAAGGTAGGCTGGTCTAAGCTATGATGTTTGGTAGGTGAATTAAATGCGTTTTTCTGTTACAATATTTTCAATTTATGATGAGTTAATCAGGATGTAACCCCAATCTAGGCCGAGGGGCATCTGTATGTGATTTGGAGAATGCATACTTTCATACATCATTAAGCTATACCAGCAAGCTGGAGTTTATTTAAAACCATTATAGTTTATTTTAAGATTTTTTTTTCTATGAGACATGAATACTAGAATGGAACTTTAAAAATTTTTCTTTGGAAACACGGAGTTTGCTACTATCTTGCTACCAGGTTTTCTTCTGTCTCTACATTTCTTTCCCCAGGTTCCATACCCCTTGCTTTAAATAACAGTATTTTAACTCTAAAATGAATATATCCAGATCCCAGATCTCTCCTTTGCATGCCAAACTTGCAGTCCCAAATTCATATTCAGCCTCTCATCTTAAATGCCTCTTGAATATGCCTTGGAAATAGAGATCTGATAATTCCACCAATTTAGAGTAAGAACGAATCTGTTTCTTTCTTATTTCCCATCTCAGTAAATCATGCCACCACTCATCCAATTACAAAAGATAGAAACTTGAATTTCCCTTTTGAACATTACATTACATCACCAAGGCACTAGCCCAATCTGGTTGAAAGGATACTCTTGATTTACTCTCTCAAGCACACTTCTTCCCCAATTTTCCTCATCCCAATAGATATAGATGCCTTTACCATCTACCAGTTGCTCAGGCAAAAAGTTTTGGAGTCTATCCTGATGCTTCCCTTTTCCTTATACCATACATCTAATCTATCAGCAAGTCCTGAATGTTCAGTCCTCAGAACATGCTTTGAATTCACCTGCTCTTCTGCATCCTCAATGCTATTCCTTCATTCAAACAATCATCATCTCCTCCCTGCTTTACAGAGATGGACTCCAAATTTGTTTTCTGCCTTCTACTTTTCGCTTATCTAATCTATTATCCATGCAGCCAATATAAAACCCTTGCTACTGCATGAAGATTAAATGCAAAACCCGTTCAATGGCTGAAAAGCCTGTTATAATTAATTCCTGCCTACCTCTCACACCTCTTCTCATTCAACTGTTCCCCTCTTTCACTACACCACAGTCATATTGGATTTAGACAGTCCCTTACAATAAAATTTCCTCTTTTCTAACTCAAAGCCTTCATTCCTACTGTTCCCTGATTCATGGCATCTAATCTTTTAGAAGAGCCATAACACCAGTTCTTTGAGAGATTTTTGCCCATCATGTCTAAATGAGCTTCCTCGTTAAACTCTTTTATTTCCTTCTGCTTTTTTCCTTCTTCTGAACTGTTTACCATCTGTCTTCCTCATTTGACTTTATGAGTGCATATGGGAAGCTGTGTAATATTGTTTCAGTATGTATCCTCATTTACTATGTAAATGATTAATGATTATTAATTAGTAAATGATTATTTATTACAGCATTTTTTCAAAGTGAAATGATAACATCTCAAAGTGTAAGTAGGATATCTGCTGATTTTCATATATATATATACAACGTATTTGTGGATTAATATTTTATATATACACATATTAATTTAAAAAGTTAGATGGGCATTAAGCATTCTAAATATTTGTGTTGACTTTATTTATCACACTCTGACAGATAACTCCATGCCTTCTGTGGTCAGTGACATACTTCAAGGCAAAATGAGTGAGCATTTCACAATGGAAGATAACCACAATGGTTTTTTCACGTATTAGTTCATTTAAGCACATTGTGACATGATTTTTGTGTGCCTAGTGGTATGGATTTATGAGTTATATTTTCAAATTTTAAAAGCATAAATGCTCCAAAAATTGACAAGTGATCAAAAAAAATCTTGCAATCAAATATGGATTAAAGATACTACAAAATAGATGTGAAATAAATGAGAAAGTGGCAGAACAGAACTAACACCTTTTCTCTTTAGAGCTACTCATTGGTCATGTTAAGAAGCAAAAGTAATGACACTCTAGTAAATTCTAAAAGGAGGCTGGTCAAACATTTGAAATGATCATGAAGACAATTTTCTTACAATATGACAAAACTGAGTTTGAGCATTTTGAATATGCATTACCCACCTTTGAGCCTTATAACATTGCATGCAGTTCTTTAAGCCTTCTTGATTAAAAGTCTGTTTTAATATATAATAATGTTTCTTCATATAAAATAAATGCATTTTACCAGAAAATATAAAATATTGATAAACAAATAGAATAACTGAAAATCATCTGCAATCGTGCCATCTAGAGATTACTTATATTTATCATTACCATCTTCATACATACAGTTAAATCTGTTTAACTGAAATGGGATGACTTCAAATTGATCAATAAATGTTCATGAACACCTGGCAGATTTGTCAAAAATAAAAAAGCAAGAAAAACAAAATCACAAATAAAATATATTCATTTTAAATAATCGATATTTATTAAGATAGATAACTTTTTAAAATGTTTATTGTAAGCAGGCTTGTGCTAAAATGTCGATAAACATTTTCCCATTTAATTCTTAAAATTAATCCACGAAGCTCCTGTTTTTGGTATTCTTATTTTGCAAGTGAAGAAACTGAGGCTAGGAGTACTAAATAAGCTTGATGAAATCATTGGGAAGCTTAAAAATGTCAATCTTCCTTCATAAATGCGACTTTTGACTATTCTCAACTAGAATTATTTAAAATACATGTGATCCCCAGTTGCACTTTCTGAAATGATAGGGATTTTAACTGTCAAGAGTCTCAGATGCTTCTCACAAAATTTCTTTAGAAGTTAAAGGTAGTTTTAGCCTTCTGTGCTTCAAGTCTCTCATCTGTAAAATAGCATAACAGTGTTTATATTTATAATGTTATTGTAAAAATGAGATAATGCATATGAGAGCATCTAGGAATAAATGTAAAAGTCATAAAATATAGGTTTTTATGATAAGAAAAGGAAAAGGAAAAAAGCATTCATGTGTGCCTGTGATACAAAAAGTTGTCTTGGGTGCCGTGCTTATTCTTTGATTTTCAAAACAAGGGTATTTGATATCATTTAGTTGCTTTGTTTTATAAATGAGGAAATCAAGACTTAGAAATAGAGACTGTACATAGTCAAATGCTAAAAAACAAAATGAAACAACAACAAAACAGAACCAGATTCAACCCAGGCCCAGTTGACTTCAAGCTGAAGGAATGCATGAAGCTGATGTGTTGTCTCAACTTGAAATTGTTTATTTCCATCAAAAAACTGTTGAAGATCTGTTTTTCTCTGGGGATTAAAAAATCATAATTAACCAAATAAAAAAACAAAATAATTAACCAAATAAAAACCAAATAACTAACATTAATATGCACACTTAAACCATGCATATGTTGACATGTACACACATCAGCTCTGCTGAGCTCTGTTTATGTATGTAAACTACATTTTTTTCAGTATACGTATATTTAAAACTCGAGCTACCTCATAAGTTTTACATTATTAAATGTTTAAGTTTTACATTTTAAAAAGTTTTTTTTAAATGCGTCAGTATAGACTTATTCTACTACAGGAAACAAAAGCAAAAACCTTATTTTATTTGAAGTTTCACAGCGTTGTGCTTCTCATAAGTGCTGTGATGTGCCACATGTACATGTGGTTTGAAACCTTCCTAGAGAGTAACATTACCTCGTTGTAAGTATTTCGAAACACTGCTTATAAAACAAACACAAATACTATGAACTGGAGTGCAAAATTAGATACTAAAAGATTTTTAAGAACTTACAGGCTTCGGCCGGGCGCGGTGGCTCGCGCCTGTAATCCCAGCACTTTGGGAGGCCGAGGTGGGCGGATCATGAGGTCAAGAGATCAAGACCATCCTGGCCAACATGGTGAAACCCCGTCTCTACTAAAAATACAAAAAATTACCTGGGCGTGGTGTGTGCCTGTAGTCCCAGCTACTCCGGAGGCTGAGGCAGGAGAATCGCTTGAAACCGGAAGGCAGAGTTTGCAGTGAGCCAGGCTCGCGCCACTGCAGTCCAGCTTGGGCAACAAGAGCGAAACTCCGTCTCGAAAAAAAAAAAAAAAAGAACTTACAGACTTCTGATGATCCAGTTTAAGTTATGACCTTTTGGAGAGGGATACACATTTACACATTACTTGCTTTTGTGGTTAAGGGATTGTATGAGTCAGATTTTCTTGAGGTCATGCTACATTACAAATAAGCTAAAAATACTGAGTGTTTACAACAACTATTTATTATTCACATAAATAAATTGTTTACAGATACCATCAGCTACAGGTCAGCTGCTGTCTTTGCTTCTGGTTGTGTGTCAGGTTAGGATTTGCTTCCCCTCACTTTTTATTCTGAGAATTAGGCTGCAGGAATAGCCATTGGCTGGGACACGGTAGAGGGGACATGAAGAAGAACACGGGCACAGACTTCCTACGTTTTACAAGTTCTGCCATTAGGTACCTATGTATGAGGAGTGTATCACATACACTCCCATTTCATCGGCCAAAATAAGTCACCAATGCCAATGGGAAAGGGATATGTAATCCTCGTATGGAAAGAAGGGAGTAACAAGTTGAGAAAAATAATTCAATCCGTCACAGACACTTTGTAGGAAAGTTCTTGGAAATAGTAGTATAACATACATCCTTTTATATTCATGGGGAGCCAGTGATACTCAGCTTATTGGTTCCTACTTAACGAATCATGGAACTGAGTCTCAAGTATGTTAAGTGGCCTGCTAAACATCAGTCTCCTACTTCATATCTCCCATCTCCATAAGAATGTTCTTTCATTACTTCTCTGACGTTTGGCCCAGATCAAGCGAAGAATCCTCTTTCTGTTACCACCACAGAGTAGGTAGGATACTCATTTTTGCGTTTCTTTAATGTGTAACACAGTTGATTGCTTATGGTATTGATTGATTCGATTTGATGAAATATAGTTCATTCATTCATTTATTCATCAAATATTTATTGACCATTTATCTTGAGTCAGGTACTACATTAGATGCTGCGGATAAATCTATGAATAAGACAGAAACACTCTGCTTTTATTGAATTTACATGAAGTGGGGAATACTCCATTTTTTAAATACGAGATTTGATCACTTTTTTTCTCATGACTTAAAATATCCTTATGAATTTATGTTAACATAAGTCTATTTACAAATGAAAATGACTAGAAAGGTTATATGCCATTTCATCATAGAGAATGATAAAATAGGGTAAGAGCAGAATAGAGAATATAAAAAGAGTATAATGTTCTGGGATCCTTGGGGCCTCATCCTGCAAATCATTTTTTTTAATGTATAGTTTTTCCCCTGTCATTCTAGCCCCTTCTGTGTGAACCTTTAAAGTTTTAATATTTCCAGGAAAAGGTGATTAGTATTTACTTTCAGATCCTTACACTTAAAATGGAAGATTAATGATCAATAAAGTAGTCAAATGTGAGCTGTGGTTTTCCTAGAAATATCTTGGTGTCCTGGGGGAGGCAGCCTGAATCAATGGCTAAAAGCAAAGTAGAAACTCAGGTACTAATCATTGGCTTGTCACAAGGTGCCTCAGGGTCACTAGCTTCATTGTGAAATCTTTAAATTGTGAGGTAAGATTAATCTTTAAATTGCATGGAGCATTTGTTAAAAGTTCCTAAATACTATTCTAAGGATTAGACATAAAACAAAAATTGCATTTGTATGTTTCTATCATTTTTGCTGTTTCTTTGTACCACATACTTACTGTTCACATTTATGCACTTCATTTTACAATACACTTGACTCCACACTTTTTGCATATATTACTTTGCACCGTCTTCTTGTCTAGCTTAAAAAGCTGTCAAGACACTGTTTCCTATCTTGGGAGAAGATGCTGCTTCCTATCTCAGGAATGGAGCAAATATTTTTTGATCATCAATAACAGCTAGACAAACAGAAAACACAGGTCAGCCATAATAGACACTGCTCGCCTCATACTCTGATTTGATGTGCTTTATTTGTCTCTGTGCTGCTTTACAATTTTCCCTATGACAAAATTTATATATATATGTTAATTGTTAACTAATCAATATATTTGTGTATATATTACTTACATATATATAAATATTATTAAAACTACATTTGATTCTGATAGTCATTAGTTAAACTAGTCATTTTCAAAAAATTTAGTAGGAATATTTGTAATAAATGTTCAAACGAAAGTAAAGTGACTAAAAAAAATTACCTTTCAAAGTTGGAGAGATGAAATCACAGTATTATATCTAAAAATCAGAATTTTAGGCAAACTTGAACTTGGCTAGTGGGGATTTGGAAAAGAGGAAAGGGCAATAAGAAAGCCTGAAATTGCATTGCCCAAGTGTGCCCTATGTCATCAGCATGTATCTGCATCCACTCTCATCCTTCTCTCCTTTCCTTTTTTTTCTTTTCTTGTCTTAGTGGCAGCATTTTCTCTTCCTATATGCAAGGTTAATCCCTCTGGTGTTCATGCCATACTAGCAACTCCATGTGGACAATGCATCATTAATACTTTCTCTTTGCACAGGCCATTCTCTTTAAATGAATATTAATATGACTAAACTGTTATCATTCACACACACACACACACACACACACACACACACACACACACGAAAAGGAAATCTCAATTCTGTCTACACATCGTTCTCATTATATTCCCTTTACAGCTGGTCCTCTCCATCACCTTCAGTCTGGCCTCTTGCCTTGCACTCCTCTGCAACAGACTTACTAATGCCAGCAATTATTTCTCAATCCAGGGCCCTCCCCCTTTCTCATAGAAATATATAAAGGAAGACGTGAATGGTCAAATACTCTTGGATTGGAAGAGAGTACCTGGAGCTATCTTGCTGTAAGACTGAAGGTTTTTATGGTATATATTTTACCTGAGAAATAAATGGAATATTTTCCTCACACATATGCATATATTATATCTATATTTACCTAGATATAAAGATGATTCATATCTGTCTTTTTGGCTAATGAAAAAATGCTGTTTGAATGTATTCACCATATCTAAAAATATATTTTGAGGGCCTACTCAGAGCACTCCACTGGGCTTAAATAAAAAACAGAAACCAACTGGGTTTTTGCCTTCATGAATCTTGTGTTCAATAGAGGACATCAAAATTAATTAACCATACAAATGTAAAATTAAAGCTTTCTTAAGTACATGAAGGTAAAGCATTGTAGATCAAATTTTTAATGTCCTTGATGAGAGATTATGTGCACAAAAATGAACTACTTGATACTATTTTTTAAAATATATAATTTGATGTTATTCCTTGTATTTTTAAGGTCAGTTTTCCAATTTTATTTTATTTATAAGTAAGTCTAGCTAATTTTGAAAGTAACTTTAAATATAGCCCAGATTAATGTTTGGCTTCACCTATAAATTTAATTAATTAAACTCACCTAAAGATTTTAAGCTCCATATATAAGTTTATTATATTCTACTTTCTTTTAGAATATTTCAGTTGTATAATAAACAAAACCACAAGAAAAATCTATAAGCATTTTAATAATATTTAAGAATAAGACAGAGCGCTTATAACAAATGAACCTTATGTTTTCTTAAATGTTTGAATTTTAAATATGTACTTAATACAATTTAAACTTAAAATCATGAGTCTAAATTAATATTCAAGAATACTTTAAAAATTGGTGCCCCGAGTCTGACCTATTACACTAATAGGGTAAACATTCTAAAATATTTTAAGTACATAAAAATAAACCTGCAATCCATCACTTTGAGAGGCTGAGGCAGGTGAATCACTTGAGCCCAGGAATTTGAGACCAGCCTGGCCAACATGGCAACACCCTTTCTCTACAAAAAAAATACAAAAATTAGCCAGGCACAGCGGCATGTGCCTGTAGTACTAGCTACTCAGGGTGCTGAGGTGGGAGGATAGCTTGTGCCCGGGAAGCGAAGGTTACAGTGGGCCAAGATCGCACCATTGCACCACTACACTTCAGCCTGGGCAACACGGTGAGATCCTGTCTCAAAAAAAAAAAAAAAAAAGTCTATATGTTCTTGTTTTAATAGCATAGAATACTTTATTGCCAAAAATTAATAAAATAGTTATAATTAATATCATTGTAACTATATTGATCTATAGTTATGGCAATTACAGGGGAAAATTGCATATAGCTGAATCCTTTTATATGACAGAACTAACAATATAACTGCTATGCCTCATCATTCCTTCAGGTCTCTGGCTCTTTGCCTACTTTGTAACAAACATACCAGAAACCTCATCTATCCATATTTCCTTTTTTTACTGTATGATGTCTATATTTGCATATTTGAATTTTCTGTTCCTTTCTTAACCTTTTCTGCTCAAAACTTTATAATTGTACTGGCAGTAATCGCCTTTATTCTTCTATCTGTATTTTGCAGAGTATTGAGGCAATATATCAACAGAAAAAAAGAATGAGGTTGTTAAAATGGATGGAGACTGCAGGGCAAGATACCAAATGGAAGACAGTGGTTCACAGAAAGTGATCCAGAAGTCTGCCTAGGGGTCCCCTACTTTTTTTGTTCAGATATTAACTGTGCATGAACAGGAGGAGTTAAGATGAGATCTGGCAAAAGATAACTAGTAAGGGGTCTACGAGCTGAACAAAGATCCTTGTGTTGGCCGATGTAAGATTCCCAAAGACCCAGAGTAGAGAGAACACACTGAACAACCCAGATATTTAAGTGAGTCCTCAGAATGGTCACATGTTAGAAACAAGGTAGTCTTAAAACTAAAAGTCCACTCTAGAAAACAACTGAAAACAAGCCTCCAAAAGATCCAACTCATCTGCCAGTACAAAACTGCCTTTCAGAACTAAATTAAACATTCCTGTTATCTTGAAATGAAGATAATAATAGACTCCTTACAATATATCCATGATACCAGAAAACAGTTAAAAATTATTAGGCATGAGAAGAAATAGTAAAATTTGAGCCTCTAGCAGGCAAAGGCATTAAAACATTTGTTAAAATTTGTTTAAAATATAAAGAAAAAGATGAACTTAAGTGAAAAGATGAGGAATCTAAATCTAGTCATGAAGACTATTAAAATGAACCAAATGCAGATTCTAGAACAAAAAATACAATAAGTGAAATAAAAACTTCACTAGGTATGCCTAACAGATTGACAGTGCAGAAGAAGAGATCACAATAGTGATTGTGTAGCACAGTGGTAATTATTCAAATTGAAACTCCTCAGTGAGAAAAAGGAGCTAAAATAATGAGTAGACCCTCAATAACCCGTGGGACAATGACAAGCAGTATAACACATATATAAATGAGAAGAAAGAGAAAGTGGGGGAGAAAATATTTGAAATATGCTACATTTGGAATAGAAGTTGCAATAAAAGTCACTTGCCAGCTTCTCTTTTGTATCCATTCCCTCCCAGAATGTAATCACTCCTTCCCTCTAGCAAAAAGCTTTCTTTCTAGTTATTTTGGGTTAAAAAGGAATCAGACAATGGAGTAGATTGCTTCTCTCTTTCCCTTTTTCATTTGTTTCTTATGACCTAGGTCCTCACCTCTGGCTCATTTGATAATCCTTACTCGATTCCTGTTTTAATTCATTTAAGACCAACATTTGGAATAGCAACTGCAATTGCAGTCACTATCTGATTAAACTGAAAATAATCCATAATCTGCTGCCATTCTCTGAAACTCATCTGTCTCTTGCACTGGTTAAACTGCAATGTTTAATGGCGATGTAATAGGAATCCCCACCAGAGAGTTTTTTAAGTCTTTGATGATGGCATTAATCTCTGTGTTATCCCTAGGTACACAGAATTGAACTTGGTTTAATGTTTTGGTAATGACTAGGAGTTTCAGGTGCTTCCCCTTAGTCTTGTCTGACATAATAGCCTTTAATCTATCAGCCAGAGAACCAATATGAGGATTCTGCCAGTTGCTGAAAATTATGTATTTCAACTACACACTCAGGAATTCAGTATGAAGTCATGAAATGAGTCTTAGAACTCAATGAGCTTACTATGATGTGAGCTCAAATCAAAAGCCCATCATTAAATAATGCTCAGAAGTACTGCCCTCTGGCTGGCGCAGTGGGTCACGCCTATAATCCCAGCACTTCGGGAGGCCAAGGCGGGCGGATCACGAGGTCAGGAGATCGAGACCACAGTGAAACCTCGTCTCTACTAAAAATACAAAAAAAAAAAAAAAAAAAAAAAAATTAGCCAGGCGCGGTGGCGGGTGCCTGTAGTCCCAGCTACTCTGGAGGCTGAGGCGGGAGAATGGCGTGAACCCGGGAGGTGGAGCTTGCAGTGAGCCGAGATCCCGCCATGGCACTCCAGCCTGGGCGACAGAGCGAGACTCCGTCTCAAAAAAAAAAGAAAAGAAGTACTGCCCTCTGACTGAGAGCCTGTGGAGGCATTCTGGATTCTTAGGAATTAATACTACCTCAATCCAAGGCCCAATAATATCTGAAAAATTGAGGCGTTTTCTTTCTCTCAATGGAGAATTCCCTGGTAAATTAGGACCAGTCAGGGGGGCGTTTGTTGGAAAATCTACAATATGCTCTTTGAATATGATTGCAGGGCCTTTCTTCAAGGTGTTTGATTCAAGTAGCTCTGCCCTGAGTATTGGCTAGCTGCAAATTGAGAGAGGGGGGAACAATTCTCTACTTTGATGCATCATCTCAGGCCTCTTTTTACCAGGTGAATTTTCTCTTAATAAAACAAAGAAGATTTTTGTGGATTGCCCATCTCTTTTGACTCTGCAGACTCTGTAACCAATTTTTGTATGTTAATCAGGCCAATCTGTGGAGTAGGCTTATACTGCAGCCTATCATAATTACTTGTCTCACCTGGAATTAACATTTTATCACTACTTGGCATGACCAACATCTCTCGTTCTTAAAATCAACTGTGGAGTCCACTGCCAGCATGCTTAGTCTATAAAATGTTTCCACAAAATTACATTTCAAAAAAGGCAATATATCCCTCACCAATTACTTTTTCTTAAGGCTTGGATGAAGGGAAAGATATTTATGTTTTTAACAGTGCACAACCTCTAAAGTCTTTGGATTCCTTCTCTACATTATAACAATAACTATCTGCTATCTAAACTGTATTGAGTGTGGGTCACTTTTGAATCAAACCAAACTAGCAAATAATTCAAACTACTCATAACTGTTTGTGGCCAGATTCCCCGGTAAGCGCATCAGAGCTGATAAATTCAGCTTGATTTAAAATTATTTCTCCTTCTTTGTTCTATCACCTCAGAATTAATTCTCACATGTATTCTCCAGAGATTTGTCTATATAAATCAGCGAATTTCTTGCATTTCTTTTCTAGTAAGAGCTGCAGATCTGACACTTACTATTAGGTTTAGTAACCACACAATTTCTCTTCTTTGTCTTAAAGTCACAATGTGTCAAAACACTCAGATTTATACAAATACGTCGCTGTAAATGGCAACCATGTTCTTTTCACAGTTTTACCTGCTTTATCTGGATACCCAAGGAACCATGCTGTAATCATTGCCAAATAGCTGGTCCGGTGCAATGTTTATAGCGTCATCTTTATAATTATTAATTAAATGTCATTGTAAAGCATTTGTAGGAAGCATTATTTATAATTATGTAAACAATATAATCACCGTTTGTATTTTTTTTCCTGTTCTTGTTTCCCCAAGAGTAAGAAACAAGTTAATACTGAATTAAATTGTTCCAACATTTTCTTGATTTTTTTAAGACGGAGTTTCGCTCTTGTTGCCCAGGCTGAAGTGCAGTAGTACGATCTCAGCTCACCGCAACCTCTGCCTCCCAGGTTCAAGCGATTCTCCTGCATCAGCCTCCAAAGTAGCTGGATTACAGGCATGTCCCACCATGCCCGGCTAATTTTTGTATTTTTAGTAGATATGGTGTTTCACCATGTTGGCCAAGCTGGTCTCGAACTCCTGACCTCAGGTGATCTGCCTGGCTTGGCCTCCCCAAATTCTGGGAATACAGGCGTGAGCCACAGTGCCCAGCCAGAGCAAGCTTTCAAAGTAATTAGTTCTCCCCTGATTCTCAGTTTTTAGTGTTTCTCCATTTCTTTTCTTAAATTATAAAGTCCAAGATTGTTTTCAAGACACATGAGGCTAGTTATTCAGAGAAGGTTGCCCTTCTCCAAACCAGTATCACCTCACTTTCTTACTCTGTACTCCCATATATAGAGATGCCTGCTGTTTCAAAAAAGGATCATGCCACTTCCTGCTTCCTCTCTCACCTTTACCCATGCTGCTTCAATGTTCTGGGGACAGTGGACACTTGTCCACTTTTAATGGCCTCACTTCATGAGATCCATTGACTGGGCAGGCAGCATTAAGCACTCACTCCTCTGGGTAATACCATGCTATGTTTGAATAATTTTGTTTGTATCTTTGTCCACTCCCAGGTTAGTGGTTAAGAGTTTCTCAAAATACAGGTAGGTAATGGCTTAAATGAGGTGGGAAAATAAGGATTAAGTACAATTAAATAGAAAAATGAAGCTTAAATTCCTTGATATTGTAACATTATTATAATAAAATGCTTCTTTTTCAGAATTCAAGTTGAGTTTACTAAAACTTCTGCTTACTTTCAAATCTTGAGATGTGTTTCAGTCTTGCTTCTGGGGTATAATTCAGTGAGACACAGGTACATTACTAAGGTCTTATTATTAGGTTATTCTGCTTATTCTCTTTGCCGTAATCTCCAGAATCAAACTCCTTCCTTCCTCCTCCTGTCCCCTTCAGGGCCTCAGGCAGTCAACCTTCATGGATTGCATTGACTTCCCTTGTTGGCTTATTCTAGTGGGATTTGGCTAATGGGATTCACTGGTGGTGGATTTGGGGTCCACTGGTGAAAGACTGCAGAGGAAAGAAGGAAGAGATCGGATCAGAGCATCTCCTGACCTCTTTCTTCCGCTCTAAGCCACATTTCCAGCAACAGCTGAATCCTCCAGGACTGTAACTCCTGTCTGTTAGTTATTTTCCACACTAGAGTTCCCTGGGCTTCATTAACACATCGTTTCCTTAACCCTTTAGGCCAAGAGGTGATAAAGGCTTCTCATGTTTGCTAATCTCTGGCTGCTTCAACACACTATTTTTTTTTAACTCTCTTCAAACCCTTCATTAGAGTCTCTTGAACAATCTTAGTGTGTTCTGTTTCCAGCATAGTCCCTGATTATATAGAATGTTTCTGGTCTGCTTTCTGGTTTGTGGTTCATCTTAGGCTAATATACGCCTTTATGTGTACCTCTTTAACACTAAAATGTATTATTAATTTATCTTCTTGCTGCTATTATGGGAGCAAATTTTAATGCAGTTAATTTATTTATGATCTGCAGAGATATGATAATAATTTATAGCTTTCCCAAAAAATTATGACATCTTTCTTGGGATGGGTGAAAATATAGATGAGTCTTTTTTCTTCAAAATAATAAATTATAACTTCAGCATATATCTTCCAAGCTTAAATTATGCATCATAGATTACTTTTTTCAGTGGTGAATTACAATATATTATATGTGATCAGTGAAAACTCCATATGCTTTATTATTCCCACAATTTTGATCAGTAGCAGGGTCAATTAATGGTCATATTGAAAATCTTGTAGCAGTGATTGTCTTTAATTTTAGTCTATTAAAAAGTTCCAAGGCATATCAAAACTGTAGGCTTTTTTATTACATAAACATGATTAGAGGTAATTTAGAAACCACGTAGTACCTGTTTCCTGGTAAAATGTATTGAACTTGATTGTTGTTCACTCAGATAAAGTAAAGAAGTTAGTACAAGCAGTCCTTGCTTTTCACGGTAGTGTAGGACTTTTAAAAGATGTGAAAGCTGGCAGTACAAAGTGATCTCCTTATCAATGAGAAAATTACAATTGTTCTATGATTTTTAAAGTTTTTATTTTTCGGAACATTAAGGCCTCTCCTGATATTATCTGTTATAAATGTAGGGGAAATGAAAACAAATAATATAATTTATATTCTTAGAACACTGTAATTTAAATCATTTAGAAACATTGAGAATTTGTGTTTTATTTCACTGTAAAAATCTCGTTGAGAGTGGTTTGAATGGTGTTTGCCTCCTTCTTGTCATATAATTTCAAACAGTAAGTGTCTTTCCTATGCCTTAACAAACCAACATACTCTTCCCAAGGTTAGATGAGCTTTTAACATTTCATCTTTTGAATTTTTGAAGGTATGAAGTTTTGTTGAGAATCCCCTTAATATAATTTTTTTTTTTTGGCTGGCATCACTTCCTCTGGGACGTCATCATCATTTTATCCTTATCCTTTTCATTATATTGATAAGCTCACCGTCATTAAGTTCCTCTTGACTGCATACATGCAGTAGTCAACATTCCTTCTCTTAGTCAACCATGCCTTCTATACCCCCATCTATTCAAATTTCACTTCCAGTATCATCACTTTTCATTTCTTTGCTGAAATTACATCTTCCTTATCCAGTTCCTCCTTTTGATTATTTGTTTTATAAAATGTTGCATGGATTTGTGACTAGAAGACAAGAAGACAACACAATGACTTGCTTAGCTATCTCTGTGTGAACGGAGCAACAGATGCATTGTGACAAAACACCCACCTTTCTGAAAGAAATGACGTGATTGGCCGCTGAACATGAGTTGCATCTGTTATTTACATAGTAATCTGTGGCCTGAAGAGCTAGCAGCAAATTTTATATCTTGTGTGATTGTTCATGGTTAATATGCCGTGGTAACTAAAATTTGAACAATGTTGTTTAAGTACTGATATTATAGACTTAAAGTGTGGTAACGAAAATCAGTACATATAAAACTGTGTACAATGAGGGCTACTTGGATTACTGTTAGAATTTTAACATGATATGACTCTTTTTCATTATTTAATGTTGTCTAAGTCCCTGTTATATATCAGACCTATCTTGACGTGTGCAAAAGTCATGATGATTTGTGACTTTAAACAAAATTTATATTAAAATGAAAATAATTAGTATATTTTTTTTCTCCAGACCACAGATTTTAGCAGGGTTTACAACTTTTCAACAAATATTATCAACACCAAAGCAAAACACTGGCCTCATTTCCTAAATCATTTCTTTTGGACATTAATATAAATGTGTAAAAACTAGGCTTAAAAACTGATAACAGAGTTTGGGATCTGTTGTTCAGACACAGCTTGTTTTGCTTTTTAGCAATAATCTCAGACTAAAGTTAGGATTATCCAGTAACTTGCTAGAATAAAGAGAACAAATAAGTTTTCTAAGTTTTAGATGGAATAGAGAAATTTAGTAAATTGTAAAATTAAAATCATATTTTATCTGATGTAAACTAATTAAATAGTCTTCATGGTTTGGTTGATCAAGAAGTATACAAAATTAGAATCCAATATCTAGATCAATTAAGGTAAAAATTTATTAACTATACTCAGGAATATAATTTAAAATCTACAAATCTATTTTAAAATCTAGAACAGTACCAAAAAAGGCTCTAAATCAACTATCCAAAAACACATTGAAATCCAAGAACAGATGTTGTAATAACATTTTACTTACTGGCGTATGACTATTAACAACTCTTTGTAATTTCACATGGTGTAGAAAGATGTTGATAGCCTGAACCCTACTATTGTTACTGATGGCTTATGTTCATGTACTAAAAAGCCAGATGCTAATGAGAGGTTTTCTCATTTGTTTATGTATTTATGTACTTGTTCAGTCATTAATTCATTCATTCATCCCTGTGTTTATTCATTTCTTTAGTAAATATTGCTAATGTTAATATCCCATATGCCAAATACCATGAGTCTAATAATGAATCAAAAAGCCATAATTTTTGCCCTTGTGGAGTTTATAGTCTAATCAACGAGCAGATACTTAGCTAGTAAATATGTATTAGCAAATATATAATCACTAACTTACGTGGGGAAAAAAATAACGAAATGAGCTGAGGGACAAAAAGAAGGAAACTATTTTAAATAAGGTGTTCTGAAAGTTCCATTCAATAAGGTGACACTTATACTGAAACTTGAAGGAACAGATGCACCTGCCTAAAGAGTAAAGTGCCTTTGGTCAGGTGCAGTGTCTCACTCCTGTAATCCCAGCACTTTGGGAGACCAAGGCAGGCAGATCACCTGAGGTCAGGAGTTCGGGACCAGCTTGGCCATCATGGTGAAACCCCGTCTCTATTAAAAATACAAAAATTAGCTGGGTGTGGTGGTGGGCACCTGTAATTTCAGCTAGTTGGGAGGCTGAGGCAGGAGAATCACTTGAACCTGGAAGGCGGAGGCTGCAGTGAGCTGAGATCACGCCACTGTGCTCCAGCCAGGTCGACAGAGCATGACTCTGTCTCAAAATAAATAAATAAATAAATAGCCTTCTGTGCAAGAAGTAAGTAAAATTACGAAGGTGAGATTTTATTGCCTCTAAGAATATGAAAGTCTAGTTGGCCAGAAAGTAATAAGAGAGAGTGGTATGAGCAGGAAAATGGGGTCAAAGGCCTGAACATTAAGAGCCCTTGAAGCCATAGATTTTATTTTAAGTGCAGATGGAAGCCCTTGGAAGGGTTTTATAAAAAGAATGATATGAACTGATTTACATTTAAGTTATTAATTTGGACGATTGGTAGACTGGAACAAGAAGCCTATCCTTAATGAAGAAAGAGGAGACAATAGAGTAGACAGGGATGTGATATTCAATGAGGCAAATGTAGAATTTAACATGCTAGTGTGATGTCAGTAGGGAGAGCAATACTAGCTTACTTCCTATCTAGAGAAGGTTACTCAAGGATTGACTCCTCCTATGTATCTGCAGCTGTATGAGTCATCAAATTTAACATTGCTTACTGTGCTCTACCAATTACAACCTATTATTGACTTCTGTTACACAATCCTGACCCTCATTTGTTGACCCATCCTTATATTTGTGCAAGGATGTGTGTGCCTACTAGACTAAATTTATTAGTTACCACAGCTGCATCAGTGTCTTCCAGTGCCAACCCCATCCAGCTTGGCCATATTTCATTCCACTCTTAGTTCCCTTAACTCTTCAATCTGTTCAGTCTTGCCAAGCAGTGTCCTAAATATTAGAATTGACTTGTTCTAGATCCATTCAGAAATATCTGGCTAAGAGGCTCAGTTCTTGTTAATAAATTATGTGGGCAAATTTTATGTCCTACTCTATGATTAAACTCCTATAGGAGAAATGTATGTTAATGTTATTTCTATCTTTTTATAAGTCAATATCCATTTTTATCTTTTTCTAAACTCTCCTAGATAATTCTATTTTTCATTGCTTTAAATACCTTGTAAATATAGACATTTCTCCATTTTTTCTTCCAGCCAAGCTAATTCTTCTAAGTGCCAGACTCATGTATCTCACTTGACATATCCTCATAAATGCCTCATAAGCATCTAAAAATTCACATGTTCATATTTGATCCTGTTCTCCCTCCAGCCCCCCACTAAAAAAAGCAACAACTTGTTCCTTTCTGAATTTTCCATTTCAGAAAAGGACAGTAGCTTCAGTTTAGCTGTTGAGCAGTCAATTCTGACTCCTTTGCCTTCAAGACCCACATAGAAAAAAAATAGAAAATTCTTTGGACAGTATCTTCAGAAATTATCTAGAATGTATCCACTTTTCTTTTCACATTGCTTTCCCCCATAATCCTTCATTGCTTCTTACTTTGCTCCTACTCTAACTTACTAATGGATTTAGCTGATTACACCTTTGCTTCTCTCCATTCATGCCAAAGATGAGCATATCCATGGTGCCTTATCTCCAGAGACACAAGCAATCAAACACAGCAGGATTTCTATTTACACGTAGCACTTTCCTCTAGCTGATTCAAAATTTATTCAATGCTACAATTAACTCAAGGAAGAAGTTGCCACAATAAACCAACCTTGAAATTTCAACTAAGTAGAAAGCATCCTGCATTACTGTGAACATGAAAATATGTTTATTTTTATTAGTTTTTGTGTGTGTTTATCTTTTTTGTTTTGTTTAAAATGTTCTTTTAAGTTCAGATATACAAATGCAGGTTTGTTACATAGGTAAACTTGTGTCATGGGAGTTTGTTGTACACATTATTTCATCACCTGGGTATTAAGTCTAGTACACATTAGTTATATTTTTTGATTCTCCCTCCTGCCACTCTTCACCCTCTAATAGACTCCAGTGTGTGTTATTCCCCTCTACGTGTATAGAAAAACCATGCAGCATTTGGTTTTCTGTTCCTGTGTTAGTTTACTAAGGCTAATGGCCTCCAGCTACATCCATATTCCTGCAAAGGACGTGACCTTGTTCTTTTTTATGGCTGCATAGCATTCCATGGTGTATATATACCACATTTTCTTTATCCAGTCAATAATTGATGGGAAGTTAGGTTGATTTCATGTCTTTACTATTGTGAATAGTGCTGCAATGAAAATATACATGCATTTTTTTCTTTTTTTGAGACCATCCAGTACTACCTCAAACAAATTCAACCCCCAAAATAAAAATGTTCTTATAATTACTGCATTTCAATTCTTACATTTATTATATTTTAGTGTGTTTTGGGAGAAATCAATGAGATTATTTTCAAAGTTCCTAGCTTTTGTGAAGAAATAACAATCTTTATACAAATAGCCAGTAGTCTGATTTAAAATGATTTTATCTTAGGGCATCCTTTGCAAAGATCTAAAAACTCAAGTATGTATTCCTTATCTGCTAAATCATAATCTAAATGTAATACATTTAAAATCTTGTCATCAAAGCTAAATACAATTTTAAAGGGCAATTGTATTTGGTTTAAAAATTAAGTAAAAGGAAGTGTTTATGGAGATAGAAGGAACAAGCGTGAGTTGAATAACTTAGAAATCATCTTCCTCATCTGACGCCACATGGGAAATTTTGTGGTGGGGGCTCAGAAATTGTTTTTATTATTATTTTAAAACATAAGTGACAGTGCACAACTTCTGCTTAAACTCCACTGTTATAGCCCATTACATTTACAAATAGCTCAAATAATTGGACAATCTATCCCTTTTTTGGCCTAACACTTTGGCCCATGGTCTGCTCTTTGAAACTCTACTCCAATCTAATTTCTCTTTCTTCAAATTTTTGAAGACATTTAAGGAAAGCTCTTTGTGTCTTATCAGACAACTTTTCTACTTTAACCTAAGTTATGGTTCTTTTCCATCTTTCTTCATATGATTCTTTGTCACTGTTCAATAGTTTTCGGCATTCATTCTGGGCTATTATTCTGAATTCATATCCAATTTGCAAGTCTATATTTTTTCAGAATCTTTCTGTTATTTACCCTTCATAAACTTCTGTAGAATTTTGTTTCATAATTTATGTGGAAACATTTCTACTGTCTCTAAATTTTCTAAGTTTATGGAGTCATGCTTAAAAGTTATATCAGTGTCTTGATATATAATGATTTTGATCATAAAAATTTGAATTCATTTAAAAGAAGAAGAAATTTCTTTCTTGTCATAATACAATGCGAGTTCCAATTTTCTTATAATGATATTCAACAGCCATTTCCTGATTAAAGATAAGCCTAGATGGATGAGAATCTGAAAACACACAAAAAACTAAAACAAACAAAACAAAGCCCCTTTTTTCAGAATCACTGTCAAAGTTCCGTTTGCTCAGTTGAAATTAAAAATATCCAGATGATTCTTTTTTCTATTATTTTATAAGATGCTTGCTAATTTATCCTGCATGAAAATTACATGAGAATATTGGAGCTCTCCAAGTAAAGCTCATCGTATTACATACATAGTTTTCTCTCCAGAAACAAATGGTCTGATTTCACAAAATGCATAGCCAGATTTTCAAGTAGTTTAAATCAATCCATATTTACATGGTCTCAACTGTATAGCACTAATAGAAAAAAAAAGAGATATGAAATACATATTAATCTGTAATTTGTGACCCTTTCTCATATCCCACGTAGTAAAAACCTGAGTTTTATTTTCTCACATGCTTGCAAGAGGTAAAGGAATTAGCACCCCAGCAATGCAGGCTCACAGTGAATGTTTCATATCACTGGTTAGTAATGCTACATATTAAATTCAACCACCTCCTCTTCTTGGTACAGTTACTGTGTGATAGAGTTTCAACAGCTTTTTTTTTTCTTCCCCTCCTCATTATGAAACAGATATTACAAGGGCTAAAAGGGGTCATACATTAACTGGATGAGATCCAATTATGGGAAAAACCAGAGCAGTACTCTTGGGCAAACTGAAAGCTGTACTAAAGTGATCACATGACTACACATTAAGAAGCATGAAAATGTTCATTTTTTCCAAGATAATTTAATATATGTATGTCAGTAAAATTATGACTAAAGGATCCACTCAGTCAGATATAGATACAAAGTGACTAGGATTCCTAGAAAAAGAAATAATTTCTTCCATTTAAAAAGCCATTTCATATTTGATATTTGTTAGTATGATGCTTATTTAAATTGTTATAGAAGTATGCATTTGGGAAATGCACAATTGAATAATTTATTTGAAAGTAACTGAAGAATTCTTTTTGGCTTTCCACCTGTATTTAAAATATTTTTCAATTGAAGTTGCTATTGCAGTATTACAAGAAAACCATGGCCTCATACAAATTGTTAAACAACTTGAATTCATAGGTTTGAATATAAAAATCATGTTTTTCTAGGAAATTATCATTATCTGAGTGGCAAATGATATACTCAAAAATATATTGATGCAAGTGCGTATCTACTTTTAGCAGAAACCAAGCATTTTTTATGTTTCGCTTTTGAAGATAATATATGTGGAAGCTTAGCTGCCACTTTCACTTTGAACATCAGTAACAGCCTAAACATATAAATACATAAATCCAAGAGTTAATAAGGTTAATGGACTACTTTGTACCTGTCCAGGAGGACACAAAACAAATAGACTTGGTAACTATTTCCATGTGTCTGAAATTCTCAACTCTGGTGAAGTGGCATTAGGATCATGGTGGATGGGAGGCAGGACTAGATTGTCACCCTGGACAGAGCAGCAAGCGGAGGCTTGCATTGTGAATTTTAGCTCCAGATCAACAGCAAGAACAAACCTGCAATCCCGAGAGGACCCACAGACCCTCTGAAGGAAGCGGACTGCTACTGCAAAACCTGGGAGACACCCCAAATACTCTGGGAGGCGGATAGCCTTAGGCAAGTTTTCAAGCTCATCTCACCCTCCACCTGGTGGAAACAGACTCCAGGCTGTTGGTGGTGGCACGGTGGAAGTGAAACTGGCCCTTCAGTTTGGGTGGGAGCTGGGTGAGGCCTGTGACTGCTGGCTTTCCACTTCCCTGCCATAATCCTTGTAGGTACACAACTCCAGTGACCTGGGAATCTCACCCCATCCCCCACAGCAGCCACAGCAAGACCTGCCCAAGGAGAGTCTGAGCTCAGACATGCCTAGCTCTACCTCCACCTGATAGTTCCTTCCCTACCCATCCTGGTAGTGGCAGACAAAGGGTGTATAAATTTGGGAGTTCTAGGGCCCCGCCCAACACCTGTCCCTCTCCACAATACTACAGCTGATGCTTTCTGGAAAGCGCCACCTTCCAGCAGGGAAATAGAGTATTCAACCACCAAAGCTAAGGACCCTCATGGAGTCCATTGCACTCCTTTACCACCTCTACTGGAACAGCCGCTGGTATTTGTGACTGAGAGACCCATAGACAGTTCATATCACAGGACTCTATGCAGACAACCCCAGTACCAGCCTGGAGCCTGGTAGACTAGCTGGGTGGCTAGGCCCAGAAGAGAGACAATAGTCATTACAGTTTAGCTCAGAGGAAGCCACATTCATAGGAAAAGGGGGAGAGTACTATATCAAGGGAACACCCCGTGAGACAAAAGAATCTGAACAACAGCCTTCAGCCCTAGACCTTCCCTCTGACAGAGGCTACCCAAATGAGAAGGAACCGGAAAACCAACCCTGGTAATATGACAAAACAAGCCTCTTCAACACCCCCAAAAATCACATTAGTTCACCAGCGGTGGATCCAAACCAAAAAGAAGTCCCTGATTTACCTGAAAAGGAATTCAGGATGTTAGTTACTAAGCTAACCTTAATTAGCTTGTTATTAAGCTAACCCAGGGAGGGGTCAGAGAAAGGTGAAGCTCAATGCAAGGAAATCCAAAAATAAAATGATACAAGAAGTGAAGGGAGAAATATTCATGGAAATAGATAGCTTAAAGAAAAAACAATTAAAAATTCAGGAAACTTTGGACACACTTTTAGAAATCTGAAATGCTCTGGAAAGTTTCAGCAATAGAATTGAACAAGTAGGAGAAAGAAATTCAGAGCTTGAAGACAAGGTCTTCGAATTAATCCAATCCAACAAAGAAAAAGAATAAGAAAATATGAACAAAGCCTCCAAGAAGTCTGAGATTATGTTAAATGACCAAACCTAAGAATAATCAGTGTTCCTGAGGAAGAAGAGAATTCTAAAAGCCTGGGAGACATATTTGGGGGAATAATCGAGGGAATTTACCCTGGCCTTGCGAGAGACTTAGCCAAATACAAGAAGCACAAAGAACATCTGGGAAATTCATCACAAAAAAAAACCTTCACCTAGGCACATTGTCATCAAGTTATCCAAAGTTAAGACAAAGGAAAGAATCTTAAGAGCTGTGAGAGAGAAGCACCAGGTAACCTATAAAGGAAAACCTACCAGATTAACAGCAGATTTCTCAGCAGAAACCCTACAGGCTTCAAGGGATTGGGGACCTATCTTCAGCCTGCTCAAACAAAACAATTATCAGCTAAGAATTTTGTATCCAGCAAAACTAAGCATTATATATGAAGGAAAGATACAGTCGTTTTCAGACAAACAAATGCTGAGAGAATTCGCCATTACCAAACCAGCACTACAAGAACTGCTAAAAGGAGCTCTAAATCTTGAAACAAATCGTGGAAACACATCAGAGCAGAACCTCTTTAAAGCATAAATCACAGGATCTATAAAACAAAAATACAACTTAAAAGGCTAAAACAAAAAAACCAAAGTACACAGGCAACAAAGAGCATGATGAAAGCAATGATACCTCACATTTCAATACTAACATTGAATGTAAATGGCCTAAATGCTCCACTTAAAAGATACAGAACTGCAGAATCAATAAAAACTCAGCAACGAACTATCTGCTGCCTTCAGGAGACTCACCTAACACATAAGGACTCATATAAACTTAAAGGGGTGGAAAAAAAGTATTTCATGCAAAAGGACACCAATAGCAGCAGGGGTAGCTATTCTTATATCAGACAAAACAAACTTTAAAGCAACAGCAGTTAAAAGAGACAAAGAGGGACAGTATATAATGGTAAAAGACGACATCCAGCAGGAAAATATTACAATCCTAAACATATGTGCATTTAACACTGGAGCACCCAAATTTGTAAAATAATTACTAATAGATCTAAAAAATGAGATAGACAGCAACACGATAATAGTGGGGGATTTCAGTACTCCACTGACAGCACTAGACAGGTCATCTTGACAGAAAGTCAGCAAAGAAACAATGGATTTAAAGTATACCTTGGAACAAAGGGGCTTAACAGATATATGCAGAACATTTCGTCCAACAACCTCACAATACACATTCTATTCAACAGCCCATGGAAATTTCTCCAAGATAGACCATATGATAGGCCTTAAAACGAGCCTCAATAAATTTAAGAAAATTGAAATTATATCAAGCACTCTCTCAGACCACAGTGAAATAAAACTGGAAATAAACTCCAAAAGGAACCTTCAAAACCATGCAAATACATGGAAATTAAATAATTTGCTCCTGAATGAGCATTGGATCAAAAAAATCAATATGGAAATTAAAAAATTATTTGAACTGAATGACAATAATGACACAACCTATCAAAACCTCTGGGATACAGCAAAGGCAGAACTAACAGGAAAGTTCCTGCCCTAAATGCCCACATCAAAAAGTCTGAAAGAGCACAAACAGACAATCTAAAGTCACACCTCAAGGAACTAGAGAAAGAAGAATAAACCAAACCCAAACCCAGCAGAAGAAGGGAAATAGCCAAGATCAGAGCAGAACTAAATGAAATTGAAACAAACAGCCAAATAAAAAAATACAAAAGATAGATGAAAAGAAAGCTAGCCCTTTGAAAAGATAAATAAAATTGAGAGACCATTAGCAAGATTAACCAAGAAAAGAAGAGAGAAAATCCAAGTAAGCTCAGGAAGAAATGAAATAGAAGATATACAACTGACACCACTGAAATACAAAAGAACATCCAAGGCTACTATGAACATCTTTACACACATAAACTAGAAAACCTTGAAGAGATGGATAAATTCCTGGAAAAATACAACCTCCTAGCTTAAATCATGAAGAATTAGACCCTGAACAGATCAATAACAAGCAGTGAAATTGAAATGGTAATTTTAAAAATTACCAACAAAAAAAAGTCCAGGACCAGATGGATTCACAGCAGAATTCTACCAGACATACAAAAAAGAATTGGTATCAATCCTTTTGACACTATTCCACAGGAAAGAGAAAGAAGCAACCCTACCTAATTCATTCTATGAAGCCAGCATCACCCTAATACCAAAACCAGGAAAGGACATAACCAAAAAAGAAAACTACAGACTGATGTCCTTGATGATCATAGATGCTAAAATCCCTAACAAAATGCTAGCTAACTGAACCCAACAACAAATCAAAAAGATGATCCACCATGATCAAGTGGGTTTCAAGTCAATAAATGTGACACACTACATAAACAGAATTAAAAACAAAAATCACATGATCATCTCAATACTTACAGAAAAAGTTGTCAACAAAATCCAGCATCCTTTTTGATTAAAACTCTCAGCAAAATTGGCATACAAGGGACATACCTTAATATAACAAAAGTCATCTATGACAAACCCACAGCCAACATAATACTTAATGGGGAAAAGTTGAAAGCATTCCCTCTGAGAACTGGAACAAGACACGGATGCTTACTCTCACCACTCCTCTTCAACATAGTACTGGAAGTCCTAGCCAGAGCAATCAGACAAAAGAAAGAAAAAAAGGGCATCCAAATTGGTAAAGAAGAAGCCGGGCTGTTACTGTTTGCTGATGATATGAAAACCCTAAGGACTTCTCTAGAAAGCTCCTGGAACTGATAAAAGAATGCAGCAAAGTTTCGGGATACAAGATTAATGTACACAAATCGGTAGCTCTTCTATATACCAACAGCGACCAAGCAGAGAATCAAATGAATAACTCAACCCCTTTTACAATAGCTGCTAAATAAATAAATAAATAAATAAATAAATAAAATACTTAGGAATATACCTAACAAAGGAGTCGAAAGACCTCTACAAGGAAAACTACAAAACACTGCTAGAAGAAATCATAGATGACACAAACAAATGGAAACACATCACATGTTCATGGATGGGTAGAATCAATATCGTGAAAATGACCATACTTCCAAAAACAATCCACAAATTCCATGCAATCCCCATCAGAATACCACCATCATTCTTCACATAATTAGTAAAAACAATTTTAAAATTCATATGGAACCAAAAAAGAGCCCCCATAGCCAAAGCAAGACTAACCAAAAAGAACAAATCTGGAGGCATCACATTACCTGATTTCAAACTATACTATAAGGCCATAGTCACCAAAACAGCATGGCACTGGTATAAAAAATAGGCACATAGGCTAATGGAACAGAATAGAGAACCCAGAAAAAAACTCAAAAACTTACAGCCAGCTGACCTTTGACAAAACAAACAAAAACATTAAGTGGGTAAAGGACACCCTTTCCAACACATGGTGCTGGAATAATTGGCTAGCCACATGTAGGAGAATGAAACTGGATTCTTATCTCTCACCTTATACAAAAATCAACTCAAGATAAATGAAGGACTTAAACCTAAGACCTGAAACTATAAAAATTTTAAAAGATAATGTTGGAAAAACTCTTCTAGACATTGGCTTAGGCAAGGAGTTCATGACCAAGAACCCAAAAGCAAATGCAATGAAAACAAAGATAAATAAATAGCTGGGACCTAATTAAACTAAAGAGTTTTTCCACGGCAAAAAGAACAGTCAGCAGAGTAAACAGACAACCCACAGAGCAGGAGAAGAATCTTCACAATCTATATATCTGACAAGGACTAATATCCAGAATCTACAACAAACTCAAACAAATAAGTTAAGAAAAACTCAAACAGGCTGGGCGCGGTGGCTCATGCCTGTAATCCCAGCACTTTGGGAGGCCGAGGTGGGCAAATCATGAGGTCAGGAGATGGAGACCATCCTGGCTAAGATGGTGAAACCCCGTATCTACTAAAAATACAAAAAAGTTAGCTGGGTATGGTGGTGGGTGCCTGTAGTCCCAGCTACTCATAAGGCTGAGGCAGGAGAATGGCATGAACCCGGGAGGCGGAGGTTGCAGTGAGCCGAGATCACACCACTGCACTCCATCCTGGGTGACAGAGCAAGACTCCATCTCAAAAAAAAAAAAAAAAAAAATCAAACAATCCCATCAAAAAATGGGCTAAGGACATGAATAGACAATTCTCAAAAGAAGATACACAAATGGCCAACAAACATATGAAAAAATGCTCAACATCACTAATGATCAGGGAAATGCAAATCAAAACCGCAGTGTGACACCACCTTACTCCTACAAGAATGGACATAATCAAAAAATCAAAAACCAATAGATGTTGGTGTGGATGTGGTGAACAGGGAACACTTCTACACTGCTGGTTGGAATGTAAACTAGTACAGCCACTATGGAAAACAGTTGGAGATTCCTTAAATAACTACAAGTAGAACTACCATTTGATCCAGCAATCCCACTACTGGGTATCTACCCAGAGGAAAAGAAGTCATTATTCGAAAAAGATACTTGCACACACGTTTATAGCAGCACAATTAACAACAGCAAAATTGTGGAACCAACCCAAATACCCATCAATCAATGAATGTATAAAGAAACTGTGAGATATATAGATAGATAGATAGATGTTATCTATATACATGTATATACACATATGTATCTATATATATATGATGGAATACTCCACAGCCATAAAAAGAAATGAATTAATAGCAATTGCAGTGACCTGGATAAGATTGGAGACTATTATTGTAAGTGGTGTAATGTAATTCAGGAATGGAAAACCAAACATCATATGTTCTCACTGATATGTGGGAGCTAAGCTATGGGGATTCAAAGACATAAAAATGATATAATTTGGGGGAGTTTGGGGACTTGGGGGGAAGAGTGGGAGGGGGCAAGGAATAAAAGACTACAAATAGTGTGCAGTGTATACTGCTCAGGTGATGGGTGCACCAAAATCTCACAAATCACCACCAAATAACTTACTCATGTAACTCAATACTACCTGTACCCCAATAACTTATGGAAAAATAAAATTAAAATTAAAAACTAAATATTAAAAACGATTACTTTCATTTGCAAAAAAAATTTATGTGGAATGTATTATTTCAAGTATAAACTTTCTGTACTAAAATGTTACCTTTAAAAATCTCAACAAGAGGTAATTTGTGCTTTACAAAACCCTATTGGAATCCTTTTATTGTCCTTCACAATTCAGAATTGTTTTCAGAATTTTAAATTCAAATGCATAAAACAGTTATAAGTAGATACTGGCAGATTTTTTAAAAACTTTATTTTCAGTACTGATTTTGTTATCTATCAGAGTACAAGCACATCTTGTTTTATTACTCTTCATTCATTTTATTGCACTTTGCAGATATTGCATTTTTAACAAAGTGAACATTAGTGACAACCCTGCTTTCAGCAAGCCTATCAGTGTAATTTTTCCAATAGCATGTACTCACTTCATGTCTCTGTGTCACGTTTTTGTCATTCTCTCAATACTTCTAACTTTCTCATTATTATTTGATGTGTTATGGTGATAAGTGATCAATGATCTTTGATATTACTATTGTAATTCTTGTGAGGAACCATAAACCACACCCATATAAGATGGCAGCTGAATCCATAAATGTTGTATGTTTTCTGACTGCTCTGCCGACCAGCCATTTCCCATCTCTCTTTCTCTCATTGGGCCTGCCCATTTCCTGAGACACAAAAATATGGAAATTAGATCAGTTAATCCCACAATGGCCTCTAAGTGTTCAAGTGAAAAAAAGAGTAGTTACACAGCTTTCACTTTAAATCAGAATTTAGAAGTGATTAAGCTAAGTGAGGAAAACATGTCAAAAGCAAAGATAGACAAAAACCTAGGCCTCTATGCCAAACAGTTAGCCAACTTGTGAATGCAAAGGAATAGTTCTTGAAAGAAATTAAAAGTGCTACCTCAGTGAACATACGAATGTTAAGAAAGCGAAGTAGCCTTGTTGTTGATTGGGAGAAAGTTTTAGTGGTCTGGATAGAAGATCAAACGAGCCACAACATTACTTTGAGCCAAAGCCTAATCCAGAGCAAGGCCAAAACTCTCTTCAATTCTACAAAGGCTAAGATAGATGAAGAAGTTGCAGAAGAAAAAAATTGAACCCAGCAGAGGTTGATTCATGAAATAAGGAAAGAAACCACCTCTATAATACAAAAGTGCAAGGTGAAGTAGCAAGTGCTGATATAGGAGCTGTAGTAAGTTATCCAGAAGATCTAGCTAAGATAATTGATGAAGGTGGCTACATTAAAACCACAGACTTTCAATGAAGGCATAACAGCTTCCTGTTGGAAGGAGATGCGATCTACGACTTTCATAGCGAGAGAGAAGAAGTCAATGCCTGACTTTAAAGCTTCAAAGAATAGGCTGACTCTTGCTAGAGGCTAAGGCAACTGGTGACTTTAATTTGAAGCCAATACTCATTTACCATTCTGAAAATCCTAACACCCTTAAGAATTATGCTAAATCCACACTGCCTGTGCACTATAAATGGAACAACAAAGCCTGGATGACAGCGTATCTGTTTACAGCATTGTTTATGGATCTTAAGCCCCCTATTGAGAACTATTGCTTATAAAAATAAATTCCTTTCAAAATATTATTGCTCATTGACCATGTACCTAGTCACCCAAGAGCTCTGATGCAAGAAGATCAATGTTGTTTTCATGCCTGCTAACAAAACATCTATTCTGCAGTCCATGAATCAAGGAGTAATTTCAACTTTAAAGTCTTATTATTTAAGAAATACATTTCAAAAGGCTATCATTGCCATCAATAATGATTTCTTCTGCTGGATCTGGGTAAAATAAATTGAAAACCTTCTGGAAAAGAGTCATCATTTTAGATGCCATAAATAACATTCAAGAATCACAGGAGGAGGTCAAATATCAACATTAACAAGAGTTTGGAAGAAGTTCATTACAACCCTTATGGATGACTTTGAGGGGGGTCAGGACTTCAGTGGAAAAAATAACTGCTGATGTTGTGGAAATGGCAGAAGAACTAGAATTAGAAGTGGAGGTTGAAGATGTGATTGAATTGCTGCAATCTTACAATAAAACTTTAGTGAATGGGGAGTTGCTTCTAGTGAAGAAGCACAGAAAGTGGATTCTTGAGATGGAATCTACTTCTGGTGAAGATGCTGTGAATATTGTTGAAGTGACAACAAAGGACTTTGAATATTATATCAATTTAGCTGAGGAAGCAGCTGCAGACTTTGAGAGGATTGACTTCAATCCTCTTTACAGAAAGAAGCTCTACAGTAAGTAAAATGCTATCAAGCAGCCTTTTTAAGTAGAGTGTTGAAAGCTCCTGTAGACCCACTCCATCTGCTTGGGACATGAATCCTCCCTTTGTTCAGCATATCCATGCTGTCCACTACCAGCCTGCTAGTCACCTAGTAGCCATATGGGATATTAGATCAACTGTTGTGGTATTGCAGACCTTGTGTTCAAGTCACCCTTATTTTACTTAATGGTCCCAAAGAGCAAAAGTAGTGATACTCGCATGTTGTTAAAATTTTCCTGTTTTATTATCCATTACTGTTATGAATCTTTTACTATGATTAATTCATAAATTAAACTTTATCCTAGATATGTATGTATAGAAAAAACCATAGTATGTACAGGGGTTGGTACTACGCAAGATTTTGGACATCTGCTGGAGGTATATATCTCCTGTGAATAAAGGGGAACTACTATATTACCAAGAAGTATTATCAAACTTCTCTCCAAATTATTTCATTATAACCAGCTTTAAAATAAAATCAGAGAGTATTAGGTTGCATTTTAAAATTTATTGGAAATACTTGAGGTAATAAGTGAATAACCATAGCCAGATTCACCAAAGCACTTGAATACAGCATCCTCTTAGAATAGATGCACAGTGCACAGTGAAATAACAAGTAGGATTTTCAGGTAACATCGAGGAAATTGAAAACTAAATGTGGGTCTAGTAGACTTAGTAACCACAAATCTATCCAACAATAGTTGGAGAAGATAAATATATTTGCTTACAAATGCAAATAAAGTTGGTTTAATCATAATTGTGTACACAGTATTCTACTAGATATACTGGGGGATTCATACAGATTTGAAACCCAGTTTAGATTCTGCTAATAAACCTCAATAACTGTGTGAAGAAGGTTTTTCTGGGTATGAAAACTTTGCTGTACTCTTCAGTGGAACTTGCATAGGGTTTGGGGTTATGCAGAACAGTGACAGAAAAAGAGGCACCTGCTTAGCCATTCAGTTTTAGCCAAATCAGCCCTGACAATCTACAGCCAGATTGCCCCCACAGCTGTCATTTTGGCTAAAATTAAATATGAATAACTGGAAAACATTACAATATGTTCTCCCCTGGCCCCAGCTTACTTAAGGTATAATTAACAAAAAATGATATATATTTAAAGTGTACAACGTGACATGTTTATATATGCATACATTGTGAAGTTATCACCACAATCAAGCTAATGATTATATCCCTCACCTCACACTGTGTGTGTGTGTGTGTGTGTGTGTGTGTGTGTGGTGATGTGTGTGATGAGAATATCATACATCTATACTCTTAGCAAAGTATACAATACATTGTTATTACCTATAGTTACCTTGTTATACATTGTCTCCATAATTTATTCATCTTCTAACTGAAAGTTTATACCCTTTGACCATCATCTCATTTCTCCCAACCCTGGACCCCTAGTAACTACCCTTCTACTCTCTTTTACCATGAGTTCAACTTTTTTAGATGCCACATGTAAGTGAGATCATGGAATAGTTCTCCTTCTGTGTTTGCCTTATTTTACTTAGCATAATGTCCTCTAGCTTTATCTATATCATTGCAAGTGGCAGAACTTCCTTCTTTTTAAGGCTGACTAATATTCCATTGTAAATATATATATATACTATACTATGATATATATATTCAATGAACATGAGAGTGCAGATATCTCTTCAAGATAATGATTTCATTTCCTTTGGGTATACAGGCTGAGCATCCCCAATATGAATATCCAAAATTCAAAATACTCCAAAATCAGAAATTTGTTGAGTGTTGACATGATGTCACAAATGGAACATTTGACAGCTAACTTAAATGACAGTTCACAGTCAAAAATTTGTTTCATGCATAAAATTATTTAAAATATTATATAAATTACCTTTATGCTGTGTGTATAAGGTGTATATGAAACATAAATGAATTTCATATTTAGACTTCGGTCCCCTCTGCAAGATATTTCATAATGTATATGCAAATATTCCAAAATCCAAAATAGTTCAAAATCTGAAACACTTTTGGTCCCAAGCATTTTGGGTAAAGGATACTCAACCTGTATATCCAGAAGTAGGATAACTAGATGATATCATAGTTTTATTTTTAATTTTTTGAGGAGCTTCCATACTGTTTTACAAAGTGGCTATACCAATTTACATTTCCACCAGCAATGTACAAGAGTTTCTTTTTCTCCACATCCTTGCCACCTCCTGTTATCTTTGACTTTTAGATAATAGTCATCCTAACAAGTATGAAGTGATAGCACATTGTGGTTTTGATTTGCATTTCCCTAATGATTAGTGATGTTGAGCATCTTTGGAAAAGTATCTATTGAGGTCGTTTGCTAATTTTGTAATCAGGTTGTTTATATTTTCTATTGAGTTATGTGAGTCCCTTATAAATTTTGAATATTAACCCCTTATCAGATACATGGTGTGCAAATATTTTCTACCATTCCATAGGTTGTCATTTCATTTTTTTATTGTTTCCTTTGTTGTTCAGAAACATATTAGTTTGGTATAGTCTCATTGTTTATTTTTGCTTTTGTTGCCCATTCCTTTGTTTTTATAAAAACAAACAAAAAAAATCATTTTTTTTGTTTCAAAAAAAAAAAAAATCATTGCCAAGACTGATGTCAGGGAGAGTTTACCCTATGTTTTCTTCTAGAAGTTTTAGGATTTCAGGTCTTACATTTAAGTCTTCAATTCATTTTGAATTAATATTTGCATACAGTGTAATATAAGGATCCAGTTTTATTCTTTTCCATAAAAGATATGTTTTTTCCAACACTATTTACTGAACAGACTATTCTTTCCCCATTGTGTCCTCTTAGTGCCCTTGTCAAAAATTAGTGGACCCTATATATGTAGGTTTATTTCTGGGATTTTTATTATGTTCCATTGCTCTATGTGTCTGTTTTTATGCAGTACCATACTGTTTTGATTATGATAGTTTTGTAATATAATTTGAAATAAGGAAGTGTGATACCTCCAGCTTGTTCTTCTTGCTCAAGATTACTTTAACAATTCAGTTTTGTGTCTGTGGCAGTTTCATACAAATTTTAAATTGTTTTTTAATTTCTGTGAATAATGAACAATGTTATTGAATTTTGGTAAGGATTTCATTGACTCTATCACTTTGGGTAGTATAGGATTTTAACAATATTGATTCTTCCAATTCATGAATAGAAAGTATATTTCCTTTTATTTGTTTCTTCTTCAATTTCCTTCATTTATGTTTCATAGTTTTCATCCTACAAATCTTTGATCTCCTTCATTGAATTTATTCCTAAGTATGTTATTCCTTTTGATGCTATTTTAAATGAGATTAATGGTTTAATTTCCTTTTCAGATAGTTCATTGCTAGTATAAAGAAATCCAACCAATTTTTGTATGGTGATTTTGTATCCTGCAGCTTTACTCAATATATTTAATAGTTCAAAAGTTTTTGTTGAAGATTTTAGATTTTCTCATATGTAAGATTATGTCAACTGCAAGAAGATATTAGTTACCAATTGCTGCTATACTAAATTTTCACAAACTTGGTGGCTTAAAACAGCATATTATCTTATATATCTGCAGGTTATAAATCCAAAATCAGTATTATGGGCAAAAATCGAGGTGTTTTAAGAGCTGTCTTCCCTCCAGGGACTCTCAGAGGCCTTCTTGCCTCTTCCAGCCTCTGCCGATTGCTAACATTCCTTGGCTGTGACCACCTGATTCCAGTCTCTTCCATCTTCACATTGCCTTCTCTTCTTTCTGTGCCAAATCTCTCTTTGCCTCTCTTTCATTAGGACGCTTGTGATTACATTGGACTCACTTGGATAATCCAGGATAATGGCTTCATTTCAAGATGCTTAGTCACATGTTTTACAACTCCATATCAGTCTGCTATATCACTTATAACCTTAAAAAGAAAACCAAACTAAATATTTGTAAAATCTATCCTAAGAGAACCTAGATATTTTTCAGATAATAAAATAAAGCTATCCAGTATTGCTAAGCGACACTTGGGAGTACCTGAAATAGCAATACAAAATATCTATCTTTTTAATATTTATGTAATATTTTGGTTACTTTTGAATTTCTGTTTATGAATCTGTCATTTTAAAGTTGCATATGTACAAAATCCCTGTCCTTTCATTTTATAACTATAATACTAGTACACTACCCTGTTTGGTTTCAGAGTTGGGCTATTAATTCATGTAACAAACATTTTTCAATATCCTCTAAGTGCTAGGCAATTTTTTAGTTTTTAACATGAAAATTTTAGGACAGATATTACCAATTAGGTATTTTTTCATAAATTCCTATGTCAATGAATCAAACTGATTTGTGAAAATTCCTTATAATCATGATCTGAATTAACACATTACACTGAAAATGTTTTTATGAATGCTAGGTATGTTCTCAACATTCTACCATCTTCTTTGAAAAATAACAAAGCATAAACTCTTGTCAAGGAATGTTAGAGCTTTAAGGAAACAGACAGAGGGGATCTAGTTCAAAAAGACACAGACCCCTAGTCAGCACAGCAGTTTAAACAAGGCACGTACTCATTTGCTTCTTATTCTCATACTCCTGCCAGTGTTTCATGTTTACTCCCTCATTAAATAGATGGAATTTATCATTCAATGGAGAAATTACCCACATGAAATAGGAAGTTTAGTAGGGCGAGTGGGCATGAGATTTTTGGACCCAGATAAACATGGGTTGGTTTCTTGACTCTGGCACATGTGTGAGAGTGGATAAATTATTTACTTTGCTGCATTCATTTATATCAAGTGACTAGACATAGTAAGTCTCTCAGTATATGATAATAGCTATTCTGAATAAAAATATAAATAAGAAAATGTAAATAAGACCAATGTTATGTGGTTAGAGACAGTGTGTGCTATGTATGCAGGATTTTTCTTAAAGATGACAATCAATTATTTTTTAGGGACTAAGAGAAAACTTTAGAGAGGAGGTCTTTAGCCTTTAAAGGTTAAAGAAGGAGAATGAGGAAGGAAAGAGAGCATTTTACATATATAGTACACACACATGTACACAAACAAGAAGGAGGAGGAAGAAGAGAAGGAGCAAGAAAATAGTTACAGTGGGGCGAGACTGGCATGACATGTTTATATGATCTGATTGCACCAGGCAGAATCTTAGATAATACTAGAAAATAATGTTTTATAGTTAGAGTAGGGCCCAGGTACTATAGATCTTGAAAATCAGGCACAAATGGTTACATGTGATATGACACAAGATAGGGAACCATTGAAGGTCTTTGAGTAGAAGAGTGACGTGATGGAAATAGTTGATAGTTTGCATATATAGTGAAAGAGTTTAAAGAATACTGATCAAATGAAATTGGGAACTGAGAAAGATATATCTTCTGAAACAGACAATTTAATGGAAAATTGTGACACTATCCAAGTAAATAACATAACAAGAAAACGACTTTGCAGAATATTGATTTAATGCATCACTTAAGCAAGAGAATATCTCAAACCTGCATTATCTATGCTCTATTTCCTTGTACCTTGGACAGCTTATCTATTTACCTCCCTCGAAAGAACAGGCACAGTTTTCTACATGAATTGTTTGCTTATGATGTATAGTATTTAACAGACGATAAACTGCATCTCAAAGAGAATTCAGCACTTTTAGAAGTTATGTATTCTTTAATATGCCATGGGTTATAATATCATGAATAAAAATGACTGAAATTAAATTCAGACCAGCGGAAGATAACTGCCATCATCATCATCTGTTGAAAACATATCACTGCCAAAGAAATCACTTTCAATATGCACAAAAGTTTGTAAATTGCAATTTGACCCCATTGTATAAATTTCAATAGTCATCTGAAACATCGAAAGAACCCATTTAAAATAATTATGTTGATTCTAAATTGTGCATTCAAATGATATGTTCTGTTCACAGTTAGTGGATATGACAAGAATATATGCCATAAAACTAAGATGAAAAGTTGAAGTTAGTTATCAAGCCTATTGTTAATTTTAAAAATGTAGGTAAGAAAAATGTACCTCTTGAAAATGACTAAAATTTTTTTAAGGTAGAAATTGTTTGGTTATATCTATATATTTATCATATTAGAGATAAAAATTAGCCTTTATTACAGTGAAAGCTCTGTGGAATTCTCTTGGCATAGGAAAATAAATGTCACTCTCCATTAAAATGAAGCGAATGCCTTATTTGGTCAAATCAGCATGCATAATTTAATTAGATGCCCTAATATTCTGCAAAATAGCATGAAAGGGCAGCTCAAATATGTTTAGTAGTTCCGAATATTAGAAGCATTATAGTGAAATGGTATGTGTCCTTACAGAACACTTCACGGTAACATCATTCTGCTCATGACTACAGAGAGGTCTTAGCAAGTTTCTAGTCTTCTCAGTCTGCAAAGCACAACAGTCACAGGGACAACTGGATGTGAAAGTTGAGAGGCAGAGAGCTTGATGAATTTTATAACATGGATCTGAAGAGATCAAGGTTTGCAGGAATCTGGAACTGGTAGGAGCTGCAAAGGATGTGGCTTTGGGGAATGGAGGGTAGAGGGAAAATAGTTCTTGTAATTGAAATTCATTTGGGGGATGAGAAGTTTGATCTCACTTTTGCTTTCATGAAAGTAAGCAAATAGGAAAAGTGATATCTTGTAGTTTATAAAACCCTGGCTATTTGGACAAACCCCGAATTTAGGGTTGGAAGTCAGAGTCAGATGAAACACATCAGTGTCATTTGAGTTTCTCTTGCTCCTCTGGGAGTTGACTTGACCCTAGCTCAACAAGAGCATCAGTGGATGTGAAATGATGTAGATGAACTAAAGACATTGATAAAAAGCTAACATAGAGAGCTTAATGAAAGTCAGACCATTTAAGGCAGCAAAGAACAGAAAAAATCAAAGGGAAATAGTCATAAGAGATATTTGGAGAGCAATGCTCTTGACAGCTTTGGTGTTGGTGATAACTGGATTTTTATTTTTTTAATGTAAAAGATTGTTTCCTTGTGTATGGCTCTCCTACATATCATATACTACATAGTATAATATATATTACTCATATATTACAATATATAATCCACTATGTTTAAAGAAGCCGAAGAACCAATAGTACGTTTGTCATTTTTAGTTGCATTTCAATGGTTCCATAAAGGGTTTAGTATGGTAGGTTTAGCCATACCTTATTATCTCTTCTTGCCAGGTAAGAAAAGAGCATTATTGTCACTTTTATTTTCCCATCTGATAATGTTGGTAAATAGTACATTCTCAATAAATATTTGTTGACTGACTCTTTCAACCTCACAATACATATTATAAGTGAAAAAAGGATTTAAGCCTTTCATGGTGCTGGAGAAAAACATTAGGACAACGTATCAATTGTTACAGGAAGATGGGAGTGACTCTAAGGAAAGGAATTGTACCCTTTTTTATTAAAATGCACTGTATTGAATAAGTCAGAGGTACAGTGAGGCCTAGTTATATATGGTATGATGATAATGATTAAAAGTTGCATCAAAACCAGATGTTTGTCTCTGTGATGAGCCCATATCAGATCTCAATCCATGGGTCCTTTGTCTTTGGTCATTGAAGAAGAGATGTCAAGAAACCCAAGGGCCAGAACGTAACTCGGCATTAAGATTGAAATCTATGACATTGTAGAAAACTCTGCAAGTATACCATTCACATCTCTAGGCTCTGCGTCACTCCTTGTTCTTGCTGATGATTGACTTTCATGACTCTCTAGTGTATATTCTTGTTTAAAATGGGCTATTTTTCCCTTCTTAGTCTATAGGCTGAAGCTAAATCTTAGTCACAATTTTAAAGTCCTAAGAAAAAGACTTGATTAACTGAACTTAGATCAAGTCCCAAACCGGGACTGATACATTGTGGGCTGGGATTACCTCAGTTGCAAACATGTGAATGGAAGGCTACAGTGGAATTTCCGAGAAAAGAGGTGTGGGAATCCTATGCAATAGGCATTCACTGTATTTGTCTATCTTGAGCTGCTGGCAGGAGTTGCGCTCTAAACAAAAAGAAGTAAATACCTTCCAGTATGACTGGATTTTCCTCCCTCCCATGTCCCCATATCATTCCAGATTCCCTTGTCTACACTGAGCCAGTGGATTTGTATTTCATCTGCAAGTTTTCAATCTACAGATGAGTTCTACAATCATTTGAGTATTCAAGTTTGAGTTTAATCCATTTCTGCTTTTTCTCCTTCTACCCAGACCTGAAGCTCAGGTTCCAGCATGCTTCATTGATGACTGTGCCCACTGTACAGTTGTTTTCAATCTCCACTAGCTAAGAAGCATATTGTTATCATTTGCTTTTCATTCCTTGAAATCATCCCTAATGCCAAAGCTTATACTGGACTTTTTTTTTTCTTTTTTTCAGGCTTAATTCACTTTATTTTTCTTGTATAAAAACCCTATGTTGTAGCCACAGCTGGAGCCTGGGTCCTCTGCACTGAGACTCTGGTGTGGGTCTTGAGGAGATGGTCAGTGAATTCCTGATAGGGAGACTTGGTGAATACAGTCTTCTTCCAGAGTCGGGGGTCAGGTAGCTGTAGGTCTTAGAAACAGCATCAAAGGTGGCCTTGACAAAGTTGCCCAGGGTGGCAGTGCAGCCCCTGGCTGAGGTGTAGCAGTCATCGATACCAACCATCATGAGCAGATTCCTGGCCACAGGTGCCGAGACGATGCCAGTGCCCCTGGGAGCGGGGATGAGGCGCACAAGCACAAAGAGGGAGCGGCCTGTCACCTTGCCAGGGACGGTGAGGGGATTGCAGATCTTGTTCCCCCAGTAGCCTCTGCGCACGGGGACAATGGAAAGCTTGGCTAGGATGATGGCCCTGCGGATGACAGTGGCCACCTCCTTGGAGCACTTAACACCCAGACCGACGTGGCCATTGTAGTCCCTGATGGCAACAAACGCCTTGAACCTAGTGCACTGGCTGGCGCGGATCTGCTTCTGCTCCGGCATAATCTTCAAAACCTTGTCCTTGAGAGAGACCCCCAGGAAAAAGTCAATGACCTCAGATTCCTTGATGGGCAGGGAGAAGAGACAGATTTCCTCCAGGGACTTGGTCGAACTCCGCGGCCTCCGCCCAGGCCCTTGCCCTGAATGTCACTGCCAAAACCTCCATGGAAGCCACCGCGGTTCCCCATCCCAGGGCCCCAGGGGGCCTCTGCCCCGCCCCGCCTTCCCGCTGCATCTGCGTCATCCGCCATTTGGTGTTTTCTCAGAAAATACTCTAAATTGGAAATTTTTAACATAACGATCATCTGTTAAAGCAGCCAACTGATGTTACTGTTCCCCTCCCCAGCCCCCAAACCCCTATTCCTTTTAAGCAAAAATTGTCTCAGATTTGTAAAAGTGGAGAAAACAATTTGTCCAGGTGACAGGTATAATTTTATTTACCTGCCAATCTTTCTTCCAATGATTTTATTGCCCTCTTTAGATATAGTACATTAGTCTAAGGCAAGTTCCTATGAAGGACTTTTTTTCTCTGCTTTTAATGTCTTTTAAGACAATCATTAAAATTGCACATCCAGCAACACATTTTCTATCTGATATTTTCTCTGCTTATTCTAAAACTTTAAAATTTTAAGCCTTCCTTGTAGAACTTTCTACTTAAATTATTAATCCAATTTAATTTAAATTTTCATAAGTTATTGAAGAAGATTGCATGTGAGTAGCCAATTTTCAGATTTGGCAAGTTCTAATTCAAGACAGTGCTAATGTGCAGCCTTTGGGTATTAACTTTCCTTAAGTAAAACATGAAATAATTTCTTTCATCCAAGATAAAATGTGGATGGCAGATGCTTTTCAAAGGGTTTAATTAATTATCTCAATTTTAGACCACCCAAGAGTTGGAAGTAGAGTTGGAATTGAATATATAGATACAACTCAAAAGTAATATGATGTCTGGTAGGCCTAACAATTTTCATAATTGAAGTCATTAATAGATAATTTGGTGTGTCTTCGAAAGCCATGTATTCACCTACATTAGGAAGCTAGAGTTATGAAATAAACTGTTATTTATTGTGACTTTGCCTCTATTTTATTTTTCCAGGGTCAATGGGATAATTTCATAAAATTAATTGACCATTAGATACTTTCTTTCATTAAATAAAGTATCAAAGTAGTCATTATCATGGCCTGAGGAATATTTTTGAAAAGAAATAACAGAAAATAAACCTTTGTAAAAAGAAAACCCAAGGAACACCAACAGAAGGTTCAGCAGAAGTTTCCATAAATACATACACTCCCCAAATAGTGTTAAATGCACTTCAGCCTTGAATTCCACTGTGTCACAACCACATACATACTTAGTTAATATAAACGAGGCTAAAACGGCTTAATTGAATCATGTGTGCTATCAGATGAAACATAAATACTAACACAAAAATGAAGTAGATAGGCATTCAGTGGTGTTATTTGAGGGTCATATAAGAATCTCACCTTTTATCAAACATTTCTTCACCAAGTAGTCACATTGCCTAAAATTTTTACGACTGGTTAGTTGAATAGGAAAACATTCACCACTGGATACCCAAATGGGTAAATATACTTATTCATACTGGTGCTGTCCAGTAGAACCACATTACAAAACCAGTCTAGCAGAGCACTGAGCAAACATTTCAGAAAAGCAGGAGCTTATTTTGAAATTTATTTTTGTGTAAAAACATAGCAAAAAAACAAACAAAAACAAAGCCAAAGTTGGCTATTATGTTTTTGAGCTCTTGATCATTCAAGAGCTAAGTGAAAGCATACCAGAAATAAAGTTGTGGATGAAAGACAAATGTAACACCTTGGATAGATAAATGAGATAGCAGAAAGTAGAACTTTCGTTAGGAGTTATGGAGTGGTTCAATTAGATTTTTATAAATTCTGTTTTGCTAGTATGTGGCTGATGATGACATAAGAATAGCTGTGGCCTGAAGTTGTCATGTATGGTCAAGTGATAGCAAGGTATGATAAAGTTGGAGGGTGAGGACAAGAATTGACACAGAGGATAAAAAGAAAAAGGGAAAGAGTGTGGTGGGAGAAACTCTCCTGTTGGAGATCGTTATTAAGTTACCTTTAAGTAGTTAGCCTCTGATATTATGCCCTAAGATTTCTAAATGGTTCCTAGTGCCTTGCTAATGAGTGTACTCAGCAGAGCAGCAGATTCAGCATCTCCCAGGAGATTGTTAGATATGCAGAATTGAAGACAGTGCTTCAGACCTACAGAATCAGAATCTGTATTTTAACAAGGTTCCAAGTACTTCATGTGCATGTTAATTTTGGAGAAGCATTCCTGTTTGGTTATCTAGACGTAAATGCTCAAATGGTGTATTGATAAGTGAAATTTAAACTCTAATAAAAACATTGTTCTTTTATATAATTTTGTGGTTTTAATCTGAGACTAGGCAATAATGACACTTTGTTTTGCTCAATTTAATTCTAAAATATAGAGTATCTATTCACAGGCTGCATTCTGTCTATATAACTCTTTCCCTGTGATTAGAAGACAACGAAAATATACTTTGAGTTTTGTCAGCCTAGGCACTGGAAATTGGGAGATTGCCTATCTTCTCTTTTCCACATGAAGTCAAAGCAGCCACATGAAAAATGGAAAACCATGCCAAGTGCAGTGACATGCACCTGTTGTCTCAGCTACTCAAGAGGCTGAGCAAAGATCACTTGAATTCAGGAGTTTGAGACCAGCCTGGGCAACGCAGAAAGACCCAATCTTTAAAAAAAAAGGAAAAGAAAAAACCAAAATAATGAGTTTTCAAATTTGTTCTACATGAATGATATATGTATTTGAGAAATTCACTGTGTCTGAAGGCTTTTATGTACTCATAAGAAATCTGGCCATCACTCTTAAGAAAGGATAATAGACCAAGAAAAATCAAACACCTTACAGCCACTTAAAGGTAAAAAATCTAAGTTCACAGAAAATGTCATCTCTTACAGAGTTCAATGCAAAATAAGAGGCAGCCTTTTTTAGCTTGTTTACTTCAACTCCCTATGATCTGTCCACATATTCCAATATGTACTCATTGTAAATTCAGAACGGTTAAGAAACGTCCTGCTCAGATAACTCTCGTTTCATCAGATCCCAATTTTCCCACCCAAGGCCCAGACCACCCAAAAAACTGGGCAAAATTACTAGCAAGAACTATATAACTAAAGGTTTTATGCATACCTGTGAAAAGTAGCTATTTCTACAATCATTCTCCCCTTTAGTATGCAAGTTTGAGGTCAAATTAGAAATCTTAACATAATCCAATAATTTATTTGCATGTCCAAGATACAGAATAATTTCATAGTCATCATGAGACATGGTGCTGTTCCTATGCTGCATTGTGACTTACCAACAATCATATTATTTTCCAGATCTCAGTTTCTCTCTTTATATTAAGGAGATAAAAATACTAGTACCACATTCCTCATAGTGTTATTGTGAATATAGGTAACAGTGGGAGTTAAAGAGCTTTGAGATGTATCAAGCGCTATATTAATATAAAAGATTATTATTGGTAAGATATTTTCTTTTATTATTATTATTATTATTATTATTATTTTGAGATGGAGTCTCACTCTGTCACCCAGGCTGGAGTGTAGTGGCATGATCTCGGCTCACTGCAACCTCTGCCTTCCAGGTTCAAGCAATTCCCCTCCCTCAGCCTCCCAAGTATCTGGGACTACAGGTGCATGCCACCATGCCTGGCTAATTTTTGTGTTTTTAGTAGAGACGAGGTTTCGTCATGTTGGCCAGGCTAGTCTCGAACTCCTGACCTCGGGTGATCCACCCGCCTCGGCCTCCCAAAGTGCTGGGATTACAGGCGTGAACTATTGTGCTGGGCTGGTAAGTATGTTTTCTTAAAGACACTGTAGGATTTATAAAGTGGTATGTATTTGGGTTTATTTAATAACATGTAGTTCAGGATGTCCAATTCTGCCATCAATAACATTCATTTTTCAGTAGGTTTTTCTTCAGAAAGTTGAACATAGAAATTGACCATTTTAATGTAGACAGAAATATTTTTACAGGGCAACAACATAGATATACTTCTCTTCACTCTGTTTGGCCTTGAACAATTTTTCAAGAGCACATAGATACAATTTTGAAAGAGTGAGGGAAACATACTCATAAATTAAATTGTTGGTATTATTTTTATTTTCATGACTACTACATTTTGAGTACTTTACTCAATTTCATTTTCTCAATCAATTTATTTACAACTGAATATACTTAATGGCCATTATAAAGTGTATTTAGAATTTTTGAGCTCAGGGCCGGGCACGGTGGCTCACACCTGTAATCCCAGCACTTTGGGAGGCCGATGCGGGCGGATCATGAGGTCAGGAGACTGAGACCATCCTGGCCAACATAGTGAAACCCCATCTCTATTAAAAATACAAAAAAGTAGCCGGGTGAGGTGGCAGGCGCCTGAAGTCCCAGCGACTCGGGAGGCTGAGGCAGGAGAATGGCTTGAACCCGGGAGGTGGAGCTTGCAGTGAGCTGAGATCATGCTACTGCACTCCAGCCTGGGCAACAGAGCAAGACTCCATCTAAAAAAAAAAAAAAAAGAAAAAAAGAATTGTTGAGCTCAATTGTTTTACTGCAAACAAAAAAATTTTAGTCAAAATTAGAATGTTAGATAGTTCTCTGAACATTCAACATCAATATATTTTTTGTTAACTTGTATATTGGGTTTTAGCCTTCAGTGATAATGCAATAGTGTTTCTTTATTTTTTTAATATATAGAACTACATTAATTTTATTGTGACAGGTGATTTTTCCCCTCAAATATACTACTTGAATTATCTTATAATTTTTATAATTATTTAAGCATTCATTCATTCATTTAACAAAGACCTGATTGCTTATTATATGCAATGAAAAGTTCTAAGCACTTGAGAAAAAATAATGATGACCAGTATTCTCTCGTAAGACTCATATTTAGATGGGGAAGGAGAGATAGTAGACAAGTAAATGAACTACTAAGACATTTTCTGATAATAATTGCTATGCAAAACAAAACAAGACAAAAAGTTAGATAGGTAGATGTGTAGGGATCATTCCAAAAAAAAAATCGTTTCTCTGAGCAGTGACATTTGAAGAAAAATACAGATGATGAGGAGGAGCCAGCAGATGAAGATCAAGGGGAAGCACATTGACAGCAGAGAGAACAGCTAATCAAACAGCTTGCAGAATGTCTGAAACTAAGGCCAGTGTGATGGCAGTGCAATGAGAGAGGGGTGGGCAAAAGATGAGATCAGAGTGTGAGGTATGGATTATGACAGGATGATGTTATGTCTTATAGGTCATAGCAATGAATCGGGTGATTAATGTAGATGTAGTGGGAAGCAACTGGAGAATTCTAAGCAAGAAAAGGACATAATATATTTTATGTTTTAAAAGCTAGCTGCTGTTGGAGAACATATTGTGGTGGGAGTGAGTGCATGTGTGGAAGAAGAGTCCAGATGAAGATGATTGCAGTAATGCATGTGGGAGATAATAGTGGTTTCAGTGTGCACAGCAGCAAAAGACATGGTGAGAGGTAATTGCATTTCAAGTCTATTTTAAAGGTAAGCCCCACAATATTCACTTATCTGTGGGCATGCAGAGGAGAAAGAAGGGAATTAAGAAAGATAGGCAGGTTTCAGACTGACCAATTGTTGGGCTGCTATTAACTGAGTTACGAAATAATGAAGAATGAAGAGTGGTGAAAGAAAAGAGGGAAACTCAAGAAAATTAGAAAGCCATCTGACCTAACCCACCTTATAATTTCTATTATTGCATTGTATGTTTGGGATGCCCTCACTTTCACGGACCCCTGGAAAGGAAAGAGGCAATATAAAAACATGTAAGATTTCCTAGAACTCCTCTAGAGTTTAAAGACAGAAGATTCATCTGGGGGAAGAGAAAACAGGTCTCTCTGTTGCTGAGAGTGGGCTTTCAATCCTCTTGAAGAAGAAAGATATTGAATCTACTCTGTCTTCATATTCTAAGACTAGAACGTTAGTTCCCTTAGGAATTCTTCATGCCACTGGACAAATATTGTTCACTGCTGATGCCTCAGTTTCACTTGAAGATTTTAAAAGGTTTGAGGGCAAGTTTAAGAGACTTAACTAAGTAAATTATAATGTTATTCATACATTAAACATTTCCATGCATTTACTTTAATAAAACACTGGAGCTTACAAAAGCAGCCTCCTCAGGGACATTCACAGTTTGCCTTAGAAGTAATGGGACCACTAAAAAGTATTAAGCTGAGGAGTAAAAGAATCAGGTTGCCTTTTTAAAAGATCCATTTGGCTGCAAGTTTGAGAAAGGGTTGTTGCAGTCACAGGGATGCTGAAGTGGAGTTAAGCAAGACTGGAGACAAAAGGGACACCTAATGTTAACTATTATGCATACTGAAGCATGCCTACTATGAATGAGATGCTGCAAAGTGAACAGATGCAAGAGATCTATGGTGCATGCTGATTAGCTGGATATGAAAGCCTATGTAAAGGAAAGGAAGAGATAAATATTAGCCTCTTGTTTTCTGTCTTTGGCCCCTGGTGGATAGTGGTACTATTCGCTGAGATAAGAAACAATAAAAGTTACACAATTTTAAGATGAGATGATGACTTCCGTGTTGGACGTATTGGCTTTGAGATATCAGTGAGCCATCCAAGGGAAGGTGCAGTGGGATCTACAGCTCTGGTGCTCGAGAGAAAGTTCTGGTCTGCAGATAGAAATGTGGAAATCATTAGTACAGAATTGCAAATGAAACTGTGTAGGTGAATGAGATGACTGAAAGAGAGTCTTGTGGAGTGAGAAGAGAATATGGTCTACGGGAGATTCTGAAAAATACAAATATTCAAGAGGCAAGAGGAGGAAACACAGGAAACATAGGGAAGATGTGACAAAAGCCAGAACACATGAGGCTGAAGGAGAACACCTTAGGAAACAGAGTGGCCAACTGCACAAACATTTTTTTTATGTATACTTTAAGTTCTAGGGTACATGTGCACAACGTGCAGGTTTGTTACATATGTATACATGTGCCATGTTTGTTTACTGCACCCATTAATTCATCATTTACACTAGGTATTCCTCCCAATGCTATCCCTCTCCCATCTCCCTACCCCGCAACAGGCCCCAGTGTGTGATGTTCCCTGCGCTGTGTCCAAGTGTTCTCGTTGTTCAATTCCCAACTATGAGTGAGAACATGCGGTGTTTGGTTTTCTGTCCTTGTGATAGTTTGCTCAGAATGATGGTTTCCAGCTTCATCCATGTCCCTACAAAGGACATGAACTCATCCTTTTATATGGCTGCATAGTATTCCATGGTGTATACGTGCCCCAACCCAAATGTCCACAAACATTTTAGAGAAGCCAAAGACTGAAAATTGTTCATAGGTTTTAGTAGCACAGAGGTATTTCTCAAAAATCAGTATGATGAGGACAGAAGCCAGATTGATTAAGTAGAGAAACAAAAGGAAATGAAGCAGTAATAGTGAGTATCACTAAATCTTTGAAGAGATTTACCCAGGAAGGGTAGAAGACAGGAAGCAGGACCTGGTATCTATGGAGGAGATTTTTAAATATTAAAGAAAAAAACAGCATTTTTTAAATGCTAATATCAATGAGTTTAGTAGGCAGGGACATGTTGACAATTTGAGAAAGATAAAAACATCTAAGAAAAAATTTCCAAGTAGGTAGAAGAGATTGATATCCATGTACACAGTGAGTGATCTGCCTTGAAAAGGTTGAAAAACAACTTTTCCATTGTGATGAGAATAAATAAGAAAAAGTTGAATCTACATATGGCAAGTTCATTGGTTCTCCTGAGACTAAGAAGGCAACACAATCTGGTGAGAATGCAGAGTAGAGGTGGTGGAGAAAAGATTGGATAGCATTGTGGAAAATGATAAAAAGAGCTGATTGGGGAAACATAGATTTTTAATATAGCACTGAGTAACTGGTCAAATCTGGAGACTATTGGCCTATAGTAACATCCTTTCTAGGCTTAAGAGACTTTTCTCCAGCAGCTCTTAGAAAGCCCAGAATAGCTTAGAAAAGTTTAGGCTGGGCGCAGTGGCTCACGCCTGTAATCCCAACACTTTGGGAGGCCAAGGCGGGTGGATCACAAGGTCAGGAGATCGAGACCATCCTGGCTAACATGGTGAAACCCTGTCTCTACTAAAAATATGAAAAATTAGCCAGGCGTGGTGGTGGATGCCTGTAGTCCCAGCTACTAGGGAGGCTGAGGCAGGAGAATGACATCAACCCGGGAGGCAGAGGTTGCAGTGAGCTGAGATCGCGCCACTGTACTCCAGCCTGAGCGACAGAGTGAGACTCCGTCTCAAAAAAAAAAAAAAAAAAAAAAGAAAAGTTTAACAGTTGGATTGATTCAAAATCTGGTTTCCTTGGGAGGAGGAGGCCATCAGAAGAAAAACAGGGCAAGAAAGTTCAGGACACTGTATGAAATCATGAATCATGAACTCTAAGAGAAAATGAAGTATGAAAGGAAAGAGGAGAAAAGGAATGAAGGGGGTAATAGATAAGGAGAAAATGTAGACACCAAAGGATTGAAGGTATCAGAGAAGCTGAAAAACAAAGCATAGTGATAAAGAGTTGGAAACATTGAAGATGGTGATTAGAAAGTAGGCGGTCTGGGCTGGGCGCTGTGGCTCACGCCTGTAATCCCAGCACTTTGGGAGGCCGAGGCAGGTGGATCATCTGAGGTCGGGAGTTCGAGACCAGCCTGACCAACATGGAGAAACCGCATCTCTACTAAAAATACAAAATTAGCCAGGCGTGGTGGAGTGCGCCTGTATCCCCAGCTACTCGGGAGGCTGAGGCAGGAGAATCGCTTGAACCCGGGAGGCGGATGTTGGGGTGAGCCGAGATTGTGCCATTGCACTCCAGCCTGGGCAACAAGAGCAAAACTCCATCTCAAAAAAAGAAAAAATAAATAAATAATAAAATTTTCCAAGCTTTAACACATGAGCATGGGGTGATTGTCATGGGGAGTGGCGGTGAACCTCATCAAAATTGAGGAAGTTGCTGAACTGAGACATTAGAGTGTTGAATAGATTGCCCTTGTGAACACCGAACTAAAGCAGGACTAGACAAAAAGGAAATCCGCAAAACAGTAAATGAGAGGAATGAAGGAGAAGTTGGTAGATGACAGCAGAGAGGACTGAGGTTAAGTGTGTGCTAATACCATGACCATCAGTTTAGTTAGTATAAGTGTTGTATGTGATTGATTTAGACCAATATTAGGGAGACTCTGTGGTCTCATAATAATTTTCCTACTTGTTCTCCAGTGTCTGATTCACTTTTTTAGACTATATTTTAAAGTGCTAAGTTTTTAAAAAATATGTTCGCATTACCTCACCAGATTTATTTCTGATCTGTTGTGTACCAGTGAATAGGTCACTGAAGGCCAAAAAAAAGAAAATCAAATATTTATCTCATCTCTACTGTGATGGGCATTATGCAGGATTAAAATGTAACAAGATACAGCTCAGTCTTTGAAATATTTGTGATATAATAGAGAAGCTTATTTGATGAAGATAAGGAGAACATAATGTTATCACATGCTCACTATATGAGAGGGCTGACCTGGAAGGGTTCGGGACAGCATGAGGTAGGTGATTGGATTGTGGATCCAGGAAAGTAAGCAGCACTTATGGAAAGAAGCAAAAGTATTCAAAACAGAAGAGGACTAAAAACTCTCTTCCGATGCTATCTGGGACCTGCCTAACCTGTCCTATATGATACTCTGAGCAACAGCAATGTGTGCTTTAGAAAGTGCAGGTGAAGATGCTGTTGCACTTCAGTAATCACCTCCCATCTACAAACAAACCCCACAAGGGTTGCGGGAGCCAATGCAAATTTCCCATTTGTATGATTACAGCTGCTGCAGGAGGGTTACAATTCAGGAAACTCCTTGGTGGCTCTTGATATCTGGCTGAAATGGAATTTTTGACACTATTTTTGAAATGATCTGGTACTTATTCTGCTAAACAGTGGGTTTCAGATTTTGAACCAGCAGTAGGACTCATTAATACCCAGGCTGATGTTCTGAGAGCATGTGCCCCTTCAACTGATGTGGAAGCTCCTATGATTGCAAGACCCTGTGTGAGGCTGCTTGTAGGGCCCCAAGATAAATATGGTTCCATGACTGCTCCTCTGATGCTTATTTCCAGTCCCCTATGGATCACTTAATGGTATGATCTGGGTCTGAACCAAACAGACCCAGATAATGACATGACCACAGTTAATATTCCATATTTATGCCAAAATATTCTAATATATTAGACAAGAAAAAAAAAATGGAAAAATCAAGTCTTATTTAACACTGTGATGAGAATCCATATAGTGTGTAAAACAGATCAGAGCTGATTTGAATCACATGCTACCAGCTACCATCTACATAATACTGAGTAGTATACACCTCATTTCCTCATCAATGAAATCAGCAAAATAGAATAATTGACTCATTAACAGTTGTGAGAACTGAATGAGGGGCTCTAAAGGGTTTTGCACATTACTTGCCATACAGTAGGAAGGAACCTATAAGTGACAACCATCATTATTTGGAAGGACACATACCTAGTTGGAAAAAGTAGGTATGGAATCAGCCACTTGGGTTCAAATCCAGGCACTACCATGGTAGTAAAACATTTGAGTCTGTTTTTGCCGAGGAGAAATGAAAGTAGTCAAACTTATTCTATGGGTTGTACAATTATTGAATTAAATGAGAAGGTAACTGGCTCTTAGTAGGTACGTAAGACAGAGCAAACTAGTATTTATTTCAATGTTTCCTTCATTTATTTTGCATAACACGGTGGATCAGTGTTATGAAGAGAGTCACTACTGTCAGAGGCTACATTCCTCACCTTTAACATAGGGAATGTGAGACTTGATGACTTCTAAGGTAGTTTACAGCCTCTAAATCTTTACAAACACATTTAAGTATTTTTAAGGAATTGGGTGAATTAAAGAATCCTAGCAAAACTAAAAATACCTTCTGACTGGCAGTTTCTGGACATTCTGCCTTACATAAAGTGGTAAATTAAAGAGTGACTTTGATGGAGAAATATATTTCTTCTTTATCCCTTCTTAGTTAAAGCCCCTTATTTGATTTGTTTTGATATTGTTGCCTTTTATTATTTCCCAGAGTTATTTCTAGCCCTCCTTTCTCCAAAATGTAATAATTACTCAAAAGTTAATTCTGTTGTTGGTGTCACTAATGGACAATTTAGTTTATTAGTTTAGAACTACAATAAAGTCTCTGTAAATGTAAAAATAAAATTTGAAAATGCGTCATTGAAAATAATTGATTTTGTGCTTCAAAACATGACAGTTCTGCAAAGGAATATGATGATAATTTACTTTCTGTCACTTCCAAGGTTAACTGAAGGGAGAAAAAAATACAAAAAACATTTTTTCTGACAGGCAAACAGGCAAATTATAGACAAAACTGCAGGGCAGGGGGATAAAAAGAAAAAAGAAATCTTAAAAAAGCTGAGCTTCCAATCACCTCCCACCAGTCTCTGTGAAGGATGACTTCAGTCCCTTTCTTAACTAATTCTGTCACTGTAAAATCCTACAGTCATTCTTCCACACATAGAGGACAAATAAGCTCAAGAGGAGGATCTAGATGCTTTCAGTTTTAACTATTCACCAATGGTGGAAAAGGCAGAATGCCTAAGCTATGTCTTTGTGGCCAATAGGATAGCTCTGTATCTCTCACATGACTCACTGCCCCTGTCTTTCACATGGGCTGTAATTTAGTTCAATTCAGAACTGCAGATAGTACAGCTTCCACAGGAGCAAGGGATGTCTGAGCACAAGTGGCTGAGTTCCGAGTGACTTTATGAAGCACTTTCTACCTTCCTCTCCGGCATGAAAACAGGGATTCTGCACCTGCATCATGGACAGTCTGGCAAAAGCCTCTGCTCTGCCTCCGGGGACAAGAAACTAGAGCAAATAACCGTTTTGAAATTGTAAGTATACCTTTCTTTCCGTCAAGTGTACTGATTAAAATAGTTTTATGTCATAAACATCCAATATTTGAAGATTTCTTAAGGGTACTCTTTCATGTGTATATTGAAGGTTATTCAGCTGGCAGGAAAATATTCCAGGGACAATTGTTGCATACTTTATTCTGTTGAGGATAAAGAATTAAAAATAAAAGTCAGGCATTCCAAAGAGTAGCTGTAGGAGGCTGTGCGCTGGAACATCGCTCTAGTGTGCTGCTTTGTTCATAAGAAAAAATGAAGGCACACGCATATGTACTTAGTTCACTTCTTTTTGCTCTTTATGTCTAATCAGATTTGCTCTGTCCCCAAGAAAAATAAAAGACAAACTTTGCTGACTCCACTGACAAGGGCACCATAGACTTTCCAGACATCTGACAGTTATTATAATTAGCTATGAAAGACTGCAAAGACACTTGGGGGCAAATAGCTCTTAAATTCTGAACAATGGCTTCAAGCCAGGGCTTTATATGTTTTTTTAACCACCACTTTTAATTTTATAATAAGGATAGAGACTGAACTGGTTTCGGTGTTGTAGTCCACACAATGTGAAATAAAGTCCCAGCAGAAGTGAAGGCGACTGAAAGTGGCCAGTGTAAAGACAGAAGGAAAAGACAGCTTTCTGTCTTAGGATCTAGCCTTCCATGTATAAAGATTTTTTTTTTTTTTGAAATTCCTAATAGGGTGGAGTGAGGATGTGGGGGTGGGGAGGAAGCATGCGGAAGCTTCTTTATAGAAGAATGCTTGAAGAATAAAATAATTTGGCATTTCTTCTTTCTAGCAAGCAAAAGATATGATTAGCATCTAAGTTCCTTACATTCATAGTGAGGTTTTTTGATGGAGTTCAAACAGAAGCAACATACAATGCAGTTTTTAAATTTATAAAATAATTGGAAACAAATGGATAGAATGTTCCTGCATTACTGCTTTCTTTTTATATTCAGCTACAGTAATCTAGCAATACATTATGCCTTTACTTTTAGAATTATCCACATCCTTAAAAAGTTATAAGCTAAGTCTTATAAGAAATTAAAAGGCAAATCACACCAGTGTGATTATGACTGATGAAGATTTTGAATGACAAAGCCTCCAACAAAAAGAGTTTGTGAAAAACATTGTCCTCCTCATTTTTAAAAGAGAATATTAACTCCATCAATTATTGAAAGGAATTATTCAAAGGCTCCAGACATAACTAATTATGGCTTAAAGAGAGCTGCCAGAGCAGAGCCTGTGTTCTAATTATAAAAGTCCAAGACGTTAGGATTCATTTTCTTAAGGAGGGCTTGAAAATAAATACAAATTTTCACATAATCTTATAAAAATACACCATTTTTTTTCTTTGTCTGCTCTCATGTTATCTACACCTCCCCCACCGCCGCCCACTGTGTGCTGAGACACCTGAAGGCTAGACATAATGATCAACAGAGCTCCAGCCTGTCTGGACTCCAGCCAGATTTTTTTCCCCTTCTACAATCAAGGAGCTTGCACGCAATGCATGCCGAGCCTATTCCACTGCTATGTGCAGATCCGGGATGGAAGTCTTACACATACTGCGGAAAGATTAAAGACAACAATATCCCCTTTCTCTTACCCTAGACAGCCTCAATTTTTAACCCTTTCATTACCTTTGAAACCAAGACGTCTTACCCATTCAAAGGCAGGTCTCAAGGGACTTTGCAACTCCCGCACCACATCATACAGATGCACATGCCTCATTTGGTGTAGAAATCTCATCTCAACAGATCTTATCAGAATATTTTAGGAACTAATAGTGTGCTAACTAAACATAATGTAATTTGTTTGTGTGGGGAATGCATGTTTGAATGAACTTATGCTGCATGAAATCTGGAACAAGTCAAAGGTCTGTCGAAAGATTCTTGCAAACCTTGCAGAAGGTTATATACCATTTCTGATGATGCTGTTCTTTAAGCATCTTTCTCTCTCTCTCTCCTCACACACACACATACATACACACATACTCGCTCTCTTTTCTCTTTCTCTATCTCAAGATGCACACACTCAACCAGGAAATTATATCATTATATCACAGAGAAATCCAGGTTAGCTGGTGATGTCATCATATATAAAATTTTGCCTTTGTGGGCAACATTTTCAATCACCTAATCGCTAATGTATGTTGGGTGTGTGCCCATAGGAAGTTCACGTGCTCGTGGGGTTAACCGACACCCACAGGAAAGGACTATTTTATTCGCAGCTATCTTTCTTTTGAAGATGTGTTTATGGGGCAGGATGGGTATGTTTATCAAGATAGATGTAGTCAGAGTTTCCTGGTTCTAGGAAGCCTTATTAATATGCTGTTTGAACATTTGAAAGGTGGCTGAATTTCAATGATATAAATAGGATGTAGAAATGGTGAGCATTTTGAAATCAAGTTGGATAAAAATGCTACAATACTTCAATTTATTATGACTTGGTGTTTTTTATTCGCCACTTAACATTTTGTAACAATTAAATCCTTTTTACTTTTAACTTATTTCTTTAGGAGAGAACAGTTTTGTACCAATGATTTAGAAGTAATGCTCTCTCATGTGCTTTTATAAGGGTATATCTATGGATTAGATAGTAGTTGAATTAACTTTCGTGTGAGCTAGTTCAGGGTTTGTATTTATTTTCAAGTCTGTTTTATGGGTCTTATACTGGATAGTTACTCACCAAACATGTGCTCAGATTTTTATTAATGCACACATTTCAGTACATTATTTTATTTCACTCCAATAAAGTTTAATACTTTTACCAAAACATATTGCCAGATTTGAGAGGTAGATATAGAACAACTCTGTATACATTCTACCCCTTAACTACCAAGTTTTGATGTGTAATTTAAATTAATCTTCATTAGAATAGAATGACTGCTATACTTACCAGTTTTTACATACCACGTATCTGATACATGAGTTTTAAAATTTTGGAATTTGCTCTTAATACTTCTTCATTCTTGCGTACTAAAAAGCAATTAATCTGAAAGGAATTTCAAAGCATATATGTATAAACAGCACTACGTATATGTCAACAAATTAATAAGATTCATTTTGCCAATGTATTTTGTGACTGTTTTAAAACAAATGAAAAAATGTTTTGTTCTTTTTCTGCTTTCATGTTACTATTGTTAAGAAAAGTATGTAGCTAAAGAATTGACACATTTTGTACTTAGAGAAAACAAGCTACACAAGTTAGATGACAGTCTATAGGGTAAGACTCCACTATGAACTAATAAATAACTTCGTTAAGAAATTCTTGGCCTAACTCTGTAATTTTGACATAAACAGTTCTTCCAACATATAGTGGAAGATTGATGATTAATTATATAATTTCCTTATCAAAGATTAAAATGGGCAAATAGTTGTGTTTAAATTTTACCTACTTTCAAAAAACAATACATGACATTGCCCATTGGGTACAGGTTACTGAAAAGGCATCTTTCAAAGACAAGAAGATAATGGACTTGATTGAAATAGTTGAACTACGTAACGCCAATTCAAGAACAAATGGTTTTTCAGAGCATAACGGAGAAAGAACAATTTACTATAGTACAGTTTATTCTTCTTACACAATGGCAATGATTTATTTGAAATGGCAGAACAAACATAGTAGATATACAAAAACAACCAGTGGGCATTTTATGTCAAAGATATGTCAAGAGGCTTTTGTTTCATATATTAGAATATTTTAATCCAAGTATTTATCTGAAGACTTAGCTTAAATCTACATCGTTGTTTAGCATGTGCTGATATTATGATCATGTATGTCTCTTACATGCATGTAGCATATTTAGTATATATATATATGTATATATATATATAATGTATTTGAATATAGTCTTCTGACCCCAAATAATTGTTGTCACTTTATAATAAGAGTTCTTGAAGACTACTAATGTACTTCAATACAATAAAATTCAGATTGCGATATCAACTAGCTATGTCTATACTACCAGAAGGGCATTATCAGATATTGGATGAATTAATGTATTGATGTTATAATTACCACAAATACCTCATGTCAAAGAAGAATATCAAAAGATATGACTCTAATTTGACAAACAGTATAAAATGTGATTTTTAAAACCATCTCTGTTTCTTACTACCATGAAAATGATTTGCAAAAGAAGACTCAACACTTAAAATTTCTCTTCATGAAAAGAGAATTTTTTTTAACTTAGCCTTTAGGCATAGGGCCTGAAATTATTGTGAGTAGATACCTGAGCACTGTGCAGAGAATGCACAGGAACCTCAAGTTGCGATGAGAAAACAAGGGAAACTGGTTTGGCTGCTTTATGTTTCAAATTTTATTCTTGCAATCCTACATGACGACAATACTCAAAATTAATTTGAGTGAAAACTATCAAAGTTATTTTCACAATTTTCAAAAGATCCACTGTCTTGTTGACACTCTATGAAGGAAAAGTGTTCTAAAAATGATTGAATGTTCTACTGAGTGAAACTCAGTCAAGCTCAGTGAGGCGCTGGGGTCAAATGGGCTCATGAATCACAGATAGGAAATGAACTGTGTATTGCATATTTGAAAGTTTAAAAAGAAACATTTGGGATATTTTACCGTAAACAGATTTTGGTTTGATTTCTGGCACATCTTTTTAAACATCAAGACTGCAGTTCAGCTGAAATAACTTTTTATATGTATAGCTAAGACCAGATGGCCACGTGCTCCTTTCTTATTTAGATGAGACTTTTCCTTTCAATAACATCTTTCTTCCTGACCTGCTTAAAAATTCCAGCGAATGAAATCAGCACAGGATTTTCAATTCTAATTGACCATGTGCAGAGGAAGGGCCAGTAGAGAAATCAGTAGAGGCATTGTGAGGCTCACTGCCTCAGTTTTGTCTTTGTGTTTTACCATTACAAGCCAATCTAGACTAATCAAAAGCATTTAATTTTTATTAATATTAATATAGCTGCAAGATTTGTCTTCAATGAAAATTATTTGAGTTGGCTTTTTCTATCATTTTATCACAAGTAATTCTTTTAAGTTATTATTCGCTTACACAGTTTCAACTGTCTAGTAAGCACTTTATTGGTTAAAAAATAAAATATTGGTTGAATTAAGATGAAAGAATGGTTGTACTAAATTAATTTTTCTTGTTATTTAAAAAAACATTATTTTTGGAAGATACATATGCTTTTTAAATTTACCATGAAAATATTCACTATATAATATTCTTGGTTCATTATCTGTATAGTCATTTTATAAAGAAAATATTTTTATGTAAATTTTATTTGAACTTGGACCAGTAAAAAAAATCAAGAATAGAACGTGAGCTCCATATTCAGTATAGCTCAGCGAATTACGTATGTATTAAAAGTGGGCATCTAAGTTCCCAGAATTTTTTTCTTTTTGAAAAATTCTTGACTCAAATAATTATCTTAATTAATTACTGCAAAGAGTCAAAGATTTTTTTAAAAGACATTTATTATTCGAATGGTGAAAATATTAGATGAAAACAAGTTATCCAGACATATTGACATTTGTTTGCCTAATAAAGATAGAAAAAACCATAAACCAAAGGTGTATACTTTAAAAATATATAATAGAGTTAAGAAAAACTCCAAATTAATTATCAGGGTTTTTGAAGTGGTCTCAGGGCAACACTCTATCTGATTGGGTGTTCTTTGCTCATTCTTCATCAGGTACTTTATATCTCAAGCAAATCTATTAGTTGTCCAAAAATATGTGCTGCCTAATCATCAAAAGCCATGTTTTTTCAATTGTTTGAAAAGTGCAAGTCTTATGAATGATAAGATCAATTATAATTTTTTTAAATCAAAATTTCAGAGAAAACTGAACTGTATTTGTTCATGGGATTCACAAATATAAAGACATGTTCTAAGCCACCAAAATATGAAGTAAATTCTTTATGAACATGGAAAATTTAAATATCTGAGATCATCTTTTATATATATGTGTGTGTATATATATATTCAATCTATATAGAGAGAATATATAATTATATATATGTTCTGTGAATCAATTTGTGCTTCCAAAATATAAGAATTTTCCAATATTTGATGATTTTCCCATCAATTTAGGAATTATAAAAACCCATTAGAAAAATTAAGGGCAGTGATTTAGCCAATTCTTGTTTTCCTACCTCAAATAAATACAATATTTTTAGAAACTTAAGAAATCAAACAAAATATACACACAAAAAAAGCATAAAAGTATTACATTATACAAATTTCTAGTTTTGCTTTACTTTTAAAACTATACATTTTAATAGTGCTGAATCTAACTTTGTTGGTGGGAGGTAATGGATAATAGAATCTTGGGGGAAAAAACAGTAAAATTACATCGGTGTTATAATTTCAGATGGTTGAAGCTAAGATGTTCTGGACAGATAGTTTTAAATAAGGAATAGAACTCTGAGCTACTCCCATTTTTCTCCTTTTCCTTGTTACTCTGGAAAAATTGGTCTTGATCCTGCAAGATTGTAGATAATCAAAAATATTACATAAAATAAGAAACACTTTCTACTTATCTTTGAAATAAGTTTTGGTACTTTTATTTGTGTTGGGTCATGGTTGAGATTTACTGCTCTGTTTCCATGTATCCTGATTCTGTAGGCGAACAGAGCATAAAAAAATAGGGCCAGTTAGGGAAGCTTTGCAATCGTGCAAAATGTCTGCCCCTTGCTGTATCCTCTTTCCTGTTCTCTAAGACTGCGACAATCAGTTAGGAACAGCAATCCTTGAGAAACCCAGGCCTCTTTTAACTCTCCAGGGACACTACTTCTATCTGTTTTCATGCTCCTTCTAAAGGATCCTCCTTCAGACTATAGCACACTTCCTGAACTTCCACCCAGTTTGCTACATTCCCAGTCATTTCTGCTTAGTTAGGACTTTGCCTCACCCTCAATGGTGCTCTTTATGTTTCACACGCAGAGCTGTCTTCTTAAATTTTTGTTTTAAAATGTTATATTTTTAACTCTAAGGGAAACAGGGTTAACAGGGTAGACATGACATCAAAAGGATAAATGTAGGGACCGACGCAGATGTCTTTGGCATTCTGAAAATCTGCAGTGTAGTAGACAGAATAATACGATTACACTGAATTTGATTGGGCAGCTCTCACTTCTGGTTCATGAAGTGTTCCCACTTCAGAGTGGAAGGCTTCTCTCAACTAATGCACTTGAAGTAGATGCTCGACTCATTCTTGTGGTTTATACTTGATTCGGTATATTTCCTGTAGGGAAATTACTGTTTTAACTTAAAGGAACTAACTTCTCCTTCAGCAAATGTTGGACTAGAAAAATAAAAGACAAGTATGAAAAGAGGAGACTATGCCAATAAGAATATCAGGGTGTAAACTGTATCAAATAATTTGAAATTAGAAGAGTATGTCAAAAATTGGTTATAGACATTTTTATTATACCTATGAATTATCAAGAAACTCATGAAAATACAACCACTGTGTGATGGGAAAACAGAAGTAAAAATTCCTTGCAAGGTTTTAAGTATTAATTTAATTCTATTGCTTTAAAAACATTTATAAAAGAGACATAATTCACTGATTTGTATAATTGTTTGATTGGCTTGTTACTATTAGTTATCTATTCAAAATATATTGGGAGAAAATGAAACACTCAGTCACTACTCTGGTTATTATGAGCCACTTTACAAAGTGCCTCTTGCCCTGAAAAGAGTTAACGATTTAAGCTGACAACAGTGACTATGAAGAAATTCATTATTTGGTTAGTCTGAGGACAGAAAGGGGTTAATTTTTCAAATCTTTTTGAAGGGGGCAGTGGGGGGAAACTGAAAGATGAAAACCAAACCAAAGACTAAGCTGCTAGTGATTTGGTTGTATTTATGGATTATACTACATGTTGAAAAGAGGAAAATCAGAGCTGTAAGATGACGCTGCAGGGGTCGTCTGGACTTTTCACTGAGTCCAAAGTCTATTTAGTCAATGCTTATTAAGGACTGGTTTTGACCTTTGCCCTTCTCACTCCTCCCTGTTCCAGGTGCAACATTTTTGCAAGTGCTTGACCATTATTAGACACTATGTGCAAACTTTAATTGTGAACGGAGTGTGTTGAACATAGCAAATAATCCAGTAGCTATGATGCTCACATTTTTATTAAAAACTTTAAAAACTCAGTAAACTTAGATTCGTTTCCTTTTATAATTAATAAATAGTGCATATTGCTCTTCTTCAAGATATAAGGCTATTCAAGTGCAACTTACATTTAAACCAGATTACTACATTTGTTGTTAGAAAGAATTCTTGTAAGAATATATCTAAAATAGTGATTTCTATTTAAGCTACTTTACTTTGAGGGGGACATAGAAAACTTTATATAATTATTTCCTCTATGTTTTCACACATACACTTTTAGTAATAAATAAAGCTCTTCTATTCTAGGCTTATATTTGTTTAAAGGATTAATTTTATTTTTAAAAATTATAAACTAAGAGATGAATACACCAACTACTTTAGTGTTTTTAGTAAACAATTTTTACTACAACATTTTATAAAATATATTTATGTATTTACATGGTGTTTGATAAATATAAATGAGCATCCATTTATACATACTAATTAATAGATTTTTTTAACAAACCAACCATATATATGCCTCTAAAATCTAATGCTATTATATGTAACATGCATAAACATATGAAATGACTCTATATTAACTATATAAACATAAAAAGGGGAAATAAAGTTTTGCAAGTATTGGATTACATTAATAACATTCAGAATTTTACTTTACTTTTCTGCTGAATGCTTTGTTTAGCAAAGAATTATCCAAATTACATAAATTCATGTATTTTAAATACATGGCTTTGAATTGTGAAGACAATAAAATATCTAACTTGAGGAAAAGGTTGGTTTTAAAATTTCACTGGAGAAATAATATATAAGCATTTCTTTTAGCTAGAAATTTAAAATGTAGAAGAAACTTTATTTTACATTTTGAAATATTTTAAACTACACAGAAAAGTAAAGCAATATGATATACATATCCATATTTCCACGATCAAGATTTATAATTTATAATATTTTGCTATACTTACCCCCAAATTATTAAAAAAAGAACTATTTATATACAGTTGAAGACTCCCATCCTCATTTCATATCCTGATTTCCCTCTGGCTATGGAAGTAATCACTATCTCATAGTTTGCAACTTATCTTTCTTGTCTCTATTTTTACATTTTAATCACCTACATATCAGAAACAATAAAAAGAATGAGGTATCAAATATATAATTCCTAACTAGTTTTTAAATTTGTCTTTAAGTTATTGAAATTTTTCAAATAAATATATTCATTGGATACTGTACTTATTAATATATTTTTAGTTTAAAACTATAACGTTGATTAAAGATTTAAATTAAAAGATCTTTCCACCTGCTTCAACTAACTTTCATGGTTGCAGAAATTGAGAAAATATGCCTCATGCCTTTATTTTATTCAAATTCTTTGGAATTAAGTCTTACATTTTAGCTATTTTTATGTTACATAAGGAATTGGTAATATGGTTAAAATATTATTCTTTAACATTATTTCTGTTTCTCCCATTTTATTGTTTTCATAAAGAAGAATGTATTACAGTTAGCTCCATGCATTAATTTTCATATGCCACACTCTCAAAGGATTATTGTAAAATATTCTAACAATCCCTAAGAATTGTCTTTTGTTGGCCAAGAAAATAGCACCAATATCATAGTTAAAGAAAGAGCATTGACAGTAGGGTTGCTTTTTGGAACTAGATTTTCCTTTAAAAAGGGGCAAACGCAATTCTGAACAAGTGTACTGAAACCAAGATCCTTATTTGAATACAGTATTACTGCAGATTTACATGAACCATGTGGTAATGCATTGCCATACAAACCTCTAATGCTCTGAGTCTGCCACGGCATCAGAGTAGAAATCTGCATCAGCACCTTTCCTATCATGTATGATCCTAAACATAATCTATAGACAAAAAAACTTCAGATGTACGTAAAGGTGAGTTTAAATGATTTGCCCCCTATTAATACTTTCCTCACTAATTAAATTATCTAGGTAGCAATATATCAAGAGATACCTATAGTCAATTTAAAACTTTAGTCAAGTTCTTAATGCCTAAAACATGTAAGCAACTGTACTACCTTTGTTAGATATTTGAGATTGCTATCCACCTAAACTATCTTCAACTCACATTTATTAACTACGAGTTATTTCAAAATTGGACAATTAGTATCCACTAGTAAATATTTACTCCAGACAATGTTTGGGCTAACATGGTCTAAAGATGAAGACAGGTGAATATGAAAGACTCCATTTTTTCTCAGGTTCAGAGAGAGTATATTATAGCCCTCAATAAATGTGACTCCTGACTTTTTACACTAGATCTATGTAAAAAATGCTGATACAATGATTGCAGCCATACCATTTATCAAAAGAGCATATTATTACTATACAATAATATATTTAAAATTCTTTATTCTGTGAGTTTTGTATGCCAAGTCATTTATTCAAAGACATCACATTTTTGCTATAAAATAAATTCAAGAATATGGAAAGCTGTTTTTTAAAGGCTGTCTTCTTATAATTTGGCCAAAAGAACTTGAAATATGTTAACTAAATATTTATTATTTTTTTCTTTTTCTTGGACATTTGTATGTTTATTAGATTTAAAAACTACCAATACTCTTTCCTCCAGATAATTACATAGTCAGTGTCTATTATTTCGGTCTTTTTTGTTTTCTTCTCCACAATTTTGGTCAATTAATTAACTGTCTTTCAGAATACCCATGTCTGTTTCTCAAGATGAAATAGCAAATAAGAAAAGCACTGGGTAAGGAGTCAGAAGACATGTTATTCAACAGCTGGGTGGCTCTCTTTGGACCTCATTTTCCTTATCAGTAATTTAGAGATGTAGGGCTGGTGGATCTCCAAGGTCTTAGGACGTATCTCTACATGATTATCTAAAAATGAGACCATTAGCCAATTAATAAATTCTGAGCTCTCAAAATAATCTCTATATTATACATGTGCCAAGTGGTCCATCCTATTTAAAATGTGGCCTCACTTGTTCAAGGTTATTCTCTTTTAGTATTTAATTTTCATATTTTAAACTCATTTGTATATGAACTTTGGTTCCTATCTGTGTCTTCTGAAAAGCATTCTTCACCAGAATCCGCTGATTTTCTTTATGAAGTATCACTTGTAAAATCACATAGCTTAAAAGGATCTTATTCAATTCTGATAATGCATTTTACAGATAAGCCAAGTAAAGTCAGGAAACAGCATGGGCACTTATTTGTAAAGATTCTTTTGGGGTAGAAATTATTCTCTGCAAATTCTGTAATAATATGGAACCATTGGGTAGCTCAAAAAAAGAAAAGATTCACTGCAGGATACATTTTAGCTATTATTACTGAAACCACATGATATGACTGTGGGGAGTTTCCAACTGCTGATTTAGACATTAATACTAAGAGTTACAAAATGGATGTCCTCAGAGTATTATCAAATTTATTATGTTTTAAGTTAGCACTACCATTATTTTTTATTATAGGAAAGTTGATCATTGAGTGACTGTTGCCAACACTTTTACCCTGAATTTTGTCATTGCAAACTTAACTCAGATTTCTTATTTCTGAATAAATGATAATAAGTTATAAATTCTCTTGCTAATTCAGACTATGCTTTAGGTTTAAATTGGTTTATAACTACGATGTACACATAATGAAGTTCCATTAATAGTAAGCATAAGGGATGGAACTTATAGATTCAAATGTCAGAAGTAGTGATAATAATATAAATCTAAACATGAAGAGTGTAACATGAGTAATGGTAGTCCATGGAGAAAAAAATCACAAGTGAGTTAAAGAAGAAATGTAACATGAATTAAAAATATACTTGAAATGTAAATAGTTATAATTATATTGACAATATTTTTTTCCACTGAAGTCTATACAAAAGATTTGATTTATGAAATTCTAATCAATAACTATTTAGATCATGCCATAAAGCAGACAATTAGAAACAAATTTTTAAATCTATTTGTTTACCAAAACTATCCCCAGGTCTAGAATATTCTATAAACACAGAATAGATTCAAGTTAAATTGCTTTTTAGGTATTCGTAGCATACAAAACTCAGTTATTCTTAATCTATCCATAATATGAAATTGCAGAAATGTCTGTGATTTTCTTCATCCTTCTTTTTAAAAAAAAAATCAGTGTATTCAACTGATATTTGGTCATATAAGCCCAATCTTTAGACAGAGGAAAATGAAGGAAAAAAGGTTAGAGATGCAATAGCAGACCATATTAAATAAATATCAAAAGTAGTTTCTTAGTTGAAAATGTGGAATTATTTAATAAAAATAATGTAGAATTTTAGTAATATTTACTTCTATTAGATTTGGGTGTGATTTGTCATTGCATTAGGCATTGATGTGTCTATACCATGTGCACCTATTAATACACAGTACATTATTAATGATCATATTTGGACTTGGTAGGTAAAACTTTATTTCTATAACTGCTGTCAATGTTAGGCTGAGTTTACGGATCTGAATTTCCCTTCCAACATTTTTTGAAATGGGATGTTAAAAAAAAAAGGAAGAACTGGCCTAGGAGTGCCTAATATCAGTACCTAATTATTACCACAAAATAATCCATAACATTTTTATGGTCAAAATGTGGGTTCCTTTTCTTTTAATTTAGGATGGTTTGTTTATTAGAGTCAAATCTTAGAGTTCAAGAGTTTAATTGTCTAGTTTGTGAAATAATGTAACATCATTTTCTAACAGAAAAGAGCCTTAGAGATTACAGAAAGACAAAGAAACTGAGGCCTGAGAAGAGAAGCAAGTAATCTACATTCATATAGTATCTAGAGTGATAAAAAGTATAGTTCTTTCAATTTCTTGGACTTCCCCTTAAAAATGACTGTGTCAAGGGAAAAAAAGGGCACAATGAACCCATTTGGTTAAAAACATTAGCTCTGATAAAAGTCCTGCTAAGGATAAAGCTTAGCAATTCATTTTAATAAGAAACATCAGACTTCCTACAGAAGGACATAACCCCTTTCTTATTCAGTTTCCTCGCCTGTGAACAGTCATAACAGCACATGCTCTATATATCTCATAATATGAGAAACATTTATTAAGTGCTTACTACAAGTAAATCATAAAACTATGTATATTGCACCTAATTTTAATAAAATTTCTATGAGGCAACTCTCCCATTATTGTCCTATTTTGGAGATGAGGAAACTTAGAAACAGGATGGCCAGGTTATAAGCTCAAGATGCTATAATGCCTATGGGATAGGACTAGGATTTGAACTCAGAGGCTAGAGAGACTTTTTACTCCTGCATCTAGCTGCTTTGCTTCATGGCTTCCCACCACTTTTGTCTTAAAACATGAGATAATAGGTGGGGGGAGGGGGTAACATCAAAGTAATAAATAATTTTTCAAATGCAAGATCATATTAATCCTAGAAAGGATGTGGGCCCTATCTCAGATTATCATCAGTAATCAATACTTAGATGCACAGGTCAAAACTCTGTAATAAGTTCCATTACAAGGAAGACTGAGATAGAACATGTATAAGCACAATGGAAAAGTCCATTCGTTCTAATTATTTATTTAAAATTACTGTATACTAAACTCTCTTAAAATTCATCATAATAAGATTTGACCTGTGTGGATAATACACTTTTCATTTCCACACCACTTATATATATTTTTATAAATATGTTTGTTCTCAGTCATGTTTCCCTATGGCTCATCTGTTTAGTATTTTTATCTCCTTTACCTGTTCAACACGTTATATTCTGCTATTCCATCTAAATAGAACAAATGTTTCAAAAAAAATACCAATAATGGCTGCAAATTTAAAAAATAATCTCACAGTGTTTTAGTAAATGTACTGAGCTTGGCTACAAGACAGTTCACAGTAGCACAGAAGTCCAGCCTGTAGTGGCTTCCATCCAAATCAATGTAGCCACAAATAATCCTTGCAAAAGGATAAAACTGAGTCCAAGGACAGTGTTATCAAATTGTTACAATGTAGTCACTTTATAATCAGTCTCAAATGTTAGCTCAGGGGAAGTCATTGGGCATCAACATAATTCATGTTCTTATGGTTTAAAAAATAAAAACTGTAGATGGTCTCAATCTTGGATCAAGGTTAATGGAGTCTGTCAAGGATTAAAAATATGTACTTAGAAATCCGAAAATCTCACACCTCTCAATTTTTTTTTGGCATTTTCTAAAATTTCCATAAACAACTAAAGTTCGGTTTAGTTAGAGACTTGGTTGGACTCACAAGTCCTTCTCTTCTGTCCTGTGACTCTTTACGCATTAATCAACTGAAAGTTACAAGATGTGAAAGTGTGACTCAAGTCAACTTCTCTCTTAGACAAGTAGTGTTAAGTCATTGCCCGAAAATTTTCTTGTTGGTTCCCAGCTTTCTAAAAAAATAGTTCTTGATTTTATGTCAGGTAGTGAAACTCACTATAGAAACTCATTTATTCCATAAACAACAGAACAGTTTTTGTTATTTGCTAGATCTGAAATAATTTCTAATATACTTAAAAATATTTATGCATTTTATATATATATATATATATATATATATATATATATATATATATATATATATATTAGATATATATATTAGAAACTAGGTTGGCCAGGCACGGTGGCTCATGCCTATAATCCCAGCAGTTTGGGAGGCTGAGATGAGTGGATCACTGGAGGTCAGGAGGTTGAGACCAGAATGGCCAACATGGCAAAACTCCATCTCTGCTAAAAATATAAAACTTAGCTGGGCATGGTGATGTGCACCTGTGGTGCTAGCTACTGAGGAGGCTGAGGCAGGAATACCTCAGAATACCTTCATTTTGAAGGTATCCACTATTTTAAAACATGTCTCTAGTGTGTTTATATGCAATTTCAGCCTACTATAGTAGAACTTTTATTGAAGGTCAAATGCAACATAATAGTAGGGAACAGGAAGCAATTGTGGCAAAGTTCTCTACAGTATTGCCCTAAGTTCTAAGAAATTCTACAATAAATTTGAAATTGTCTGCTGAAGTCATGTTGACTTCCATTATTTATCCCTGAAAAACGAATGAGAGTTCCAAATGTTATTGAGTAGTCACTGCAAAAGTCATTAAAGAAACCAAAAACTATTATTAGAAACAGTTTTGTTTGTGCTTTCTGTTGGTTTGTGTTTGGTTTTGAGACAGGGTCTTGCTCTCTCACCCAGGCTGGAGTATAGTGGCAAGATCATAGCTCACTGCAGGCCTGGCCTCAAGCAATCCTCCACCATGGCCTTCCAAAGTGCTGGAATTGTAGGCATGAGCCACTGCACCCAGCCAGAATGTCTTGTATTTGAGTACCCATTTATAATTTTTCATCAGTTTTTTTCTTCAGCTTCCATACTCATAAGTGATATTTGAGTCACGAATTCAAGCATTCATATATTCATTTTTTTAACTATATAAGTAAAGAGTAAAGCTAATTTACTGATTTGTCCTTGAGGAGTAGAAGACAAAAGAGGAGATGCTGACCAAATTCCCTAGTTAATTTTCAGGGTAGGAGAACAGAGACTGGATCACTGTGCTACCTTAATTCAATATCTATTAATTAAGGCTTTGTTTATTCTAAACACTGCACTACACAGGTAGGAGGATATAAAAAATATGAGAAAAATGTATTATCTGCCCTTGATGTATCCATAAGTAAATTGATTCAAAATGACATTTTAAAATATGAACCATAATTAATTCTTCTTTTATATTCAAAATATATCTTCTGCATGTTTGCAGAACATTTTATTATAAAAATCGTAAATTTGTGGATAGCAATAAATTTCAGGGAATTACATTTTTTAAGTTGTCCTTATTCAATACTTTGCTAATATAATTGATATTCATAATGATGACCAGAGGAGTAAATATTCTAAAGATTTAGAATTATAAAAATAAACACTAAATTGGCCAGGCACAGGGGCTCATGCCTATAATCCCAGCACTTTGGGAGGCTGAGGCAGGTGGATCACTTGAGGTCAGGAGTTTGAGACCAGAGTGGCCAACATGGCAAAACCTCATCTCTACTAAAAATATAAAAATTAGCCGGGCATGGCGGTGTGCACCTGTAGTGCCAGCTAGTGAGGAGGCTCAGGCAGGAGAATTGCTTGAACCTAGGATGCGGAGGTTACAATGAGTCAAGGTCACACCACTGCACTCCAGCCTGGGCAACAGAGTAAGACTCCATCTCCAAAAAAAAAAAAAAAGGAAAATAAAAAATAAAAATAAACACTAAACTATGTTTAGTGTGATATTATAATAAAATCTAGAGTTTTTAAAATGAGACTCCAAGAATTAATCAAATGTATCAGTTTCAGAAAAAAACCTGCATTTCTGTATCAATATTTCCTATGACATTCTTAGGGCATTTTATTAAATCCCATAATTACTTCTTTCTCTGATAGTATGTAAAAAATGTTGTTATTAGTTTACTAAAGTAATATTTTCCCCAGTTCTTAAGGATGTGCATGCCATGAAAGAAAAGAAAATCACCAAGCAGGGACATTTTCTATGTGATCAAAGAAGTAGCAGCTGCGGTAGGATGTTTGTTCCAATAAATGTACAGGCCTTTGGAAGAGTTCAGATATACTACAAATAACACTGGAATCTTAACATTCATTCATGTCATTCTCAATGTTTCAGGATCTATCTTCATCAAATCAATGATATCATTGAGAGTTTAGATGGGCATAGCATAAATACAATTAGCATAACCACTGACCACATGATCTGATCCAATACACTATGACGTATGATTTCCTCAAGAATCTTCAAGATTAGGACGGTGCTCCTTTTGACACCCTATGCCACATAGCTTTTTCAGCAAACCTTAGACCTAAAAACTAGTGGTTTCAGAATCATTTCAGAGCAGGAGAAGTGGTAGGATGCCATGATGCTCTTGGAGCTAGACAGATGAAGACAGAATACTCTCATCAAACTGTAAATTCTGGAATGGCTTGGACTCTCATAGCAGCAGTAGTTTATGGAACCACTGATTTTAGAAAATTGGTCATCTGACACCCTCCAATTGACAAGTGAGTTCTCACCACTTGTCATGTTAAAACTTGGGACTACATTTCTGAGATTCTTGTTCTTACCACTGAAGCTTGATACTAATTCCATCCCGTTCATCAATGTCACCATCATTATCTTTTTATTTCTCTATATGCCAAACAAATGTGAAAGAGCTTAGTTTGATTTTTTACTGATCCACAATTAACCTGAAGAATACAGGCGTGCCTCAGAGATTTTGTGGTTTCAGTTTCAGACTACTGCAATGAAGCAAATATTGCAATAAAGTGAGTCACATGAATTTTCTAGTTTCCCGGTGCATATGAAAGTGTGTTTACCCTATATGATAATGAGTTAAGTGTGAAATGGCATTATGTAAAAAAATTGCATATCTTAATTTAAAATATTGTTAAAAATGCTAAAGATTGTCTGAACCTTCAGAGTTGTAATCTTTTTGCTGGTTTTGGGTATTGCTTCAATGTTGATGGCTGTTAACTGGTGAGGTGGGTGGTTGCTGAAGTTTGGGATGGCTGTGGTAATTTCTGAAAATAAGACACCAGTGAAGCTCAGCACACTGATTTACTCTTCTTTTCATTAAAGAGTTATCTGTACCATGCAATGCTGTTTGGTAGCATTTTACCCATAGTAGAACATCTTTCAAAATTGAAGTAAGTCCTCTCAAAATCTGCATCTGCTTTGCCAACTAAATTGATGTAATATTCTAAATCCTTTGTTGTAATTTCAACAATATTTACAGCATCTTCACCAGGAGTAGATTCCACCTTAAGAAACCACTTTCTTTGCTTGTCCATTAGAAGCAGTTCCTCATTCATTAAAGTTTTATCATGAGATTGCAGCAATTTAATCACGTCTTCAAGCTCGGCTTCTAATTCTTGTTGTCCTGCCATTGGCACTACATCTGCAGTTACTTCCTCCACTGAAGTCTTGGAACTCCTCAAAGTAATCCATGAGGGTTGTAATCAACTTCCTCTAAACTCCTGTTATTATTAATAATTTGACCTCCTCCTATGAATCACAAATGTTCTCTACGGCATTTACTATGATGAATCATTTTCAGAAGGTTTCCAATTTACTGAGATCCCTCAGAGGAATTACTATCTGTGGCGGTGATAGCCTTACAAAATGTATTTCTTAAATAATAAGATTACACCTTGATCCATGGGCGGCAGAATAGATGCTGTGTTAGTAGGCATGAAAACAACATTAATCTTCTTGCATTAGAGCTTTATCAGAGCTCTTGGGTGACCAAGTACATTCTCAATGAGCAGTAATATTTTAAAAGAAAATTATATTTCTGAGCAGTAGGTCTCAATAGTGGGCTTAAAATACAGCATGTCAACCATACTGTAAATAGATATGCTGCCACCCAGGCTTTGTTGTTCCATTTATAGAGAACAAGTGGAGTAGATTTAGCATAATTCCTAAGGGCCCTAGAAATTTTGGAATGGTAAATGAGCATTGGCTTCAAATTAAAGTCACCAGCTTCATTAGCTTCCAACAAGAGAGTCAGCTTGTTTTTTGAAGCTTTGAAGCCAGGCATTGACTTCTCCTCTCTCACTGTGAAAGTTATAGGTGGCATCTTCTTTCAATAGAAGACTGTATTATGTACATTGAAATTATATATTTTTAGTGTAGCCACCTTTTTTAATTATCTTAGCTAAATCTTCTGGATGACTTGGTGCAGCTTCTACATCAGCACTTGCTCTGTAACTTTGCACTTTTATGTTACAGAAACAGTTTCTCTCCTTAAACCTCATGAACCAACCTCTACTAGCATCCAACTTTTTTCTGCAGCTTCTTCGCCTCTCTCAGACTTCATAGAATTGAAGAGTTAGAGTATTGCTCTGGATTACGCTTTGGCTTATGGGAATGTTGTGGCTGGTTTGATCTCCTATCCAGACCACTCAGACTTTCTCCAAATCAGCAATAAGGCTGTTTTGCTTTCTTATCATTTGTGTGTTCAGTGAAGTAGCCCTTTTAATTTCCTGGAGAACTTTTCCTTTGCATTCACAACTTGGCTAACTAGCACAAGAGGCCTAGCTCTTGGTCTGTCACAGCTTGCCACATGCATTCCTCACCCAGTTTAATCATTTCTAGCTTTAAATTTAAAATGAGAGATGTGGTTCTATCTTTCACCTAAACACTTACAGGCCATTGTAGGGTTGGCCTAATTTCAATATTGCTGTGTCTCAAGGAAGAAGCAGGCCCAAGAAGAGGGAGAGAGACAGAGGAAAGGCTGGTCTGTGGAGCAGTCAAAACACACACAACATTTATCAGTTAAATTCTCCATTTTACATAGGTGCAGTTCATGTACCCGCAAAAATTACAACAGTAAATATAAAAAATCACTGATCATAGATTGCCATAACAGATAAAATAATAATGAAAAGTTCTGAATTATTGAGAGAGTTACCAAAATGTGACAAAGAGGCACAAAAAGAGCACATGCTACTGGAAAAATGGCACAGACAGACTTGCTCAATGCAGGGTTGCTACAAGCATTTTATTTGCAAAAAGCACAATTTCTGCAAAGTGCAATAAAGTGAAGTGTAATAAAATATGGTATGTCTGTATTTTGGCCAGATGACAGAATTATACTTCCTAGAAACTGGCCACATAAACGTCAGGGGTTTTATTCTTTCTATGGGGTGAACCTGGAAGATGTAACAAATGAAACTGCTAAAAAGATTTTAAGCTAAGATGGTTTTTAAAATAACAGCTGGAATTGATTTAGAAAGCAAATGAAATTGCAAGGAGATAGCAAAGGAACACATTGTGACGACTAAACAGAAGCCATGCATGGGGTTCTCTGATCTAGGAATCTGGATGAAGCTGGGGAGGCATTCAGAAGCAATAGCCACATTTTTATATGGGTCATAGAGACTCAGGTGTGCAATGCCAGCTCCAAAGAGATTTCAAGTGCCATGAAAGGCAGCCCCTGACAGTCTATGCTCTCTTCTTATTTTTGTGGAAATGGCACTCCCGTAGGATTCCCAGCAGCTATGATAACAACTGCCATGGTGCTCCCCCCAGAGTATGTCATTCTTTCCCATTAACACAGCTGATTGTCCCTAATGACTTTTCGGTATCAATATGGTTCTTTATTAGCCACTTCTAAAGTGTTGACTTTGACATATGTATAGTCTCAAATTATGTTTTTTAGAGTATAATTGTAGCTCATTGTCCCTAATACAGCCAGCTTCAAGAGTTTGACTGAATTGCTATAGCTTTTATGTAGTTCAATGTTAGATGCTAGAGTGGTTATAGGGGGTTTCAATTACTGAGAGAGTAAATGAAAAGGTAGCCTTTTTTTCTGCTCTTGATTTTGATGATTTTTCTCATTGGAGAGAAATAGTACCTCTGAATTAATGGGAACACTATAGGAAAGAATAAGGAAATCATAATTCAGAGCAGAGTTACCCTCTGCTGAGACTCCCTGTGTGCTTTACTGCAATGAGAATTTAAAAAGATTTATTAAGGGTAAAATATGTCAATTTTGTAAAATAACACAATCTGTGGTAAAATAGTTTTAAAAAGAAAGTTGTTGAAGTTGTTTTCTTTTTTGGTCAAGTTTATATTCCTTCATCGAGCAAAATCCAGGTGTTTGCCATCAAACGTCTTAATCCGTATTCTTTTGACTTATTTTCCTAATTTAGGTACAGATTATCATTTTACCTCAGAGACATGAAGTGTCAGCACAATTAATTGAAACAACTGATTTGTTGTTTGAGAAGAAAAATAAGAATATGATAATTAGGCCCTACTGCACACATATTTCTGAATCACAATTAAAAAAGAAAGTACCGAAACAGTAGTATAAAATATAGGTAAATATGTGTTGATAATACTTCATTCCACTCAGAAAGCAAGGTTATATTTGTTTCAAGCCATGCATTAGATAGTTGAAGTTCTTGAGGAAGTCAATAAATAGCACCCTTCTTCCCCACTCAAGTTCTGAAATAAGAAGCAAAATAGGTGGAGGCAGAATATCACCTTTATTATTGCTACAGCTGATCATTTTGAAGAATGTGACTCACACCTTCAAGTATGTGGGCTGAAAATTTATAGCATAGAGAGGTCATCTGGGAGGATTTACATTCTATAGGCAATACAAAGAGAGGAAGGGAACATGAGAGTTAGACAGTGAGAGGATGAGGGAGAAAGAGAGAAAAAGAAGATATGGAGATATGCAGGCTCACGTGTCCAGTTTTTCCTTCCCAACTTCCCATTTAAATGCATGTCTGGAGTAGAATAAAAAGGAGAGCTTAAAGTGTTACATTAATGGAACTCATTACATATGAAAAGACAAGAGTAGGGAAAGAAACTTTTCCCCATAAATATATGCATAAAAGAAATAAAAGGCAATCGAATATAAAGTACAAAAATATAGTAAAGTTAAAAAAATCCTAGCTTTATTTCTTTATTTAAATTAATATTCATAAAGATAGCTCACAAAAACCTACACATATATGGTAATAAGTAGATAATTCTCCACAGGAAAGAGTTACCAAAGCTTGAAGTGATTGCCAGAAATCTCCACTTAAAACAATGGGTGAAGAAGAATTGGGGATTTACACAAGAGGCATATGCCCTTCATTCCCCAGGACTTAGGAATAGTGCTCCAAACTGTAGAGGGCAGAGCAAGTTGATTGTCCACCCAAACCAGCTACAAGAAAATTGCCCCTCAACGTCATGTCTACACTCCACCAACTACTTCAACTCTGGTTTCAACATTAAATTAACCCTACATTTTAAGTAAAGGATTTCATTCAACATTTCTACAAAGTCTCCTTCTTAAACTGCCTATCATAAATACTTGAAAATAATAGGACATGGCAAATATCTAAAAAAGTACATTACCATATGAAAAACTTTGCTGCCTGAGATTCATACATGATGCAAACCTTCTAAAAACAATTAAAAGTTATTTATGTCCTAATCATGAGATGAGAACATCGCCAGCCACATCATTTCACCATGTAGTATTAATTTTTGCAGAGAGTAGAAACAATTTTGCTAAAGATGTTGATGAGGCATGGAATTCTCTCATGCTTTTCCTCCATTATCATCTGTTCTTGGTTCTTCCATTGACATCAACCCTTTGCCTTCCAGGGTAGCTAGCAGTAGGAGGGCTGTGGCATGCAGCAGAAATAGCCTTCAAAGTTGTCACCTTTCAGACCAGACATTCTAGAGATACTGTACTGACTACTGGGAAGGCCAGTCCTGCATGTTGGAATAATTTCAGTGCAAAAGTGAAGCTGACATATCCAACAGATTTCAAGTGTCCTAGTTCTAAAACAATTTTACGAAGGAGTCTGTGACAGGATTTACCAAGGAGTTGTAGAGCAAAATATATGTGAAGAGGCTGGTCAGTATTCAGATGGTCATCTTCAAGCCATACAACTTTCCTGCATTAGTCAATGTTATCTAGAGAAAAAAAATAAGATATGTATATATAAATGTATACATCTGCATATGTATAGACAGAGGGAGGGAGAGAGATATTAATTTTAAGGAATTGGTTTATGTGATTGTGGAAGCTGGCAAGCCCAAAATCTATAGAGCAGGCCATAGGCCGGGGACCCAGAGGAGCTGCAGTTTGAGTGTGAAGGCAATCTGCTGGCAGAATTCTCAGAAAATCTCATGGGTTTATGGAGGCATTTATACAACATTCCATTCTCAAAATGGATCTCAACATATATGTGTATGATTTTATTCTGGGAATGCCATCTAGCTCCTTTGCAAACACCTGATTCATTTATACGACCACGTTCCTTGAACACGTCTATGTATCAGGTAATTGACAGTCACCTGAAGATTGCAAACAAAACTATGACAGGATCAAATCTGCATTTGGAAAGATAACTCAGGCATCAGTTCAGATGAGGTGACATCGTAATTGCCAAAAATGAAATATGGATTTAAGCATGAAATGTAACTCATATTTTTCCTCAAGTGTTTATTCTCTAAACAAAAGACTTAAAAACAGGCAGCCATTAATTTTTCTCCTCGTGTTTTTCTTCATTTACACATTTGAAGCACATGTTTAAGTTGGTGTAGTTTCAGGCCGGATATAATTTTATTATTTCATAGTATAAAAAGCAAATGCAACCCACACAGGAAAAACTCTCAGTTGTTAATTCACATATGGACTTCCCAAGAGTGTGTGCCTGGTCACTTGGGGCTGATGTTGCATGGGCCTCTGCCAGCATTCCACGTAATTGCTCTGCCTTGCTCAAAATCATTCAAAAAAGAAACTATATAAAGCAAGCAATGCTTTCGGATGAGGAAAATGCCTAATACTGACATTCGAACTGAAGTTTACATTTTTTTGCTCTGCCTGAGATTCACACATGATGCAAGCCTTGTAACAATTAAAAGTTATTTGTGTCCTTCTTTGGCCATATATTTGCTAGTAATGCAATGTTTCAAGATAGTTATAGTGAAGTCATGAATTGCACATAGGAGATAACATGTTGATTCTCACTAAAAATACAAAGATGGAAGAGCAGTTTTATCTTAAGTTTCCCTAGCAAGTTCTCCGTGTTCATAATCACTAGGCACAGAAAACATGAAAACCATCTCAGTGTGCATATGTAGGCAGGTATTTTATCATGGAAGCAAATACCTGATAATGGTAACACATTTAAATAGTAACTTAAAGTGTGTGCCACATACTCTGATTACACTGAATATAAAGAATAATTGAAAACTTATGTAATTTTTTTTCTTCAAGAGCTCAAAGCTACATATGCCTACATTGCTGCAATTGTATGTATTACTTATTGAATTTTCTAATGCAACTTAAACATTGATTTTGGGGGTTTTTAAGTTATAAAAGCAGGAAAAACAAAATAATTTTTTATTTTTTAAGTACATGTTTTCAAGTGTATGTACAAGTCCACTTATATTTAGGCCATACTGTGCATTACAGTAAGCACACTCTTGCACAAAGAAATTGAGTGTGTAAACAATCATAGCCCAAGGTTTCCCATTATTATGTGAACTTATTGTTTTGTTTTCCATATACTTCCCAGATTTGCTTATGCTATTTCCTCCTATTGAAATGATTTTTTCTTGCTCTTTTCTGAATATCCAAATGTAGTTCAACTCAAATGCCACCTTCTCTAATACTTACTCATCTACCACTGTGGTACTTAGTCTCTTCTTTAAATGTCAATAACCTTTCACCTCTATTCTTTTAAGGGTACTTACAACAATGTTTCTTGTGTTACTGTATTTTCATCCTTAGAAGACCAATCCTTGGAGGCAGGATCTCAATCATTCAGCAGAGTGCCCTTGATCTAATAGATACAAGTAAATATTTGTTAAAATATTGAGTTAATGTGTAAGGATTTAGAAAAATCCCTGAAGAAATCCAAAAGCCAGCTCTAGAACATGAATATCTCTAGAAATGTGAAGGGTACTAAGTTGCCTCTTCCTAAATTGTAATATTCAAATAGTCCTATTTTTAAAATAAACAGAAAACAAAAACCTTAGGAATTGAGGGGAATCCGATAGGAGTGGGATTCTAATTATATGAATTAAAAATCTATGCCCAATACATGACCAATGTTGAAGACAATGATTACTTTTACAGATTTTAATGGAAGCATGCCCTAAATATGCATCATTAAAAAGCACAAATAATGAGCTTATCAAAGAATAAATCTTGAGAAACAAATGAATTGCATATAACAGAAGTACCATTATAAGACTAGGAGAAGAAGTGATTATGAAATACAACAAATAGATGTAATCTTAAAATATCTTATGGCTGATGTATCTCTGTGACTGATTGCTGTCTGATTCATTGTTTCATTCCACAAGTATTTATCGAGTACCTGTTATAAGTCTGGCACCCTTCTAGTTGCTGAGAAGACAATGATAAACACAAATTCACTGCACACAGTAAACACATACATAATCAATCAGGGGGCTATAAATACTAAAAAGATAAATAAAAGAATTATGAAAGTGCAATGATGTGGTTTGTCTGTGACCCCACCCAAATCTCATCTTGAATTGTAGCTCCCATAATTCCCACGTGCTGTGGGAGGGACCTGATGGGAGATAATTGAATCATGGGGGCAGCTTTCTCCACACTGTTCTTGTGGCAGTAAGTCTCACGAGATCTGGCGGTTTTATAAGGGGTTTCCCCTTTTGCTTGGCTTTCCTTCTCTCTTGCCTGCCACCATGTTAAGATGTGGCTTTTTACTTCTGCCATGATTGTGAGGTCTCCCAGACATGTGGAACTGTGAGTCCGTTAAACCTTTTTTGTCTTTATAAATCACCCAGTCTTGGGTATGTCTTAATTAGCAGGATGAGAACAGACTATTATATGTGGTATGACATTTTATATAAGGCTATCAGGAAAGGTCTCTATGATATGATATTATTTGAGCTGAGCCTTGAAGGAAAGAATGGTGGGAGTCATATGAATATCCAAAGAAGAGCTCTCCAGACCAGACTAGGGGAATAGCAAGTGCAAATGCCCTGAGGCAGGAATGCTATTAGGATGTATGAGCAAAGAGTAAAGAGGGAGGTCGTTAGAGTGAACAAGGAGACAGTGGCAGGGGACGCAGTGAAGAAGTGAGGTGAGCAAATCATGTAGGGTCTTGAAAGGCTCTGGTTAAGATTCAAAATTTTATTCTGAGTGTGATGGAAAACCATTGGGATCTGACCAGTGGACATATGTGATTTGGCTCTAGAATTAAAAGGATCACTCTGGTTTCTGTGCAAAGAACAGCTTAGGCTAGGGGTGGTGATAATGCGTAAGGATGAAGCATGGAGGCCACTGAGGCTGGTATGGCAATAATCCAGGCAAGAGGTGCAGGTGCCTTGTGTTAGGGCGGCAGCTGTGGAGGTGGTGAGAAGTGGCTGGATTCTGGTGTATTTTAAGTTAGAGTGAAGGTCAAATTATCGTATAAGACTTTACCAAGTAAGATTCTGCCAGATGTAAAGAGCATCTTTTCTGAGAGGACTTCATTATATCATATTTATAATGGTAATTATTCTCACAGTTACTCTCTAGGGAGCTCATCTGTTAGGATTAACCCCATCTCTCAGAGAGGCCTGGGTGACATGCTTTGTGTCACAAGTCAAGACAGATCCCAGAGCTCCAAAGCTACTGTTCCTTCTACTAAATTTCACATTTTGTTCTCAGTTTTCTTCTGCATATTCAAGAAGAGTTTTGATTTAAAATATATAACGTATTTTTAGCATGAGGAAAAATTCTGAATATTGACTTAAATGGTTATCTTCATAAAAAATTGTTAGCATCTTATTTTCAAAAGATTAGTGTAGTGATTTTAGCAATGTTTTGCATTTTTTAGGCTGAACACAAACATGCAATAATTCATTTTTGAACAATTTTAACAAGCACATTCTATGGGGAAAATACATCCTATTAGTGATATGTTCTGTGTTGTCTTGTTTTTAAATATGTGTGTTTAAAGCATAAATATTATTAAAAGCATCCTTAAAGATATCATTTAACAAACTATTTCTAGGAGAAAAAGTCTAACTTTATTGTTAGTCCTGACCATTCACATATTTCTTTATTCTGAATCATTAACCAATGACCTGTTTTTTAAATTCTGAAACATTTTTCAGTTACTATGCATTTACAGCACTCTAAAACACTAACCAATCAGCTAACAAGTTTTATTGTAATGATTTTATTGCGCTAGAGAATACTTTTTTATTATAATATTTGAGTTCTAAACTATTCATTTCTTTTTGTTCTTGAATAAGAATTTAAGGGATTCTTGGAGATTCTTAGCTGCTTTTATATTTAGAATGCTAGAACATGATGCAAATACCCTCACTTTAATCAGGAAATATGGACACTGACATTAAAAAGTCTTCCCCCTCACATACTTGTGAGTCATTTTTCCTCTACAAGATTCTTTTCTGCAGATTTCCACTAGACCCACACCTCACTCAAATAGACTCTCAGTCTCTTGAGTCAGGCATTCATTTATTTCTTTTCCCTACCGGCTTCCTCTGGAAACGCAAAGAGAATTTAATGCATTGTGTATTTATTGACAGCCCCTAAAATGCATGATATTCTGGCTAAGTGGTACAAAGATAACAGAGAATTGGAAACAATCCTTGCTTTCTGAGGACCTAACTCCTAAATAATCATTTAAGCTAAATAAGAAAGGAAAAACCTGCCACTAGTCTTGAGAGGTTAAATAACTGATAATCTGGTGACTCCCACCAACTGCTTATTCTCTAAGAAAAAAAAAAAAAGAAAACATTTTTTTCAGGTGTCCAAAGAGAATTTTTTAACCTTTTCTTTGTTCCATCAAAGATGAGTTCTGTCGTCTCTTTCAAGGTATTTTCTCTTAGATCCTTCTTTTCATTTCAGCCCTCAGTGTTGTGCTAATCCTTGATCATAGGGGAATTTGCAAAGTAAGTATGGGAGATAGAAGAGTATAAGAAACAGAGTTAAGGATTTATTAAAATACAGAAAGGAACAGTCTCTTTTAAGTATGGATAGTCACCAAGAGCAATCAAGATGGCACTGCATATTTACTGGGAGTCGTCTCATTGGTTATATGCTAGGTTTCCTTCCAATGAAAGAGGAAAAAGTCACTTTTTTCATTTCTTTTTTTTTTTTTTTTTTGCCTAAGAAGATGCTATAATGGATGCACGTAGATTTGCTAAAAGTAGAATAATTTATCCTGTCAGAGTTATTGATGCTCAACTCTGTCTTTTTGGAAATTGCATTTGTTGAAAGTCGGGCATGCTTAAACCCTGATTGCAAATTTTAGATGTTTTCAAAAGATTATGTAAGAGTAGAAATTGAAGTGTATCATCTTCTGTCTTCTATTTAGCGTTGTTCTGTTCTGCTTCCAATGAGCATCGTAAATGTGATGACAGAGTATAATGAAATGGTTATTTGGTTGTTTTGTTAGGTTCCAAAGTTCAGAATTTTCTAATCCCATTAACAATAATAAAAAAATACTCTGCCACTCAAAACCACAAATATCTCAAATATTTAAGTTTACTAAGCTTATAATTAGCATAAGAAATATTTTCTCATAGAGCTTCAAGAACACAACCAAATAATTCTTGAAATTATAGATAAAAATCTAGTAACATAGTATAAAATATAACATTATCTTTTTATAATATACAAGCAATAAATTTTATTTACAGTGTTAATTTTATGAGCAAACTATTTTAAAATATTACCACATTATGTATAATAAAAACTGTATTGTGCATAATGAAAAATAAATATTGATGGTTTTACATAATAAATATTGTTAAAGGAATGATTTTTGTTATCTGAAATTATAAGATTAAAATTTGTATACCAAGTTTCACTCAGTCACTGTTTGCTGCCATAGAATTTATAAGAGAAAGTACAAAATATACTAAAAAGGAAAGAAAATTGTTGTTTTTCTGTCCAATAAATCTTTCTTCCCAGATATATAAATGGCTGTTAATTCTATTGCCATCCCATGTAATGTGGAAGTCAATGAAGAAATAAGACCTGCCAAATAAAAGGGCACATACCCTATTTGTATTGAGCAATGGATACTTATTTAGAGAATGAAGAAACAACAGAAACAGGCAGAGCTGATTTGTGTTCTATTCTCTGTATACAATTTGACATGCCTATTTATCACACTTCAATAAAAGTGAACTGAACACTTTAGAGATATTGCAACCCATGAAGAACAGAAATGTAGAATCGAAGAGCATCAATTCCCAAAAGTTGCTTATACATTGTTCTAATTTCCTTTCATATAGAATTTATACAACATATTTAAAGTTTCAATAAACCCTTTATCTAGAAGCAAGTAGAATTTAACAAATTGACAATGTATACTTACATTTGCTAAGTAATCTATAAATAAATCCATGGGTTCTTAAAAGTCAGAAACTCTCAAGCAATATCATATGAATTCTCATTTAAACAAAAAAAAATGCAGCTATACTTCAAAATTATTTTTATTTTTAAATATCTGTAGTTTTTGTAAAGCAGAGCTAAATTCGTTTCTGAATATATTATGGATGGGATATATTATGAATATTCTACTTGTTAAACCACCAAGACAAATGTTATACTTTTGCTCTACAAAATTTGAATTTATAAACATAATTTACACTCTAGCAAAGCGAATTTGATTTCTCTTTGAAGGAAGAAGACATGTAAATGGTGAGAAATTAGAAAAAAGGATGCTAATTGGATAGCAGTAATGATTCACCATTTTGTTTTTTATTGTAAGGCCAAAATAAAAAGGTTGATTTTTATATGTTAGGCATGTTCTGTTGTTTATTACAGAAGAATCAGCACTCTTGATATTTATAGTCAATGTGCATGTCCAGCCTTGACCTATAGTTATGCTACAAATAAAATTGTAATTGTTACTTTAATGTAGATCCTATCAAAACCATCATTTATTCACATTTGAATAGATTTTTAAAAACTGCTCTTCAATCTTAATAATTTCTACTGCTAGCACATTATTAACAAAATAACATGTTTTCCTCCAGTGGGCTCAGCGTGTATTACAGGTCGCAGTGTTTAGAATGATGACAATGACAGGAAATATATTGGGATGTTCTAAGCAAAGCACACGACAATGCAAGACAAAAAGATCTCCAGAAACCTGGTTGGAGTTTGAAAGAACTTCCTTGTTTTGGGAAGTCTGAAATAGTCTTAGAGTTTTGTTTGATGATAACAATGAATCTTAAAAGGGAGCAGGAAGGGAGGTGTTGAAACTGCTAAATTCTCTGTCAAAGAATTGTACCAACGCTGTTTCCTTGCTCTTCAGCAAACCCTGTTGATGGGGATTACCCTGTTCATACCTGACATTCACAACAGAAATTACTCTGCTTGTATTGGAAATTTACTAGGTATCAGATAGATTATAGGAGCTACTGAAAGTGTTAGAAGGCACCAAGTAGTCAAGAAATAATTTTTCCAGTTTCCACTTATACCCATACGTTTTATCCCTGTAGAATACCTGTTAGAGGAAATTTACAAAAGACTAACTAAATGAATAAATTAATAATAGAGGGAAAGGCAGAAGTCAAGATGCAGATTTTTACTGTTTTCTGTGGCAGATTACTAAAAAGAAAATGGAAACTAGAAGACAGTATACTAGAGAAATCACCAATCGTGTGTTTATGATAGGATGAGCAAACAAAAATGAAATTTATACACCATACACAAACCACTTGAACCAAAAGACGTTACTATGAGAACATTTAAACAAGTCTAACTTGGAACTTTGCTTGATATATTTTAGCTCTTTGATTAAAATCTTTGTCCAAGTTCAGTGACATGTATAATGCTGTGGTCAATAATATTTTTTCTTCCAGATCTCATTTTCAAGAAATGAAGCTTTCATTAGTACTTTCCTACAAAAGCAAGATAATTTACTGATGCTCTGACAATCATACACAGAGCTCATTGTTCTCTGAAATATATACACCAAATTTTTCCTGTTTGATTCATCTAAAGACTAGTACATTGTGCTCTCATGGAGCCAAAGAAAGGAGGAGAGATTTTATTCCTACCAGGTATTGGGAATTCTATTCAACCTAATCTACCTGAGAAATTAGTGTAACCAGATTTGGGGTGGCTCTGGGATCATATCACTAAACAATGTAAGTCATATCATGTACATGGTCTTTATGATAAACCATTTCCAAGAATAGCTTTAAATATTGTGAAATGAGAGTATGATAATGAATCTGCCTGTGAAAATCATTATTTTAAATTTGGATATCCTCGTTTTTATATAAATTTATGATTGTTACTTAAAAGTTAGTTTATATTTAAAAGTTTTCCGAGAAGACTTTTATCTAAAATTTTTGGAAGGATATTTTATATTTTCCAAAGCATCAATTTGCAAATAGCATAATTCTAGTAAGAAACCTGATTGGCTTTCTTTTCTTTCTACAAGGATTTAACAAACGACAGCTTTATTGACATTTCTTATGATTTAGGATTCATTAACACTTTTTTCCCAAAAAGCTTCCCCAAAAGCTAATATATACCTAAAAAAATATATAGAGTCCATCCTATACTTAACAGCAATTCAAATAAGTACACTTTCATCACTTTAAATTTTTGCATGTTGTTCTTTCTTACCTACAAACTCACTGAAATTTTACAGCCAAGGAAACGTTTTACTTTCTCTTGCAATTAACAAGTGTCTACTCCGATAATTATTCCAACTCAACTGTCCCTTTAAATTCAAAGTATTTGTTTGGTTGATTCCAACTTCCACAATAAATATAAGATTCCAGAGTTCAAGTGTGTCATATGTCCTTCTCTTTCACTCAGGTATATATAAAATATGAAACAAGTGTTATTTATTTGTAATTGGACCTATTCCATTTTGAGTGTAACTTCCTTGACTCAAATTTATATCCACTGCGGATATGGTTAAGAAAAAAAATATATTTGGTTTTCAGTTCCTAAGTCAGTTGTATGAATGTATATTATGCATGTCACAAACCGCTGCCCTTGCCACCCAGGACACTTTCCATTCTCATTTTTCTAGTGTTAAGATACGACTTACGAGGGCCTACCAAGAAGGCAAGTAATTCTACTTATGTAGCACAGTTTAGGTCTCTTTATTACTCTCGAATCATCAAAATACATCCTTTAATGTGCAATACAATACATCATAAAACAAAAACATTTTCTTATTCCCCCCGTCATTGCTTATTCTCTTATTCATCTTAAAATAAACAGAAATAAATATCTGATTAAGCTTATTTTACATTTAACCATTCTCAGATAATCACCTTTAACATGTAATTTTAAAAAATCACTTAAGGATCAAGCAATTCATTCCTAATAGTTAACTTAAATAAGCAGCTAATTCTTTTTTGAAAACAAAAACAAAAATTTTAAACTCAAACTCCATGTTTCTAAGCAGGGACACCATGGATAACCTCAGTTTGCTACTTTCAAGGTCAATATTGGGATCAGAGAGTTCCCATTCTATGATACAATTGGAAGATAAAGATCCATTACTTCCAGGGGAAGCATTGTCCAGAGCTTTAAGCACAAATGGGTCAAGTTGCACAGTGAATTGTCTAATTAATGACTGTTGCATTTAGTGTGCCTGAGACCTCATAAATATACGCTCCCCAAATTGGATATACATTCCTCACCCCCCCAAAAAAAAAGTTACACCAAAATTATCTTATTATGTGTTCCCATTTCATTTCCAGAAGTATGCATCAAGAATGGACTTTCACAATCTTATAATAATTTTTTTTAAAATTGTCTTTCTTCATGTTTACTTGATAGTCTGGAAAATCTATATTCCAGGAAATAATGATTTTCTGCCTAAATGTTAAATGTCTAAATAGCCAGAGATCATTTTCAAATAGTAAGCAGTGGGATAAATGATTGTACTCTGCAAGTATGTGTTTACATGGTCAGAAATATATAATTAATAATCTTGGGCTTTGAGGTTTTATGTGAGTATTGCATAAGTGTATCCAAACCGAGCTACTCTTCTGGAATAACCATACAATGCTGCATTGTTTTCTTTTCCCATGTTTCTGTGTATATGTTACTGTTTCAGTTTCATTTGTCAGCAAAAGTCTGTTTACCAGGCTTCCTGTTATTAATTATGGGAAACAGGTTTTCTTGAAATATACAAGAGACTCTTTAAACTCTTGTCCAGACACTTCAAGGCAAGATATTGATGATTCCGTCCATGTTTGTACAAATCTGGAAAATGAATTTAAATACATTGTTGCTTCACATAACCTACAACTTCTTATTTCCCACAGAGGGGGTAAAAAGACAAGTAATAAGAAACAAATCACAGCAGCTTCTATCCTGGTTACTAGATACTGAGATAACAGAGTTGGTTACTTTCTTCATTTGCCACAAGGATTAATTAACAGATCACAATGTGAATTCTGAAATCTAATGGCCCACAAAAATAAGTTGCACAGATCGACTCAAATTGTAAAGTGCTGAAAGACAATGAGATGTATTCTAATGTAAATATTCTCATAAAGAGACAAAAATACTGACCTGATTATTGGTGTATTACAAAGCTTTTCATATAGAAACATCTGGTCAGTCCGTCTAGCTCTCTCTTTCTCTCTCTCTTTGAAATGGGAAGAAATATACTCGCATGCATTAAAATTATAAAGGAACCAAAACATCTGGAAGTTTTAGAAGAAAAGCAAAATAGTTATGGGGGAAATTCAGATTAAGAAATGCAGATGTTTAATTGGGCTGTCAGTTTTGTTACAAGGAAATAAGAGCAGAAATAACCAGAAGCCACTGGTGGAAAATTAAAATAGTTTCATGAGCCCTTGCCAAGCTAAAAGCAATGAAATCGGTAACACAATATGGACAGGGGCTTTCTAAACTGAGATCTGAAAATGTTACCATGTGCAATTTTGTAAATTAGCCATTTCCAAAAAGTCTTTTTCATTAAAGCACAATAAAAGTTTTTCAGACTCTCCTCTCTTTGGTCATTAACATTGGGCAGTTATTCGGGGTTTGGCTTTCATCAATGACAAGCTCTTCCCCGCACCCTCCTCACCCCCTTTCTAAGACCTTCTAATACTGCTGAGTGGCCAGAAATTACAGATGCAAGAAAAGCTGACAAATGACTGCCAGGCCCCTCCCCCAGTGCCTAGACAGTCAAAGCCCCTGCCAGAACATGCCTGAAAGCAGCGCTCCTAGAGACAAAGACACAAAGATTCCATTTTCTCAGTGAAAATAGATTTCATGTGTAAAACACTAGTGAGAAAAATTGAAAGCTGACACATATGTGCAATTTCAGAGAGGCAGGGCTGAATAATTCAAGATTGAAATTGCATTTGATTGCATCAAAGCCTAACAAATGTTGTTTAACCTAAAAGTCTTTTCAGTCTGTAAAAAGACATTCAGTGGCAAGATATTTTATTTTTTTTTTTAAGCACACGGCTGAAAAGGAAAAGGAATATTGAGCTCAGTAGAGAGATGTTGATTATATACTACTGTTGGATTAGGAATTAACACTGGCTCACATCACAGGGTCTACAAAATAAGGGGGAAAAGTTTTTTTAAAAAAACCATTAAATCAAAGGGTTCTGAAAGATAATATTAAATCCTTATGAGTATGTTTCCTATAAAAAGAATCCCCTCCCAGCAGCCCCAGGGTATCATTACTGGAGAGGCAGCGAGTGGTTTATTAGAGATTCAAACCTGGCATCTGAGCCTTGCCAAGCATGCAAGTTTTAGCTTGTGTGCCCAGGGCCTTGGCTTCTGCAGTCCCTTCTTCTGGCATCTAACAGTGAAGGCCGTCTGGTCGGCCTCCACACCACACCAGGCAGTGTGTAGGTACAAAGCCTAGGACTGGGAGACAAAGAAAGTTTGTCATTTACTAAGGAAGATTACGCTTTTCTTCCTGTCCGCTTACATATTCACCCAAATCCATTCAGTATCATTTTGTTCTTAACAGATAGGCTCAACACTTACAGAAAACTTGGCTTAATATGTTTTAGAGAGTGTTAGACCCCTAACAGGTGAAAGTATAATTAATAGTAGCTGGCAGGAGTAGTAGACCAAGAAATTGCACTGGGGATATTTTAATTAAAAAGAAAGTTTTAAAACAAATTTTTTAAAAATTGAGAACACACTTTGTTCACTCTCATCCCCTTCCTAGCTCCTGAATTTCTTAAATTTCTTTGGTCAATAGGAGGATCAGACAGAGAAAAGAGACTAAGAAATTACTTTATAATCTAATGAGAGATAATTGAAAGGAAATTGAAAGGAAAGAGAATATTAGGTAAACCCTATGTCTGTTAAATGTTTTATACAAACCCTTAAAGTCTCAGAGCAACATTCATGTCAGGATACATTTTCAGTATCATTTCGAATCTAAGAAGAATACTATGGAGTATTTAACCAAGGTGTTTAAAATATTAATTAATAAAATTAATATTTCATTTGAGATATTAAAATAATGTGAGTATTCATCTATTTGTTTATCAAATGGGAGCACTGGTTTGGGAATTTGGACTTTTTAGCCCTATTCAGCTACTCTGAAATCTTACTGAGTTTTAGAGCCTTAGTTTATCTGTCTGTAATATGAAGAATTTTGCCAACTGAAGAAAATGGGGACTAAATCTACAAAGCCAGCATTGACTACAAAATGCTAATATGTGGAGTTGAAGAGAGTGTGCAATACTTTTGTTGTCTTTTAAAACTTTTAAGCTTAATATGCAGAACAGTTCAGTGTATTAATAAGGACAGGAAGTCCCTGGTGAATACAGTAAAATAAATCAGTCCAAAGCTATGTAGTCACTACACCAAAGACCAGTTGATTTGTGTATTTGTTCACTTTTCAGAATGTTTCACATGCTATAAAATTAAATCTGATACTCTGTGACTTTTAATTTCTTAAAGTATATCTGCTTTATTTATTTATATTTGTTTACATGATTGGTTGATATTAACTCACCCTTCCTTTTTTAGTCATTTCACTACTAAGTATATGTACACAGAATAGCTGAGTGAGCCAGTGTGAACCAGAGTGACCCAAAAATCCATCCAGAAAATGCGGGCAAGATTATGCCCTTTCCCAGACTGCCAAGCGCACTGCCTCTGCCTTGGAAGGCAAGAACAGCACTGGATGACATGTGAAGCTTTTCAATACACTTCCTTGCGTTTCAGCCAACAGGGTCATTCACACATCTTTAGTTGTGCTTCCTAAGCAGTCTCTAGAGCTTTGAATATAGAATATCATGGGAATAAAACATATTGTAATATAGAAAATGTTCAAGAAAAAAGTAATAGAAATGCATTCCTGCAGAGATATGTAATGACTAACCTAAGAAGGTCATCAAACTTATAAATTCTAAGCAGTCTCTTACAGTATTTTTTTAAGCAAAATATCAGGATTCTATACTTCAATATTGAAAAGAAAAGAAACAGATTTGTTTGTCTTTATTTAGCCCAATTGAAGGGGGAAAAACCACACTGCTTAATCACATTTAATATTTTCTTATTTGAAAATTTATTATCATAGACTAGAAGAATGATTTTAACATAAAATAATATTATTATTATTAGGTAGATAAAGTCTCTTTAGAGATACTGGTTGATTAAAAAGCAAGTATATTTATATAAGATGTATGAGAATAAAATCTTAGATTTCCTTAACAATTATGCTAATATTTAATGTAATATTTTTAAGTGTTTTTATGCATGGCATATGCATTGAGAGAAAATGTGGACCTTGTATTCAATTAGTATGCCAGAAATATCCAAAACTAGTTTATCTTTTCACTAATCTCTGGTTGTTATTTGACAAAGCTTATTTATAGAGAAAAAAATATGTTTTCTGCGACCAAATTAGTAGCCCTAGAAAGGAGAAAATTTAGAATGTGAAAAGTTGGCAGATCCCTATGGATTGTTGAACTGGAAAACATCCCCATAAGAGGATAAAAATAAATTTCAGCTAATTTGCTCAGCATGGCCTGAGTTTCACATAATATCTTTTTGTTTTGTTTTGTACAGAGATCCTGGCAAAATTACCAACAATCAATGATGGAAACTGAAGGGAGATTGATTTAAATCTTCAATGACAGTTGTACAGAAGTTGAAGAAACACGTCATCTTTCCAAAGAAGAGTGAGTAGCTTGGTTGGTGGTACCCTAAAATTAGGGCATGATTAAGGTACGTCATTTCTTTTAGTTCAATCAAAGTGCTTTGCTGTTTCCATTTCAGAGAATTTCTTATTCTTTTTTTCAATTTCTCTCTCTTCCTCTTCTTCCTCTCATTAGTAGATGTCTTTTATAATTGATGTCATTTACTGTCCTTTCATCAAATGTATGCCACATCACTTAGGCGAACCAGCAGACAGGGCACCAAAATACACATTAGAGGAGACTGGCTTCCATGAGACGCTTCGACTGTCTCATCGGGGCACTTGTAATAAGCATCTTGGTGCCACTGAATGCAATGCTGTATTCAAATAATAGCTTTCATCTTCACTCTTTTTAAATATAAAAGTAAACCTTGAAGCCCTTTGAAGGACCTAACCAAACAACATACCTATGAAAATAGATCAGTAAGGCTTTGAGAAACATTCTTAAGTAAAATCTGTAAAGCATCTTTGCATTTTTTTTCAAGAAAGACCTCCAGGTAAATGATGGCTTTTAATAAGACACATGACAATCTCAATTACAAGAATCATTAGTGTGTGTCCTGTGCGCCATTTTATGTTCCCAGCAGGATATATCTTTTCTCGTCTAGGGTTTCCAGGGCTGTCTACTGTTCTCTATGTGTAAAACGTATTTAAGTGTTCCCCCAATGCTGCACTAATGTTGAAACAAAACAAAACAAAAACGAAGAAACCTTTGTCAAGTGGTCAGACAGACTGGAACTAGAGGATTATAGGTAAGAGAGATAAAATGAAGGGTTGAAAGCTATAATTTCTATTTATGTGGTGGCAACCAAATCAGCTGTTGGAGTCAGGCAATTTAAAGATGTGGCTACTGGAGCTCAGAGTCTGGGAAGAAGACACTTCTGCGTCTGACAGTGAATCAGGCTCCCAGTTTTGAAGATGTGCTGTAGGTAGTTCTCGCTGAATCCATTTCCCAGTTGGTTTCTATTCCCCGCCCCATTCCTGTGTCCCCACACTTTCCACTTGATTTTACCTCTTTGACAATTCTATATTTTACTTTCCTTCCTCTCATTCCCCTTTTCCCACCCCCTTTTTTTACTGTAGTTCTTGGCCTCTGACTACTGTTCCATGCTGGATGTCCCCAGAAAATAGAGTATGTTTAGAAAGGAGACAGTGCATCTCAGAAGGGCCTCCCCAGTCCACTAGTCCATTTTTTAATGTGTTGTGCTCTATGGGTGTCAGGAATATTTGTAGATGAAGTAATTTGTGGCATGAATTTTGATAGAAGCAGGATCACCAACAAAATGATAAATGTAGGTACCTGTCTACCTTGCATAATATTCACTATGATCTTGAGAATTTCAATGTATAATTTGTCTTTATTCTTATTTTTCATTAGAATTAACAGAATCTCAGAGCTGGTAGAAAGTATAGAAACTGTATATACAACTCTCATATTCAGATGAAGAAAATGATGCACAAAAAATCAACTGTCCTAAGCCATTCAGCTTGTCTATAAGTGCTGTTGGCTTAATTATAGTTTTGCATATATTTAGGCAAAGAAAATACTTTCTCAGAAACTGGTTAGGACTGTTTGAGAAGAAATATAATCATCAAAATATATACACAGTAAAATGTAACCGTCCATCATTCAACATAGGCAAGAATATATATTGAATTGCCTGAGTGTATTATTCGTATAGCAAAACTTACTTGAATTTCTAATAAATCTTCTGACCTCTGTATATGTATAAAATATATAAACCAACCAAATTCTGTACATAAATATATTTTTGGATACCAGTACAATCCCTATTTCACTTTTGTGTATTCCAGTTATTTATTACTCACAGTTCTGTAGTTTTAACCAGAACAAAGGGATTACCCAGAAGAAAAGAAGGTAAGCTATTTCATCAGTTTTGGTGGAAATCAGAAGTTTTTTTTTCTATTATTAGCTTTGTATTCTTAAAAAAGAAAAAAGAAGGAGAAAAAAAATCTCATCTTCTCATTTATAAGAATTCCCATAAAATTTGGCAGTGGTGAGGTGGGGAGGAAATGCATTATCAATAAACAGCTAGATCCTATTATTGGAGACAATCAGTTTTATTCTGCAGAAAATATAGTTTGTTCTTGAAGATTTAATAGATATAATATTTTTTAAACCAACATATTAAATATACCAGTAAATATTTTTGTTAAACAAGGCTTTTAAAATTTAAATTATACCCCTAAACTGGCTTTCTAGTTTTTCTGGAGAAATAAAGAAATTTTAAAGGAAATATCCACTCAGATTAATACTGCAAATATCATACAAAAATGTGTGTGGTGATATTACTGAAAATGAGGATTTTTGAAAACTAGAAGAGCAAAAAGTCGTTGCTCCAAAAGGCTTCAAGACTGCCTTAGGATTAACAATGCAAGTCTTCAATGTATTTAGGTAATCATAATTTGATTAGCTTTCTAAACCTAAACATATTTTGATTCAAATGTTTAAAATATGGTCATCTCTTCAGTTAAAGATGAACATTTTGATGAAATAACAATACTTAAAGCGTTCTCCGTCTCCACAATTAAGTGCTACCTGTTATTTATTCAGAGCATATGTTTCAGTCTCAAAACACCAAGGACACATCTCAGTGAAATAAAAATAATCACTTTTTTTAAGAAATCAGAATCATGTGGCAGTCGGCAGGCTTAATTTATATTTTATGGTCTCCAAATTCAGATGAATATCATCAAGATCTGAATTGTCTCAATGGCTGTCATAATTTAAATAATAATATATCAAAAATATACACTACTATCATATAATTAATTTGTATATATGGAAAATTGAATTCTCTTAGCCAAAAAAGTACAGGGAAATCATCACAAAGGAGGATGAACATGATTATTTTTTCCTGTTACTTCTATAGACTTCTCTGTAACAACTGATATGAAGATATCATCAGAGTTTGTAGGGGTGCAGTATCTGTGGTGTTAATAAAGGTATCTATAATCAAATATAGCAGAAATAATTAGGCTTCACGCCAATTGCCTTTCCTAGAATCTTCAGGGACAGGAAGTGCAGCTGTGTATCACCTGCCCATATTCTACAAATAGCACTGAAGGACATAACTCAATGAAACTTGAAATCAGATTGCACAAAAATACATTATTCCCAATTTTCTATTTTTATATTGCTAGATAAATTGTAAATTCACAGCAACATTTGTCTACTGTTATCTTTATGTTGCAAAATTACACTAAATTTTGAGTGACATCTTTAGCCAGGGGAGCCTAGAAACATCCTTTGGCTAAAAAATAAAAAGGTTATAATGTACAGTAGAGAAAACATTTCTAGAAAATATGCCTTTCACTGTGCCTTTAAAAACCAAGAATTTTTTAAAGGCACAGTGAAAGGTATATTTTGATCAACAGCTTATATTGTTTAGAAATTTGGCTGTGGTTTAGTATTTTGTCAACTAATTGTCAATCACAAAGAAAATTTAGAAAGAGATGAAATAGAAATAAAAGTCTTATTAGGAATAGTAATTATATAGATAGTGAAATTACTACTTTTTTTATAAGGAGCAGTAATTTCATAATGTAATAACTTCCTTTTCAGTAAAAGAAAGTGATTAACAAAGCTGAACATTCACACAAGGCAATGTACCACATAATTCAAAATGCCAGTGCAAAAATGTTAGTTAGTCAATAAAGATTCAATGCTTGTCTGTAATAATTAGTCATAGTTTCTGCACTTAGAAGGAAAGCTCTCCCCAGGAGTTGAGAATTAGAGTGGAAGTGGAGATTTTGAGTATAAGAAAAGTGAATTTCACTCATGTTGCAGGGTTACACTGCTGTGATGGAAGGCTTTCATTTTTCAAGTAGGAAACATGGAAATTACAGTAACTATGGCCAATTCATATTGGCCTAGAGAACACTTTATTTTTCTCTGGGCCCGAATTTCTCAACAGGTGCCACTATTGATATTTTGGACCAGATAATTCTTTGTCCTGAGGAAATTTGCTGTGCATTGGAGGATTTTTATCAGCATTATTGACCTCTCCCCAGTAGATGCCAATAGTATCCCCTCCCACTATGGTGATATCCATATATTGCCGAATGTTCCCTTGAGAACAAAATCTGCTTAGACTATTTGTCTAGGCAATTTTGCTTTCTTCATTTATCTTTATGCAAAATTAGTTTGATTGGTTATTTGCATTCACATTAATAGGAATTTTGCACAGAGAAAGTTTATGTAATAAGTTAAGAATAGCTCTACAATGCAAATGTTTCTGCAGGATATAAAAATAAGAATCGCAATGGTACATTCATCTCTTGAAATATTTGCTACACAACACATGTTGAATGTTGAAAGATGTTGAATGTAGGCTCTTATTTTGTGCCTTATTTGAAAATTTGCAGTGCAAATAAGGTAAATAGATGCAAAATGTTTGCCTTTGGGTATGAAAAAGTTTTCTTGTGTATTATAGTTAAATATGGTAATAGGTTTTTAGAGGTAACTTTCTGTGGCAGTGAACAAAACAAGACCCTACTATGATGATTCTACATGGAGCTGATTTTAACAGAAGAGTAGCCTTCATTGTGCCTTTCCATAAATGTTGGCTTTATCCATGTATTAAAGCACAGATTTCTTGGGAGACCACAAACATTGAGAGTGAAAGATAAAATCTGAAGAGAACCTGGGAAATCATCATTAAATTGAGCTGATAATCATGATAATCATGTCTAAAATATGGACTGTTAACTTTTTTTAAACTAAGATGAGATGGCAGAGAAGCTATTAACTTAATATGCCTCTCTCTCTCTCTCTCTCTGTGTGTGTGTGTGTGTGTGTGTGTGTGTGTGTGTTTTGGTGGAAATAAATTGATAAGAAAGGAAAAAATAATAGTCACATGGAAGCTTAGGAGGCAAGTCAATAACAGAGAAATATCTAGGTAGTATGAAATCTTCAGCTTTACACAATAGAAAAAAGTATATTATATGGAATTGATCCATTATTGTTTCAAAAATGGTGAAAGTTGTTAAACCAGTAACTTTTAGCTTAGTTTATCTGTTAAAAAAAAGCTACATGAACAATTCAAGATTTAGTAAATGTTGAAGATTTCCCTTCAGTATGAATTTATAAATATCTAATGAGTGTGTGTGTTTGTGTATATGGCTTCCTCATTGAGCACCTGGAATGACTTAGCTAATTTGCCCTTCATTCTTTATGACTTTCATGGATAATTTCCCAAAGCTCCTAAGGATTATTTATTTATTTATTTATTTATTTACTTATTTTTGGGACTGGTTCTCGCTCTGTTGCCCAGGCTGGAGTGCAGTGCCGTGATTATGGCTCATTGCAGCCTCAACCTCCCCCACTCAGGCAATCCTCCTACCTCAGCCTCCATTGTAGGTGGAACCATAGGTGTGTGCCACCACATCCAGCTATTTTTTAAAAAAATTATTTGCAGAGATGAAATCCTCCTGTATTGTTCAGGCTGGTCTTGGTATCCTGAACTCAAGTGATCCTCCCAGTTTGGCCTCCAAAAGTGTTGGCATTACAGGCATGAGCCACCTCACCTCACCAGGTCACTTACTTTAAAATTTTCTACTAGGTGATGTGAAGGCCCCCAAATTTAAATATACCAATATTTCTCTTTTATTATATTTTTAAAATTTGAGGTTTTAATAAGCTATCTAGATCCATGAATATTAAAATAGATTTTTCTTTTGTAGACCCAGCATTGTTCACTGAGGATAGATGTGGGATCAGTTCCTTTCAGGTATTAATTGTAATGTTGCTAAACATATTACCATGAATCTGTAGTATCAAAATTCAGATATTAAACTTGGGAGGATTTATAGTCCAACTTGTAGTAACTAAATAATAAAATGGTGGCATGATTATAGTTCAATTTTTTTCTTTATGAAGAGCTTAGGGTAACAATGCTTTGTTCCTGTATGTTGCACTTTTAAATTACAGTAAAGTGTTTCCCTGAAAACAAATAATATGGCATGCAATAAAGGGGAAAAGTGGATATGAGAACTTATCCTTGCCAGTATATTTGAAATGTGACTAAACATTTTTACAGTGAATATGTTCATATTGAAAAGAAATTACAATTTCCTTTAACCAAGTACTGGGTCACTATTTCTTCCAACTTAGTTATTGAAGAAACACTCAGCTACCATAGATTTGCTAGGCCGAAGTTTCTCAAACTTTAGCTGTGTCAGCATTACTTGGGGGGTTAATTGGAATGCATATTGCTGGGCTTGATGATCAGAGTTTCTGAGAACTTGTGTTCCTAACAAGTTCTCCGGCGATGCAGTAGTATAGAGAGGCATTGTTCTGGAGACATGCTTAATTTTAGGTACAACTTATTTTGACTTGAGAACTTTCTCTTTATTAAAATAGCAAAGGCGGTGTAGATGAAAATAAATAAATTGTATTCATTTGGGTTTTCTCATTTGCAACAGACCACATCAGCATTACCACTGGAAAGAATGACTTAGGAGAGTGGTTGTTTTAATGAGAGATTCTTTACATGCCATTGAAAGACAGGAAACCTTAAAAGAAAAACAAAACTGATAATCAACTCCTAAATGGGGATTTGAATTAGCTAAAATCTTTTTTTTTTCAAATGCCTACTACAAAGTCAAAGTTCATTCTCCTAGACTAGCAAATACTTTTTTATCAATATTTGTTTATATTTTCCCATAATTATCCTTATTTCACCTGCCACAAAAGAATTAATCATTTTATGTCCTCAGTCTTCAGCCCTCCCTAAAGTACCCAATAGCTCTTGTCCTTCTATAAGTCATCACCTACGTGTACTTTAAGACCCCGCTAATTCAATAATTTTATTTAAACGTTGATAGGATTCTATTAAATTTAAGGTATATTATTAATTAAACTAGAGGACATCTGCTGTAGTGAATAAATTATCCATGATTTAAAAGCAAAATTCAAAGGTAGACAAGGCCACCTGCGGCCATAGAGGCTGTGTAACTTCAGAAAGAACACTTATGAGTTAATGATAGGAATGGCACTCTCTGGAATTGTACAATCCAGTGTGCCTTAGTCAGATATAATAGGTCAGGTTTAGCAAGACAGGCATAAAGTTCTAGCCTTAACTTCAAAATTCCATAGAATGTGGGAGACATGAAATAAGAATGGCACATGGGACTTTTGGCTATTAGTTGACCATGAATAGCTCAGTGTGATTCAATAGTGATATGTAACTGCCCTCAAAAACTATGAAAAGCTTAGAGTTTCAGCAGAGGATGGTGTATCTGTTATGAGTGAGATGAGAAGTCTCTCTCTTCATGGCTGGTAGAATGAATCCAGAATTGTCAACTTCACATAAGTCTCAGAATATCCTCAACCCTGCCTGTTTTAGGTGAAACTAATGCACCAATTATTTCATTCATTTACAGAGAAACTTAAGCTAATATGTACATTCAGTACAATAAGTAATACAGACCCCTCAACAGAAAAAAAAAAACACCAGAAATTATCAAACTGAATTTCTTCAATTAATTTCAATTTAATTTGTGTGGACAAATATGTATTGGTTTTGACAATAAAATATGTCAAAATACTGTAGTGTTTAAAATTCCCATATGGAAATATGGCACCATGATTGTAGCTTCTGAATGAAAAACAGAGTTTTCAGTAATTTGTACTCTTCTGACTACATAGCATGGGAAGTTGAGAAAGAAATTCTTCTAGGTTGAATACTGGAAAAATCATCATCTGTTTCCTCTACTCAGTCACTAGTATACAAAGAAGGACTTAAGCAGATTTGCTGATTAATTTATCGGTATCTAAACATTTTGTTTTCTCTTAATTCAGTGGATGAGCTATAGTACTGGAACATTTATAGCTAAACTTTGTTATTTGGTTATTGTCCTTATAAAACCAACTTTTGCTGATAAAACATATTAACACTTATGGATGCTTTATAAATCCAATAATACAGCTTTGAGAGCATTTACTCTGTTTCCCACAAATTTTAATAAGCCTGGCTCAGCTTTTTCGACTGAAGCAAATGCACAGACCTCTACACTTCAACATGAAGACCTCCAGTTCACAATGTGCATATCCAAAGCACTGATACTAATGCTGTATCCAGAGATTTCAATGGGGAGGGTAATCTGTAATAACAAAATTGTATCCCTTCCTTCCTGCAATTACCTCACTATCCTCACAGCCTTGACATCTGGAAACCCACTGCTACTGTAGCAGCTGTGACTCCTCTCCTAGCAGGAAGTTAACTACACATTCCAAAGAGCACCAATTGTTTTGATATTTTCTGGCAGCTCAAAAAGCTTGGATATTGGTGAACACATTATTTTGTGGCAACCACATTTTGGAATTATACACAAATGTACAACATGTCACAATCTGAACAACTTACAGGTGTTAATGTTGTCTTTCTCTTAATGATATCATATTCCAAATTTAATCATTTTAAATATAGAGTAGTATGTTAGAGAATTAAACCTCATTCTGCTCATACTCACTTCTGCCATCATTTTCTCAAATGATCAACACGGAAGAAGACTTACCCAAAAATATGCTCCTATTTAAATCATTGGAAGAGAATTAATTAATTTGAGTTAGAAAGTAAGTATTGTGAGAATCATCCTGCTCTGTATTTGCCCACGTAGCACCTCTGTTAGCAGAGATTTTCAGATACTTATTAATTTTCTAGAAATCGAGACCTCCAAAAGAAGAGCAGAAATATTAAATGTTGGGCAAATCTAACTGCATTTTAGTGTCACCAAATGCCTAAAATTATTTTGTGTTTTTGAGCTGATAAATCTATATATTTTTTATTCAGATTTCTCTTATTCTTTAAAAATAATCAAAGGGATGACTGCTGGATTGATTTACTGCAAATTTATCTTTGAAATGGCTACAAATAATTGTTATTCTCATTTTAAGAGCATTAGTGTCTTTTGTTCATCAAATTAAGAATGAAATGGATTTTAGTACTGCCCTACAATTACTTTGGTAATCAAAATGATTGCCAATGATCTCCAAGAAACTAAACTGTCTTGCTACAGAACAGATTGAGGATTGTTTTGATTCACAGGAAAGCTCTGCAAAAATATGATTAATTATGATTTTGATTTAGTTTATAATTTTATTTTTTATTTCCGTTTTCCCTCTTCCCTACATTCTTTTAAAATATGGCAAAGTTTTCCATTGTATATTTTTATTTGACCTAATTTCCAATTAAATTTAATATTTCTCCTTGCTTAATTATTTCTTCTGGAATTTTACACTCATAGTGATTAAATCTCAATCTCCTCTCTCTTATTCTCTTTCTTTTTTTATTCTCTTTTTCTATCACACACAATTTAATAGTTCATCTTAAGTGATTTCTGATGCCTTGTATTCAGTGACTCTAATTTCTAATATCCTCTTCTTGTTAAAAATATTTTTGCAATGTATTTATAATATCTTTCTATTACACTGATTCTGTGTTATGTTTAAGCGTTTGATCACTTTTATTCAAATGTTCCTATGATAACCAGAAGATACTGTGCATTCTCATATTATTTTAATGCTCCAATGTATACTGCAGGCTTAAATAACCATAAAAGTAATGTTTGTTTAGAAAGTGACTGGTTTGTTTACCTTCACTGCTGCAGAAAATCTCACTAGGCAATTTGCCTGGGGCTGATACTTGTAACCATTAGCAATTATGGATTCTAGAAAGACGTTGATAGGAAGTTTTTAAAAAGCTATTTCAAAATCGGACACAAAAAATACAACACATTTTCTAGGATTGTTTTTCTTGCCATTCATGCTGCTTGCCTTTCTTATCTTAACTAAAATTCACTTTTCATCAGCCTGCAATGAGTCACAAAAAATGCTGTATCAATCTTGGGTTGTTCCTGGACATTCATAGTCAGATAAATTATTTTCAGAATCAGCAAAGCAGAATTATTTTTATAAAATGGTGTCTTTACACATCATTGATGTTTTGCAGAGGTCTGGACAAAACGCCAGTGATGTACTTTTAATTGCCAAGGGATCCACTTACACAAAGGAGACATGGGCACACCATTCTACCGTCAGGGCACTCATCATTTGACTTATGTATTGGACTTTAGGGGAAACACAAAGAGGATGCCTGGGACACTGTTCTCATCCTCTAAAGTCTTTACTAATAATATGTCAAAGTTGAGTAATAATACACACTAAGTAAAAGCTTTTCAACAGAAGCATCTCCATTAATCTCCACTTTGGGCCAGACAGCAAACTGAGCCTCTGTTTCTATTAAATACAAACTGATCTGAAATATTTAGAACAAAGAAAGCACATCCTTTCAGCTAAAAGTTATAGATATCCTTTGCTACATGACAAATGGTTAAAATTATCAAATATTTATAACAATATGATTGAAGAGTTCAGTTACAGGCTTTGATTTTGACTGTTTGCTTGTTGATGAGTGTTGTGCAGAAATGCCCAATATGTTTGAATTGCTTCACTTTGAGCATGATTTGTGCCAGAAATAGTGCTGATTAAGCTGTTTTTTTTTTCCTTTTTCTTACACATTTAAAAATCACTCTTTATTTTCCAAAGACCTCTTGGTCAGAAACTTGCATTCAAGAATTTTGCTATGCCATAATATAATAAAATGTATCAAGGCAGAAAATAAAATAAGCAGATGATTTATGCATAAGACGTTTTGCCTTTAAGCTATTCAAACCTGACTTTAGTGAAGTTTATTATCAAAAGTTTCTCACCTGATAACATAAATTTTGACAGAATGGAAATGTTAGTTTTAGCCAATAAACATACAGCCTTTAATCATCCCAAAATTTTCACCTAGGAAAGAAACTGGAAATAGTTCTTAAGTCTAATTAGAATGGAGAGATAAGTAACATTTTTAATACTAGATTTAATCTTGGCAAAAATATCTGTATCTCTAACTCAAACTCACTATCTACTTTTTAAAAATAATATTGCTCATCTTTTAATATAAAGGAGAATCACCATATAAGCCATTAAGACCTAAAATACACTGGGTGCTGGAAGCTATCATTGACATACTGTCATTCAAAAATTACATATGTATTTGGCATAAATGTAATAGTTCATGTACAATGAGCCATCAAGACTATGTGCAAATCCCAAGAACTACTTCCTTTTTCTAGTTTTCTTAAAGAAATAAGACATAATGAATCTATTACGAGAATCTCCCACAGTGTAGCTTCCCCTTAATAATGTAGTATATACATTTAAAATTACAATGTAATGCTTAAAAATTGTTAACATTTTACAATTTTTTAAATTTAGAGACTTGATCTGGAGAGCATTGGGTGTGATTCTGCAAATCATGCAGCATATATTTTATTACAGACTTAGCTGCTGAGGTTTCTTACAGAGGTCAAATGTGTGTGTTTATGTTCTGCTTAGTCTTATGACAAAATATATCACTATTGCTTAAAAAGAAAAACATATAAAGAAGAGAACTACAATGTTCTTAACTCCTAGCCTACAAATGCCACTAAGCTGTCCACATCAAGACATTTGAAGTTAGCGTCTCATCATTTTAAACCCAGATGTGTGTATTTTGGGCACATTTTTTTGAGCACTACATAATCATAATGTAACCTAAAATAACAATGGAAGAAAACTAAGCTCTGCTTGATAAAATGCACTTTATTTTACATGGTGTTCACAGAATGGCTTAGATTAAAAAAATGAAATCTGTCTTAGTTTAAGACAGAAGCACAAAGACATTTCCCTTCTGGACAACAGACTTTGGCATTGCAAGATCAAAGGAACAATTTTATCTGCATTGTGACTACAGACCAAAAGATTTTACAGTATTCCTGTCTCCGTGCTAAAGCCTATGTGTCTTTAATGGCATTTAAATTATAGCCCTCTGTAGCCATGCAGTCAAAACACCACATCATCTGATGGGACACCATGTTATATTCTGTCAGTATGTCTCATTTAAAAATTCTTCTATACTGTACTTGCCCTCATTTTTCTCTTCTGGAAGAAAAATTGAGTAAACTGCCTTTTTAACTAGGTTTACGAGTTGAAGTAATCAAGATAGACAAAGACATACTTTGGCTTACATTATTTTAACTTAATAAATTTAAACCAACTTAAAGATTTTTTTTATTCTTTTCATTCTTCCACATTTTTGTTTGTTTGATTTTAGGATTTTCTTCTCTCTAACGTATCACATGGCACATGGCATACTATAGACTTTTGTGACATGAAAAATAAAAATGTGTTCCCATCAGAAAATTATAGCTAAAGCATCGCTTTTTCTAAGCAAAGTATTTTACGTTAAACTGATTTATAATAGAATGACTATTATATATAAAAGAAAGGAGCTGTTCTCTGAATTCTGCTATAGCACATAATGCAGATGGTGTGTTTCAAATGTCACTGGAGAGACAAGTTTTCATTTGAATATGTACTTCTAACATAATGTTTATTATAGTAACTTAACAATAAAAACTTGCTGAAAATTAGCATTTTACTCAGAATATTCCTGTACGTATAAAAATAAGATATTACATTTTCTTGATCTGCAGTCCAATACTCTACTCCTGAGCTGTACACCCTCCTAGATGTTACATTTTCTACAGAATCAATGAGCTTTTTCTCAAAAATAGATATAATCAGGAATACACAATTAACCTACACCTTCCTGATATCCAATATTATATATATTGATAAGTAGTTACAGCCATTTGAAAAAGTAAAACATTTTTTTTCAGGAGCATATGCTAGATTAGTAACTGATGGATAACTTTGCTTTCATGCTTCAGAATACAACAGGGAGTTTCATGCATTTTTAAGAGTAGATTTAAATAACTTGAAAATATAATGAATTTTTAAATCACATGTTCATTTTAAGATTGAGATGCAATATGCTTGTTGAGGATAAGTGATTTTAACATGCCCATGGGAGGCATTTCTTTAAAGTGACACTATCTTAGATAAAATCAACGGAGAATATTTATGAGAATATGTATATCTGTTTTGGAAAAAGCCAACCATTACAATATATTGATTCTGATTTTGACTGACTTTTATACCTATTATTTTTGTGTAGAAAATCACATCTTCTATTTGCCACATATAGGGTAGAAATAAAGGGGGCTACTGGAAACATAACAGATTTGAGGTGTAAAGTCTTTTTCTAAATCTGGAAATGCCAAGGAACCTTTGACATATTTTACTTAGCTGAGGAATCAGGTAAAAAATGCAGAAGGTATTTATTGAGAATGGGGATAATTTATTATAACACTTTCTCATTGAATTAGGATTGGATGTCTCCATACTTGGCTGACATTTGATAAGAAATCATTGTCAAATAAGAAATTATTGTCAGAATATTGTGTAGCTAAGTGGGAACATATGATGCAATATTTTCATTAAAATACTTTTTTTTTCTTATTGGGAGCAAAAAAAATCGTGGTTTTCAGAGGCAAAAGAATAGAGTAGAAAGAACACTTTTCTTTGTGTGGAAAATAGTTAATTTTATATCCCCATTCTCTTCTACCCTACAACACTAGGATAATTCCCAGAATTATTTCTGGAAATATGTTATTTGATAAATACTAAAGACTATGTGCAATATAACGAACACTTGTAAATCTGTTATCCAATTTAAGAACTAGAGCAGCATCAAAATTGATAAAGCAACCTCTGTACTTCTCTGCCTTCTCTCCCTCAGAGGTTACTATTATCAAAGTCTCCACGTACAGTTGTGCAGGTTGTGTACTTTACAAATCTAGGGAATGCCTACCCTTACATACAGTTCTGATATGAACAATTCCCCTTAAAGTGTGCAGCGCATCACCTACACAGGTTTTCACGATGGTTCTCCATCCTCCTGAATTTCAGGGTTACCTTTTCAAATGAAAGTTTAGCTTGGTTTGAGCTTTACAAAAATGGTAATATTTTGTACATATTCCTACTATTACTGGCTTTTCTTCAGTCAAAATATGTTTCTAATTGTCATCTACATTGTTGCATATAGTTTTAGGTTCATTTTATTCCTTGGGGTATAGTATTAAATTATGTAAGCATTCTTAATTTATTTTTTGTCCTCCTTTTTGGACATCTAAATTGTTATCTGCTTTGGAATTAAGCAAGCTGTTGCAGCAAGTATTCTTGTATGCATCTCTTGGTGCACATGGGCAATAAATGCTCTAAAGTATGTACTAGAATAGAAATTTCTGAGTCATAGGTTTGTGGATGGATTAAGGGTATATATGTGGAAGGTAAAACTTTAAAACTCTAATGAATATATATGAAGCATATTATGATATTAATATAAAACTAGACAAGCTTCCTTTTAAAAGACCTAAATATTTTCTAATATTAAATACTTTCATCATTTTTACAAGTATTATTTATACACAGGCATCAATTCTATGTATAAGTAGCTACTTGAGTGGTTTTATAAAATACCTGCCTTGCTAAACCAATCAACAACCATTCTCTCCAAATCTATTATCTAGAAGAGGAAGCAAAGCCAGAATCCATTTTGGTTATCTTAATATTAATTAAACAAATTTATTTTAAACTCAGAAAATGGAGATCAAAATTAAAGGACTGAGCCAATGCAAAAATGACCCATTTCATTTTTCTTCCCATACCCTTTTCAAACCACTTTTGGAAATACTAAATATTAACACCAAACCTGAAGATTATAATTACAATCATAAGTATAAGAAAGTAGAGAATTGTACAGAAAATTACTAGATAGATTTTTATTATTGTGGTAAAATGTACATGATATAAATTTAACAATTTTAACCATTTTAAGTGTACAGTTCAGGGGCATTAAGTAAATTCACATCATTGTGCAAAATCACCATCGATCATCTCTACCTCTTCTATTATTTACCTTTTCAAACTAAAACTCTGTACTCAGTATACAATAACACCTAACACCTATCCTGCCTCTTTCTATCTCCTGTCAACCACCATATTACTTTCTGTCTTTATAAATTTGACTACTCTAGTTGTTTCATGTAAGTGAAACCATGTAATATTTGTCTTTTTGTGACTGACTTATTTCACTTAGCATAATGTCTTCAAGTTTCATCCATATTGTAGCAGAATATTCTTCATTAAGGCTGAGTAGTATTCCATTATCTGTGTGTGTGTGTGTATATATATATATAATATAGATATAAAATCAGAAGATATTATATATATAATCATAAGATTTTTATATATGTATATCACATTTCATTTATCCATTCAACCATTGATGAACAGAGAGCAGTGGGTTGCTCCACCTTCTGGTAATTGTAAATACTGTTTATTTGAACAGACGTATACAAATATCTTTTTTAGTCTTTGCTTTCAATTATTTTTAGCTATGAAGATTTTTAAGAACTCCCATTCGTTATCATCCTGGGCAGTTGCCATCCTAGGTGTTAAAAGAAAACTCTGAGACTGGCCGGGCATGGTGGCTTATGCCTGTAATCCCAGCAATTTGAGAGGCTGAGGCAGGTGAATCGCTTGAGCTCCAGCCTGGGCAATATGACAAAACCCTGTCTCTACAATAAATACAAAATACACCACAGGGCATGGTGGCATGTGCCTGGAGTCCCAGCTACTCAGAAGGCTGAGGTGGGAGAATCACTTGAACCTATGAGACAGAGGTTGCAGTGATCCGAGATCGCACCACTGCTCTCCAGCCTGGGGAATAGAGCTGGACCTTGTCACAAAACAAAACACCCTGAGAATACTTTCTTTAGATTGGCAGAAGGAAGGATAGAGACAATACACGTTTTATATATTTTCTTTTACAATATTTTTGTTACTTGAATGCATTTAATTTTCTAAAAATGAACAAGTGTTATTGATACAGTATCCAAATTGCTATATTCTAATTTCAATAATATGAAACCATTAGAATTTTAAGTATAGACACAAAGTTACTAATTTGAATAGCAGATTTTATAAACACTTTTTTTCATGCTACTCCACTTAATAATGGGATACATTTGCATGGAATACTAATCAAAAAATACTTTATTCTACTTCATTAATATTTGCCAATACAATCAGATGATTATTTGATAGATAAGCCAATAGACAGATAGATAAATGACAGATAGATAGATAGATAGATAGATAGATAGATAGATAGATAGATAGACAGACAGATAGATAGTCAAGTCAGTCTGGCTCAACTCTTTCTTGACCATTTTACAGGTGATGAAACACATTTTGAGAGGTAAAGTGTACAAGGCCCTTCAATTAAAAAGTGGCAGTATCAAAGTTCAAACTTTAGTCTTCCTGGTATCAAAATGCATTTCATCCACTATAGATTCTGCCTTTCTTAGCTAAATGAATCCTCACCAAAACACCATGAAGTAGATAGCGGAGTTGGCAGCTGTTCGTTTACTCTTGAGAAACAGATCTTTGAGATATTAAATAATTACCTTAGGATTTCATAGCTGATAAGTGGTATAATAATATCTCAAATCTTCTGGCTTTTAATGTATACTTTTTCCATAACCTGTGCAACCCATGACCACCATTTAGTTTTTACTGATATTAACATAGAGTATTTTATCCCAGGCAATGAAATATTAACTGTGTATACTGAATGCATATTTTAAATATTAAGTTAAGTATATAACTTGCCCTATGCCATATTGCTTTAATCAGGGGACTGAGCATCACATTTAGATTTGATGAGTTTGGGAAAAGTTCTCAAACATCCAGACCCATGGACCTTAAGAATTACTGCAGAAATCTCCTTCAATATAGTTATAGGGAGCATTAATGCTTTTGTGGTACTAAACATATTTTTGAGCTTAGATACAAATCCTTCTTGTCCTGAACTGATAGGGTAGGAATTGTTTAGGTGCTTCAAATCCAGATCTTTCAGGGGTTGCCACCTAAACTCATCTTTATGAGTAACTCTAGATAATAATACACTTTGGTATCTTCCAAAGTGCTTATCTAGGCATGGAAAAGTTCAGTAATTATCATGAGGACTGTTTGTAGTTTAGTTCTTTTTGAATTTTAGTGAATAGAAGTATCATTCATGCCTTAACACATGAGGGAAATCCCCTAAAGGTAACTACTCATTATCCTTTGGGTTAATCTAGTTTCATGTCAAAGAACTGGACTATCATTTCCACAGGCTCATGCAAAAAGAACAAGCACAGGTGTAGTGAATTTATCCTTCTCTTTATGTGGCCTGAAAATTTCACCCTGTAGTCACTTCATCAAAATATCTTTGCTCCTTTCATCATAATTATTTCCAAAAAGAAGGAGCAAAAGGCACTGTTAATTTTTAAATGTGGAACTATGAAATAAATAATAGTTCACATAATAATTCATAAAATATGAATGGTACTCTTTTAAAAAAGTCCCAGAACCCCTTCCTGTATTTCTCTTAAAAAAACGCAATACTATTACATCTTTGTTGTTACAAGAGTGTTTATCACCTTTACAACTACTGGGCTTCATTTTCAACTAAAGAGATCTATATTCTAAACCTATCAGTAATACCTATGCTATAACAAGCTCTTATCAATGCTCATATAGTGCCTGTCTCCTAGAGCATACAATTTTAGATTCATTTTGCTTTTATTAAATTGATTTCACTTCCTCCAACATTTTTATTTCATTAGCGCAAAACAAAATGGAGCTTAATGATTCCTTAAAGCTGAAATAAAGGACAAAACATTTTGTTGGTAAAAAGTAGTTGGTAATAATGCTAAAATATTTTCAGATACAACTAAAATGGAGTTGACTAGAAAAAAGAGAAACGTAATTTGGATATGAACATTAATTTAAAAATGCAAACATTTTGAAATATTAGTACAACACAATTTTATTTCTGAATGAGAATGGTTATTTGTCTTCATGTCTTCATCATTTAAATGAATAAACTTTGTTTTTCTTATCATGGAACAACTAATTGCATTGAAGTTTTTCCACATAAAATAGAAATAGTTATCTCTCAGACATCAATTTTGTAAGAAGCCTGCTGCCATTGAGCACTGATATAGTCATTTATTTTGGAAGAGCTGCATTCTGACTATGAGAAAATACTTCTCCAAGATCAATTTGCCTTAAAGTTTGGGAAGTGGCCATTCTTTTATATGATACTCTTCCTCCCACTTCAAAATATTTACTGTAAAAATATACACAAAATGTGAGACCCAAAATGTTTTAAAAACTTGAACAGTTTGGAGGCAACCAAGACATATATTCTAAAATATTATGAAGGCAGGTGAATAAATAAAGGCTTCGATTTAAAAATATGGAAGGCAGTCAAGTAAACAAAGAAAGAAAAAGAACAAAGTGGGGAAATAATACAGGTGTCTGTGGTTGTCATTGCTCAGAATATGAGGATCTGTTTGGAAAAGGAAAATAAAGCATATTGACTTATTAGTTCACTTCTAAAAATACATACTACTTAAAGCAAGGCAATTATATAATTTAAAAAATAGATACATATGCATATTACTAAAATATATACATATATAATATAAAATTACATATATACATACAAATCAAAACCATCAGTGCAATAATTCGTTTGCTTTTTAGAAACAATCACTATCATATGCAATTAATTTCATGTTTGAATACAGTATATTGATAGGCACTACAGTTGTTTCTAGAATGAAGTCATTATTTTATGTTGGTAATGTGGTTTGGCTTAACGTAGTTAAATTTAAATTTAACTAAATATACTTAAGAATTAACTCAAAATTTTAGATTTGAAAGTACCTGAAATTGTCCAATATGGTCAAAGTCTAGACATTACTTCTTTGCATTTGCATTTTACATTTTTTTCTTTTTGACTTATCTGTTTTGAAGTGGATTTCTACTAAATTTCCGTACTGCATTTTATATGGTGTTGCTGGAAACTATGTATTGATTTTTTTCCTATGGCTTCTGTGGTAGAGGAACTAATGTGCAACTGACCTTACAAATGATATTCAACAACTCTAGAGGAAAGACACATCTCCAGTTAAAAATGAAGGGTGCACATGGGTTACTCAACATGTGAGTCATCAAGAAATGCAATACTGTGCAATGACTGGTGAATCACAGTCTCTAAAGGAAGCTTTTTGAGATTTTTACACAGATGGCTATGCAAAGCATAAATAAGTGTGAGGAGGAAGGGAAAAGAAAGGAGGGAAAAAATAAATGTGTGGGAGGACAGGCAACTGCAACTTTCATTGTTCTTTATTTTCTTGACCATTGAACTAACTACTTAGATAAACCCTACAACTCTTCTCTTCAATTGCCATTACATGTCCACATAGCCTTTTAAAAACTCTAAATTTCACCTCATTCGATTTAGAATTTTTTTTTTAACTTTACACCTTGTAAGTGATTTGGGGAATGAGTTTCTGTGTTGTTTACATAATGCTCTTGTCTATGCTGTGATAGGCTGCGTGAGAGCAGGAACCCCACGCCTTACAGTCTACAAAGACCCAATACAGGATAGAAAGTAGAGGGGAGGAAGGAAGGCCTCCCAAAGTTATTTTTACACCTTTATAATTTATTCCAATAAATTTTTAAACTCTGTCTCTTGCTTCTCCACCTTCACTTGTCACAATTCAAATCAAGTTGAAAATATTTTAAAATAACAAACTGATTGGCTGGGTGCAGTGGCTCACACCTTAATTCCAGCACTTTGGGAGGCTGAAACAGGAGGATTGTTTGAGCCCAGGAGTTCAAAACCAGCCTGGACAACATAGGGCGAACCTATCTCTACAAAAAAATACAAAAATTAGCTGGGCGTCATGCCATGTGCTTGTGGTCTCAGCTACTTGGGAGACTGAGGCCAGATAATTGCTTGAGTCAGGGAGGTTAAGGCTGCAATGAGCTGTGGTCACACCACTGCACTTCAGCCTGGGAAACAGAGTGAGCTCCTGTCTCAAAACATAAATAAATAAATAAATAAATAAATAAATAAATAAATAAATTAGAAGCTGATTAACTTTTACTGTAACCCATACAGTAGATGTATCACTGACCATGTAAAATATATACAACTCAGATAACTTTGTGTTGCAATTGTCTAGACATTCTGCTGCCCACAGAATCAGGTCCACACTCCCTTCCATGGTATTAAAAGTTGTTCATATTCTGAGCCCAGAAAATTTAGCAGCTTCAAACATCCTTCTTCTCCCTCTACTCACTTTGTTTTTCAGTGACACCAGTCTAATATTTATGTGCTCTTTTTCTAACATATGAATTGTTATACCAAGTTGCCCCCCTTAATAACCCTTTTTTTCTCACGTGCCTTGTCTGTTTCTCTTCACAGATAATGTCTACTCATCTCTTTGGTAGATAAGAACTATTCAAACCTTTCCAGAGTGTTTTTGGGGACTTAATATTTAAAGATACGATACCATAAAAAGAGAAAAAAAGATTTAGGGGTTATCTAGCCCAATCTTTTCATTTTGTGGCTAAGGAAACTGAAGCACAAAGAAAGAATACTGCCCAAAGTCATACAGTAATAAATTATACAATCATGACTAACTATCTATGACTTGCCAGTCTCTATAGCAGTGATCACATGAGCCTTTGATTCAGATGGTTCTGGCCTTAACCTTGAGAACTTCTGGACGTTACCTCATGTAACCTTTCTGAATCTAAATTAAAATTGGGAATAAAAATATCCAGAATAGTGATTTGTCTTCCGTGATTACCAGTTCAGTCATTTAATCTACCCACAACATGTTCTTACTTTCCGAGAGAACTGGAAGCTACCGTAACAGCAGAAGATATTAATTAGAACACAGATTGTGGTGGTATACATATATACATGTATTTTTTTTTCAAATTCAAATATTAAGCCCACTACTTACCACCGTGGTACTCTGGGCAAATTAGTTAAATGTGTGTCAATTTCCTCATTGGTAAACTGAGAATAATTAATTTGTTTAATGCATTCAAACATATTTATTCAGAGATTTCTATTCTAGGCTATAAGGATTTAGTTGTAAACCACACAAATAAAATACCCGTTGCAATGGAGCTTCCATTCTGGTAGTAGGGGACACATAATAAACTGACAGACTAATGATACCCGTCTTCTCCTACCTGCATAGTGCATGTGCATGTGCTGTCTTCTTCCTGGAATTTTCTTCCCACAGAAATCTGAAGAGTTAGCTCCCTCTCACCATTCAAATTCTTGTTTAAAAGTCACCTTCACTGGTTACCTACTTTAAATTTAAATCCCACCCTCATCACAGTTCATATTCCCTTTCCTGTTCTATTAGTTTTCAAGTGTTAGTCCTATTTTTTTTCTAATACACCACGTCTTTTACTTATTTATCTTTATGTTTCATCTTTCTCACTAAACTGTAAACTGCATGAGCCCAGGGACATTTGTCTATTTTGCCATCTGCCATATCCCAAGATCTTAGAACAGTGCCTGGTATGTATCAGCTGTTTGTTACCTATTTACTAAAGGACTGAATTAGTATCTAATGTAATATTCTATGGTGATATTTGCAATTAAGCAAAACAAACAAACAAACAAAAAACCACAGTAAGTTGATAGAGTAAGTAAGGTACTATTACCTTACTTACCCTGAGAGGGTAACTTTTGACTAGAGACATGAATGAAGTGAGAAAAATGAGTCATGGTTCCAACTAATGGTCAAGCATTCTAGATAGAGACAACAGCATGCGCAAAGGCCCTGAGGCTATTTCATATTTAGCATGCTCTGCAAATGGAAAAGAAGCATTTGTGACAAGAGAAGAGTGAGTGAAAAGAAGAAGATGGGAAACAAAATGCGAGAAACAGTTCAGACCATTCATATAAGCTGTGGTGAGGACTTTAGATTTAATCATGTGACTGCCTACCAAGATGTAGTGTTGAGAGGTATTGAAGAGAAAGCATGTATAATTCTGTTCTCAAGCTGCTGATAAAGACATACCTGAGATTGGGTAATTTATAAAGGAAAGAGGTTTAATGGACTCACAGTTCCACATGGTTGGGGAGGCTGCACAATCATGATGGAAGATGAAGGAAGAGCAAAGGGACGTCTTACATGGTAGGAGGCAACAGAGCTTGTGTAGGGGAACTCCCATTTATAAAACCATCAGATCTCGTGAGACTTATTCACTACCATGAGAACAGTACAGAGAAAACAGCCTCCATGATTCAATTATCTCCACCTGACTCTGCCCTTGACACGTGGGGATTATTACAATTCAAAGGTGGATATGGGTGGGGACACAGCCAAACCATATCAGAGCACTTAGCAGAATAGCAGGCATGCACACAAATATTCAATGCAAGTTATTTATTACCATGGACTGATTCACAGTTATAAGTTACAAACAAGGACAATGAAAAGTGAAGAGAACACTTAATTTCATTCCCTATGTATATACTTGACGTGAACAATGCAAAACACACAGACAGAAGGCAACTTAGGTTTGAAAGGGATGTGTGTAAAGTTTTACTTAAGAAAGTATGTAAAGACTAGTAAAAAGATGTATTGGGCCCGGCTGAGGCAGGAGAATGGCGTGAATCCGGGAGGCGGAGCTTGCAGCGAGCCGAGATAGCACCACTACACTCCAGAGCTGGGCAGCACAGTGAGACCCCATCTCAAAAAGAAAAAAAAAATATGGATTGTAGTTATTTTCAAAAAATGCACATTACACGTAGCAGTCACACTCAGAACCTGAAATATTTTAGTCCTAATCTGTGTTATCGATTTTTCTGCACTTACACTCTTATAATATATAGCTGAATTTTATTAAATAATGAGTCAATAGAATAACAATAGTATTCTGTTCACAGAATTTGTTTATTTCAAGCTACTGTTTGTTCTCATAAACACTCCAAAATATTACCAGACAGTTCATTTCACCTCTTTAAAATGCCTTCCCTTGGAGGAAATGATCCAGTATTGTTGATTACCTCAATCTAAATTCTATATATATTTATAATTATTCTAAGCCAGAAAGTGAAAGGTAACTTTTAAAATATTATGCTTTATTATATGCCTTATCAATGAAGACTTTTTTATTCATTATTATTTTCTACATTCAGCACATTCTCTGGAATTTTCAATAAACATGATGACATTTCTGAAGAGAAAATTTTTAAATCACCAAGTAACTCATTGTGAAGGTGGCTATCATTTCAATGTAACACCAAAGTATCTTCTTTCAACCTTACCTGAGAAAGAGGAAAGTGTTTTCATACACACACACACACACACACACACACACAAAAACAAAATCCGAGTTTTTGAGGATTTTTAAAACTAGAAGCCATGCTTATACTTTGTTATTTAGTTCAATTCTTTATGTAAGAGTAAGCATCTAGTACACTTAGCAGATTTTGTCATATTAAAAAGCATGTGCTATATTTAGTTCCAAAAGGAGTTACAGAAATTGATTGAAAAAATTCACATGAAGTTGGTAGAATATATAGGCTTTTAATTATTTTACTTGTCTAAAGGGTACATCAATTAGACAGACTCCTACTATACACCATAAATTAATCCCATTCATTCTAAAAACTTGTTCATTTTTTCACAACTTTGAAATTTGGTTGTCCTAATTAATCGCTGTTATATAATTCAGGCACTGGAGCCTCTGCAAGGGCTGCGTTTTTCCAGCTTGTAATCACACATTCAACAAACAGCCAAGTGCTGCGGACAATGGGTCCTTCACGCTCCTCTGAGACAGACTTTCTGTCTCTGATTTATGGGCTGAGTCCTTCTTGAGAGAAATGCCTGGTTGGGGACAATGCACAGCCTAAGGCGGATTACTTGCCTTGGTTTTTGGCCATATCATCTGAAAACTGTCACTTGAGCACGGGCAAAGCTAAGAGGCCCCTTGGAATATTCCCTAGAAGAAACAAATCCACCGCATGATCAGCCTCTTCAGGTTACATCTGCTTTTTAAAATCCCAGCGCTGAGAAGTGCGCTGTACCCAGGGGCTCTGATTCTGCATTTCCTCACGGAAGGCAAAAGAGCCTGCAGCAAAGGACCCTGGTGGATGTGAATGAACACTGCCAACTCAGGCCTTCCCAGCTCATTAGACGCAGCAAAAAGGGTCAGCCCTTGCCATCCTGAAATTTGCTGTCAGAGTTCTTGGACTACAACATGACTGTTCCCTGCTTCAAACAAACGGAAAATGATTCTTAACTTAGGCCATTCTTAATTTAAATGAATACATTTTAAATGAAATGAATTTAAAATGAAAAAAAAAAGTATTCTATCTGACCTTTCCTAATTATTTTCCTTTTATTTTATATAATGATGCAGAGAAATTACTTACAGTGAGTGTTTCATAAAACAAACATAGAAAGCAAAAACAAAACAAAAACAAAAAAAAATCACCTAGAACTTCATTGATTTTGGGGAAATCTACTGCCTAAATCATCTCAGCAAGAAATCCTAGAGAAAAAGGCAGCACATTATTCTGCCCATTGATTCTTCTGGTAATTGCAGTGGCACGAAGAGGGCCATGACTCTGCCACATATGCCAACAGGGATCCAGGACCCGTTCTGATGTCTGACAATGCACACGGATTTTATAGAGAGAATTGCAGACCTCAGAAATGAGCTTTGTGCCTGGACAGACAAGAATTCAGAAAATTTCTGTTGTATGGAATTCCCACTTCTCATTTTCTATTGTTCTGTAGACTTAGCAAAATTTTACTTTTTTAAGAGTCTAATTATTTATATATTAATGTATATAGGTTGGGCTGGAGGTAGGAGACAAGACAGAAAAGCATAAATAACTCTCAAAGTGATATAATAGTCAACAAATTACCTAAATATCTATATTAATATGAAATGTTGGTAAATATCACATAAGTATCTCTCACATGGATCCAAGATAATTTGAATTTTTTTACATTTTTTAAAGATATCAATTAATAAATGGGAAGATATATTGAAAAAAATACTATTTTAAGGTCTGATGTATATTTCTGCAAGGTAAATTTTGGCTCTGTCTTCAAGTCTTGGTTTACCATTCACCATTTCAAATATTGAAAAATAAGTGATTTATTTGAAGAAGAGAAGGAGGAGGAAGGGAGAAAAAATATTGAGAAGTTTAAGAACCAGGTAAGCATTTTATTTATTACAAAGAATAAAGCATTCAACGCGTTGTCTCACATAAAATAATACAGAAAAATCCGTTAAGTGTCCTTGCTCTTCAGAAGAAAACAATGAATGGATGCTGATGTTTTACAACATTTTGAGATCAAATGTATTTCCTTGTGGCTCTCTGAGAGACAGAAGGGAAGGGCTGGAGATACTGGCTTTCCATGGGTACTGGTGTGATGACACTGATCTGAAGGCACTGCAAAGTTTTAGATTCTTGAGTGTACTTGTTAAATAAAACAAAACAAAAGAGAGAGAAAAAAATTAGAATAGGGCAGTAAGTTTGTATTGTTATAATGAAACATTGTAACACTCTAGGTATTATCTCTGCACTGACATAGAATAAAAATAAACTCATAAGATGAATCAAAAAATGGAACAAGAGCTGAAGCAATAATCATAGTCTTAAAAGTTGGGAAGAGACTTTTTGCCCAACCCATAAATTTCACTGAGCCCCTAAAAAAGAGGAAATAATTATTAGAAATGACTCCAGATTATACATTGACTCCTGGCTCTGTCTTTATATTTTTGTGGGGTTTTAGGCAAGTCTGTTACATTTTCTTAGTCATCATTTTATGAAATTAAGTGCTTCTATTAGACTATGTGGTTAACATCCAAAGAACTAGAAATTTAAGATAAACTATTTTGATAAGGAGTATAATCTAGGTAGAATATTCTTTATAATAAAATAAATAGAATTAGTGTGGATAGGTTTTCATTATTACCTGATATTAATTTTAGGGTTACTTCTTAAGATTTCTTTTTTATCACAGAATCTGTATAGTTGTATAGTTAAGTGAGAAATAACCCAAATTTATACTCACTTTCAGCTGATAATCTATAATCAAAGTAATGCCTAAAGTATAATATAGGCTTTATTAGGTATCTACTTCTTACATTGACATTATCTGAAATTAAACCATAGACTTATATAATTTTCAGTTTCACAAAAGAAAACCAAAATAAGCAATTTAAAATATTTTTTTCTTAAAATAAAGCTGCTATTGCATAACATATATTTGACTATAAATGTAACCTGTTAGCTAATGGGACATGTAAGTACTATCCAATTGTCCAAATATAAAACTCTGCAGTGGTAGTAAGTACAAGAGTTTATTCCTGCTCAGCTCAGGTATGGAATCTCAAGAGAGCCGTTGTTTAGATTAAAGAACAAAAAAAAAGACTCCAGTCAATCCATTAGTAAATATTCTCTCAATTCATACAGGAAAGGTAGATGTTTAGGTGGTTCCAGATCAGCCTTGCCTTTAGCCCTTATGTCCCTTGATGCTCATAGGCCTCTCCTGGCTGTCTACACCCATGACCATCTGTTACAGTGGCACCATGCCCATTAGAAACCTCTCCATTGTCTTTCTCTTCCTCTTTCTCTCTCCCTCTTTCTCTCTCCCTCTTTCTCTCCTTTTTTCCTTCCTTCCTTCCTTCCTCTTTCCTTTCTTTTCTTACTTCCTTTCTTCCCTTCCTTTTCCTCTCTTTCATTTCCCTCCCTTCTCTTCTCTTCCCTACTTTTCCTTTCTTTCTTCCTTCCATTCCTCCCACACACACGCTCTCTCTGTCTCATGGAAGTTAGGATAACAAAAAAAGTATTTATTTATTTGTATTAAAGGCTTTGATAGAAAATTGCTAAATTGTCAGATGAGTAGATTGCAAAAATTTTCTCCCATTCTGTAGGTTGCCTGTTCACTCTAATGGTAGTTTCTTTTGCTGTGCAGAAGCTCTTTAGTTTAATTAGATCCCATTTTTCAATTTTGGCTTTTGTTGCCATTGCTTTTGGTGTCTTAGACAGGAAGTCCTTGCCCATGCCTATGTCCTGAATGGTAATGCCTAGGTTTTCTTCTAGGGTTTTTATGGTTTTAGGTCTAACGTTTAAGTCTTTAATCCATCTTGAAATAATTTTTGTATAAGGTGTAGGGAAGGGATCCAGTTTCAGCTTTCTACATATGGCTAGCCAGTTTTCCCAGCACCATTTGTTAAATAGGGAATCCTTTCCCCATTGCTTGTTTTTGTCAGGTTTGTCAAAGATCAGATAGTTGTAGATGTGTGGTATTATTTCTGAGGGCTCTGTTCTGTTCCATTGGTCTGTGTCTCTGTTTTGGTACCAGTACCATGCTGTTTTGGTTACTGTAGCCTTATAGTACAGTTTGAAGTCAGGTAGCGTGATGCCTCCAGCTTTGTTCTTTTGGCTTAGAATTGACTTGGCAATGCGGGCTCTTTTTTGGTTCCATATGAACTTTAAAGTAGTTGTTTCCAATTATGTGAAGAAAGTCATTGGTAGCTTGATGGGGATGGCATTGAATCTATAAATTACCTTGGGCAGTATGGCCATTTTCACGATGTTGATTCTTCCTACCCATGAACAAGGAATGTTCTTCCATTTGTTTGTATCCTCTTTTATTTCCTTGAGCAGTGGTTTGTAGTTCTCCTTGAAGAGGTCCTTCACATCCCTTGTAAGTTGGATTCCTAGGTATTTTATTCTCTTTGAAGCAATTGTGAATGGGAGTTCACTCATGATTTGACTCTTTGTGTGTTATTGGTGTATAAGAATGCTTGTGATTTTTGCACATTGATTTTGTATCCTGAGACTTTGCTGAAGTTGCTTATCAGCTTAAGGAGATTTTGAGCTGAGACTATGGGGTTTTCTAGATATACAATCATGTCATCTGCAAACAAGGACAATTTGACTTCCTCTTTTCCTAATTGAATACCCTTTATTTCTTTTTCCTGCCTGATTGCCCTGGCCAGAACTTCCAACACTATGTTGAATAGGAGTGGTGAGAGAGGTCATCCCTGTCTTGTGCCAGTTTTCAAAGGGAATGCTTCCAGTTTTTGCCCATTCAGTATGATTTTGGCTGTGGGTTTGTCATAAATAGCTCTTATTATTTTTGGATACGTCCCTTCAATACCTAATTTATTGAGAGTTTTTAGCATGAAGGGCTGTTGAATCTTGTCAAAGGTCTTTTCTGCATCTATTGAGATAATTATGTGGTTTTTGTCTTTGCTTCTGTTTATATGCTGGATTACGTTTATTGATTTGTGTTTGTTGAACCAGCCTTCAAAAGGCTAATATCCAGAATCTACAAAGAACTCAAACAAATTTACAAGAAAAAAACAACCCCATCAAAAAGTGGGCAAAGGATATGAACAGACATTTCTCAAAAGAAGACATTTATGCAGCCAAGAGACACATGAAAAAATGCTCATCATCACTGGCCATCAGAGAAATGCAAATCAAAACCACAATGAGATACCATCTCACACCAGTTAGAATGGCGATCATTAAAAAGTCAGGAAACAACAGGTGCTGGAGAGGATGTGGAGAAATAGGAACACTTTTACACTGTTGGTGGGACTGTAAACTGGTGCAACCATTGTGGAAGACAGTGTGGCCATTCCTCAGGGATCTAGAACTAGAAATACCATTTGACCCAGCCATCCCATTACTGGGTATATACCCAAAGGATTATAAATCATGCTGCTATAAAGACACATGCACACATATGTCTATTGTGGCACTCTTCACAATAGCAAAGACTTGGAACCAACCCAAATATCCAACAATGATAGACTGGGTTGAGAAAATGTCGCACATATACACTATGGAATACTATGCAGCCATAAAAAATGATGAGTTCATGTCCTTTGTAGGGACATGGATGAAGCTGGAAACCATCATTGTCAGCAAACTGTCGCAAGGACAAAAAACCAAACACCGCATGTTCTCACTCATAGGTGGGAATTGAACAATGAGAGCTCTTGGACACAGGAAGGGGAACATCACACACCGGGACCTGTTGTGGGATGGGAGGTGGGGAGGGATAGCATTAGGACATATACCTAATGTAAATGACAAGTTAATCGGTGCAGCACACCAACATGGCACATGTATACATGTGTAACAAACCTGCACGTTGTGCACATGCACCCTAGAACTGGAAGTATAAGAAAAATATATTAAAAAAAAGAAAAAAGAAAAAAAAAAGAAAATTACTAAATTTCCCATAAAAGTAGAGCCTTTAGTTTCCATGTTTGCATCTAAAACTAAAAAAAAAGATTTGAAAAGGTGGCGGGGTTACTCCTGCTTGGAAATTTGAACTTCAGATTCCCGAAGACTTCCCTTATGTTTCCACAGTTCTACAGCAAGGACCTGAACATACCCTTCTGAGAATTCCAAAGCAAACTATAATGCCATAAAATAAGACAATTGGTGCAGCCTCCAAATTCAGCCTTATTGGTGGAGAGAAATATTGTGAAACACCTCTGGTACACATTTTTGTTTAAAAGTCTCTAAAATCTTCAAAAATATAAAAATCAAAGAGTGAGGGCTAAACAAATATTCTATACTACACATCTAAAAGCCTGAAAATAAGTCAGCTTAAAGCAAATTATTACTTTATTCACTCGTAAATTCCTTCAATTAGAAACACTGTCATACTTAAAATAATTTGTAAAAACTCAATTTTGGTTTTATCAGATGTAGAACTTTGAATAGAACGTATTCTCCCTCTCTCACCGCATCATCCTATAGACACACAAAAACTCTCCTAAAGATGAAATGTCATGTTTTGGAAAGATATGCTGTTTACAACGATGTAAATATACTAAATTTTAGGAGACATCTGTTTTGAATTTCTCAGTATGCACTGTATATTTTAATTCCATTATTTCCCCCCAAATTTTTCCAAATTTGTGATGATGTATGTGCATCTAATTTTAAAATTTTACTGTCCTTTCAAATAAGATATCTTTAGTAATTACAGAGGCTTACAAAAATTGTGCTTTCAATATAATGTTAACTTTAAAGTAAAAAGTTGTATTTAAAGACAGAGGAAAATCAAGCCACTTGCCATTACTTCTGCCATATGCTTCAAGCTATTTCCCATAATAGAAGTGAAAGCTTACTCATTGATATATTTTCTCCCCAATAGATTCTCTGGCTTTTTTATTTTAATTGTTTATCCCAAAGAAATGAAAGTATTTCTCTGGAATGCCCTCAAATGTTTCCATTATAGTATGAGAAAATTAGGATAAGTTAAAAGTGCTTACTGAAAAATATTTCACGAGGCTAATTTTGTTCATTACAGATCCAATCTTGCAGTCCTGATCCATAGAATGGTGTGCTTGTGTGATTGATTTTAAGTCAGTATAAATTAGTAACTTTTGTATCATTCAGGTGATCTTAACAAAACTGGCAGAATATAGAATTGAGAATGTGAAAGAAGCTATTTATAAATGAATATTTAGGTTAAAAACGTCCATTTAGTAAACAATTTTTTTACCCTGAAATGAAAAAAAAAATAATAGAAGATTTTTGAAATGGTATGGCCAAAATCACTTTTCTGCTTTATGTGAAAATAAAAGCTAAAAATAGATTGAAGCATAATATATTGTTATAGTTTTTTTTTCTCCAGAATGATAGGATTCATCTGTAAATCTCATTATTTAAAATATGCCTTCCCTGTAGTTAGTTATTAGGTATGGAGAGAAACGAATTGGATTGTTCAAGTCAGTCAATATGTTTGAAGCTATTTTGAGGATGCTTACTCTTTGAGGTGACTATATAATTCAATTTGTTGTTTACTGGTCAGAATTTCTTCCTTTGAACAGTAAGAAGAAATCCAATACAACATTTAGAAGTGTAATTTTAGGTACAATATGATGACCACAGATTACAATGTAAATCAGTGTCTCACAGAGAAAGCTGTACTGAAAGACAAAACAAGAGATGACATGACAATGGAATGATTATCAACTTTTTAGACATCGATATGTGCTGAATTTAATGAAAGCAAAAGAAGTGTTGGAAAAAAGACCCTAAGTTATTTTGTTATTTTTAATGTTCTTTCTAATGATATCTTTGGGGGAAAGTATCTGCTAGCTAAAATTACTTCAATAAAAAAAATCCAAGAATGCTAAAACATTTTCCCTTATGAACACTCTAATTGGCAGTATCTTAACTGTTAGTAAAAAATGCTTTTATTTTTTAAAATTTTTGGCTGTGAAACAAACTTTCCATTTGCTGAGTTTTTAAAATAAATATCAATATTTACATTCATGTGACTAATTTTTGGAAAAACACATCCCTATAGTGTATACATCCAAATGCTGTTTGCCCTTCAGAGTTAAATGCCTTGAAAGATGGCACCATAAGCCAGGGAATCTGCCACTGATCACAGTGTTTTTAGGAGTTGCCATTAAGTCGAACCATTTATTTTTTTAACCCCACTCTTCAAAGATGCTCAAACAAGACAACTTTCCATCCTTTGAGAATGATTCAAGTTTCAAAAATAGCTTTAGAAACTCTTAATGTTGCAAAATATGGTACATATAGTAGTTGATCAGTTTGGTTGATCAGCTTGGTTCACAAGAATTGGAATTTTAAGACTTAGGTGGATTTTAATCTGGGGTCAATGAAAGACCTCTGAAGGTCATGTGGCTGAACACAAGCAGATTAGCTGGATATTTGTCCTGAGCACCTAAGACAATACTAGAAAAGTAATAAAATGGGAAAACATATATATATATATATAACACATATTATATATAATATATAACACATATTATATATAATATATAACACATATTATGTTCAATACAGAACAAATATATATATGTTTTTTGTTTTTTGTTTTTGTTTTTTGCCAGAACTTACCTAAATGAGAAAATAGTATGTAGTTTGGATATCTGGGTAGGGGTGAAACCTATTGCTAAAGATATGTTAGGGTAAGAACAGAAATAGATAAACTCATTTCCAAGGAGGACTTTTGTCTAACCAAGGCATGGTACTGTCTTCTCTGCTTCCTTCCACTTACCTTTTACTAAATAAAACTAGAAACAGTTCATGAATACTGTTTTGCATGGGCCCCAAATTATTATACTTTACATGGTACCCATGTGCATTGATCAACAGGGATAATATAGAAATGTTTTCAAAAATGAAAATATTATTAGAATAAGCATACAGTCTCTCAAAAATAACTTTAAATGCAATAGATTACATTCAGACACATGGGGCACCAATATGAAAATTATCTACTTCTACACTGCTTTTTATGAAGTCAGGTAAATGGAGGATACTGGGGAAATAAACTGTGTTGAGTTGAATATCTAGATATTGATGTGCGCTAGGGAATCAAGGAAGAGGCAACAAGCACTTAGTGAGTTCCTCCTGTCTCCAGGAAATATATTAGGTGCTCACAGTCTATAGATGACTAAAAAACAGCCTCTGACCCAAAGGATTTCACTGGCTAGTGAGAGAGATAGGCCAAGAAAGAGAAACTTTGATTAAATTACTGGTGTGTCTATATTTCATTTTTAGAAAACTTTTCACAGTGAAAAATATGTAGCATTGAAACTAGAATTCTATATCATCTTGGTGTACTTGCCCTTAACCTACTACACTATCCTATTTTCTCCTTATATTAAAGGTCAACTGGAAATATCAGATAGCCTGTAAGTCTCGAGGTACAAATATGGAACTTAATTTATATTGTTTTCTTGTACAATTTTGAAACAAATTCTTGGTTAATAAATAGAAAATAAAAAACTGTTAATAGAAGCTAATACATTATATACATAGAATAATATAAAGGACATGGAAAATAAGCTAGAATTGTGTCACTATCTGATAGCTTGTCTCAAATTGTTCAATGTTCTGAGTCTCTGTGCCAATTTGAGTATGTAGCTCAATACTTCTAGGGAATAAATACTTCTGTCTTCCTCCTATGGCCGTACAATGTATTTGTTTATTTGTATAGTAATCGTCACTTTTTTCATAAAGCACTTAAGGTACTTATGGGCATATTTATATTCTTATGTCTGAAAGTTTTTGATAACTAAGCTTATTTTTTTTAAATCTATGCATTTATAGACCTTTTCCCAGAAGAAACTTAACTGTATTTGCATTTGCGTAATCCACTCATCCCTAAAAGACATCAGTTTCATGGTTCGAATGTTGCAGCTGTTTAACAGCTTCCAGGCGACACTAAAAACTTAGTTTTAAGACAGGAAACTGGGAAGAGTAGTATATTTAATTAGAGTTTCAGGCGAGGTATTTAAAAAGCACCTAAGTTAACTTGATCCAAGATCATCTAATTAATACCCTCGCTGATTAAAAAATGTAAACTATAAAGCCACTGTATTATTAATTGCAAATATTAATATTTTTGAAAGTAATTCTTCAGTTGGGTAATTGTATCAGTTTTTCTCTGCATTGATCTCCGGTAACCATTTATATTTAATGCAGAAAAGAGGTTGCTTGTAAGTTAAGCCCCACAGGAATAACTTTAAAAGTATAACACAATTACATCATGTATTTGCTAGAAACTAGGTGTTTTAGATGGATTAGTGGTAGTGGGAAGGGGTCCTTTCAGGATTGTAGGTAATAAATTCATAAAGATTGTTTAAATGAAATCATAGTTTTCCACAGTTACCTAATGACATCAAATGTGATTTACCTTTATCTCTGATAGGCTATCATCAATAATATGGTACTTTTTGAAAATTTAAGCCATTCATTTTTCTGTACATATGTAAGTATAAAAAGAAAGCAGACCAACAGTGAAGATTTGAAAATACGAATGGAGGAAAACTTTCTTACTGTGAAGTAACTTTCTCACTTATCTGTCTATCTTATTTTCAAGTATCTTTTTTGGAGAAGAAAATATTGTAAAGACTCTGAGTAGTTTAAAGTTGTTATAACATCTGTATTATTGCTACACATGTAATAAAGAACATCCTTATGTTGGTAGAAACACAAAGTAATCACCAGATTAAGTCTTTTGTTTTTTCTTTCCTCAGTTGTGATTTCAATGAATCAAGTAGTCACATGATCCTATTGTTCAAGGAATATGCTCATCTATAAATATTTTTTATAAAGAAAAAAGTACTGTGAATTGTTAAAAAAAATACTGGATTTTTGCCTATTTGTTCTTTTAAATGTAGCATAGAGAAAATATTAACTAAGCCCTCTAGAATCACTCTTTGATTAAGGAAAATAAAAAATAGAAACTAAAAAGTTGCAGAATCTCAGGACTATAATAGATTTCTTATCAGAGTCCAAAATCAATGCATGTATTCTTTAGATAATCCAAACATGTCATAACGGTGTATGTTTGAGCTAAAGTATTTCATTTTTATATTATTTATCAAGAAATAAAATATTTAACTATAATGGAGTCTTGACTTTTGGCTGGAATCCTTTCTCAGTCCACAGGTCACCATGGAGAGAAAACAGTAACCTGCTGGTTACATTAGGGAAGGTTTAGAGAACTTCTTGCATATTCAAGTCTATTTAGATTCTTCATTCTTAAAAGATAAATTTTTATAAAGACAATTGTGGTGAAGTAAACAATCCATGTAATGTGTATCAGAACTCAGTATCAAAAATTTTATAAATTTTCATATTATCCTAACATAGCATTTTATGTAATATTAGAGCCATGAGCAATAACCTTTTAATAGATATTCAGCTTTGTATTTACAACTTCTCAAGTTCTGTCAATTGATTTAAAAATGTCTATGTAGTATAGAAACCCAGAAAGATAGTGTAACTACTTTTATATCATACATTATTTTTAAAAGTTCACACAGATCTTACTTTGTAATACATTTTTGTTACTATTTTTCATCTCTCTTCCACCATTTTAATTACTCAAACAGTTTTTGACTGCAAAGTCAGTGCTTGCTAAAAGCTCACGGGAAATAAAATAGTATTATATACATTGTTTCACACAGATTGATGTAAAAAACAAATGGTATCCTGTTGATTGAAAGAACAGATGCTTGTATAATTTATGAAGCCAGAAATACGTCCACAATATCCTCCCAAAATAGTAAGGTATTCTAATAACATAGTGGGGAATGCAGTCAAAGAGCTTGGGAGATTCCAATTTGTAGACTGTATTTTGAATGGAGCAAAGAAAACTTGAAAGATATTATCAATATTCTAAAAATACAATTATAATCACTCATTCTCCAAAGTAACATGATACAATAAAATAACATTTTAATGATTCACGTAAAAAATTAAAAAGCCTAGCATGTCTTTTTGTTGATTGTACATTTCACGTTCCACTCACTAGCAAATTTTAATAATTTGTCTAAGCAAGGGGGTCTACTTTTCATAACAAATGTCCATCATGTCAATTGTCCCAGAAAAAAAAATTTTCCCCCAAAAATGCTTACTTTCTCTAACACACATATCACTCTTATTTTTCAAATATTAATTTAGTATTAATAATAACAACGTAATAACATAAGTTGTGTTACTGATATGGTAGTGTTTATTTGGGATTAATTTTAAGTTATTTTGAATATCAGTTAACGTATCTGTACTTTCTAAACTGAAGAATTAATCAACTATTAGTACAAATTCTTGGATCGAGGGCACTATATTTCATTGCTAAAAATAAACACTGCTCACTGTGGCATTGGCACAGTTTGTGGAAGTCATGGGGTTATACTATTACACGATGGATTCTCTTTATGAAAAAAATAACATGGCTTCAACTATGATTTGAATTTTTCATTACATTCATTTAACTTCAAACTTCACATCATCATTGTGCTTTTTTCTATAAAAATGAGATTTTTTCTATCAATTTTTTTGTAAATTGATTATTTAAGTAACTCATTGTTTATAAAAGATTACTTTTGATAGCTCAGTATAATTTATCTGCACTATAAGCTCATGGATTTTGAAAAAATTGTAGTTATATATATTTTCTTTTTTTCTTCTCTTTCTCTGTTTTCTTTCATTTTCTCTCCTCTCTCTCTCTCACTTTATTTTTATTTTTATTTTTTGCTTCAGGAAGAAGTCTAAATTTCAGAGCAAATAAACATTGAAATAGCTTTCCAGTAGACAAATCTCAAAATATTAAAAAATATGAAGATTGAACAATTTTCGAAACTACAACAAAATTTAAAAACTAGTCTAATTCTACGTAGACAGCCAATGGCATACTGATTTGATTTAAAATAATATATAGAATAAGCTCAAGAACAAGAAACTATTTTGAAAAGTTATCAGTAATAATTATCCTGAATACACTATAGTCTTCATACTTTGCATTAATGTTGAAGATTAAGACAGGGATGCATTAGATTAATCAAGGGTTCCTAACTTTAGGCGGGTTTAAGATTAATTATAACTTTCAAGTAGACATCAATCCTCTTTAGAGCTACCTGTCTTGGAAGAGCTCTCCCTGTCTGTCAATCATTACCACCTACCAGGTAAGAAAGCCACACAGCAGAGTGCTGTACCTTACTGGGAATATTATTGTGCCATAAATTAAAAAAAGAAATATATATATATGTTTTGAAGCTAATAGATTTTTTTTATTATTTTAGAAGTGGGAAAACAGTTGTTTTTGAGGGAAGAAGCGTTAGAATCTTAGGAGACGCTGATTTAATCTGGTCCCCTTAAATAATGGTATCCCCTATAAAATATCTGTTATAAAGGATTATTCAGAAATATATTGAACCACTGTATATGAGAATGGTCTTATTATCTAGATTTTATTCAGAAAACCAAATCTCATAGAGGTTATACAATGAAGCTAGTGACTGGGAGGTCATGGGTTCATTGACTCAGTTCTATTGCTGTTTCTTTAGTTATTATATTATGCTGCCCAATAAACTACACCTTTACATTGCTGCAATTCATATGCATAGAAAAACTTTATGCATACAGACATAGTGTGCATGTATACACTCTACTGAACAAAAACAGTTTAAACCAGCATGTGGTAAGAAGTGATCAATTTGAGGAAAGTAAAATAAGCAAAATATATCAATAATGATCAATAATATCAATAATCAATGGGAGATTATTAAAATATTAATGTTGAGTTACAATGATTCTTTTTAACTTTCTTATTACATTAAACTCTGAATGTCTGAGTTTGTATGCAGTTTTTGAACAAACAACACACAAACATTTATATCTGTAAACACTTATAAAAACAAACCAAAAAGTTGAGTAGACTGTAAATCTCTAAATCTTTCCAGAGCTTAAAGCTGCTTTAAAAATTTTTAATGTTGGCCAGATGCAGTGGCTTACGCCTGTAATCCCAGCACTTTGGAAGCCTGAGGTGGGCGGATTCATGAGGTCAGGAGATCAAGACCATCTTGGCCAACATGATGAAAACCCGTCTCCACTAAAAATACAAAAAAATTAGCCAGGCATGGTAGCGCGTGCCTGTAGTCTCAGCTACTCGGGAGACTGAGGCAGGAGAATTTCTTGAACCCCAGAGGCGGAGGCTGCAGTGAGCCAAGATCGTGCCATTGCACTCCAGTCTGGGAACAAAGCGAAACTCTGCCTCAAAAATAAAAAGAACAAAAAAGTTTCAGTGTTCAGTATGTGTCAATTGGTTGGATCTTACTATGGAAAAGATTTTTAAATCACTCGAAGTCTGTTTTGTAACAGAGGCACAATGTGGGTTTCTTATATGTAAATACAGTTAATATGTATGTTAAGAATAAACCTATTAATGTTTTTCAATTACTAATAACTTTATCAAATAGTGCAAAGGTTATAGTTGAAATTCTTCCCTTCTCAAAAGGAAATTCATAAGAAATTTTACAAAGAGAGTAATGTAGAATTATTCACACAGTTTTCTGGGATGGAAAACCAGAAACTTTTCAGGCCCTTTGCTGTTATCAGGAGTAAGGGCTATCATTAATTACAAAACTATTGGAAATATAATTATAGTCTTCTGCGGGGTGCTAGTGTTTCGCTAGTAAAAGATACCTCATTGGAGCCAAGCTTTGGCATGACTCGCCCTGATTTTCCTTCTTTCTCAGTGGAGAAACATGTCCAAGTGCCCAACTTGCCTCTCCATCACATTTAGTCAGTTTCTGACCTCTTTTGTGCTTTTGCTTTTTCTATTGAAGCAGCCAGAAGGCCCCATAATTACAATTATAATTACCCAGAAGAACATTTCTGTGATAAGCACTTTAACTGCATAACTGGGAAGGTAATAGTGCCAGTGCTGAAGCATTTATTAAGATTTTATATCCTGAGCAGAGGAAGAAATCTTCTAAGAAAATGGAGACAGACATGAGAAAGGGACTTTGGGACCCCAAAATACTGGTTAAGCAGAAATTTTATTTATGATGGGTTTCAGAGATAGTGTTATCTCCTTCGGAGGAGGAGGAAACAGCAATGGCATTTTTTTTAATGCAATATTTTTCACTTCTTTTGTTTTGAATAGATTCACTTTCATGACATAAAATAAAACTGACTAAACTATAAATCTATTTATGCATACATGCTGCTCATCAGATTTTAAAACTAGGTAGAACTAAGGATAAAACGTGCATGGCAGCAAAGACTCAGTCTCTTTCATTTGTCCAGATCAATGCCCACATGCCCAATTTAGGTCAAGGCATCAGGCAGAGGAAAGGACTGGAGACTGACATTGAGATGCTCTATTTCACACACTTGCCCTCTGGAAGGACTGGCAGAGGCAGTCACTTAAATTAAATACAGATCATCAAACAAGATATATAATCTATTCCTAAAACAGACAACTTCAGCATCCCAAATCCCTATGGCTTTTTACTGAGGCACATTGCACTACTTTTTTATGTTCCTCTGTCAATTCATGTTAGGGTTTGCTTTGTTTAAAAGTGGTATTTCATGTATTTCGTGACCCTCTTGCACAAAGCAAAAAAATTGCTTTGGTTTATTTATGACCTACTAACCTTAAGCAAAACTGAAATACTTAATGTTCCCACAAGCCTAGGGATGAGAAATGAAAGCTACAATAAATTTGGCTTTGATGCAAATTAGATTGGTTTTATCCTACCCACACAGCCCTCCAAAATTAGGAAGAGGGGGATAAGAGAGTATTTATGCATTAATGACCTATTGCTTGTGACTTTTTTTCATTCAAGGAAAACTATGCAAGAATGCATATTGCTACCACCAACTTGGAATTCTGGAATTATGAACAATGTGTTCTAAAAAATTGCCAGAAAATGTGAAATCTCAGTACCATTGCATCTTAATATTTTAAAGATAAATGATTTATAACTAAGGATTAAGTTGTGAAAATAAAGATGGAAAAGATATAGGATTGGAAGGTACATGACAGTAATTGCAAGACCATATAAGTGAGCAGAAAACTAAATTGCACCAACAAGTAGAACGATTTTTCTGTATTGCTCGAAATAATTTAGAATATAGAGCCTAAAGTTTACTATCTTCTCTGACATTAGATTAATTGGAAGCAAGAACACAGAGATCCTATTTTCCATTGTGGAGGATTTAAACTGTTAAGATATGAGGTTTTATCTTTAACAAACTATGACTATGATTAGCCCAAGGAAAGAAAAAATAATTAATCACTTTATTTATCATTGCTATTTTATGTGTAAATAACAAGACATTTAATGTAACTTCTATTGTTTCAAGTGAATCATTATAAGATTTTTAAGAATTTTAATGTTAAATCAATTATAGTTAAGATTTTTATTCTAAGAATGTAACAACTTTAGGATTAAGTTAATTGTATTCTTCCAAAGACTTCTAGGAGAATATTTTGGAAAACAAAAGATAACATAGTTATGCCTTTTAATTATTTGTAACTGACCTAGAGCTTTGCTTACTGGTAGGCCAAATGCATTTTGTGTTAAGGGAAAATACAGAGCATGGAGTCTTTTATCACAACATCCCTATTATACAAACGTTAGCAGATGTAGCAAGAGATGAATAGGCATGATTGAAAACAGTTGTATATTGACCTGACACTAATACCACAATAGGCAGGCAACAGAACAGGAGTGATATGCTTTCAGTCGTAATTGATAATGCAAACAAATGAATCCTCAGTCTCATGATAATATTCTTTCCAGCAGCAACACAGAAATGCCTACTGATAAAGCATTCTTCTAGGGTTTTATTCTGTGGGAGAAATTTGCTTCTTTCAAAAGAATTAAACAATGCAAAATTCAGATACATCACTGTTTCATATTCTGTGCCTATTTGTCACTTTAAAATTTACTTCCAGTTGATCTCTAGTCCCTGTTTCTCTCAAAAAAAATCTGTTGAAGTTTTCATGTAAATAGTTTGTCTAAAAGGTTAAACAATTATTGGCTTTAAAATAATTCTAAGTGACTGAAATGTAAGAATGTGTAAAAATTTGGGATACATATTTCACTAACATTTCGAGAGTAATTGCCTTGACTTGAATAGACCATTATCACCTTCAAAGTAGCATTCCAAATTATTGTGGGTTGTCCCTCCTACAGATAATTACTCTATAACCATATTAGATGCAACTTAAATGTGTGAAATAATGACTTTCTATTCTGGTTTAGATACATCCAAGGTGACTTTTGTTTTAATTGATGGTAGAAAATTATTGAAAATGGCTCTAAAAATAAATTCAGTAGAGTTCATAATAATTTTAAAATAAGCATTAATGATAAAACAGTCTTAGAAAATAAGACTATGAAAAGAATCCCTCACCCATCTACCCATAAAGAGATGTTAGATGTTAGATGTTATTTAAAATAATAGGAAATGAACGGTTTTGTAGCATACATAGATTGTATTTACCTTTCACTGTATTCATGAACTCTTTGTGCCATAAACTAAGAAAAATGTATTGAGCTGGTTTCTTCACTTATAATTTGTTCAGCATTTTCTAAATAAGATTGTTCTTAGGAAGTTATACTAATTTTAAAACCTTATTTTAGAATAAAATATAGTAAATATATAATGTAAATATAAATGATATCATCAATGCCAATTTGAGGAAATCTAAGGTAATTCTGTTTAATTTCTGTATAAGCTATATACATAATGCTTGCTTACTATAAGCGTAACAATATTTAAATTATAAGATATTGTTTGGATTTTATACCACAAAGTACTTTGAATAACAAATTGTCCCTGTCTTTAACAGTGAGATAATTCCATCTCTGGAACTAGCCCAATATCGGCCATGTTTTTGCTTAATGAAACCGATCCTTTTCTCTCATACAATGTGATGTGGAGGTTTGCCAAACTCTTTGTTGGAAGAATCATGCTTCTTATTTGTCTTCTTTTGTAGTCTTTTGAAATGGCATAAAAATGCATAAAATATATGACTAAAGGTACTGTTGTTTCTGTCTCCCATCCCCTTCAGATACTTACAGATACTGTAAAGTGAGTAGAATTCTGAGTTTTGAGGTTGCTTCAGTGAACATTCAACGCTGTCGGTGAGTTTGGAATTAAAATCAAAACCATCGACCGTTGATTGTACCCTATGGCTAACCATCATCTACTCCATGGTGCTCAGAATTCGCTGAAGACAGGAAACCAAAGGTGGACACACCAGGACTTTCTCTTCCCTGTGCAGAGATTATTTTTTAAAAGGTCACAATCAACATTCATTGCTGTCGGTGGGTTGAACTGTGTGGACAAGCTCACTGAACAATGAATGCAACTGTGGCCCCGCTTTTTGCTGTCACAATCAACAGATATTCCATCTTTGAAAGATGTGTTCAAAATAGTACTATTGTTCTTTAAGTTTTCCAATTCGTCAGCATCTTCTGGTTTATTTATTCAATTTATATCATGTGATGAGATTTCAATGAAAAAGACTCTGGTTTAAACAAGAATAATGCTTCTCTATCTTTTGTATGCTATAAACAGAGCATGTTTTAGAAAAGGCAAAACTATTTTGTCCATCAAACGTACAGTATCATCATCTAGGTTAGCTCACCTTCCTACTGTTGTAGTGTGAGTGAAAAAAAGACATAAAGTAGGACCTCAGCACCCATGCCATTGACAATAACACACTTACAAATATGTGTTCTTTACAACTTTTGTTAGATGTTCTGGTCAAAGTGGGATAGAAACACCAGATAATTTTAGCTTTCTGCTTCTCTGGGTGAGGATTTGCTCATATAATTCTGCCTCTTGCTATGTAACATGCTAAATACGAAGAAAATAATATATACATAACTATATAACTATCAGAACACTCATGACAGTCATATAGTAGATTGATTTTCCCAATTCAATTTCCACTTTAAAACTTTACCCACTTTCTATGTGCATGAACTGCGTGGTTAGACTTACAGTCATGGCCCATTAATTGCCTCATGTTTACTCATCTGACTTTGCAAGTAAAAGCCTATGCATATCATGGTTTTTCTTAAGTGGTTTGCCTCTGCATTTTTATATAGGACATCTGTCATTAAATTTGATCACAGCAGTTTTAAGTTTACCATTTGTAATGATAATAATTATATAGCAAAATAAAATGCTTTCTCAAGTGTCTATGTTTGGAGTACCTGGATGGCTTCAATGTTCATTTTTTTTTAATGGTCAAATAAATTATCCTTTCTTTTCCTTGATCTTTTAAATCCCATTTGCCTTTAACTCCCATTACAGAAACCCATTGCTGGGACCCGGCTCTTGACCTCATCATAACCTTAAAATATTTTACCACATTCGATATCTAATATCCCACTCTGTCTATCACTTCTTACCATTCTAGTTTCTCATTCTCTTATCTCCAAGGCAACTGTCCTTTCAATATCAGTGTTGCTGAAAAATAAAATCACATCATCATATGGACACATTAATACACATACTCAGGGGCCTCCAAGTGCCTCAGTCCCTCAACTCTGACCCAGCATTTCTTCTACTCCACTCCCTCATGTTTAGCCTAAATGTTTACCTCTTTCCTCAACTGCTCCTTTCCACGATTCCACTCTCAACAGATGAACTGACTTCTGTTTTTCATTGAGAAGCTTGAGTCCATGTGATTATTCCCTCCACTTCCTTGTTTATAGCCTATGAATGCGTAGGATTCTGCCCTGAGTTGTCTCACGTGAGCCTCCTGCCTTGCTTGGGACATCTCTTCCCCTGTGATATCCCCCTCCTCTCTCACCATCTGGCTCCATTTCACATGTAACAAGGTTCAGTTTTCTCTCTTCTCAAATAGAAAACAAAAGAAATTTGAGAAAAACTTCTCTATACTTGCTTTATCCTCAAGTTACTTACCCCACTTCTTTTCTTCTTTTTAAAAGCTAAGATTTTAGAAATAGTACATAGTAGCCTGCAGCACTGTCTATATTTGTTTACTTCCCATTTCACCTCAACTATATGTAATTTGGCATCTTCTACCATTTCTCTCTCCCACTTGTGCATAACATCATTCTAATGACACTGCTTTTCCCCAAATCACCAGTGAGCTCCATATTGCCAAATACAAATCAAACTTTTCTGCCAGTTGTCCTACTCGAACTCCCCTTGATGCCTGACACAGCTGACCACTTCTTCCTAAACTCCAGTCCCCATTCACTTTTGTGATCCTACTCTCATTTGGATTTCTCTCTTTATTACAGTGATGTCCTATTTATTTATTTATTTTTAAGAAGCTCTTCATCTGCTTGAACTCCCAATGCCAGTATCCTTCTGAGACCCATTCTTAACTTTATGGCTTTTTTTCTCTTCTCTTGTCTCACAATCTTTGAAGGAATCTCAGGCACGTGAATGATGTTTACATCTGCTCAGATGCTGCAGATACCCAAGTCTTTATCTCCAGCTTACACATCCCAAAGCTACATATCTGTCTTCTGCTCTTCTCACAGACCAAAGCCCATCCATGACTACAGATAACGTATCATCTTTTTCCCAAGGGATAACACTCTTGATCTACTTGGAAACCAAAGCCATAAATCTCAATTCATTTCATGTTCCTGGACCTTGCTTCCTCTCCTTTTCTAAACATACAATCGCACAGTCCTGAAGATGTTCACTTTTTATCTTGCTAATATTTCAATTATTCTGTATACTTCTACTGAACTTTAGTCCAGAAACGCACACCTCTTACTTGGACTATTCCAATGGTCTCCTAACTCCCACCATCAGCCATCCATCTGTTCAATATTTTCTTCACAGTATTTTAAAAAGTGATTTTAAAAATGTAATCATATTGTGAAACCGTTTAATCCACTTGGAATAAAATGTTTAATAGATGGATCGTTCTGGCGGGAAAAGCATTGTGAATATTAGCTAAATGAGAAAAAGATAATATCTGGAACTTCGTACAAGTTCTCAAGCTTAATTTCAGTATATTAATGAATTAAATGTAATTTCTGAAAATTTTCTAAAATAAACGTAGTTGAAAATTTAATATCCTTGAAATGATGAAGAACATTTTCAATTTTAACACAAACGAGGCAAAAAGAAAAGACAAGCATGACTTTGACTACATTGAACTTCAAACTATAACGTGTCAAAAATAACCATATAATGAAAAGGCAGATAGCCAAATGAAAATGAATATGAACAATAAGAAAGAAAAAAGATTAATACACTTAATATATGACATTTTTAATATACAAAAAGGAGTAAGAAAAAATTAACAACTAAAGAGACAAATGAACAGTGGACATGAACAGAGCGGTCACAGATGTAAAGCAAATGAGTGAGACCTACATGATGTAAAATTCTGCTTCACTTATGAAAATTCAAATTAAAACCATGAGATGTAATATTTCTTTAGTAAAGCTAACTGATGAAGAAAATTTAGTGATGGTGACATGAATGTTCTCATGCTATACTGGATTGTCTTTGGTTTCTGCTGAAACTTCTGGGCTTGATTTTTCCATTTCCATTACTTTATTTTTTGAACATGGAAACACACCCTTCCAGCTATGGCAAATTAGATCAGAAGTACACACCTGTGCCAAAGGGACTCAATCCATCCATTTGACTGAAACTTTTATATTTTCATTCTTATGAATTTGAATTAAGATAAACATAAATCCTTCAGGAGTAGAAGGTGTGTACAAAATGTATAATTTCATGAAGCTTTGGAATAGATTAACATTTTTCTTTGTTTATATATAAAAAAAGTAAATAAAAGATGGAAGTTGGTTAGTGAAAAGCAGCTACAAGAAATAGACATGAGATTTTTGCAGTTCCCTGAGAGACGGATGAAAAATCTTTAGTCCAAAAAGCTCCAGGTCCAGAAACCATTTTCCCAGCCATCTTTGCTCTGCTTTTTTTTTTTTTTTTTTTTTGATGGCTGTTTTCAGTGTCTATAATAATTTTAATGGCTTAAAATAAGTCCTATTTTATTTAGCTAAGGATGGTTTCTGTTCATTGCCTTCAGAACTATACAATGCTCATGAGAGTATGATCTGATTTAAATGTTATGGAAATAATTTTATCAATAATTTAACAATGCTTGTAAACTTTTATCCAATAATTGTGTTTTTAGAATTCTCATTTACCTATGTATTTATTTTTAATAGACTAATACTAATTATATATGTTTATGGGATACAATGTGATTTTTTTGTTTTAGTTTTTGTTTTATGTTTTTTGTTTTTTGTTTTGAGACTGAGTTTCGCTCTTGTCTCCCAGGCTGGAGTGCAACGGTGCAATCTCAGCCCACTGCAACTTCCACCTCCCAGATTCAAGTGATTCTTCTGCCTCAGCCTCCCAAGTAGCTGAGATTACAGGCACGTGCCACCACACCTGGCTAATTTTTTGTATTTTTAGTAGAGACAAGGTTTCGCCGCGTTGGCCAGGTTGGTCTTGAACTCCACAATGTGATATTTTGATCTACAAACATATTGTAGAAAAATTACATCAAAGTAATTAACATATCTAACACCTCAAGAATTTATCATTTTTTGATGGTGAGAATGTTAACAATCTGTTCTTTTTGGCAATTTTGAAATATACAACACATTATTATTAACTGTGGTCTCCATGCGATACGATAGGATCACTAAAACTTATTCCTGTAGTCTAAGTAAAGCTTTGTAAACTTTAATAAACATCTCTCCTATCACTATTCCTCTCCCATTCTCCCAACCTCCAGTAACCACATTTTTATTCTGTTTCTATGAAATTAAATTGTTTAGATTCCACATGTGTATAAGATCATAAGTATTTATCTTTCTGTGCCTCCCTTATTTCAGTTAGCATAATGTCCCCCAGTTTCACATAGGTTGTCAGGAATAGCAGAATTTCCTTCCTTTTTAAGGATGAATAATTTTCCATTGTTTATATATTCCACATTTATTTTAATCCATTCGTCTATTGAACACTTAAGTTGCTGCCATATCTTAGTTATTGGGAATAAAGTTGGAGTGAACATGAGATTGTCGATGTCTGTTTGATGTACCAATTTTCAATTCCTTCAGATATATACCCAAAACTGAGATTGCTGGATCATACGGTAATTCTCTTTTTAGTATTTTGAGGAACCTCTCTACTATTTTCCAAAATGGCTATACTAATTATTTACATTCCCCTCAACAGTATACAAGGGCTCTCTTTTTCTCCACATCCTCACCAACACTTCTCATTTGTTTTTTTGACAATGGTCATTCTAACAGGTGTGACGTGATACCTTAATGTAGTTTAAACTTGCATTTACCTTATGATAAGAGGTGTTGAGGCCGGGTGCAATGGCTCACACCTGTAATCCCAGCACTTTGGGAGGCCAAGGCGGGCAGATCATGAAGTCAAGAGATCGTGACCATCCTGGCCAACATGGTGAAACCCTGTCTTTACTAAAAATACAAAAATTAGATGGGCATGGTGGCACATGCCTGTAGTCCCAGTTACTCAGGAGGCTGAGGCAGGAGAATCACTTGAACCCAGGAGGCAGAGGTTGCAGTGAGCTGAGATCACACTACTGCACTCCAGTCTGATGATAGAGTGAGACTCTGTAAAAAAAAAAAAAAAAAAAAAAAAAAAAAGGTGTGAATGTTGGCCATGTGTGTATCTTCTTTTGGTAAATGTTTGTTCAGATCCTTTACCCATTTTTAATTAGGTTTTTTTCTTTTCTTGCTATTGAATTGTTTAAATTGGAATGCCTTACATGTTATGGATCTTAACCTGTTACCAGATATATAGTTTGGAAATACTCTCTTCCAGTCCATGGATGAGAATATATATATATATATATATATACACACACACACATTATTATATATCTATATATCACTTATGTGTCTCTTCACTCTCATAATTGTTTTCTTTGCTCTGCAGAAACAACTTAGTTTAATGCCATCCCACTTGTCTATTTTTGTTTTTGTTGTTTTTGCTTTTGGGGTAATAGCCAAGAAGTCGTTGCTCAGACCAATGTTATGGAGATTTTTCTCTCTGTTTTCTTCTAAAAGTTCTAGTTTCAGGTCTTATATTTCAAGTCCTTTATCCATTTTGGGTTGATGTGAGTGTGTGGTATAAGATAAGGGTCCAATTTTATTCTTCTGCAAGTGGCTATCCAGTTTTCCCAACACCATTTGTTGAAGTAGTTGTCTTTCCCCCATTGTGTGTTCTTGGCACCTTTGTCAACAATCAGTTGACCATAAGTAGTTGGGTTTATTACTGGGCTTTCTTGTTTCTTTGGTTGATGTGTCTGTTTTAGGCCAGTACGATGCTGTTTTTGATTGCAATAGTTTTATGAAATCTTTTGAAATTAGGAAGTGTGATGTTTTAAAATGTATTTATGTATGTATGTATGAAGAGATTCAAAGCAGCATTATTTTAAAACTTTTAATAATAGCAAGCTAAATGTTCAAAAACGAGGAGCGGGAAAATGAATTATGACATGTATGATGGAAAATAATAATAACTGTATTTTAATTAAAAATCATGCTTATATTTAAGTATAAATTTTTCAGAACTCAGATAGAGAGTTAAATTCCAACTTACTAGAAGAGTAATCATGGAGAAATTAATTTTCCTAAGCTTAAATTTGTTCAACTATATAATTTGTATAATATTCCCTACCTGAACATTGTTGCTTTCAGGATAAATGAAATAATCCATACAATGACTTTAGCATAGTGCCTGATGTTTAGTAAATATTTAGTAGTAGTAGTAGACTCTATTCCTGTGCATGATCATACCGCTATACATAACAAGTTATGTTTTTTTCTTTAACTCTTAGTGCTGGAATTTTGACCATTTTCTATCATATTCATTATATCTTCTACATTTCTGAGATAAAAACGTGTTACTTATACTCTTTTTAATAATAGTAAGCTACTAAATGATTTTATTTTAAAAATATCTTTATCATTAAATTCCAAATGTATTTGTTTATTGAACTAAAAGCCCTCCAAAGTGCTAGAACTCTAATACCTACTAGTCACAGGGCATTGATGACAGCATTTAAAATTATTAAATGTTATAAAGCACGCATTTATTTAAACATAAACAACACACACACAGAGAATGATACAATGCTTTATAAAAGCGCTTTATTTAACTTTATTCTCATTCTAAATCTGAAGATAAACTCAGGTCCAAAATTTTAAGGTAAATAAGCATAAGTAACAATGAGTTAGTTTGAAAGATTAAGTCAATTATGTACTCTTATCTTTTATATTTCCTCTGAAGGAATTTGAGTGCTTGACAGTTAAATGATATAAAGTTCATTGATGAAAATTCCATTTAATAGTATACTTTTCATGTACATGGACTGGAATTCATAACATAAAATATTAAAATGTTTAATTGACTACTCATTTGGCTTTGAATGTTGCTTTTGATTTTTCATAACATAACATAATCATTAATAATATAATGATTATTATTTCTGTAACTTGATCAGTTACAAACTTTACCAGTTTTTTAATGAAAAATAATAAGAATCAAGTCATAACTCACATGCTAGGATGTGCTTTTAAGTAATAATGGGCAGTCATTGCCCAATGGTAGCATCAAGATATCTTAAGAAAGGTGTATAAAAAATTAAAATGTATTTCAAATATTTAAAGGAATTATTATAAGTGGGTATCTTTTATCAATAATCTTTCTTTTCCAGATAGTTTGAAAAGAAGAGAGAGTCTAATTTTCATTTGTGATTTCCTTTCATGACCAGTCATTACAAAACTTTAGTTTAGTTAAAAATTTCTCTTGATTTTTGTCTAGATTTTGCCTTTTTGAGAAAATTTTATTTTCAAGTTTTCTCCCTTTTTTTGTTTTGTTTTAAGCTGACAACATACGCCTCTTTACTGTTTTAAAAGACTCTAGGTATTGGTTCAAAAAAATACAACACAAGTTGTTCTTCACTTTTTATTTGTTTGTTTATTTATTTTTGAGACAGACTCTTACTCTGTTGCCAAGGCTGGAGAGCAATGGTGCAATCTCAGCTCACTGCAACCTCCGCCTCCTGGGTTCAAGTGATTCTCCTGCCTCAGCCTCCTGAGTGAGTAGTTGGGATTACAGGCATGTGCCACCATGCCGGCTAATTTTGTATTTTTAGTACAGACGAGGTTTCACTGTGTTGGCCAGGCTGGTCTCCTGGCCTCAGGTGATTGGCCTGTCTCAGCCTTCCAAAGTGCTAGTATTACGGGCTTGAGCCACCATGCCTGGCCTATTCTTCACTTTTGATCAATATGCAAAATAAAGTTAAATGGGATTATTATTTACTTTATTTAATTCACACAATGATATGGCTACATGGTCTCCTTTAATCCTCACAAGAACCATTTGAGAAAGGAAATACTATTCTAAAGTTGAGCACAAGATAATAAAAATATGTCTGATGCCACAGAACTGATAAGAGTGATGGCTCTAAGCTATGTTATCTACTTTACATTCAAATTTTGAGAATTTAGCTTGTAGTGAATAACTATTTCTAAGAAAAGAAGAATAGTGTATTCCTTTAAAAACAATAGCTAAGCTTGACTTCTTTGTCACTGGGATTTAGGGCATGATAAACATGTGATCCAAGAACAAAGTTTATACCCTCAGACTACATATTTGGAAACATGACATGCCAATTCAAGTGATTTAAGTCCTGGTTTTCCTTATTAATCATAGAAAAAAAATTTCTACAAGTCAGAGGATTTACCTGCTTTGTTTGCTGCTCTAAGCCTGGCACCAACAACGATGTCAAACATACAATAGGAGCTCAATAAATATTAGTTGAATGAATGAGTCAAGAATGAATCTACTCATAAAGCATATAATCCAGTGCTTTAGGTCTGATGCTGTGAGTCAAAGTTGAGTTGTGGGTGTCTCAGAAAACTACATACAAAGCATGGCATTTATTTCCACTGGAGTCATAGCTTTTACTTATATATTTACCATATGAGAATTTACCTACTATATTTCTTCCTATCTAAGAAATAATTAATGGCAAGACAAACCATCATTGAATGAAGTAGTGAAAGAAGAAAAGAAAGAGAGAAAGAGAAAGAAAGAAAAGAAAGAAATCCTCACTGTTATAATCGTAAAATGCCTTGAATCATAAAACACATCTTAGTTTCAGAGATGTTAAAATGTGAAAGATACATCTTAGAGTAAATGTCATACAGTATTTACCCTCAGAATGTCACCATTGATGGGTTGCATTGTTTACATTAAACAAGGAATACACTTAAATCTGAAAAAGTAATATAAGGAAGAAAAAAATATGGAAAGATTTTGGAAATAATTTTAATTTTCTCTTTACCGTTTTGTGGAAATGAAATGAATTGTTTGAACTTTACAACTATTTTAAGGACATTCAAGGGTTATTTTATTTGTATATGATTTTTATCCTATGTACTGACCTTAAAATCAAACTTTCTCCTTGACGTTCACGTCAGAATAACTTCTAGGTAAAATAGATTTTTCTTAATTTCTAATACTATAAATTATAGCTAGTTAGAAGCAGTAGCATTTATGTTGCAGACATATTTGTGTTTTTCCAAATTATTTCTTTTACTTTACTCGTTGCTATCACAATCGAATACAATTTTAAATGGTTTTAACCACATTTTCAAGTTCACTCATTCTTCCTGCTCCTTCTAAGAAAGCTGATTGTGAATATGCTGAGCTGCTTACACAGCCCCTCACCATGTAAATATTCCTGAAAAATCAACACCAAGTAGTAGGAATAAAAGATTTCTCTGTGTTCACTGCCTGAGTCTCCCTAAGCCCTGGACAGCCAGCTTGGACCCATGGACATAAAGACTTAGCTAGTGGCGCCAAATCCCACAAAGCCATTTTTAAGATGACTGGGTTATGCTATCAATCCTCTTACCTTAGGCAACCCCCTCCTGCTGGTTAAGTGCTAACACATGCTTTACAACTGCAGGAAGGGATATGGTTTACAGATTAAAATTAGATGCAGAATTAAATTGCTTGAACACAGCGAAATAGAAGGGTAGTGGATGGGGTGGAGAAGACAATTTGAGCATGCCAATACTCACACACACTTAATTCCAAGACTTGGATTTCCATGAATTTCTATTAGAATTCTTTGGTTCAGGTTCTGCGTTCATTCCTGAGAGTCATTTTTAGAGCAGTAAACATAGACTCTGTCAAAATATATGCAGCCCCATGAAAATGCATGTTCAAATTATAGACTTTGCAGCCATGAGAGATTGCTGAGTTAAATACCAGAGCTCCTTTAGAAAGCCAAGCAGAGTAATTTAATGACTACTAATGACATTTGTAACTTTTCAGGCTACTATAATAAGAGTAATCAGATCTCAGGCTTCAGGATGTAACATGATCACCTGTGCTTTTCAGAAAAGAATTTCTGTACACATCGACAGTATTGTACAGCTGGCCAAGCACATTACTGGTAATGTCAGAAGAAAGGGGAGGACAGATAGCCTTTCTCCAAATCATTAAATTCCTTTTGCAACTGGTAAGCACATACTAATATAGCAATTAAGATAGATTCATCTATATTCTGTCAAAAATATCAGCCATTGCCTGAAAACCTAAGAACTAAACAACTAGAAAAGAAATAAATAAGTTCATAACATGTTCTTTCCTGGTTTTTAATATGAAGTCATGAAATAAAAAATTATTTATTCATTCATTCAACAAATATGTGCTGAGAGGCCATTTATTTAATGGCATGTTGCTAAGTGTTGGGGGAGATACCATGGTAAGCACAGACATACTACTTTCTGAAAGCTTGAAGTCTAGTGGCAGAGAAAGATATCAATCACACAGTTATATAAACAGAGGGCTCTTAAGTAAAGGCCTAGAGAATAAAAGGAACTAGGAAAAGTTACAGATTTTTACGTGCTAGACAGGGAAACTGTTGGTAATGTTCTAAATAAGAATTGAAAAGGAGCTCTCTGGATAAGCTAAATGAGTCCAAGGTCTATACATGGTTGGATAAAACAAATCTTATAGTTTATTCATTGGTAAAGAATCTTCACTTAGGTCCAGTAAATGTTTGGTGTACTCAGGTTATTCAAAGTTCATAGTCTTTGGGTCAGGTCTGGTGACTCACTCCTGTAATCCCAGCATTTTGGGAGGCCAAGTAGGGTGGATCCCCTGAAGTCAGGAGTTCGAGACCAGCCTGGCCAATATGGTGAAACTCCATCTCTACTGAAAAAAAAAATGCTGGCATGGTGGCATGTATCTGTATCTCAGCTACTTGGGAGAATGAGGCAGGAGAATTGCTGGAATGTGGGAGGCAGAGGCTGCAGTGAGCCGAGATCATGCCACTGCACTTCAGCCTAGGTGACAGAGCGAAACTCAATCTAAAAAACAAAACAAAACAAACAAACAAACAAAAAAGTTCGTGGTCTTTTATGAGCTTCAACTGGTTAGAACTAGTTGTGATTAAAACTAAATTAGTTTTGAGATCTCCTAGGCAAGAGCTGCATTAGTGGAAAATTTTCCACTTAACAGATGTAAATAATAACTGGTAGAGAAGTTGGGGGCATGGATTGAGGATAAGGAGACAAAGAGCATCCCAGGCAGAGAAAATAACATGTGCAGACCCTCAATACTGGAAGAAGAAATGCAGTTCAAGGAAAGCATAGAGACTCATATAATTCGGCTGGAACAGAGCCTCCCAGGAGGCTGCTGTTACCTGAGGCTAAGGAGGTCTATGCCAAGGCCACACAAAAATGTGTAAGCCATGTTAATATTTATTCTAATGTCTCAAAGGCAATAGGAATCCAGCAAAGTGTCCTTAAATGAGTGATAGGCGCAAAGGTTGAAAGGTAGAGGATGATCTGATTTATGTTTCAAAAAAATGATCACTCTGGGATGGTTTTAATGTTGAACTAACAGGGTTTACTAGTTGAGCTGCTTATACATCGTTTAGGAGGCAATTATTATTGCCCAGAAGAGAGATGGTGGAATTCAAAACCGATGATTCCAATGAACCTGGGTGATTTCAACAATGAAAGAGAGTGAGAGTGTCAAGGGAGATTACGATTAAGGTGCCCAAATATCAAACTGCATAATATTTCATAAACATAATAACACACTATTTAACCCTTGATCCAAAGCTTTTCCATCTTAGAGATTGTGATTGGCAACCTGTAAGATAGGCCCCAAAGATCCTCATCTCCTAATATTGGTGCTTTTCTGAAATACCCTCCCTTCAACTGTAGGCTGGATCTAGAATGCAGCAGAGGTGACGGGGGCACTTCCAAGATTAGGTTACAAAAAAAAAAAAAAGGTGGTTTCTATCTTGGTTGTTCTCTTTTGCTTACCCTTGATAACTCTCTGTGAGGACAACCAGCGGCTGTGTCATGAAGCAGACTTTTGTAGAGGCCCATATGGCAAGGGATGGAGGCCAGCCAACAGCCATGTCAATGAGCTAGCAAGCAGATCCTCCCCTACTCAAATCTTGAGATGACTGAAACTTGGACCAAAATCTTGATTACAAGCCTTATGAGAGACCCTGAGCCAAGAGAAGCCAAGCCAAGCCATGTCACATTCCTGACCCACACACACGATGAGGTAAGAAGCCTTTGTTCTTTTAAGCTGCTAAGATTCAGGGTGATTTGTTACACAGCAATAGATGACTGAGAGCTTCCCAACTAAGCAAAGATTTTGCCCTTTTTTTTGCCACTGTCACTATATACTTTTAAATGTCCAGGTGCATCTCTTTACTCTTTTTCACTACTTTATTCCTTTTTACTTTCCTTATTAAATTATTTATTAAAATGTTATTTTACAGCAGTCAGTGTACAGATAGATATAATAGAACGTTTAAATGATTTCAGCTTCAATGGTTTAGAGATTGATAAAGAAAAAAGAATTGAGATAAAAAGTCTTCGTAAAGGTATCTTCTGCAAATTTGGCATGTTTAAAGAATGGATAAGCTCAAAGTACAATATATTTATCTTCTCTGTTTCATCCATTTTCAGCAAAAACTCTGGTTATATTGATTAAAAAAGTAACTGTCTTTAAGGGTGCAGTGGTTCATGCCTGTAATTCCAGCACTTTGGGAGGCCAAGGTGGGTGAATCATCTGAGCTCAGGAGTATGAGACCAGCCTGGCCAACATGGTAAAACTGTGTCTTTGCTAAACATACAAAAACTATCTGGATGTGGTGGTGCATGCCTGTAATCCCAGCTGCTAGGGAGGCTGAGTCATGAGAATAGTTTGAACCCAGGAGACAGAGGTTGCAGTGAGTCAAGATGGCACCACTTCCCTCCAGCCTGGGCGACAGAGTGAGACTCTGCCCTCCCCCCAGCCCCGGCGACCGCACACACACACACACACAAAAGTAACTGCTTTCAGATTATTGTAGTGATTATGTAATGACAGGAGAAAGACTTTTGATGTATCTCATTCATGATATTTTGCTGCTGCTAAATAAGAACGAACAGTGGCTATATAGAAGATACAAAGTTATGTCCGTGAAAACTTTGCACGCTGGATACACCAGGGCCTCAGTCTTCAGAATTTCCTCCCCATCTCTACCTTCCCCAAAGTATTTCTGAAGGGTCCTAGGAGATTTTACAAACCCAGTCAACCTGCACGCTGCATGAGCCACTTTCTTCCACTTGTCTTTTCTTTTGAATTATAACTAGTCCCATTGAGGATCACTGTTCTTTTGGCTGCATGTAATCACACCCAGCCAGCACTGCTTTCTCCTGCTGACAGAGCAATCTCACTGGGTAACAACAACATTGATGCCAAGTTCTGCCGTTTCTGGGTCCTCTCACTCCCCTGGAGTGCTGATTCAAACTGCCAGAGCTTCACCATGTAGACAATTAGGAATTTCTTTCATTTTTCAATTGAACACTCTGGTAAAATGGTACCAAAGACTTACATTTTCCCCCAATGTCATATAAAGCTTTAAAAGAGTGATTCTATTTATATAGGAAATCAAGCATAAATCCATAAGGTGGAACGAACAGACTCATCTACAGGCCATGCACCTTGCGAAATTGAAATCTGCACCTCGTTTTGACGAAGCGTTCATGATTGGGCTAAACCTAAATTTATTTTATTTTGGCTTTCTTAGATGGAGCTGCCTGCAAGGAAGTTTATCAATTCTTCATGCAATAGATTCCAGGGAAAACTTGGCCAGAATCATCTAAATCACAGCAAAGGCAACTACTTGGCCTCTAACTCCAGAGTAAAATAATAAATAATAATATATGGGTAATAGTAATAATATATATATACTAGTAATAATAGTAAAATAATAATAAAAGTAAAATAATAAAAGCAGAACTCCAAAGTAGAATAATCTTCTGTCTATTCTTTATTACTTCCTGCTAACAACAGCAACAATAACAACACCACAAATTTTAAAATGTCTCATGATTTCATGGAAAAAACATTAAATTTAAAATTTGGAAAGCATGTGTCAGCCCAGTCTTACCATGAACCACTTGTTTGATGCAAGTCAGACTGATATTCTTCCAGAATCATATATAGCAATTAATTTTCTTATCTCCAAATGAAGTCTCTGAAAGAGTGGATCTCTAAGCACTCTTGAAACTCAAGATCTCTACAATTGAATGAGAAAAAAATTGGCAAAATTATATAGGAAAAAATTATATAAATGTTAGTTAAAATCTTTGTTTTCCATCTGCTTTATTGATATGGGAATTTTTAAAATGCAAATCAATTTTTAATCACATATCCATTTATTCAACTGAGTTATAAAACAGAGGTAGAAGCATTTGCTGGGGTGCGTTAATGATCAGGTTGATCACTTGAAAATATATAGCTGAGATGAGAAAAAAATAAAACTCCAAATAAAATAAAATAGAAAATACATATTAAGGCAGGATAAGTATAAAAAAGATGTGAAAGAAATGATAATAAAAGGAAACAAATGTAATCCTGATGTTTCCATTTTTTGTACCATCTCATTTCTACTCTTTGAGGAAGTAAGCAGCAGGTTCTGGTTTCTTGATGTTTTCCTTCACACTCGTAATTCCCAGTGAGATGGAAAAAAGATTCCAGGCCAACTGATAAAAAAGGAGAACTGACAAAGACTTCAGATTTTTCGCATTGGCCTCGAATTTTATTTCCAATGATTTTATACCAAAAAATTTTCCTAAGAGCACCCCCAATGTAAATAAGATATGCCAAATGTTTATGCATGTAGGCAACCAAGAAAGACGATTTTATTGCTAAACATTTGTTTGATCTTATATAGCATTTGCATGGGTACAAAAGCTCTCTTTGAGTAATAGAAACACTGTGTGTCTTCTATTATATTTGACTCAATGCTGTCAGAAGGGTTGATAAAAAATATCAACCTAAGATTGATATTTTTATTTTTTATTTTTTGAGACACAGTTTCATTCAGTTGCCCAGGCTGGAGTGCAGTGGTGCAATCTCAGTTCACTGCAACCTCCCCCTCCCGGGTTCAAGTCATTCTCATGCTTCAGCCTCCCAAGTAGCTGGGATTACAGGCATGTACCATCATACCCGGCTAATTTTTGGATTTTTAGTAGAGATGGGGTTTCACCAGGTTGGCCAGGTTGGTCTTGAACTCCTGACCTCAAGTGATCCACCCACCTTGGCATCTCAAAGTGCTGGGATGAGAGAAAGGTGTGAGCTACCGAGCCTGGCAAGACTGGTCTTTTGAGATGTTTTTCCGACTTCTGCATTCTGGCAACTGACTGACTCCATCCAGAGCAGGACTGAACCAGTCCTGTGGCCCCCACCCAGAGGCAGACACAGTGTATGAGTACCATCCTCCACATCCTATGATTTCACCCTCAACCATTCAGCAGCACTTATTTCCTAGCCCACTGCCTGCCAAATTATCCATAAAAACCCTAGCCTCTGAGTTCTTGGGGAACTGATTTGAGTAATAACTCCAGTCCAAACACTTGACCAGCTCTGTGTTAATTAAACACTTTCTGTACTGCAATACCGTAGTCTCAGTGAATTTTTTTTTTTTTCTGTGCAGTGGGCAGGAGGAACCCATTGGATGATTATAATATTGTGACCACATAGCTACGAAAACACACATCTTCCAGCTTTGCAAACAGAATGGGATTAAGAGTGGCTCATAATGGACCCTAATTCCAACATCTTAGGTCAAGGTTCTGATTGATGAGGAGATGTAGGCTGATCACCAATCCCAATCTGGTTGGCTAGGCAGGCAGTATCAGATAAATCCATAGTTACCCTGACTGAAAGCTTGTAGTGCAGAGTGTGGAAAGAATTATTCCTCAGAAGAATGGCATGGCATTCAGAGGGTGGTGTTAGCTCGCTACAGATAAGAAGGGTATTCTGGTACAGGAAAAAATCCAGGTGCGACATCATGGAATGGTGTTATGTCCCCTTAGAGGGCATAAGTTGAATGCTTTTAGGAGACCTTCTTCATAGATAGCAGAGATGTTTGTGAAGATGGTGTAATTTGAGATCAGCAGAGTCAGAACTATATTCACCCTCAGTCCTATTATGGAGCCTAACTTTTCCATAGCTATTTTGTTTTGGTTTAGGTAAAAGCTCTTTTTAAATGTAACACAGAAGTGAGGGCAAAGTAGGGAAATTATAGGTTATCCGATTATAAGCTGTTAATAACTTTTCTCACATTAGTTTCTTTGATGAGTTATACAGTCAAGGAAAGGCTTTGGTGGAATGAGTTATAGCAGCAAGAGAATTTTGATGCCTGTTTTCATGATGTAGTGCCTACGGAAAATATCAAACAAAGTATAAAATTCTATGAAAAACAAACCATTATCCTTAGAAAGAAATAATTCAGAGAACATGAGATATACATAAGGCCTGGGATGAACAGACCTGGCTGTGTTCCACACGTAGGTAGTGTTTACATGTCAAGCTTTAAGTTAGACTCTCAGGTTGGAATTCTGGTGGTAGGAGTTTGAACAAGGTACTTCGTACTCTGATTCAGTCTCCTTGTGTCGAAGCTACAAACAGTTTTAAAACTGACTTCATAAAGTTGCTGTGCATTTGAATGAAGAATATATATATATATATTAATATATAAATAAGAATATGTAAATTCTTTAAGAAGAAAGAATATATAAATAAGAATATAATATATATTTTTATATAAATAAGAATATAATATATATTTTATATAAATAAGAATATAATATATATTTTATATAAATAAGAATATAATATATATTTTTATATAAATAAGAATATAATATATATTTTTATATAAATAAGAATATAATATATATTTTTATATAAATAAGAATATAATATATATTTTTATATAAATAAGAATATAATATATATTTTTATATAAATAAGAATATAATATATATTTTTATATAAATAAGAATATAATATATATTTTTATATAAATAAGAATATATATAAAACACCAAGTGGTGCCTAGCATATCATAAGACTTGAAAAATATTAGTTATTATTATTAGCAGGAATCTTAAAAACTCTCAGAAGCAGTAAGTTTCTGGAAGTAATGAGGAAATGAAAGGGGAAGAAAGAGAAGTTCCAGGGTCTGAAGAGGCACCAATGGTAATACTTCAGTTGAGTGTGCCATTACGTGGTCAGCTGAGTGACTATAAAGTTGGTCTGCGTCCTCTGGTGCCCAGAACTTCACAAGCGTATTTTGAGATGGGATTTTGAGGCTTTTTCCATGTTGTGGGGATGATTCCCCCACTCTTATATCAGGAGATAGGAAGTGTACTATACAGAAACATAGAGACATGCGCACACATACACACACTCATGCCACACAAGCACACACATACAAGCAGGTACACACACTGGACTTGGTATCATAAGACGAAGATCTAAATTTCAGCTCAACCCTTAACAGCTATGATCTTGAGCCTGTCACATTGGGTCCTCAGTTTTCTTATCAGTAAAATAAAAAATTAAATAAATATCATTTATTTGTGAGGCCTGTTAGTCAAAGAAAATCTTACAGGAAGCCCTTTGTATACAATTGATAAGAATGATTCTTATTTGAATAAAATGGGGAAAACAGTGGAGTCCTGAAAATTCTTATCTCCTCCCTTTCCTTGCTAATCCTCTAGATACTTGGATAATACTGGACAGGAGGACTTCCCAGGCCCCTTTCTGTTTTCAGTCAAGTATTTCAACTACAGTACTCTCTTCTTTGAAGTAAAATTAACTTTAGAAGTTGTGTAATACATCTTTTGCCTCTTCTGTGGAATGACTTTATATTTTGCTTTTCCCCTATTTTAAGACTTCTTAAAATATATCCTTATGTCTTAGCCAGGCATGGGGGCACACATCTGTCGTCCCAGCTACTCAAGAGACTAGGATTTCAAGGCTGCAGTGAGCTATGATCACATCACTGTACTTTGGCCTGGGTAACAGAGTGAGACCCTACCTCTAAAAAAAAAAAAAGTCTTAATTAATTTTATTTTATTTATTTATTTATTTTTGAGATGGAATTTCACTCCTGTTGCCCAGGCTGGAGTGCAATGGCACAATCTCTGCTTGCTGCAACCTCTATCTTCCGGGTTCAAGCGATTCTCCCGCCTCAGCTTCCCAGTTAGCTGGGATTACCAGCTCCCGCCACCACACCTGGCTAATTTTTGTATTTTTAGTAGAGATGAGGTTTCACCATGTTGGCCAGGATGGTTTCCAAGTCTTGACCTCAGATGATCCACCCGCCTTGGCCTCCCAAAGTGCTGGGATTACAGGTGTGAGCTACCATGCCTGGCTTGTTGATTTTAAATAGAATAATCAGTAAACCACTACCAGGAACAACTTTAAAGTATGATAAAAGTACAAGTGTGTTCATATTAAGCAATCATTAATAGATCACTCTCAATGATCATGGATGGCTCTTACTTTTATGGCCTAAAAGTGGTCTAAATCTCTCATTGCTGACAAGAAAGGGCTTTCCTTTTGTAACTCTTGTTTGTAGCTTTCATTACATTTATAACAACTATAGCTTATATTCAGGGTTCCAGTATTTTGTAGATACAACCAGGATTTGAAGTCAAAAGAGCTGGCTTTAAATCCAACTGCTACCACTTACTAGTTTTATGAAATTTAACCAAATTCTTAAACCTTTAGAGCCACATTATGTTCTCCACTGTATTCAGCTGGTTTTTAGAACACTGTACTTTCTTGATCATCCTCATAGTTTATCCTCTGTGTCCTTTGTTATGTCTTTCAACTGTCTTTGTTGGTTCTGCCTCCTCTTTCCCACCTGTCATCATTAGAGTGCTCTGGACCCAGATCTTCATAATCTCTTCTTCTCCATTTGTACCCATTCTCTTGATAATCTCAACCAGCCCAAAGCCTTCGCATAATATCTATATGTCAATAATTTCCAAGGTTAATCTCTAGCTCAACCCTTGTCTCTAACTCCAGACTTATATGTCCAACTGCATACTTGATGTTGCCACTGCAATATGCACTAGACATACTTTCAATATGTCCAAAATCAAAGTCCTTGATCTTCCTCCACAAACCTCTTCCATGTACAGTCTTTCTAATCTCAATTTAAATGACACCATCATAATAGTAGTTTAGGCGAAAACCTTAGAATCAGCCCTTTCATCCCCCAAATCAAGCCACTTAGCTATTGGCTATTCCTTATGATGGTTTTCATTGTAGCCAGGGCCACCATCCTATCTGCCTGAATTGTGATAGACTCTCACCTCATTTCTCCTCTCCCTTTGGCTCCTGGCAGTCTCTTCTTCCTGAGGCAGAGGGAGAAATCATTTTGAAATGTAAATCTGATGATGTCACTCCTCTCCTTAAAGCCAGTAATGACCCCACTTTTACACAGAGAAAGAGAGGAAGTCCCTGCAATGGCCCCCCAGAACGCATGTGACCCTCCACCTTCATCTTCTATGGCTCTTCACCTTGTATATTCCCTTCCAGCCCCACTGGCCACCTTGCTGTTATTCTAATAGGCCTTCTCACAGGCCTGTCACACTCCTGCCTTTTCGTCTTTGCAGATGAAGATATACCCTATACCTGCAGCACCTTCCCACAGATATCTTAATAGCTATTTTTTGTCTCTTTCAGGCCTTTGACCAAATATTGGCTTTACAGTGAGACCTATACTGGCCATGCTATCTTATTAGACAAACTGTTCCCCAATCTAACTCTCAAATTTCTCTTATTCTATAACATTTAGCCCCTTCCAATATATTACACAATTTATGCAATTTTTATGTATATTAATTGTATATTTTCTCTCTTCCCCCACTAGAATGTAAGCTCCTTGAGTGATGTTTGCTTTTTTAATTGATTCATCCCAAGTGCCTGGAATAGTGCATGATACATAGCAATAGATGAATAAAATTTTAGTTTACTGAATGAATATATATTTTGAAGTGATTTGTGAATCTTAAATAAAATAATCTAAACCACAGCACCTACCACAGTGATTAGCAAAGAGAAAACACTAAACATACATTGTATCTGTTGTCAAGCAATTTGCTAGGGATATCTTCTGGGGACACTGGATCACTGAATGTATCGTTTTGGTCATGTGGAAATAGCTCTCTATATAAAGTTCTATGTGAATTCTGAAAGCGATGGGGTTAAAACAAGGAAACTTAATTTGAGGGATTTTTGTTCATCAAATCCCTTGCTTGTTTGCATGATGATAAATTTTTGGTGTAAAAAGACTATTCATGAGCATTTTATCAAACAAGATTGCTGTAGAGTAAGTTTCCCACTTAGTGGTAAGCAGTGCATTACCTTAGCTGTCTTCAGGCTGTCTTTTTCTGAACTTATTTATAAGTGTCTCTAGAGAAATCATCACACTTTATTTTGAAGGTTTTAAGAAGTATCTGACACACATGTCTCACAGGTATTTCATTAAGGGCCTAACGAATGAAATGGTTCACATTTATAACTAAAAAGAAATTCCCTTGGAATCAAAACAATTATTAAATTCCTTAATACTTGTGATAAGCGATGCTTGTGAACTCACAGGAATCATCATAAACAGCCCTTCTGGACTTTGCAGGTCTTTGGTTTCCAGGTTGGAAATACATGGTTACTATTTTTGGCATATGCAAGACTTTTAAGAATGAATCAAATTTCTATGTTTACTTTAAGGATTAACATATACAGGCAGGGCAGATTAAAAAGCTGTAAAATCTTTGCAATTTCAATAAAAAGACATGGAAAAACTTTATTACTTTTTAATTATCTTAGATATTTAGTTCTGATAGCACAGGTGAACAAGATGCTAGTGGAAAACACGGAAAACAAGATGCTAGTGTAAAACACCTTATTTTTTTGGTTTGTTTTTGTTTTCTTCAAAGAAGAACATTTATCATGTGTTTGAAGGGTAGTGAGTTAACAAGGCTCCAGTGCAAACCCTGCCTAACCATGGGGTGGAAGGTTTACAGCAGTGTCACTTCCAGCTGCCAGCAGGTGCTGCTCTGGGTGTCAGGCTAAAGACTCGATTCATTAAGTTCTGCCACTCCAGTACTGTACTCTTTATGACAAGAAAAACAAGAAGGAACAGTGAGTCTCTTATATTTAACCCATAAAACTTAACACTCTGACCTCAATCATATAAACCAGAAGTGAAAGAGGCAATTGCAAATCTGACCAATAAAACTGGTAAAGCACTTACATGCTGGGAGTAGAAGAATATATGTCTATGTGTATGGGAAAAAGAACAATCTGCAAATTCCTCTGTTAGGTGGTACCAGAACTGGTGTAGTCCATATCCTCTGCAGCATTTTAGACGTGTTTGTGCATGCTTGGTACACTACTGGGCGGCCCCATTACAAGCTCGGTTACACAAGGGAGTGGGGAAGCCTTGGGGTAGAAAGATATATAAAAGAAGGGCCACACCACCAAAGCCTCTATTGTGGGGAGAAAGTCGAATCCCAAGTCTGTTCATTTCCTTCTCTGGGTCAGGACTGAAAAAATCCATTTGTGTCCTAGAGAGGCTTTAAAGTAGATATGAGAGAACTATTTTGTGCTAAAACCCAGACATAGGGCACAAGGCAATGCTACTTTGGAACAAATCCTAAAGCACCAGGGTATAGAAAAGAGACTTCCAGGCATCCAGCAAACATGAGGCTTTGGTGCACAAGAACCTCAGCTTGTTCTGCTTTATGCAGTTAGAACAGGGAAAATGGTGAATCTCTTTATTTTTACACAGAATAATGCAAAAAGTTCCACCACTCCCATAGTTTTGTTGTATTTAGGACTAGAATAAATCCCTTTTAAAGCTCCTTTCTATGTTCTCCTGGAAGAGGTGGGGTGGGGAGGTTGGGGACAGGGAAGAAGACTCTTGCTGAGAATGAGAACCTGATTGATGCCTCTTTTGTTTAAGGAAACTCCAGATTGTGTGCTTGGATAGCTTTGAGTAGTTTGGGGTAGGTGGTAAACTGTGATACTGTCTTTCTAAGGAAGTCGCTGGTAGGTAGAGCATAAAAGAATAAAACAATCTTAAAGGAAACAGACTCTGAGTAAAGATGGTCAGTGAACTAAGTACGAAGAATGTGAGTAGGAAGAAATTTTAGTAGTTTATTGATTTTTAAAATTCTCTTAAAATTTTTTGTATTTATTATTCTCTGATATCATCTCCTAGTAATAACCCAACCGATAGTAAACATGTGCCATGCACAATAGTTTATTTGTTATACTTTTGGTGAATTATGGAAAATATGTTGCCTTCAGTATGGCATACAGTAGTGTGAGGGAAAGCAGAGCGGAAACGAGGGACTTTTTGAGAAGCAAGCAAGGAGATCTGGAGTAGGCATACTCAAAGTTGTTTATGTGGCTGGCAGCATTTTAAGATGACCCCCTATAAACACAATGAGCTAGCATGGCTGCAATTATGTTATATTACATGGGAAAGTAATTTGACAGATGTAGAGAAGGTTATTCATCAATTGACCTGAACATGGGGGTGTCTCCAGGTGGACCTAATCTAATCAAGCAAGCCTCTTAAAAGCAGACTTTCTTCTAGCTGGTAGCAGAAGACATTCAAGATATTGGAAGTTTCACGGAGATTTGGCATGAGGTTGGCTTTTTGTGGAGGTGGAGGGGGATGGGTAAAAAGACCTCAAAGCAGATTTTAGGAACTAAACGTGACCCCGTGACTGAAAGCCAGCAAGAAAACTGGCACCTCACGCTTGCAACCACATGGAACTAAATTCTGCCAACAACATGAATGACCTTGGAAAGAAATTCTTCCCCAGATATTCCAAATAAGAATGTAATCTGGGCAAGACTTTGGTTTTAGCCTCATGAGATCCTAGACCGAAAACCCAGTTGAGCCCTCCTGGACTTCTGACCTACATATCTGTGCGACAATAAATGGGTGTTGCTTTAAGCAGCTAAGGTTGTGGTAATTTGTTATGCAGCAATAGAAAACTAATACACCTGGGAAAACTGGGATGAGAAAATGCTGGTTTTCTTCAATAAGTGAAAGAACATTTCATTACAGCTATTAAAAGATTGGCCTAAAGAGCCTGGAGGATGTGGAGCCATCTAGGTGTCAGGCAATAAACAAGGGTGTTTTTAGGTCAATACTTATTAGGCATTTTGATTAGGTGTCCAAGGAATACCAAAATCCCCTGTTTGTTTGTGTGGCAGCCATGGGAATGTGCATCTCAACCTTCAACCACAGAAAGTGTAATTGAACTCCAGCTGCTGCTCTTTGAAATCCATCACTGCTTTGTACCAAGACTATGCCTTTCGAGGGGCTGCTCCTTGCCAATCATTGAGTGCAACATGGTTCCTTAGGCACATTCATTATGGAGCAACAAGAGACTTTTCTGATGGCTTTGGTTTGAGGAGTTCTTGACAGCTTTTGTGACACTTCCTTAAACTGTATAGAAGTCTAGGTGCTTCCCTCCAATCTCTCTTCCTTGCCTCCCTCATGGGGGTCAGACTTGCATCCTATCAGGCTGTTTTCTAAGCCCTTCCTTTCTTCCTTCCTTGATTCATTCCTTCCTTCCTTCCTTCCTTCCTTCCTTGATTCATTCCTTCCTTCCTTCCTTCCTTCCTTCCTTCCTTCCTTCCTTCCTTCCTTCCTTCCTTCCTTCTTTCTTTCTTTTTTAGAGACAGGATCTCACTGTCATCCAGGCTGGAGTGCAGTGACATCATCATAGCTTACTCCAGCCTTGAACTCCTGGGCTCAAACCATCCTCCAACCTCAGCCTCCTGAGTAGCTATGACTACAAGTGCATCCCCCCACATCTGGCTAATTTTTTAAGACTTTTGGTAGAAATGAAGTCTTGCTATGTTGCCCAGGCTGTTCTCAAACTCCTGGGCTTAAGCAATCCTGCTACTTTGGCCTTTCAAAGAACTGGGATTACAGGTGTGAGCCACTGCACCTGGCCTTCACCATTTCTTCATGCAGGCATTTTTTTCTAACAAAATCCTTGTAAGCTTAATACTGTCTTAAACAGTCTGCCCTTTGGAGAACCTGAAGTAACATAGCTGGATTATCTCTCCTCTTAGTTTTAATACGAACATAAAACAAATGCTGATGACACAAATATTACTAACTGAGGCTTTGTGTCTGAGTGCTAATGTAGATCTGTTGTAAACTAGGCAATACGTCATCAAGCCCCCTTTACCTCAGCTAAATTATACCCATGTTCACCTGAATGTACAAGGGCCAGAGGATCTTGTCAATCCAAACTTGAGCTTCAGATTCTACCACTACGATAATGGGATGACTGGTTGAGTCAAAGCATCTCCACCAACGCCAGAAGAGAAGAAGTCAGAGAAAAGAGCTATTAGGTTGGTGCAAAAGTTTATTGCGGTTTTTGCCATTTAAAAGTAATGGCGAAGACTGCAGTGACTTTTGCACCAACCTAATAAAAGCAAGTCTTTGCCTTCCTGCCTAGATTCCAATTGGCAGTAACTCTGGTCTAGATGCCAAATGGGTCAAAAAAGCATCCAAGGAGAGGGAGAGTGACTAAGTGACTCTTTGGCTGCACTACCTCAGCTACTAGTCTGGTCGAGTGGAAGGAAAGAATAAATTAAGATGAGAAGAGCTTTCATTTTTATTTTCTTTAAAGCATCCACCCATAGAAAATGTGGAGTAATTAGTGACCTGGAAAATGACCAGTCGATCAAGATCACTCCTTCCTGGGGAGGAAGATATTAAAGAGAGCAGCATAAAAGAGACTGGAACTCTCCTTTTGGAGTCACTTTGTAGCTTGAGGTGTGCAAATTTCTGGTGATGGCATCAGAAGACAGGACCGTTGTAAGGTCAGCAATTGTCTTAGTTCTTTTCTCTGACTTCTTCTCTTCTGGCATGGGTGGAGATGCTTTGACTCAACCAGTCATCCCATTGCTGTAGTGGTAGAATCTGAAACTCAAGCCTTCTCCCTCTGGCCCACAGAAGTATCAGCAGTGAGATATTTGCATGAACACAGCAGGCTGTGGGAATGTCAGGAAAATACTTTCTCACCTCAGGGGATCTGGGCAGAAGAAGAAGAAAATGGCAAATATCAGAGGATAACATAGTACTGGACAAACATAACCCACCCTAGGATCATCTCAGCCATATTGGATGACAATTTAAAGGAAACTTAAGGTCCTATAGTAGCAGACAGGGATTAAAACCTGGGTTGCAAAAGTTACAAATACATTGAAAAATCCTTGGTAGGCATAAATGTATTTATCTGCTCGTAAATTTGAATTTTATGCATCTCTCACTTGAAAACAGACTCAGTAAATACACTTTCGAGTACTTATTCTTTCCCCCAGACTTACTTGGAATTTAGTCCTTCTCTCTAATTAGATGTAATTTTTATGTTTTCCAATAATGTATGTGTATTAAAAATGATGTGACAATGCTTTTATTTTATGAGCCGCAAGTACATTATAATACAAATACTTCTAAATGGTAAAGGTTTTTAAAAGATGAGATGTGTAAAGAAAATCTATGCTCAACTCCTTGAAAGGGATGCACTATACCGAACTGTCTGCCATAGCCCATTTGGGCTATTATAACAGACTATTTTAAATTGGATGGCTTATAAACAGCAGAAATTTATTTATCACAGTTCTGGAGGCTGGGAAGTCCAAGATAAAGGTACCAGCAGATTTAGCATCTGGTGAGAGCCAGCTTCTTCATAGATGGCCATCTTCTCTGTAACTTCACATAGTGGAAAGGACAAGGGAGCTATTTAGGGCCTCCTTTATAAGGGCACTAATTCCATTCATGACCTAATCACCTCCCAGTGGCCCTTCCTTTTAATACCAATACATGGACATGAGAGACCTTGCCTCTCTCTCTCTCTCTCTCTGCTCTTCCTGAGGATGCAAGAAGACGGCTGTCTGCAAGCCAGGATGGGCCGTCACTAGTCACTGGCTCAACCAGTACCTTGATCTTGGACTTCTCAACTTCTAGAACTGAAAAAATATATTTTTTTTGTCATTTAAACCATCTAGTCTATGGTATATTTGTTGTAGCACTACCAATGACTAAGACAATCCTATAATTCACAATTGAAAATTATTTGCCTTAAAACTTTTGGCTTGGCTATAAAAATGACTTTTAATTTTAACTTTAAAGCAATAAATGAAGTTGAAATGTAGTCATTATGAAATAAAGTTAAACTTTGTGTCAACCAATGTCTATGAATTAAATTCGCATTTCTCTTTACACTAGGGTGATTTTTGTATGCTATAGTTGGCAAAGTTTGTAAATTATAAATCAGTAAGAGACCTACTTAAAATTTGCTTTTGATGAGAGACCTGAATGAACCCCTGAGGCTCAAGCTAGAAGACATCTCACCTTCAAGAAATTCTTCTGCATATTATTTGCCTAGACCCACTGAGGGGAAGGACATTAAATGAAGAAAAAAAGATCACTATTTTTTTGTTAAAGTTTTTTTAATAGGTCCTTATCAAGGTATATTTTAAATAATATATGAAACCCTATCATAACAATTGAAAAAATAAACTGGTTCTGAGGCTAGGTCAAGGATTCAGGGATTGAGAGATCAGGAAATCAAATTTTATATAAATAGAGGACCCAGAACAAATCATTAAACCTGAGTTAACATGTATTACTACAGTTGTTCGCTCTCAAAAGGAGTCAACATGGAAGGCACTGAAAGAGCACTGGCTTTGTAATTCAGTTCAAATCCGAGCTCCATCCTTTGCCCTTTGCTTTCTGTAGTTCAGTGTTTCTGTGCCTCACTTTGAAAAGTAAAGGAGATAGAAAATGTGAAAATGAATATCATATATATGAAATGAATGGTAATGAGGACATATATTTTAGGTAATGCCATTTTCTTTTTTTCTGATGCCTTTCAGCCAGCTCTTGGGTCAACTCTTAATTCATGGCAATGAAGTCATTTTGGGAGGCCAGAAAGATGGTGGGCAGTTAGGGAAAAGCTGAGTAACTGAAAACAATTGAAACTTCAAGATTCTCTGGACCCTGTTTTTACCCAAGCTTAAAAAAAAAAAAAAAAATCAGCTATCCTTTGTGTTTTGTTTGCTTTCACACCTCTTTCCAGTTTTTTCTTGGAAATGATACAAAGGGAAGTGCTGGGAAGGAAGGTGTGTTCCCTTTAAATGATACAGAAGAGAGAAAGGGAAGTGTTGGGTAGAGGAGGGCATGGTCCCTGGCTAGGCCTGTCCCCATGAACCTATGTGAGGACAGGTATTTTTGTTTTTCTGATCAAATGTTGCATTTCCCAAGACCACCCTGGCCTGCCACACCCTCATCCTGTGCCTATTAAAACTCCAAAACCCTAGCAGGCAGACACACAAGTGGCTGGACATTAAGAGGACATTGAGGGGAACACACTGGTGGAAGACAGCACCTACAGACGCTGGCACACTGGCAGGCCATCAAAGGTGGAACAATGAAGTTTGGCTGGGGTGGTCAGAGGAAAGCCTGGGCCTTTGAGTGGCTTGACTCCAGGAGAGAACTACCTCCCTTCTGGCTCCCCCAACTTCTGAGAGCTAATTCCAATCAATAAAACCTTGCACTCATTCTCCAAGCTGAAGGTGTGATCTGATTTTTCCAGTACACCAAGGCAAGGACCCTGGGATACAGAAAGCCCTCTATCCTTGCAGGAGTCTAATTGAACTGACTAACACAAACTGCCTACAGATGGCTAAACTAAAAGAGCACCCTGTAATACATGTCCACTAGAGCTTCAGCTGTAAACATTCACCCCTAGACACTGCCGTGGGGTGGGAGCCCCACAGCCTGCCCATCTGTATGCTGCCCTAGAGGTTTGGGCAGTGGAGCACTGAAGAAGTGAGCCACACCCTCATCACACACCCTGCAAGAGGGACATGAGAAATTTTCCCATTTAAATTAGGGGCTCGTCTGGGATCTCGGAAGGTCAGTGTGAACAAAAGCAAAACTGTCAGGTCTGCCTTTCTTCCAAAACCCTGCCACCTCTCTCTCTTTCCTGTGGGTAAGAGGCTGTGTTTTCCTTTCATGTCTTTTCTCTCTCTCACACAGTTTGAAATGGCTCTTATCTCTTCATTTATAATGTTAAGAGTTTTGCTACAGGCTGTGGCAATGTTACTAAGTAAAATGAGCATTTGGCTCAGCCAACAAATGTGCAAATCAGACCAATTTTTCTTACAGTTGCCACGTATGCCTCCACCTTGTCAGCCACAGGCATTCATGGCTCAGCGCACCTTTCCCCTCCCAGCTCAGGCGTGTGACTGTGCCTGCAGCAGGCAAAGGCCAAGTCCAACAGCCACGGGCGGGTGGAAGCCGGAGAAAACCAGTGGTAGCTGGGACCCTACTGGGTGCTTCTTGCCCACCATGCCAACCAAACCTTTCCTCCCCTGGCCAAGGAATTTAACCTGGTCTGACCTAAGGCAAGGATGGGAAAGTTATAAGGATTAGAGGGACCCACTTGCACTATGCAAGGGGTTCTTCTCCTAGCATCTCTCCCTTTTAGCCCCTTAAACTGTTTTTCTCTTTTTTCCTTTTCTAAGTGAGAGGGCTCCCTCTCCCAACTCTGTTTCTGGTAGGGAAGTTAACAGAAGAGCGACCCTTGCTGGCTGAGAACTGCAGATTCAGCAGGGCACATGTGAGACACTCTAAACAGAAACAGCCTCTAAAATGCCTTTTCAGTCCCAACCTTGATTCCAAGCTTCAGGCTGAGGCCCTGGAAAGAAAAAACAGGTCTGAGGGATCCAAAGCCAGGAAATAGGCACAATGTAAATGGGCAGGACCAATTCCTGCCAACTAAACCCCCCACCCTCTGGAAGGAGGCCATGATTCATGGCATAAACAGGCCCAGGGAACTCAGAGTTTGCCAACAGCAGGGAGAAAGGGAGGCATATGCGAGGGCAGTTAATTCTGATTCTCCAGGTTTTCCCTGCTTTATGGGTACACACTGCATTTGTACCTATGGCCGGCACCTGGCCAAGGTCACTGGGGCTCAGGGACAAGAGGTGAAAAGTCAAGGGAGGGCACTGACCTTCTCTCTCCATCTCACCCTGAGTTTTTTGCTGAAAGAAGAAAGGGAAATGAGGATGCCTCTTTTCCCTGTCTTTCTGAATGGACAACCAGTTCTCTTCACCACTCCCAGCTTATACTCTTCTGGAGTGTATCCTGAACCATTGGGATTGCTTTGACCCTCAGAATCTGGAGGAAAAGTGCCTCATAGCCCTCTGCACAAAGGTTTAGCCAAATTATGATTTACAGGAAGGACTCGGTTGGCCCCAGGAAGGAACCATTCATTTCAATGGCATACAGCAGTTGGAACGTTTCTGTAGATGTAAGGACAGGAATATATGTCTGAGGCCCCATATATGCAGGCTTTCTATACCTTGCAAGGCAATTCAGACCCTTGCCAACAGTGTAAGACTGATCCAGCTCTCCTGTTTGCCATCTCAGGGAAGGCTGCAAGGGGAAAGTCCAGGGAATTAAAGATATGAGTCCCAGAGGCACTTCCAGCAGAGGAGACAGCTCCCTCCAGCCCTGCTCCTCTGGGTCCACCCAGACCTCCCTATTCTGCTTTAGCCTCTCACTTGCCCCCTCCTAGAAATTCTCGCCCTAAACAAGCCCCATTCTTACTCTTGCTGCTCCAACAGATGTCCAGTGAATTTGGGCCAGGTAAGATCCAGGTCCCCTTTTCCCTACAGCAATTCCTTAAAGCAAATTAAGGGGGATCCTGGCAAGTTTTCAGATTACCCTGATAGATATATAGAGGCTTTCAAGAATTTCACCCAAATAGTTGAACTCTCCTGGAAAGATGTTCTGTTACTTTTGAATCAGACCCTGGTGGATACTGAAGAACAGGCTGCTCTGCAAGCAGCAGAGAGACATAGGGATGAGCTTTGTATCACATATAGCTTCAGGGAAGGAGGCAAATATTATCCCAACTGGAAGAGAAGCAGTACCAATGGATGACCCTAGACGGGATCCTAATGATGAGGTGGAAGCCTGGAAGAGGAGACACTTTCAGGAGTGCATAATGGAAGGCTTATGTAGAACTAGGACCAAGCCTCTCAATTACACTAAGTTGTCCATGATTGACCAGAGATTTGATGGAAACCCCACTGCCTTCCTGGAGAAGATAAGAGAGGCCCTGGTAAAGCATACCTCTCTCTCTCCTGATTCAGTCGAGGGACAACTAATCCTAAAGGATAAATTTATTACCCAGGCAGCTCCTGACATCAAGAGGAAGCTACAAAAACAGGCCCTGGAACCAGACAGTAGTTTAGAGAACCTCCTTAAACTAGCCACCTCAGTCTTTTATAATAGAGACAGGGAGGCCCAGGAATGAGAGAGGAAATACAGTAAAGAGACAGAAGCTTTAAAGGCCACCAAGCAAGCTCACAAACCCCAGAATTCTCAGTGTGCACCTGTTAACTGCTAAAGATATGGCAAGAACAGTTATTTCATTCTAAAAGTTTATCCACTCCCATGCAAGGTTTAATGTGTTTCACCTGGGTGAAACAGCGCAGGGTTCAATGTTGTTAGTATATTTTACTGCTTGTCTCTGTAATCTTTGGCACTAAATTCTTTTTTTGTATCATACACATATTTAGCCCATACATACTTAACCTTATAAAACTTGTTTTTTTCCTCTTACGCCTAGAAGCCATCAAATTCCAAAGGGTCAGACAACCGGAGCCTCAGACAATGGCTCCCCTTTGTTAGAAACCCTTAGATAGACCTCTGGGAGGAGTCTGACTGCCATTTCCCCCAAAACAACATGTCGCTGTCAGCAGGAAACAGCTAAGACAGGTCATCGTCCGTATTCTAATGACAGTTAGATGTACCTCTCCAGAGTGGGGAAATGATACTGAAGGGAAGTGCTGGGAAGGGAAGGGCATGGTCCCTTTAAATGATAAAGAAGTGGGGAAGGAAAATGCCGGGTAGAGGAGGGCATGGTCTCTGGCTAGGGCTCCACCCCTAGTCCTGTGCCCAGGGACTAGAGGAAGACAGGTATTTTTGTTTTCCTGCCAAAATACTGCATTTCCCAAGACCACCCTGGCCTGTCATGCGCTCACCCTGTGCCTATAAAAGCCTCAAGACCCTAGCGGGCAGGGACACAAGCTGCTGGATATCGAGAGGAATACATCCGCGGAAGAAGATGCAAGCAGCTGGACGTCAAGAGGACGTCGAGGGGAGCAAACCAGTGGAAGAGCACACGACGCTGGCACACCGGCAGGCCATCAGAGTTCGGCCGGGGTAGTCGGAGGAGAGCCCTGGTGCTGAGTGGCTCAACTCCAGGGGAAAACCATCTCCCTTCTGGCTTCACCATCTGCTGAGAGCTACTTCCACTCAATAAAACCTTGCACTCATTCTCCAAGCCCACATGTGAACTGATTTTTCCAGTACACCAACGCAAGAAACCTCAGGATACAGAAAGCCCTCTGTCCTTCCAATAAGGCAGGGGGTTCTAATTGAGCTAACACAAGGCACCTACGGATGCCTAAATTAAAGAGCAAACTTGTAACACACGCCCACTAGAGCTTCAGCTGCAAACCGCTAGACACTGCCGTGGGGTCAGAGCCCCACAGCCTGCCGGTCTGTATGCTCCCCTAGAGGTTTGAGCAGCTGGGCAATGAAGAGGTGAGCTACAACTCCCAGTGCACACCCTGCGAGGGGGACAAGGGAACTTTTCCTGTTTTAGAAATACCAAAGCACAATCAACCCATCAAACGAAAAAAACAACAACAGCCTAAAAGACAAGGTTGATGTGGAGGAGAAAAAAAAGGTATGTATAATGCTCAAACTGATCTTTAGCGCTGGACACTTGAGAGTTGACAATGTTTCTATGATTCAGAAGCGCCAAAAAGCTAAAGAGATTCCCCTAATATAAAGCCAGTTCTATACATTTTAAGAATTATTATGGGGAGCCAGGAGTGATAATTCAACTGAATAATTTTCCTCGAGTGTCAGGCATATGTAGAATTGCCTAATTCTAAAGTAACAAAAATCATTCTATGAGTGTTTCAATTTCATGTTTGCCTAACAACCAGTACACTCGCTATAAATGACAAGTTGTATACATTCCATTATTGGGGAAGCTATAAAGAAGTTCAAACTTGTTTCCTCTACTTCATTCTTAAACATGAAAAGACAACTGTTTTGAGCTGAATGTGTTTGTTTTCTAATAGAGTTATTATAAAGAGTTCTCTGTCCTCTCCTTTCAGGTATTTCCGAATGTTTTTATTTATTGTTTGAGCAATTCCAGGAACTATGTACCTGTGGTTCATGGTATTGATGGTTCTTTATAGGGCTCCACAGTTTTCAGGGAGGTTGTAAAGCTTTTATTATTTTCGGAGAAATCTCTGCTGTTGTGGTCAGGGTGGATATCTGCTCTGCTGTATTTGATATGCCTAAAAGAACCTGCTTATTACAGTACAATAGCGAGTATTCAAAAAGATGTGTAGAAACAGGAAGGAAAAAGTTTGAGCTAACGGAGTTTATGTGAAAATGATGCACAGGGAAAGATAATGGGATGGGTCTCCCACCTAGAGGCTGTGTCTGATCCATGCTGATCCTTTACAACCATCAGTCTAAGCTCAGAAGAGGGAATCTCTTTGCATAAGGGCTGTCTTTCTCCTTCTAACAACTGTTGGAGGCTTGATGTTTTTTGTTGGTCTCAAACAAGGATTAAGAATTTTTATTAAACTGGGGTTTAGCAAACCACTACCAACCAATAGTGATTGGAACCTTTAATAAATAATGAAAATGTTATGCTGTTATGAGATTAGTGTAATCTTGGTAGCATAGACATAGTTCCAGGTGATCTGTTATTTGGTTAGGTGTAGATTTAAATGTACATTTGAGGTTAGTCTGAAGTTAGGACTTAATTTTTAAAGAAATAGTGATCAATTTCTCTCCCACAGTTTATTTTAGATATGCTCAAGCTATCATGTAGACTAATACTGCTATTGCTGTGTCTCAGTTTGCTAACTTACTAGGGGTTTAGCTACACATGCACTGATTTATCTACATCCTTCTACTCCAGTTGGTCTCTCTGAGCTTCCAAAAACTCACAAAAGCCATTTTGAATTGATGACACTGCCAGGGAACCAATGGACTGTGATTTATAAAAGGGTGACTGATCATTTTTTCATGTCTTTGACATGTACAGACCTTGCTGAGAAGAGAGCTTGTGCCACATTTCTTGAGGCAGCAAGTTTTCTCTACATTATGGTATCATGGACTTGACAAAACATGGCTGAGAAAAAACATCTAGCTAATGTTTAATCTAAATAATTCCAAATACGGCATTAACTATCTAACAAAGAAGGTATATTTACACTGGGAAACACTGAAGAGCATATTTAGAATAACTCAGTACCACTTATATGGAGGAGGCAGCTAACTCAGTATTATAATTAGAAGAGCAGCCAAAGTCTCACCTTATTGCAAATATCTTCTCTAATGTAACATGCACACTTCCTATATTATCCATTTTGCCTACTTCACAATATTTGTGTGTGGTTTATGTTTTGACAATAGAGTAACTTCAGCATTACATTATGGCATTAAGTCTCCAGCTAAAATACAAACACTATTTAGAAAAGGTGACATGCTACGCTTTGCCTGTCACAATCATTCCAGCTGTGACATTTAGAGTAATGAGATTTAAAGTGGTTACATATTTAAAAGACTAGATGAAAAACAAATAATTTGAAGCAATACTGAAATTTGAAGTTGGCTCATTGGCATTTCTTCATGGTCCAAGATCACGTTTAACTCGACATAACTGAAGGTAAAATCATTTACTCCCCCGCCACACCTGATTGCTTTATTTAGACCCTTCTGCCTTCCCAGTCACTTAGGATAGAAACCTCAGGGTTATCTCTGACTCCTCCTTCTTCTCGGCTCTTCTCGTGACATCTGTTGATGGATTCTGACATCCCACCTCCTTTTCTATCCCTTTTCTAACCATATGCCTTGGTACAGGGCTTATGATTGATGATGTAGACATCGCATGAACCTGTTCATGAAGCTACTTGCAATTAAATTAATTAATTTGTTTAGCTGCTGTATCCTTTACTAATTGTAAATTAATTTATGATAGAAAACATTATTTAGTCATATTTTTACATCGATTCATCGATATCTAACAAAGCCCATTGCCTAGCATTTGTGTATATGTTTATGTATATTTTCGTGGATGTGCAATGTCTTTTGATAAAATTCAGCATTATGTAAATAGATCCAAGCTATAAGTCCAGGAAAGCCAGGTGACAGCATTAATGATAATATATACTATTTTTGAATGCCTACATTGTGCCATGTAGTTGAGACATATTCTGTAAGATCAGTCCAACAATCTTCAGAGGCAAGTGTTACTGGTCACATTTTCTAGATAACTAAATAAATATTCAAAGATGTTAAGCAATTGTCTAGATCCATCTAACTCCAGAACCTTTATATCCATAAAGCCAGGTGCTGTGGAAAGAAGGAGAAGGTGTCATGAACAAGAGATAGAAAGGTCTTGATGATAAGCTTTTGCCTGTCTTGAGTTTGGCTCAGATTCCCAGTCTGTCCACTAAGATCCTAAGGTATACTAGGAAAACTCATTTTGTGTTACAAAAATTATATTTGGATGAGTAGTAAGAGAGAATACTGGGTAGTCCAACACTCCATACACACATATAAAGTTACTTTTTGATTGTAGAGCTGTCATTTTCAGTTACGAGGTGCATAATCACGTGTATGTGCATATGCATGTATGTGTGTCTGTTGATGTTTGAAAGCCCAATATTTGCACTCCTTCAAGTTTCCTGACAAATCTATTTTCAGAGAAAAATCAGGATACTTATAACTTAGTGTAAATTGTTTATTGCATTTTTGAGAATGCTGCAAATCCTTTCTTCTCTTCACTTGAGCTACTAAGCTGATGCCTAAAGCTGATTAACAATTTTGTCCTAGAGTATTTAAAATAGCTTTTCTATGTGTCAAATGTGATAAATGTTGAGACTGACCATTTGTGATTCTTTCTCAGATTGGGAATTCCTTTCAGAATCAAATCATAAACATTCATGTACAATGTATGTCTGAAGTGGATTTGTTTAAATTTCTCTGTATCCCATGTTCTGGAGAAGTATTCTGAGTTGTATTTACTATGTTGAGATTTATTTTCGAAGTAGAATTTCACTGTACAGGTGTCTGTCTATTGTGCATTAGTGGTTTTTGCTGTTGTTGATTTTTACTTCCTTGGGTAAAAAGAAATAATCGTAAGTCAGTCAATTTGACAAATATTCTTGTAAGAATTTTCCTATTGTCACAGAGGGGTTTGATGTAATTGAACCAACACTCCTTAACTACTTTCCATATGCAAAGAACTCTGATACATGTTTTTGTCTTATTTAATCCCTGACAACACAGTGAGTTGGGTACCATTATCTCTATTATATAGACAAGGAAGGCAGGACCCAGAAACCATAAGGGAACTGCTAAGGTCACGCATTCGGTAATGATATGAATTCTAACTTGGAATTTTGAGAACAGAACAGAATTGTATAAATTGTCTCCTCAAGTCTCAAAGCCTACTAGCCACCACATATGTTATTTTAGCAGTTCCTCGTGGTCTCAGAGGTGTAAAGATTAAGATACCCAAGACGCCTTTGGAACTGAATTATGCCAGATCCCTAGCCTGCTAAATAGGCCAGAGATTTGAATGAACACAGCATTTCGAGTACAGATTCTTAAAACTTTAAAGAAACACAAAACATGTCTAAAATGCTTTCTCAATCAATGATTAACATGAAAGTTTATTTTCCAGTCATAGGAAAGGAAACCATAGAGATTCTGTGGATAAATAGTTAAGGTTGTAGAGTCAAAAGCTTAGGAGATCACCTGTAATACTTTTTAGCTTAGTGACCTTGTATAAGTTTCTTAACATTTTTGAGCCTTGGTTTCTTCTTATGGAGTATGGAGATAATGGCACTTATGAATCGTTGTGAGGATGAACTGGATGTTCACTGAAAACTATTGTTACAATTATTATCATTCCTTTAAAACTTTGAGAAGGTAAATTACATGATAAAACTTTTTCAATGGTTATTACTATATTTCAAGACATGTGATTGGAACTGAGGTATAAATGGTCTATGCAATGCGGTAATTTTTCCCTCAAGTTTACATTATCTAGAGGGTAGAATTATGCCATTACTTTTGGTTTCTCATGATAAAACATTTTGGGAGAAGTTATCATATAATATTCTTCCTGTCTCTAAGAAGTATTTTATAAACTAGTCTGATAAGTCAATAATTTCCTATAATTTATATAGCACTTTTAAAATTCTTAATATTTTTTCTACTTTATATTTATAACAACACTATGATGTTGAAAAGCTAAATATTACCATTCTTATTTACAAAAGTAGAAAGTGAAATTGAAAGTGAAGTTTCAGTAATCAAACACATGTATAAATCCGGAGTGCCTTCTCTTAGACCATCCCAAGGAAACATTTTCCCTAATGATAGGAAAAGAGAACACAAGAAAGACTGAACCACTTCAAAACTACTGTGATTTTTTCACTTTAATGTTAAAGTCTTTTAGAAGCTTCTCAAGCAAACATAGAATCCATTGCAGAAGTGAGAAATCCATTTATTAATTAACGATAAGTTATTTTCTCTTCAAAATCATGATTCAAAGTATTTTCTCTTACTAAGAGGAGAAACTGAGCCTATCAAGACATTCTGTAATAAATTTTTACAAGTAATGACATACTGAACATGCATATTTTATCTCTGCATTATGATTCAGTCTCAAAATAAAAATTAAAATACTTTAGAATATAACATCTTTGACAGCTCATTTAAGATTGCTACATTCTCTTGTAGAGCCTAGATGTTGTGGGTTAATCAATGTGTGCAGCTTTAAAAGACATAAACAAACATACAACCAACCACAACCAAAAAAAACCCCTCAAAATCCACAAGTGTCCCTACTTCCACTGAAGCTAACGGATGCCATTATAATCTTACCAATAGATGTAAGCAGAAGAATCTTGGTGGGGTTTACCTAGGAACATTTAGAAGAGAACCGACTTGTATACTTTGCTTCTCTTTCTATCTGTCTGAAATGTCAACTTCATGACTGCAGGTGCAACAGAAATGAGGGAAACATAAAGAGAAACAAGAGTCTATAGTCAAGATACCCTTGAGCTACTACTGTACCAGACTTGAATTGTCCATCTTGATTTTGTATTATTATAAACTGAGTGAATGAATGACTTAGTGACAGAATGACAGAATGAATTTCAATTTTATTAAAGTCATTATCATTTGAGATTTCTGTTATATAAGGCCATACCCAATTATTAAGTGAAATACTATCCACAGGAAAAAGTGACCATACATGAGCTCAAGCAGTGACTTAGTGAGGCCATCTGCCTACACGTAGTCACTATCTCTACAAAGACACAAGGTAAAACAAGCCCTTTGAGAAGTGATGGAAAAAAAGACTCATTGATGAAAACTAAGAAATTACACATATATATATATAAAATAAGCAATATATAACCACAATTACTAGTATTTCACTTGTTCGAAATTTTATTACACTAAAAATAATCTCACCGTAGACCTGAAAATTAAAGTAATATCATAAAACCTAATTTGCTTTTGTTTTTGTTTTATATCAGCTCAATTCCCTTTACAACCCAGTAAACTTTAATCTGAAATAAATGTAATAGAGCTAAAGGTCTGCCGTAATCTACAGAACATGTAAAAGGTCTGTGTCGTAGACATGAGCAGCCACTAGCTGAGCACCATACGCATACAGGTGATGGTGAAATCTGCAATTTTCAAGGAAGTTGAGGCTCCCTTTTAGCCCTGTGTCTGGGCTATATTTCATAGCAGCAGCTGGAGTGAACCGAGGCATGGAAGCTCAACCACACAGGCCTTAGCAGGAGTTCTCCGACTGTCTGCCTGCCAGGCTCTGTCCTGTGATCTGTGGGCAACATTCATAAACTTGGTTTCCCGTTAAAAAAAGAAATACTTTAAAAATCGTGTGTCTTCTACTCTTTAAAAACATAGACCTGTGATAACTATTCAGATTAAAATATGACAATTAATACTTGTTTTGTTGATTTAAATAGGATAAGGTAGGGAAAAGACCCCAAAGACCTTTTTTTATTAGACCAAAGTGATAGAAAAACTATGTATTTAATAAACTCAGCCCTGGAACCTGGATTCACACCCAGTTTTGTTGAGAGCAACAGGTGATGGGGCTGTGAGCATTGAAGACTTTGCTGGCAGGCCCTGGCCCTGCTGTCTCTCAGTTGAACTCTTGTTCATTGTGCTGCTCCAGGACCCATTCTCTGACTAGGGGGATATCCCATTTCCCTAGCATATAAGACAACTCCAAAAGGTTCTTTAATTTTATTACTGTAAGCCCTGGATATTTTCTTGTCTCTGTTGAAATCTTGCCTTAGCAACAAATAGCTTCTACCCCCAAAGCTTTTAAATATTGCTAAACTTTATCATGAATAAGTAACAAAACACTGTGATTCATGACAACAGATCGGATCCTCTGTCATCATTTCCCCTAGAATGGATCTTACAAATGACCTATTTTACATATACAATATATGTGAAATATGGTTGTAGTTGCATCAAATTATAAAGCTAGAGGAGTATTTGATGATGAAGAATGAAAATGCAAGCACTATGAGGTGGAAAACACTCGTCATTATCAGTTGTCACCCTAATAGGAATTACAAGTTAGTTTTTTGTCCCTCTTTCCAGTGCAATACATTAACTTTCTAATTAAAGTAAATGAAATGAAGCCAACAGTATAAGGAGAAGTAAGGGAAAACTTCCTTGAGGGGTTTATAGTAGGCAGAATAATGCCCTCTCCTAAAATACCCATATTCTAATTCTAGAAACCTGTGACTGTCTTACTCTACATAGCAAAAGGGACTTTGCAGATGTAATTAAGGGCCTTGAAGTGGGAAGATTACCCTGGATAATTTAGGTGTACCCAATACAATCCCAATGGTCCTTATAAGTGAAATAAGGAGGTCAGAGTCACAGAGAGCACTTTGAAGATGCCACACTGCTGGTTTTGAAGATGAAGAAAGGAATTTCTCCATTCCATAAGACAATGTGGCCTCTAGGAAACAGATTCTCCCCTGGAGTCTCTGGAAGGAAGGCAGGCCTGCCAACATCTTGATTTTAGCCTAGGAAGACCTATTTTCAACTTCTGACCTCCAGAAGTGTAAAATAATACATTTCCATTGTTTTATGCTACTAATTTGGGGAAATTTGTTTCAGCAACAATAGGAAACTAATGTAGAGTTGATATTTGATTTGAATCTTGAAGTTTGAATTCAGTAGAACAATCATGGAAAAGAGTGCGTTCTCATCAAAGTAAACAATAAATGTTAAAGCATGAAGGTTAGAAGGAGAATGTCAAGTTGACTTGCATAAAATGAAGATATATGTGAGGAGATATGTGTGTGTGAGGTCAGATTAGGTGACAGAAGGATATTCATATACTCAAGGAATTTATCTGCTCTTCTAAGGAGTTTGAAAAATGAGGAACTACTGAGAAAGACTTAATTATGTCTACATTTGGGAAAATTTTTAAAATAGCAGTCACAAGAAGCGGAGCAAGACTGAAATGCAATGATAGCAGTTAAGATCCAAAGATCTTAATACCAACCAGGAATGATATTTGATATGACCACCTATATAGGAGCACTAGGATGGAGCAAAGGCATAGCTAAGGTGTTGGCTGGGTACCAAAGGAAAACTTGCTTCTGGTTCTGATTTGCATATGTAGCATCTGAGCAGACCTGGCAGGATCAGAATAGTAACTTACTGTCCAAGTGTCTTAGAAATGCCCTGGCCTCTCCATTACTGCAAAAGAAGATGCACAGTAAGAATTTTCAGTAAATTGGAGACATTATTTAATAAAATCATTCTTAGAAATACACAATTTAAACTTCACTACTGTCCAAGAAAAACAGACTTATTTGTGACTAGAATTCATGCACATTAGCAGGCAAATCTTTAATTTTCTATTTATCTTAGACTTTTAACTACTTGATCTGTATAGGAGGTTAATTCTCTCCATTTTTACACTAATCTAAATAAATAAAGTGTCATTTTGACAAGCTTTTAAGCACTGATTAGTCAACAACAACTACAACAAGCAATCCTCAGGAAAGCTTTCTATTTTTCATACTTCTATATATAGGACAATGAGAAGTCATTTATTTTCACCATGTAATAGAGTTTGAATCTTTGACAGGTTTTCTTTGTTGAAGCAATTTACAAGAGCATGAGATACTAAAACATGCCTTATATTAATTCTTTGTTAAGAAAGCATTTCAAAATATTTACTCACTTGTTTTTCTTGCCTTTGAAGCCCAAATCTTTATTTTCTGTCTTTTGCTGATTTCCCAATATGCTTAGGCGTGGAGAGAGCATGTGTTGAAGTTTCTTCTTAGAACTCACCTATATGAATAAATATATTTATAACAATCTGTGTGAATCTTAAATGTGCATTTTACAAATTATGTATCAAATGCAACATATTATCTGAATATTCTAACCATGCCTTTTTTCTATATAACTCATCAACTTCTTTTCACTCTCAATAGAAGTGTAGACCAGCTATTTGTTAGACCTGAGTTAGTTTGGCATGCTTACATGACTTACAAAGAAGGTACCAGTGGAAACAATGTTTATTATATCTCAAAATATAGATCCTTATTTTTTTCTTCTACAAATTTCTGTGAACCATTAATAAAGTGAATATTTGCAGATATTTTATTCACTGAAAGAAATTGACATTATATTCATTTTGCCTAGGCATAATGAAAGGGCTATAATAAAATAAATTAAGACATACTGTGAATATTTCAATATTATGGTACCATGATACTGCTGTAAAAGTATTAAGACAGGAAATTGAAACTGAAAATATGTGGGGTCCGTCTCTGATCAGTAGAAATGTAAATAAACAATTATAAAATAGTAAAGTGATATGAAAATAAATGATTGTGTAAATGTTTTTCATTTTCTGTGAAGAAACAATTAAGAACTTTCTTTTTCAAAATAGAAAATAGACTGATAGTTAGTATAAATCTTAAGACAATGTTAGTAGATGCCTTTAAAGCTAAGGATAATCCACTGAAAATGACAGAAAGATAGCCCTGTTTCCCTCATCATCCCAGTTAAAAATAGCCAAAGTCCTACATATAAGTGAGGCTGTCCTGGACAAGAGTGCATAATTGGTCTGCCTGCTGACCATAGACACATGAGTGAGTTATCAGACAAGCCCAAGAAACAGCAGAATTCCGAATTAAATAAATGCTTGCTCTTTAGGCCACTAAGTTTTGGGGGAGTTACTGTAGCAATAAAGAATTTGTACAAAAATTAGGACCTAGGAAAAGTGATACTATAACACCTAAAATATGTGGTGTTGGCTTTTGGAACTAGGTGGCAGAAAGAAGATGACAAAATGGCAAGCAAATTGTTAGCAAAGCCTAAACAAAAATGGTGAGAAAATTATGATAAGTCTGGTAAAATGGACACATGCTATATAACAGCAAATAAATCTGTGTTCACTTTTGAAATTGATTAAGAAGAACTTCAGGTAGACTATTGAAAGTGTCATCTGGCCTGCACAGTGAAATACACTATCATCAGAGTGAACAGGCAACCTAGAGAATAGGAGAAAACTTTTGCAATCTACCCATCTGACGAAGGTCTAATATCCAGAAATTACAGGGAACTTAAACATATTTACAAGAAAAATACAACCCTATCAAATAGTGGGCAAAGGAAATGAACAAACACTTCTTAAAAGAAGACATGTACATAGCCAACAAACATATGAAAAAAAAAGCTCAACATCACTGATCATCAGAGAAATGCACATGGGCTGGATAAGTAGTTGGAATTAAGTCTATGTAGAGAAGCTTATCACTAACATAATCATAGGTGTTGTTTTTATAATTAGAGTTGAATGAAATCAGATTCATAGAAAACCTAAAAAGTGTTTAAGGGAGTTATATAGGAAGTAGTGCTGCCAGATTAAAAATAAGCTATTTGAAAATTAAAAAGGCTTCTGGGCTTTCAACTTTTTTTGGCCAAGAAGGAACTAAGAAACTTCCTCAAAGGCCCTGTTTTCTAGTATTGTCTTTAGAGTGGCCAAGGAGGTGGGGAAATGGAAGTAAAGTTGACTTGAACATTGTGGGGGTTAGAGATGCCAATATATGCATGGTCAAAAATCTATGTATCCCTTTTGACTCTCCACAAACGTAATTACTAATGGCCTACTCTTGACCAGAAGCATTACCAATATCATATATAGTTGATTAACACATTTTTGTATGTTATATGTATTATATACTCTATTCTTACAATACCGTAAGCTAGAGAAAAGGAAACGTTAAGAAAATCATAAAGAATAGAAACTATATTTACTATTCATTAAGTGGAAGTGGGTCATCATAAAAGTCTTCATCCTTATTGTCTTCATGTTGAGTAGGCTAAGGAGAAGTAGAAAGGGGTGGTTTTGCTGTCCCAGGGTGACAGAAGTGGAAGAAGAGGAGGAGGTAGGAAAAGAGGCAGGGGAGGCAGGTACACTCAGTGTAACTTTATGGAAATATATTGTAATTTCTGTCTTTTTGCTTTTTCATTTCTCTAAAAATATTTCTATACAGTAATAATTCTTCTTCCACCATTTGCTTTAGTATCAGTGCCACTATCAGAGAAGGAGCCTTGTCATAAAAAAAGTCAAAAGCAGTCTTGAATAATCAAAACCTTCCTTCCATCTAATTGTCTAATGTCAATTTGTTTTGTGGCACTGCTTCTTCTATGCCTTTTCCTCATAATCTGGCACTGGTTGGGAAGCACTCAATTCCATTGAGTCATATTCTGTTAATTCCTCTGATGTGGTGTCTATTAGGTCTTTAATTTCTCCAGGACCCAGATCTGGAAAGCCTTCATCTCGCACCTTTTTTTTTCTTTTTGCCATATTCACAATCTCTTTCATGATTTTCTTAATTGGCTCTGTTATAAATCTTGTGAAGTCATGAACAATGTCTGGATACTTTTCTCCAGCAGGAATTTATTGTTTCGGGGTTGGTGGCTTTCATGGCTTTTTCTGTAACAATGATGACATCTTTAATAGTGTAACCCTTTCAGACTTTCATGATGTTCTCTCTATTGGGGTTCTTTTCCATAGAATTGATAATCCTTTTCATAGAGTACTATGTGTAGTGAGCCATAAAGGTCCTTATGATGCTCTGATCTAGAGCCTGAATTAGAGATATTGAGTTTAAGAGCAAGTAGACCACTTCAACACCTTTGGCATAGAATTCATGGAGTTCTGGTTGGTTAGGGATATTGTTCAATATCAAAAGTACTTTAAAAGGCAGTATCTTACTGGCAAAGTGCATTCTGACTTCAGGGAAAAATATAGATTGAACAACTCCAGAAAAAAAAACCTTCTTATTCAGGCCTCCTTGTTGTGCAACTAAAAGACTGGCAGCTGGTGTTCATCTTTTCTCTTCCAGGTTTGAGAGTTAGCAGCTTTATAGATTATGGCAGTCCTAATCATAAACTCCACAGTATTTGCACAAAAATCTTGGGTAAGCCTACCTTTTCTATCTTAAATCTTGGTGCTTGCTTCTCTTTCTAACTAATACATAGTCTTTGTGGCTTTTTTTTTTTTTTTTCCAAAAATGAGGCACTGTTGTCTACATTAAAAACCAGTTTAGGCAGATATCCTTTCTCCTCAATGATTCTCTCAATGGCACCTGGAAACTTGTCTGCTGCCTCCTGGTCAGCAGAAGGTGCTTTTCCTGTTATCTTAGTATTTTTAAAGCCAGCCCTCTTTCTAAAATCATCAAACTATCCTTTGCTGGCATTAAATTATCGAGCTTTAGATCCTTCGCCCTCCTTCTGCTTTAAGTTGTCTTACAATGGCTTTTTCTTCAAATCATATTAGATTCTTATAGGGATTGCCTTTCTCATACAATCCTGCACCCACATAAAAGCTACATTTTCAATACAAGATTACAGGGTATTTTGAAAAAAGTACAAGATTTTCATGCCTGCTGGTATAGTTGCAGTGAGGGCTTCACAAATTTCCTTTTCTTTTTTTACAATAGCCCTTACCCTGGATTCATTTATCTTGAAATGGCAGGCAACCACAGCCACGGACCCCAATATACAGTTTACATTGAGCAATTCAGCTTTTTCTTGTAGTATCATGACTTTTCTCTGGTTCTTCGGAGCTCTTGCCACATCACTAGTGGCACTTTGTGTTGCAGGAAGTCAGGGACCCTGAATGGAGAGACCAGCTGGAACTGCTGCAGAAGAACATAAATTGTGAAGATTTCATGGACGTTTATCAGTTCCCTATAATACTCTTATAATTTCTTATGCCTGTCTTTACTTTAATCTCTTAATCCCATTATCTTCATAAGCTGAGGATGTACATCACCTCAGGACCACTATTGTACAAATTGATTGTAAAACACATGTGTTTGAACAATATGAAATCAGTGCACCTTGAAAAAGAACAGAATAACAGCAATTTTCAGGGAACGAGGGAAGATAACCATAAGCTCTGACTGCCTGCGGGGTCGGGCAGAATAGAGCCATATTTTTCTTCTTGCAGACAGCCTATAAATGGATGTGCAAATAAGAGAGATATCACTGAATTCTTTTCCCAGCAAGGAATACCCTGGGGAAGGATTGCATTCCTGGGGGGAGGTCTATAAATGGCCACACTGGAAGTGTCTGTCTTATGCAGTTGAGATAAGGACTGAAATACGCCCTGGTCACCTGCAGTACCCTCAGGCTTACTAGGATTGGGAAATTCCAGCCTGGTAAAATTTGGTCAGGCTGGTTCTCTGCTCTCGAACCCTGTTTCCTGTTGAGATGTTTATCAAGACAATATGTGCACAGCGGGACATAGACCCTCATCAGCAATTCTAATTTTGCTCTTTGCCTTGTGATCTTTATTGCCCTTTGAAGCATGTGGTCTTTGTGACCTACTCCCTGTTCATATACCCCCTCCCCTTTTAAAATCCCTAATAAAAACTTGCTGGTTTTGCAGCTCAGAGAACATCACAGACATACCGATATGTGATGTTACTCCCGGAGGCCCAGCTGTAAAATTCCTCTTTGAACTCTTTCTCTTTATTTCTCAGACCAGCCAACACTTAGGGAAAATAGAAAGAACCTACGTTGAAATATTGGGGAATGGTTCCCCTGATAACTTTGTGTACTCCCATGGTGTTAATCAGGGCTTATGGTATTGCACTAAGCAGGATGAAAAATTTGTGAGAACTTTGAGATCATTTTTTACTGCAATACACAATTTATTGGAGAGACAACTTGCTCCTGTGGAGATGATTAATGTCACAAGGTGGATTTTAAGTGGATACTCACTACACGTGAGCTCACCATAATAGCAACTGGAGGTGGCTAAAAAAAATCACACTCATACAGTATGTACCACAGTCAGTAACATAGTTATGATTTAATACTACATCTTTACATTCATTTACATTTCTGTCCACTGCAAATGGCACCATGTACAGTTAGTGTTTGTGTCAGCAGTTTCAATAAATTTTAACTTTTTGCAATTGATTTGTGTATACTTTATGATGAGTAAATTATAAAATAAACAAGTATCTATATATATTTTACGCATTCATGACATACCCATATTTTTCTTATTCTTTTATATTTCCAGACTGTATCATTCATCTGAGTTTTTTTCAAATTATCACAAATGTTCAAAGCTTTTTCTAATATAGTTATTGAAAAAAATATCCACTTATAAGTAGACCTATGAAGTTCAGACTCATGTTGTTCAAGGGTCAACTGTAGTTTCAACTGGCAAAGTCAAGAAAGAACACACAGGTAAAATAAAAATCCATAGAGAACAATTAACTTTAGAACATCCAGATTATAAAACAAAAAATAGCACTTAATCAAGGACTATTTCCCACTCCCAGAGTAGGAAATTTGGCAATATTTGCTCAGTAGGATTTCAGAATGCTGTTGGTTTCTGACTACTGTTTCATTCATTCTTTTCCACATGAGAGTATTTGTTATAGCTATCATGCTTCTTTTCTACCTTTGTATGTTAGGAGAATGTGGGACCCATAACTTGTCTTTTTGGTCCTTTAATATCTGCATCAAGAGGAACCATATCAGGACCTGATATAAAATTTCAAGCTTTATGCAGCAATTTCAAGCTTCATGCCACAATTGGATAAAACTTTGGGGATCTTGGGAGGGGATGAGAGGATTTTGCAAGTGGAAGTGATATGACTAGTTGTGGCAAAAGGTAGAGTAATTGTATATTGAAGATCAAGAAATGCCCACAAGTCTTTACCCTCTCGTCAGGGCCTTTCCAATGTGACTTTATAATTCCTCCCATCAATAAGCTCTTACATTTGTGGCATTTTTTTTCCCAAAATGGGACACTGTTGTCTGCATTAAAAACCTTATAAATGTATTATAATTGCCATGTATCTACCTGTCTAATTTTATGCCAGTTCCATACTGCCTTAATTACTGTTGCTTTGTAGTACATTTTAAAATTGGGAAGTGTGAGTCCTCCAACTTTGCTCTTCTTTTCCAAGATTGTTTTAGGTATCCAGTGTTGAGTTGTTGTCTATTGTTAAAAGTAGAAACAAAACCTAGTTAAACATATGTCATTGGCTTTGGACAAAAGAGGTGTTTGGTGCTTTCCCTGTAAATATGAACATGTTTAGCACAGTGCCAGCTACATTTTATGCACCTGGTAAATGTTTATTCCCATTTATGTCTGCTTTCTCTTCACACACAAAGGAGTATCCTATAGTGTAAGATAAATTTTGGCAGCTATTAAATTTCTGTGTGCATATTTTAGATCATGGGATTTTCTATCTTTCAATGCAGTATAGAGGAATAACCTCTAATGAAATGCATGAGATCACAAAGTTAAAACATAGTGATCTTAGTAAAACATGGTGGGAACTTAAATCATCTGGTCTAGCTGTACAGCACCTCGTGTAACAATGCAGGGCCAGATATGCACAGTGCTGACCAAGCTAGGAATGATAATATCTGACAAGCTAGGTTGCTTTGCTTGTTGATATGGTGATCTCAAGAGAGCTGTCAGGCATTTTATGCCTGATGAACTGTAGAGCAGCCTGTGCTTCTCTGACTGTGTTTTTTCCTGTCTGGGATGTAGGGAAATAACAGAGACATAAACCCCCGGAACCTCTATTTAGTGGCGTGGAACACTGAGTTTTTTTGTAGGCTATTTTCTGGGTATTGCTCAAATTTCCCATAGAAAGCAAGAGCCACTAAAATCACTTCTCTGTCTGCTAAAGGGATTTTCTTGTTCTTTAGATCCCTTCTCTCACCTCCACTATTTTGGTCAACATCCCTTTTTGAATTTTCTCCTCTTTCATGAAGGGTTACTTATTATAAGTACATCTTTCATTAGACATTGTTATGCTCTTCTTCCATGTCCTTATCGCTATGAATTTCCTGACTCTCCCTGACTTTCTCGCCAAATCATCTTTTTTGCAAAGGTTTCCCAAACTGGTGTAATTATAATAAAATCTGAAGAGGAGGGTGACAATTTTAGAGAATAGTCAGACACCAAATATACTTTTAAGTAGCTATTGTATTCTAGACATTCTGTTAGCTGCAGAAGACACTTCCATGAACAAGATGGATATCTCCCTTTCCACACTATTAAACAAATACTTATATATGTAGTAAGTGCTGTGAAAAAGTGCACGTTTCCATGGGGAGTAGCATTTGGCCAGAGATATCTAGAGGAAATTGAGACTTGAAGAACAAATAAGGGAAGGTTGATGGAAGGAGCATTCCAGCCAAAGGAAATAATGTATGGAAGCCCTGGGGTGGGAGTAAACACAGCCTATTTGAAGATCTAAGAGAAATTCTGTGTTACTGGAACTTAGAAGAAAGAAAGAAAATGAAGTTGTGCATTTGGAAGGAGATACATGAAGTCAGTCTTAGAGACCACTTTTAGGATTCTACCCTAATGTCTAGGGGAAGATTGATGGTTCATCCAGAAGGCTGGCATGAAGGGAGTGACATTTTCAAAAGATGCATCTATGGATTGGGGATATATTGGAAGGGGGCAAGTTTGGTATGGTTAGAAGATTATTTCCCAAATCTAGTGGACAAATTAAAGTGATATGTGTGTCACGCAAGGAGTATAAAGAAAAAGAAATTAATTTATTAACTCCTTGAAAGACAGAAACTGCAAATCTCGAGGTTTTGGGAGTAGAAGGCATGGAGAATGACATGTTGGTTGTAGCCTGAAAAAGTAGGGGTATGTAGAAGTTAGACATACCATACTGTGGATATTCCAAAATACCAGAATGAGAAGGGTGTGTGTATCACTGTAGGCAGGTGGGGTTATTAACAGTTTGGGGTGTGTTAAATTGCATGTCTGGAATAATACTTTACAGAGGGAAAGCACACACTTCATAACATTCCTAAATATTAAAGTCTATTGAGTTTAAGCTCTTGCTAAGTTAGAAATATTTTTGCCTGCCTGACCTCATCTTATACTGGACTTCAATAAAATGGATTCTTCATTTGAGTAATAAAACTCAGTCTGTTGCTTGTAAAATTTGAGCACACTTCCTCACAAGTCATAGACTGAAGAAGGAGACAGCAGGAGCCAGGGTCCTTGAAGAGAATCAGAAGGTTGATGACTGAGCAGCCTCTGCAAAATACATTAATTTCTATTTTTACCTTCAGATGGGACCTCGAAAGGCAAGGCCACAGGACAAGGAATGAGCCGGAGCAATGCCCTTTACTGACATAGCTTGGGAGTCATGACCATGGACTCTTAATAAACCTGTCATGGTGATTTTCATATTTTGATTCTCTGGAATAAAGCACAAAATTTAAAGGCAGCTCCATGTCATTTTATGAGGAATGAGGGAGTGGAGAAGGTTTGGGAAACAAAAAACAAAAAGGTGCCAATCCATGTATTTTAACAATCAGAGGAAGAAGCTTACTTTTCCCAAGTGAAGTGAAGCCAGTGGATGGCCCTTTCTTGTGCGTTTGTACTGCCGCTTTGCCTTTTGTGGTAGAGAAATAACTTGGATTCAGGAGATTCATATGCTCATGGGATCCACAAAGTTTGTTTTGATGAGACTCTACTGCTTAACCCAGCAAGAGTAGGTAGCCAATATTGCTTGATTTCCTGTCTTTCCTGTGCCTCCTCTCGGTTCTTGGAAACAGACTAAGAAGTTATAATTTTGTTCCCTAAATGCTTCATGCCTGTTTTCCTACTGTGTCTGTTATACATATATGAGTCATTTTCCAAATGTTTAAAAGACAAAAATATTGTGTCAGAGCTCATTGCAGCACCCTGAAATTCCTTGAAGAGACTGAAGTCTCTAATGGAAATTGCTCTGAACCAGGAACCTTGATAATAGCTTTCTATTATAGTTCACTTTGTCACTCACTGGCTGCATGAACCCAGACAAGCCAATATGTGTCTTCAGGCTTCAGTTTCCAACCTGTGTGAAATTTAAAGCATGGATTGGATGATCTCTAATCATGATTTTATGACTTTTTTGGTTGTATGAAGAACTCACTCTGTTAGATATACTCAAAGACTATAAACATACTAACACAATGGTTATCACTACAGAGCTATTGATAAAAAGAAATAGGGAGGAAAAGTGAAAAGGGAGAAAGAGAAGTACAGAGGAGATGCCAGACTTTAGCTGATGTGACTCATTTTAGTACTTGAACTGTTTTTTGGCCAAATAAGAAACTTCATTTAGGTTGTTGCATCAATCAGCTTAAGCTAGATTGTGCTGCAGTAACAAATAATTATCAGCATCATGAAACAATAATTTGTTTTAAATTCACATTTCATATCCAGTATGGTTTGGTCTTGCCTCTGCTTCATATTTAGTCACTTCTGGGCCCAGGCTTACAGAGCAACCTCCACCAGGATATACCATTCTTGAATCAAAGGCTACAATAAAATCACATGAGTGCTCTTAAGCTGCTGCTGAGAAGAGGCATGTTTCACCCCCATTTTCATTTTATCAGCTGAAGCAAGTCACCCAGACAAGCCTGAAATCAGTGGAAGCAGGAAACACAACCATTTTATAACCACAGCAAGAAACAAGTAGAATCAATAATGCAGTTGAGTACAGTAGCATTTTTATGAAAACTGAACAAAATGTAGTGGCCTCATCAAGGTAAGTAAGGTCATCTGACCATAGACATGCTAAACAAAGTCAAATTGTAGTCTACAAAACCATCATTATTGATGATCCATGGAGAATTTGTTCCAGGAACCCTGTCAGATACAAAAATTTGCAGATACACAAGTCTCTGATATAAAATGACGTAGCAATTGCATATAACCCACATACATCCTTTCATACACTTTAAATCGTCTCTAGATTACTTATAATATTTAATACAATGTAAATGCTGTGTAAATAATTGTTATATTGTATTGTTTTTTTCTCTTTTTTGAGACAGGTCTCGCTCTGCCACCCAGGCTAGGAGTGCAGTAGAGTGACTACAGTTCACAGCAGACTCAACCTTCCAGGCTCAAGCAATCCTCTCACCTCGGCCTCCCAAGTACCTGGGACTACAGGCACACTCCACCATTCCCAGCTAATTTTTGTATTTTTTGTAGAGACATGGTTTTGACATATTGTCCAGGCTGGTCTTTTACTGTCAAATTGCTATATTTTATTGCTTTTGTTTTTGAATATTTTTGATCCATGATTGAGTCCATGAACATGGAACCTGTGGACATGGAGGCCCAACAATAGTACTTAATGTCTTTCTAACACAGCTACCTTATGAACTCTGGAAAAAATTGTATGCCAGCCAAAGCAGTGGAACAACCATATTCTACTCACTGGATTGTCCTCAACTGTTCAACAATACCTCCCAAACTTGTTCCTGACTTCCGCCCAACATGCAATGACTCCATTCTCATTGTGCTCTTACCTGTTTCACTTAGTTGGATTATTTCTGTTCAAAAATATGTTTGATTTTTAAAACTCAGGCTTTCACAGCTTTTAAAAGTTGTATAAACCACTGTATTTGTTTGATAGATGTGGGTGAATTTGGCTTCCTACAAAGCAATAACAAATCATCCACATAGGAAAGTTACCATTTCTGCAGATGGAAAAATGTGTACCTTGCTTCTCATATCATTGTTTTCATTTTGCAAGATATGAATTTCTTGAATAGTGGTATCACCTACAATTACTTAAAAAATTAAAATAATTTAGGGCACCTTAGCTTGATAGCTTTCTAAAGATATAAACAAGTTATTTGGTTTAATGAGGGGAAAAAAATTGGTCTAAAGGAAAATGGACTGACAGCTTTGTTACATACTAAAAATCAACCAATAACTGTCTTTTAATGTTGTTGGTGATAGTTGTTTTGTTTTTTAAGCAGGAAACACACAGATGTACTCTAAAAATCATTCTTAGTAGAAGTCTTTAATATCATTTTACTTATAGATACTAAGTATAAATCTTCCACTTAATCTGTGTTAAAATATGATATTCTTTTATTTGTCAGTTAATAGTTTGTAAGGACCAGAAAGTAACCATTTCTATAAAGCAGTTCTCTAGACAAGGTAAAATGGTAAACCACCATTAGATGCTTTTTCTCCTTCTTCTCTGTCACGTGATATTAAAAAAGACTGGCCTGGGCATGGTGACTCATGCCTGTAATCCCAGTAATTTGGGAGTCCAAGGCTTTCAGATCACCTGAGGTCAGGAGTTCGAGACCAGTCTGACCAACACGGAGAAACCCCATCTCTACTAAAAATACACAATTAGCCGAGTGTGATGGCGCATGCCTGTAATCCCAGCTACTCAGGAGGCTATGGCAGGAGAATCACTTGAACCCGGGAGGTGGAGGTTGCAGTGAACCGAGATCATGCCATTGTACTCCAGCCTGGGCAACAAGAGCGAAACTCCATCACCAAAAAATAAAATAAAATAAAAAATATCCCAATAACAGGGTTTTCTTGGGGCATGTACCATTGTGCTAAATCTTCCATTGATGAACATATTGCAATCTTTCCATTGTTGCTTCACTTCTCAGCTTTTTATGCAGATATATTTTTAAAATTATCAGCAGACAAAACATGTCTCATCCTTTTCCTCTTTATTCATATTCTTTTCATTTGCCATTTTTCAGTATTTAGAGTATGCTGCCCACGAGTCCCACGTTATAGACTGGCTCACTGAAAGACTCAAACACTTCCTTCAGTCAAATATTCCCAACTGTTATTTCTAACAATTCCTTGTTCCTTGGTAGCTTTATTATGTTGGGCTTTTGTTTTCAAATTCTGCATATTGATTTATAACTAGCTGTTATTTCTAGCTGTGTGATCTTAAACCAGTCACATGAATTCCCTGGGTTCTAATTCTCTTATCTGTAAAATGAGCAAACTATGAGAATTCATCTGTGTTGTTATGAAAATAAAATAAGCTATTGCTAACAAAACTCTTAAAATAGTGCCTGGCCACGGTGGCTCGTGTCTGTAATCCCAGCACTTTAGGAGGCCAAGGTGGGGGGATCACGAGGTCAAGACATCGAGACCATCCTGGCCAACATGGTGAAACGCCGTCTCTACTAAAAATACAAAAATTAGCTGGGTGTGGAGGTGGGCACCTGTAGTCCCATCTACTTGGCAGGCTGAGGCAGGAGAATAGCTTGAACCCGGGAGGTGGAGGTTGCAATGAACTGAGATCCTACCACTGCACTCCAGCCTGGTAACAGAGCAAGGCTCTGTCTCAAACAAACAAACAAACAAAAAGTGCCTAGCACATAGTGTTCAATAAATGTTAATGATTACTATGGAGATCAATACATGTAATAATATTTAGTTTTCCAATTCAACCTTCCTACTAATGCAGCCCTTTCCATTTCTGACTTTGAAAATAAAAATGCTTTCAATAATACAAAAAACGCATTTAACAATTTTACTTACAAAACATTTTTGCACATAACATTTCAGTAAGCTCCATGAAGGTAGGGATCTCTGGTTTCCTGTCTTGGTCGGTGTGGTAAGATGCTTCTTGGTAACTACTGACTGAATGAAAAACAGAATAATGTCATTTTGCACTTACATTTTACACTTGCACCCCTGAGTCTCATGAAGAAATAGTGATATATATTAAACCAATTGTATTCATTTGGTAGGGCTACCATAACAAAGTACCACAGATTGGAGGGCTTGGACAACAGAAATTTATTTTTTCATAATTCTGAAGGCTATAACTCTAAGCTCCAGGTATTGGCAGGATTGATTTCTTCTGGAAGCCTCTCTCCTTGGCTGTAGATAGCCATCTTCTTCCTCTGAATTCACATGGTCTTCCCTTTGAATATGTGTGTTTTACTCTATGCTTCTTATAAAGACACCAGTCATATTGGTTAAGGTTCACCATAAGGATCTCATTTTAAACTTAATAATCTCTTAAAATGCCCCCTTTCTCCAAATATAGTCACATGTGAAGTCCTGGGAGTTAGGACTTTAACCTGTGAATTTTGGAGGAATTCAACCTATAACACTAGTCTCTCATATGAGAGTAACATAGAGAACCAACTCTCTTTAGTTATCAGATCCATTTCTCTTCCATCGAAATGTGCTTTATCTTGGTATCAGGGGCCATTGGTAAGCAAACATTTGACAAAACTAAGACTCATATAAGGGTCTATATCTATTTTCCTTTAAAATTCACATACAGAAAGACATGGGAATAGAGATTAAAAATCAAGATCAAAATTTTTAAAATTAGCAGAAAAATGCTAGAAAAACTACTAAGTGAAAGGAAGTCAGGAGGAAGGGAGAAAGGAAGAAAAAGGTCTGCTAGAAAAATAAATTTTTCTGTGTCTCTGTTTATTAAAGCTAACTTAGACACACAAAAGAAAGTTGTTTTATGTCAGTAATCTAAGAATTAGGGGAAAAGGTAACATTAGCCATAATATTGTTAGAATCCTGCTTAAATAATTTTTAAAAATTATCCAGATCCTAAACACTCTGAAAGAATTGATAAAACAAGAGCATTAAGAAAAATGTATATACAACAAACTACCAACAAGCAAACAAAACCAAAATTAATTGGTAGAGTTTTTATTAACTGCCCTAGAACTGGCTCCATTTGTGTCAGCCAACAGCTTGTCACAACAACCACAACTGCGATGTCCAAATTGTGCTGCTTAAAGCCTCAGCTCTTGAAGCAGTGTTCCACACACTATTTCTGCATTAATCCATGAACTTAATAAGCATTTGTCTCCCCAGTGGTGCCTCACTGTCTAACTGAACTACTTATATCCTGTAAATTTGCAGTCTGTTTGACTTCTAGAAAACAAAGCAGTCAGGCTTGCCTGATCTCATCAGTTTAATCGTAGAATATCTAACCTACTCCACAACCCTTGAATCTTTATATTTTAAAAATTGGCAAAGCAAGAGCTGTTATTAGAGACATGTGTTCCAGACTGTAATCAGAAATTGTGAGTCCTTCTGGATGAACATGAAAAGATGAATATAGTATATTAAAAACGAATGTGGCTAATGAATTACTATGTGCTAAAATTACCATAGTAGTCATTTATAGTATGACATTGTTGATGTCTTAAGTAACAGTCAAAAAATGCACTTTCCAAGGAATATGATTAGCCCAGAGAGTCATGAATCTGTCAAATAACCCCAAAAAGTGAGTGTATATTGGAGATTCTTACATATTAATCATAGTTTTACCTGAAAGTTTCTCAGCTCTGCTAATTTAAGTCTGAGAAGTCAAGAAATAACACATATCAATCAAAGGAGCTTTATCCCAGAGATATTTGTGAACAAAAATGTACCTTTTTGTGAACTGCATCCTTAGAGGCTTGTACCTTCTTGGTACTAAGCAAATTGATATCATGGTTATATAATGTTGCAGGGAGGCAGAGCGCCGTAAAGATGTATTCATTATAAAGAACAAAACCAGATAAACAGGCCTTCTTTCTGTTTTGCCATTTGGGCAGTACATCACAAAAACCTCCCCTGTTTTGTGCTTAGTGATAAAAAGTAATAATAAGAATGACTAGTATTCATAAAATACCTATTCAGTTCCAATCACATTTAATGATTTAATAATTAAATTTGATGTTAATCCAATTATCAGATTTAATTCATATAACCACCCTGTGTATTTAATACTATCATCAGTCCCCATTTTAAACCATGAGAAAGGGAGGCTAAATAGCTTTCTAATGGTGGCACACTCAATGAGCGGTAGATCGTGGACTTGAACTGGGGTATTTGCTGCCAGAGTACAATAACTAACCACTATGCTCTATAGCAATTTGGGGCATAAACCTTTAGTTAACCTTAGCCTAAGAGAGAAAATGCTGAAATCAGCCATGTGTGAATGTGTCTTAGTAGGACAGAGGCCAGGTTTCTTTCAAGGAAGAAATAACAATAGGACTTAGTCCATGTAGAGAACTTCCCCTGTGAACACCGCAAGCACCTTTTAAGCAGTAATGAAGAGTAAGGGATGAGATCCTGGGTTTGACTACCAGGTCTACTGCTCACCACCTATGGGACAATGAGAAATTCTTCTAACTTCTCTTAAGTTTCAATTTCTTCACTATTTACTTAAGGTAACAATAGTATTTATCTCATGTTTGAAGAAGCAATACAACTTTCTCATTTTTAATATTTTGAAAAATAATGCGAAAGTATTAAGAGGCACACATCATTAAGTCCATTTGACAGAGGAAAAAACTGGGATGTAAAATTTACATTAAATTCAGTAATTTCTGAACTGCAAATCTATGTTTTTCCTCCTAAAATGTGTAGCTTATTAAAAACACTCTTTTCAATCTAAATTTTCAAAAGCTACAATTAACTGTTAGGTGATAATAAATTCACTGTCAATGGGGACATTGATTTATGTCATGGGGTCCATCTAGCAAAGAAGTGGCATTTAGTTAAAATATGAGCTATGTAAGCATCTTTCCTGAGCCTGAGATACCGTGACTTGATGACCACTAAAATATCTGACCATCCATGGCTTTGACTCCTTGGAAGGTTTCAGATTCTATTATCATGCTTCTTCATGTAAGCAGAAAACAGGTGTTATAGTGTCTTTCTCTGTGGCTAGTTACTTTAGTTGGTTATTTTATGTTTCTAATTACATTGAATTATTGGGTTCAGGGCAATGTATTTATTACACTGTGAGCAAGTAAGCTTTGTGTTCTACGACCCTAGGGTAAATCCTTAAATTCATCAAGATTCCTTGAAATGCAAGTATGGATAAATGAACTCCAATCCATTTCCAATTCTGGGAACCAGACTAAGATATATGCACTAATAAAGGCACTCTGGTAACTTTATTTTTTATTCAAAAAATATTAATCCCTGGGTAGAAACAACTCATTACAAAAAAAAAAGTGCTACATTTTGCAGAAGGTCATTTCAGTTTTATTAGTCTTAATGTTGGATCTCCTTTCCTAAAATCTGAAATAAACTTGCAATTTCTGAATTGATACTTAGTCTACACCTGCCATGCTAAGTGAGTTTATTTTTAAACTGAATGTGTGAATGAATGAATGAATGAACAAATACATAAATAAAATACCCGCACTAGAACACAACATTTAATTTAATTTACCATTCTAATACCCGCTGCTGCCTTTTGCAGGCATTATAAATATGTCAGACTGAAAGTTGATTCAAGAAAAAAACAGAATTCTCTTTGAACTATTTTATTTCAACTGTGTATTCTCTTACATGTTATGTGGAGTTTATGTAATTTTGTTTTTGTAGAATCAAGTCTCTCATGAGAGCTTTATTTTCTTTCATTTGCATTTATTTTTATGCCTTGTCCTTGCTATTTTTATGCTCAAAGGCCATACTCAGTTATCATTTCAAATAAACAAGGAAAGATCAACTTGAATGAACTGGAACAGAGAAGAGATATGCACATCAAACAGCACTCAGCCACTTACCAAGATGTAGTGAAATAAAATTTGCTGTAATTTTTAAAGGTAATGAGAATAAGGTTTTAGTCAAAAAAGGGGAACAGATCCTTTGGATCAATGTGGAGGAAGGCTTTGAATGTTGCTCAACACAAATTCCTAAATTTTCTTAAAACATCATGAGACTTGTTTGCATTTTTTTTTTTAGCTCATCAGCTATCATTAGTGTTATTTTATGTGTGGCCGAAGACAATTTTTCTTCCAATGTGGCCCAGGGAAGCCAAAAGATTGGACATCCGTTTTTTAGATAAATCCTCACTGAGATTTTATGTAAATGAGAGTTGTAGTGACTCACAATGTTAGAAATAACATCCAACAACATATATGTTTCAACTTCCACTTCCAGAAATGGAGTAACTTTTATTGGACTTGCCCACCTTGCCACAGAATACTATCTTAAAATGGAATAAAATATGCAAGACAACACTTAAAAAAAAATTGGGCAACAGAAAGGCAAGGCTATGATCCTTGAAAGAAAGAAAAACATATAATGAACCATATATCCAACCCAGGTTTCTGCTTGAAGGAACTTTCCAGACTGCAGTGCAGGGGCGTAGACCCCAGATGGAGAACAGTGATCCATTCTGGTAAAAGAAACAGAGATTGGAGTCTGGGATGATGAGACAGCTGGGATTTCTGGGTCAAGATATCAGTAAGGGGGAAACTACCCAGAATGGGAGCCCCCAAAAGTTTTCATGGGATTCCCTCTCAGGTTCTCTGCCAACAGATGATTTGACACACACAAGGCAGGTCTCCACAGGTTTAGCATAGTGTGGCTCCTGGGGGCAGACTGCTGAGTGAAGACACTCGATATTGTGCAGTGCTAGGAAAGGTGATTTCTGGCTCATCTGGAGGGACCAAGCCTTGCTGAGCACCTTGGGCATTCAGTTGAAACTTCAGAAATGTTACACCTTAAAAGTAAATACCGCTCTCCGGCATAAGGGCTGAATCCCAGAACCAAGATCAAAACCAAAGTTTAGGGTCCTAACTTAACATAACCCATCACTTACTTATATTTCTATAGTTCTTGTCATTTTGCATACCAATTCGTAAGTTTTATTCATTCAGTAAATAATTTAACAAGTATTCACTAAGCTCCCATTATATACATTAGGGTACAATGGTAAGTATTTTCATGTTGTTGAGCATACATAAAACATCTCCTTGGTATTTGCCTTCTTTCTCATTCATTTAATCACTATCTGCCCACCAAAACCCAAAGCAATTTTTCTGAGCCACATCTCTGTATTTCAATTTGAATATAATTAATCTGAAACCACTATTCCCAAGCTAGAATGAATACAGCCATTATAATGGCAACTGGAAAACTCTGTAGCTGTGTTCAATTGAGAAATGAAAAACAATCATAAGTGAGCAGTTCAGGCATTGTTCATAATGTCTATAACTCATGCCTTATTTTACTATCATTGTTTCAGATTGTAAAAAATAGCCTTTTCCTTTCACTCTGAAATTATAAGATGAGAAATATAAACCAATGTTTTAATGCTATACCAGCTTTATAGTAACATAAACATGTTGATATTTTGAATTGATTCAAATACTTTTAGTCATCAAAGGGTATTTATTAGACATGTTCAACAGTTTATAGAGTTATTTGATATATTCTTTCAATATGTACAAACATAAAAGGAACACAAATGTAGAGATTTTCTTAAAAGAATTTAAAGCATAGTTCACACGTCACAAGGATCACATTACTCTCCCTTAACATTTTCAAAAGATATTTTTACCACTTTACAGATGGAAAAACTGAGATTCATTTTATGTTAAGTAATAAAATCCAGACTTCTCAGGCCCTGTCCAGCATACACTGGCTTCCAGCAAAGCAGCTCCTTGAATTTAAATTTTCAAAAGAGCTGTTTCCTATTCTAGGCTTACACGCATTTGATGTTGAACTTCAAAAAAGCAAAAAGCTCTTTGTGTATGAGTTTCGTTCTGGCAAACATATCAAGTGCATTTTGCCATAACATGGAATGAAATGAGAAAAATTGGAAAAGTTTATTAATTATCTACTTAATTGCAATGGTATGAAATAGAATAGGAGTCTCCTTATAATGCTGTAAAGTATGGTAACATATTTTCATAGGAGAATAATAAGCTAAAACTGCATAGAAATCAAATGAATTTCAATATGTTATTAGAAGAAATTAAAGTATGTCTACTTTATTGTAACAGTTCCCTAAATTTATCAAATGTTTATAATTTTGTACTGTATACTGATATTAAAAGATGATAAGGTTTCTAATATATACACATAATAAATCACCAGAAATTCTAACTTCTGGAAGCTATTGTATTAGCATTCAGCCCTAAACTTAAAAAAAAAAAAAAGAAAAGAAAAAAAAAGGTAACAACAGCCAAAATAAAAAACTCTGAGACTTAAGTCTGCTAATCTGAAACTAATCAGTGACTATTTCTGAAACTATCTATCTAAGAAGAGACTCAGAGACAATTGCTTTTTGGGATTAGTGATATAAGTACTAAAATTAAAGTAATATCTTTCACTTTTGAAATCCATGTGTCCCTTGGAAACCAGTGGTCCTGAAGCACCCTGACAATATTGGTGCTATACATGAAGGAATGATACCAACACTGAGCACCAAAAACAGAAATTTACATATTAGACAGATGATTCTCAACCAGGGAACGATTCTGCTCCCAGGAGACATTTGGCAATGCCTAGAGGCATTTCTGATTGTCACAGCTTGGGAGTGTACCTGACATCTAGTGGCTAGAGACCAGGGAGGTTGCTAAACATCTGCTGAGAACAGGAAAATCCCCTACAACAAAGAATTATCTGACCCAAAATGTCAATATTGTAGAAGTTGAGAAACTCTGAATTAAACTAGTATTAATAGTAATCACAACTTTTGAAAAGCATTGAAGTAAACCTATTAACATATGTCTTAGTTTGTATTGTACTGTTAGAATACCTGAGACTGGGTAATTTATCAAAAACAGAAATTTATTTCACACAACTCTAGAAGCTGGGGAGTCCAAGATCAAGGCATAAGCAGGTTTGGTGTCTTGTAAGGGGCCTGGTCTCTGCTTTCAAGAATGTGCTTTGAGCACTGCATCCTCCAGAGGGAAGGAATACTCTTGCTCACACCACAGAACCATGGAAGGGCAAAGAGAAGATGAGAGAGCAGGCAAGACAAGGCCACTTTTTGTAATGGCATCAATCCCGCCCATGAGGGTGGAGCCCCCATGGACTAATCACTTCTTAAAAGCCCCACTGTTGATACTTTCACAATGGCAACTAAATTTCAAACTGAATTTTGGAGGGGGCAAACATTCAAATGACAGCAACATGTAAATAAAGTTGTTTGTAGTAGGAGTGAATTTTTAAGATTTCTTTGTTGGTAATTGAAGTGTTATCATATATAGTACATAGATAAGGTATTTTGCAATCTTCCTTGACTGAAATCAAAGGAGCCTTTGAACAGGAACAATGAGATAGCTGATATGGTAGCTCTGTGTCCAAATTGTATCTCAAATTGTAATCACCACGTGTTGAGGGATGGACCTGGTAGGAGGTGATTGGATCATGGGGGTGTTTTCCCCCATGCTGTTCTCGTGATAGTGAGGGGGGTTCTCATGAGATCTGATGGTGTAAAAGTAGCAGTTTCCTCTGTGCTCTCTCTCTCTCCTGCTGCCTTGTGAAGAAGGTGCTTGCTTCCCCTTTGCCTTCTGTCAGGATTGTAAGGTTCCTGAAGCCTCCCAAGCCAGTGGAACTGTGAGGTAATTAAACCTCTTTCCCTTATAAATTACCCAGTCTCAGGTATTTCTTTATAGTACTGTGAAAACAGACTAATACAGAGAATTGGTACAAGGAGTGGGGAAATGCTATAATGATAACCTGAAAACGTGGCATCGACTTTAGAAATGGGTAACAGGTAGGGGCTGCAACAGTTTGGAGGGCTCAGAAGAAGACAGGAAGATTTGTGAGGCTTTGAATCATCTTAGAGACTTGTTGAATGGTTTTGGCCAAAATGCTGATAGTGATATAGACAATGAAATTCAGGCTGAAGTGGTCTCAGATGGAGATGTGCAACTTCTTGGGAACTGGAGCAAAGGTCGCTCTTGCCATGCTTTAGCAAAGAGACTGGCGGCATTTTGCCCCTGCCCTAGAGATCTGTGGAATTTTGAACTTCAGAGACATAAGTTAGGGTATTTGGCAGAATAAATTTCTAAGCTGCAAAGTATTCAAGAGGTGACTTGGCTTTTTCTGAAGACAATCAGTCATATGCATTCAAAAAGAGATGGTTTGGAATTGGAACTTATGTTTGAAAGGGAAGCAGAGTGTAAAGGTTTGGAAAATTTGCAGCCTGACCATATGGTAGAAAAGAAGAAAAACTCATTTTCTTGGAAAAATTCAAGTTGGCTGAAGAAATTTGCACAAGTAACAAGGAGTGAAGACAATGGTTAAAATGTCTCCAGGGCTTGTCAGAGATCTTCATGACAGCCCCTGCAATCACAAGCCCAGAGCCCTAAGAGGAAAAATGGGCTGGGTCCAGAGCCCTGCTTCTCTGTGCAGCCCTAGGACATGGCACCAAGCATCCCAGCCACTCCAGCTCCAGTCATGGCTAAAAGAGGCCAAGCTACAGGTCAGGCCATTGGATCAGAGAGTGCAAGCCCAAGCCTTGGCAGCTTCCACATGGTGCTGGGCCTGCAGGTGTTCAGAATACAAGAGTTGAATTTGGGGAACCTCTGCCTAGATTTCAGAGGATGTATGGAAATGCCTGGATGTCCAGGCAGAAGTCTGCTGCATGAGCAGAGCCCTCATGGAGAACTTCTGCTAGGGCAGTGTGGAAGGGAAATGTGGGGTTGGAACCCACACACAGAGCCCCCACTGGGGCACTGTCTAATGGAGCTGTGGGATGGAAGAGGGCTACCATCCTCCATACCCCGGAGTGGTAGATCCACCAACAGCTTGGACCATGTGACTGGAAAAGCCACAGGCACTCAATGCTAGCCTGTGAAAGCAGCCACAGGAGCTGTACCCTGCAGAGACAGAGGGGCAGAGCTGCCCAAGGCTGTGGGCGACCACCCCTTCCATCAGCATGGCCTGGATGAGCGACATGGAGTCAAAGGAGATTTACAGCTTTAAGATTTAATGACTGCCCAGGTGGGTTCCAGACTTTGTTTTGCCCATTTTCTCCCATTTGGAATGGAAACAGTTACCCAATGTCTGTACCCCCATTGTACCTTGGAAGTAACTAACTTGCTTTTGATTTTACTGGAACATAGGTGGAAGAGTCTTGCCTTGTCTCAGATGAGACTTTGAACTTGGACTTTTGGGTTTAAGCTGGAATGAGTTAAGACTTTAAAAGACTGTTGGAAAGGCATGATTGTTTTTGAAATGTGTAAAGGACATGAGATTTGGAAGGAGCTGGGGCAGAATGATATGGTTTGTCTCTGTGTCCCCACCCAGATCTCATCTCAGATTGTAATTTTCACATGTTAAGGAAGGGACCTGGTGGGAGGTGACTGGTTCATGGGGGTGTTTTCCCCTATGCTATTCTCATGATAGTGAGGGAGTTCTCATGAGAACTGAAGGTGTAAAAGTAGCAGTTTCCCCTGTGCTCTCTCTCTTACCTGCTGCCTTGTGAAGAAAATGCTTGCTTCCTCTATGATTTCTGCCACGATTGTAAGTTTCCCGAGGCCTCCCCAGCCATGTGGAACTGTGAGTTAATTAAACTGCTTTCCCTTATAAATTGCCTAGTCTAAGGTATTTCTTTATACGAGCATGAAAATGAACTAATACCATAGCACATTAGTTGTGGTCAAGGTGCTGTAACTTAGGACTATATTTAAATTAAGTCCATTTAAAATTTCAAGAAAACCAAATGTTTGTGCTTTTTATCATGGTTTTAAAATACAAATCATATTCTTATGCATTTCTTTTCCCAGATAACATGTTTTAGGGGGCCAGAATCTCACTAGAAATTGCCAGGAAATTTATGTAGATTAACTAAAGCTAAAAATAAGGTAGGTTCATTGACCAGGTTGAAAATAGGTTCTTGCAAACTCTAGACCCTGCTCAGATGCTATTCTGAGCACATTCCTTGATAATGTACCTGGTGTGGTGTCCTACTGCATCAGCATTTGTTGGTGAAAGTGGTATTATTAATGACTGCAGCTACTTATAGCTTCGGAGCAACAGTTAATTATTAATCCCAGACCCAAATATTGTACATGTCAAAACAAAACCAATAAATGCAAAAAGGTTGTGGAAATTTTAAAAAACTGCTCTAAATTCATACAGACTGAATAAATACTGATTTTGAGGCTGAGGATAATAGTAATGACATGAGCAGAGATGTGAAATCCATGTGAATTACACACGGCTTATGAATGCTAATGAGGAAAGAACAAGATGTAATGATTTTTTTTTTCCTGAACTGAATATGTACATCCTTGCTTTTCCTTTGAGAAGTCGTTTTTTAAGGGCTGAGCTAAATTAATAACTTGCTTTCCAATAATATATTTTTATTCACAGAAAACTTAAGTTATTCAGTCACTTTGATAAATTACTGTTTCACTCTTTCTATATAAAGTGGGAATAATATTGTGGCTTTCCCTAGATAATTCAGGGGTGAAAGGTACTATATAAAAGCATAGTATTTATTATGAGACTAGCCTTATAGCTTATAGATTTCATGGTGATTTCATTTGGGCTTAGCTAATGGCTTTTCCATTCTTGCTGGGTAACCAAGAGAACATACTGGATCCTATAGAACTATCCAAACTGGAATAATCTCAAAGGTTCCAACCACAGTGGTAAATGTGTTGGCTGTGCTAGAATCCTTTGAGGGCCCTGTGGCTTATGTTGATTAATCACCTTTCACTCCTAAGCCTTTACATTTAGTATCAAGTGTTTTAAATACTCTCTTTCTGAAGTGATTTCCAAAGCTCTTTGCAGTTCTAAAATGCTGTGATTCTCTATAAGTACTACTGTTTTTCTTTCTCACAAGACAGTTTATTCCTTTGAGTAGACACTGATGGATGAATCATCTCCTGAAATACCATCAACATCATAACAGAAATCACCCTGATGTCATAACTTTAGGCAGAAGAACTTCAGGATAGAATCCACCAGATCAGAGTTAACAAAGAAGGAATGTATACAAGGCATTAAAGCACAATGCTTTTAAATGTTCCAATAAAATTGAATGCAATGTATTTTTCATATATATTTTTAATTCTTCTAATGTGAGAGGTAATTTGTGAAAGAACATGTTAGAAATAAAAACTATAATAATGAAAACTGAAGTTATTTAGAAACACAGTTCTAATGAGCATACATGCTATTCTAGGACAATTTAGGTCATCTAGAAACTCTCAAACTCTACTGACTCCACTGTATCTGTGCTCTTCAGTCAGACCCTGAAGATATTTTCATGATTTCTTAAATAAGAGTAAACAAAACTCTTTGCCATCAAAGATGGATTTTTTTCAGCACTTGCTTTGGAGAATGAAATGCATTGGGTATTGTATATATTTCTAAACTAACTTGTTTTCATTAAAACTATATTCTGCTCATCAAGAAAAATAAAAAGAAGGATAAGGCAGGAAAAGGGAAAAAGTAAGGAAACGTTAGGTGAAAAATAAAGCAGCAGTCATTCAAAAATATTCATGGACTACAGAGAAATCTGAAGGTCTGTGCTTTTAATACTCAACATCTGCCTTTAAAAATGTATCAATCACATGATCACTAGCAGCTGTTGCATTAGACTTTTAATCAGCCATGATTTTCAAAAGAGAGGAAGAATGTCGCTGGATCAGTGGATGGAAAGTTATTGCTTAGAATGCATCAGCTTGGTACTGGAAACCAATTCAAAATTTAAAGAGACAAAACTTTACTAAGCACTGTAAACACTATTTATATGTAAAGTGCTGTGCTATGAACAGCATAAATGGTCCCATATGTTTGGAAGCCTGAAGAAAACAACGCAGGTTGTGACATGTATTCAAACTGATACATTTAATGTCACATGAAATGTGTTTTTTAAAAAACTCTACCAATCATAGCAAGGCAGGAAAACACAAAAGCATCATACATTTCAATCACAATAAATACTGACTGGAATGGATCCTCCAAATTTTAAGGGCCTATTCTTCTCTAGGTATATGTAACTCCCACCGATGCTATTGAAAATTAATAATCCATGTGGGAGTGAGAACATCAGGGATTGTAGCAATTTTACATCTGTCAGGGAAGAGGCTACTTCTGGTTTGAATTACCTACATGCTTCCTTGGAGAAAACTTGTCAGGTCTGTGCCGTTTACCTTTTCATTCTGGCAACATGCTAAAAATTATTGCATTAAAGTAGGGCATGTTGTTCCAAACTAAAGAAAAAAACTGTATTTTCTTCCAGCACAGGATACTTTTACATTTATCAACCATTTGCTTCTAGAGCTGGTCACAGAGGAATCACTGGTGTTCAATAAGATCAAAAGAGAATTAGATTTACATGTGACTTACTCTGGCAAAATAACTGTTTGTTGCACCCCAGGAACATGTATAATGGGAATGTTTTCTCTAGTGTCATATTCACTGAGATCATGGTGATGATAATGTTTTATGTGTGATGGCTAAATAGATTTCAATTGAATTCCCTTGAAAGATGTATGTTTACAGTCAGAGTTCTCCTTAAATGACAAAAACAACCTATTTATCTTTTCCAGTATTTATTATTTATTATAAATAAAAGGCATAGATGAACTATAGACATAAATTTTGCATGGTGGTTAATTTTATAATAGGAAATTATTTCCCATAATGGCTCTAAATTATATCCTACAAGATTTATGAGCATAATCATGATTGTTAGCCATCATATCCTGCTCTAGAGCGCAACAAACATTTATTGAAGACATATGTGCCTATACCTCCATATTCAAATATTGTATGTTCAAAAATGATGATAGATAAACATATACAAAGGTATGACCTTTGCTTTCCTAGAGTTCAGTCATAGAACAAACATAGAACAGTTGCAACTGGGATGCAAATGGAGATTAAGAGGAGAAAATAATGACTTCTGTCTTGGAGTGGTAGGAAGAGTGGGATGAGTATCTGAGAAAGCTTTACTGGTGATGGGATATTTGTGTTAGGCTCTGTGGTGTGTGAAGGGCACCCTAAGTAAAGGAAAGCACATAACTGGTAGCCACATAGGTAGCCCTGAACCAGAAGCATGGCTACAATGTAGCACACATATTGGAAAAATAAAAGGGATGAAACGGAGCCCTTAAACTGTAGCTGGATTGTAAACAGTCTTTCTTGCCATGCTTTCATATGTGCAACAACAGCAATGACAAAAAACTGGAGAATCCATCCAAATACATTATTTTCTAACTCTGCTCTGAGAAGTCATACGATTTACATGGAGTCCACTGGGGACAAAAATGTGGGTGAGATAAGAAGAAGAATGAGTTCCAGCATCCCAATTCCCATACAGATTTCAGCCAGATATGAGCATCATTTATCCACAAGATGCTATTAAAGAAAGAGTTTTGCTATTTAAGTAAAAATAGGTAAATAAAAGAGCGAAGAAGTTTACAAATCACTACGTTATATTTTTGAAATGAGAAATCCACAGATAAGCAATATTTCAGTTGGTTGGTTAGTTGGTTGATTGGTTGGTTAATTGGTTAGGTGGTCAGTTGGTTGGTTGGGTGGTTGGTTAGATGGTTTACAAAGCCATTCTGACAGCTGTTGCAGAACGTGTTTGAGGGTGACAGACCCCTTGTGAAGGAAATGCAACAATAAATGTGAGAGATAATAGAAACCTAAAATAAGTCAATTGGAAAATGAAAAAAAAAGAGGGTAGACTTATCCAGATGGACTGCTTAGCACTCAATACCGAATTAGAAAGTAAGATGGTTTAAAGGTGGGGGTGTACAACAGGGATATCCAAAGTATAAACCATGGGCTAGCAGCATCAGTATCCCTGATGTCTCAGGGCCACCCTAGACTTCCTGAATCAGAATCACTGGGTCAGGAGCGAAGTGGGAGGAAGTAAAAATCTGTGTTATAACAAATCTGCCCAATGATTTGTATGTGTGACAAAGTTGTAGAAACACAGATATAAAGGGTGAGCCAATATTCCTAGTTTGGTAAATAGAGTGGGTAGTGACTGAAAAAAAAGGTATATTTGGATACCAAGATAATTGTTACAGTTTTGGATATGTCATACTTGATATAATTCAAGGGTATCCAGGTAGCAATTAAGAAATGTGAGTCTGGATCTCAAGACAGGAGTTAGGATGAGTTATTGATTAACCTAATACATGCTGCTTTAAGAGTAAACTCCTACATTTTAGTGTCTACACCTGCAGGCATTTGTTTTTTGTTTGCTTTAGGCCCCAATAGGTATTACTGGTCGATAGGTTTCTGAAAATTACTCTGACTGGTGGCCTAACCAGTTCACCAATTCTCTGACTGGTAGTCTCATCAACCTCAGCGTGCAGGTGAAAACGATCATGGCAGACCATGCATGGCAAGCCTGAAAGATGTTGCTTGCTGTGATATTGTGAAATAGATATTTGGTCTTGGTCCATGTTTCCTGGTGCACAGCTCCTAAAACACTTGAAATCTTCAAAGTGATAAGAGTGTCTTTTGTAAGCTAATAAGATGAGTGGCAAGTGGGGCTCCTAGGTAGCTTCAAGATGAGAGTTGGACACCAGAAAAAGCCAGCCATGATTACAGGGTTAGGACTTTTAGACCCACCTCCCAACCTCCAGGGAGGGAAGAAGGGTCAATTGTTGAGCTGATTATCAATAGCCAATAATGTAATCAATCATGCCTATGTAATGAAGACTCCATAAAAACTCAAAAGGCCGGGGTTCAGAAAGCTTCTGGATAGCTGAACATATGGAGGCTCCTGTAGGGTAGCATGTCTGGAGAGGATATAGAAACTTTGCTCCCCTTCTCCTATACCTTGCCTCCAGATGCATCTCTTCCATCTGGCTATTTATCTGTATTCTTTGTAATATCCTTTATAATAAATGGGTAAGCATAAGTCTCTCCCTGAGTTCTATGGGCCATCCTATCAAACTAATCAAATTGGAGAATAGGGTCAAGGGAACCCTGATTTATAGCCAGTCAGTTAGAAGTAGAGGTGACAATCTACTACTTTTGATTGGAATCTGAAGTGGGTGGCAGTCTTATGGGACTGAATCCTCAACCTATGGGATCTAACACCTGGATTGATAGTGTCAGAATGGAATTAAATTATAGGACACTTAGTTGGTGTTTACTGAAGAATTTCTTCGTAAATAGGCAGAAGCCCACACATCCGGTGTCAAAAGTGTTGTGTTGTGTGACTATGTGAGAACAGGAAAACCACTTGGTTTTTCCCATTTCTATACGGGCATGCCAACTTGAATGGGATAATTCAATCGTTTGGTCAAATCTTGCTGCAAGACAGGTGAGAAAATATGTTCTAGCTGTGAAATCAGGAAGAAGGAGAAAGAGATTTAATAAAAAAAAATCAGCCAGTCCGGGCCACTCTTGGGTACAGCAGTTTGAGAATCAGAAGTACATGGAATGCTTTTTGAAACTGTGGAAGAAGACAGGCTGTTCTATTTAACATGCCTTTTGCCAAAAAGCAGCATAAATATCATGATAAGACATGCCGATATGCTAGTCAACTGATGAGATGTATTGCATAAGCATAAAAAATAAGTTCACAACACTTTCAGACACAAATGTAGAAAATTAGGAAAATAGAAGTAAGGCCAATAATATTCAGGGTAACAGAACTGATTTTGCTTTCTTTTGGAGGACAGCTCATATAGCTAAAGATCTCTTACAGTTTGTTGAGATTGAAGGAAGCACAACTATTCATTAAGAAACCCTATTCTTATCCTAAAAAGTGATTATTGTAAAACAAATGCATACATACTGCTTTCTTGAATAGATACAATATTTATGTAAATATCCTTTTTCATAGTATTATTTATATTTTGACTTTTCTATGAAGCACTCAGTTTGTCTTATATTATCTCATTCCTTTTTTAAAAAATCACATACCTAATAGCTAAGATCGTAGATGAATTGAAAGGTGATAGAATAAGAACTTAGCTGTAAAAGGTTTTTTCCAAAGGCACAAGATAAAATCAAATCAACTCTATTCATATAGAAGGGAATTGAAATTTCCAGTGTTGATCTAATTTGATAGCTGAAAATGATCCATACAGCATTATGTTTTTTTCTTCAGAAAACAATCAGCTTAGTGGTGAGCAGGAAGTTAAGGAACCTAAAATAATTCCTTTATATGGTATGCAGAGCGTTTTTGTCATTTACTTTTCTCCTATCTTTGTAGACTTATTCACTTTATAATTCCTGGCTCACTAGTTTCTCATTGGCATTCTCCCATCCTCATCACCCACCCCCAGCAGGCCTGGAGGGGGCTTCAAGAAACTCAGAAAGCTTTGTAGAGCACATTTGAAAACAACTAAGCAAGAGAGGAAAACAAGCAGAAAGACACACAGGCTAGATTTAGAAAATGGTTTAGAATGTTTTCCTCATGGCTTTTCCTAGTAAGGTAAAGGGCCAAAGTAGTTCACTCCATTGATATTTGAATATTCGCCATCGTAAGGCCTTTCTCACACATGGGATGATAATATTCTATAATTCAGGTATGTGTTATTAGGTATAAAGGAGATAAGAACTACCTGAGACCTAATAGTATTTAATAAAAACTCCAAATGTTCTCTATTTTGTTATCATTAGTTCCCGTGACAGCACTAGATGAAATCTCCCAGAAGAGGGAGCTGTGGTCGACTGGAGGTTTGCCCTCCCTCTACTCAGACAGGTCACACTGCTAACAGTGGGCTATGGGTTGCTATGGTTATCACAGAAGGCTGCTGAATAGGGAGGGAACTGTGACAGCTGCTGTAATGTGGAGGGGCCCTTAACCCCTGTAAACTTTTGTGAAAGTGGTTTCCTTTGTGATGAGCTTGAGATATTACACTGCTTACTTTCGTGTTGCCTGTGTATATCCTGAGGTCAATAAAGTTTCCTAAGATTGTGTGACCCAGGCTGGTGTTTGCCTTCAAAACATTACCCTGGCAACCAGAGGGAAGCCTCAGCTACAGAGAGAGGTAGGGGCATCCTAGTGACCTTTTGTCTGGAATGTACCTCCCTCTCTTCTTGAGAAAATTCTAATCATATTTCAAATGTCATTTCTTTTCCTGAAGTTTTCCCTACTCGTTCCCCCAGACCATCTCAGAAAAATCACTTCCCCTTCTGTGTTCCTATTGAGCTTTAGGCCAAATTGCAAACACAAAACAACTACTTTAAGTTGAAGTGGTAGAAAAGGTAGCTACACAGCTTTGCAAATTTAGTGTCAGCATATCTTCATCTCTCAAACTCAGGTGGGCATCTGTTTTTCCTAAAAAAGCCAGGATAGGACAAAGTCTATTTCAATTAAACTGTAGGCCAAAGGGATGTGAGGAACGCAAGATGCAAAGCAGAGAAAAAAAGTCACACAAATAGAAAGGCTATCACTGCATCAATAATTCACCAGTGACAGGCCTTTAGAAGGTTTACTGGGAAGAAGTAACTCAGTTATATACAAAGAGTAAATAATCTGAATTTAAATGAATACCAAAAATGTCAAAATGGGCAATTTTTCTGCAAATAACCAAGAGAAACCCTAAAATAAAGAACTCATATTCCAATCCAGATTAATACTTATCCAGAAAATGTTGAGGTCTTGTACTTCAAAGAAAAAGAAAGGAAAAGTACCTTTAGTTATGAGGGGGTTTTTGTTTGTTTTGGTTGTGTTATTATTATATTACTTTTTAACTAATGTCTAATAATGAAAAGTATAGTAATAGCTATTAATAAAATGTACTGATAGCTTATGACGTGCCAGGTACTGTATACTAAGGACTTTACATCAACTATACAACTAAGTATTTTTATTGTCGATATTTTTCAAGTGAGAATATTGAGACCTAGAAAGGTTAAGTTACTGGCTGAATGTGTCAAAGCAAGGTCAGTTACAAAAGGTAGGATTTAAGTCATGCATTCTGGGTTAAGAATGTGCTCCCTTCACCTCACTATTATATTCTATTGTGAGGACTTTTATGTGAATGTCTATAATACTGTTTGCCATCGTCATAATTTGTATCCTCAGTGGAGGAGAAGACAGGAGCAAGGTCCAGGGCACTGATACCACAAAGCAATGAAATTATTACTGATGGGGCAACCTCCTCCAAGGGAGATAAATGGATGGGTACAAGAGGACAATGAGTTGACAAGGGACAGAAGAATTTTCTAAGCCAAAGAGAGCAGAATTGACTGAGTGGAAGCATAAATCAGTGCCTTCCTATGAGCAGTGGCTTTGAGACCCAAGCTAGTTTCCTCATGCTACCCCATGATGTCAGAGTGCTTTGTTTCCAGGTGTCGGGATGAAAGAGAGAGTGGAGAAGGTACACCTGTTGTTGACTGACTTAGATAGAAGTTCTCTGCTCACTGTCCTTCAGTGAGAATTGCTCACATGACCAGATCCATATGTATGTGGGAAAAGAAAACATGGATATTTGGTGAGATCTGAAATTCTAACAAATCTATTAATGGTTATAACCCAACAGTTGATTTGCTTTCTGCTTATTTCTCCAGCCCCAATCTAACCAAACCAGTCTTCTCTTCATCTCTTTTTTGACACCAAGACTCCACTTGGCAGTCTTCTCAAGTATTGTTTCCCTTCCTTTTTCAGTAGCTAATTCCTGCATATCCTACAGAGTGCCTTTTAATTATATCTTCAGGGAAGCATTTTTTGGCTTGACCAAATCCTAGATAAGGTTCTCATAACACCACCTACCATTTTTGATTTCAGTATCGATTTTATACTTTGTAATTATTTGACTAAATTTTATTCTCCCCTTCCACTAATAGACTATAATTTGAATAGGAGCTGTCTTTTTGGTTCATTGTTTTGTTTTTAGAGATTTACAATAGTAGATACTTAATAAATGCTAGCTGACTAAATGATTGACTGACTGGCAGAATAAATAAATACATAGTATCTTTATTAACATTTTATCACTAGAAGCTTTCAAAGAGTAGAAAATCATCCGTCAAAAATACTATAGAAGAAGTGGTATTTGAACTCAATGGATTATTCATTTTTTTATTCATTACATACATTTTGAGTGTCTGTACTGCTAGGGATTATGAGGCACTGGAGACCTATTTGGAACTCAGATAAACTTTCCATGAATCACCATGCTTACCCTCATCTGGTCTTTGAACACTCTTCCTTCTACCTGGAGCCCTCCTTCACTGTGCCTTTTTCTCTAACTAATTCTTAAATATCCTAGGAGTCTCAGCATAAGTGAATTTCATCCGGGTACATCCATGACTCCCAAAATCTGTTTTTATTAAAGGCATAGCTCACTATCTATCTCTTGTATGTTAGTTATCATGGGGTATATAGGATGAGTGAAAACAGGTGTGGCAGACCACTGCTGCTCCCCCAATATCCACCCTTCTTCACTTACATATCGTGGGCTTTTAGCTGAGCACAGAGCCACCCAGCTAAAGACCACATTTTCCATCCCTCTTGCAGCTAGGTGGCTTCTTGCAGCCGGGTGGCCACATGACTACACATTGATGAAAGAGATGGGAGTAGATGTATGTATGATCCTTTCAGGTCTTTTCCTTGTTTATGATTGTCCATAAAGTCCCATGATCCCTTCTCCCTTTCTTCTGGCTGTAGTATAGCAAAAATTGGAGCAGACTTCTCGGGCCTATAAGTGTGGGGCATGGCCCTACCAATCCACAAACATACAGGATAGAAATGCACATTTGCTTATTTATTTCATTATACTTTGGGGTTTCTTTGTTAACAGAAGCTTAGCTTGTACCTGACTAGTGCAACAGAGATCATATTTGTATAGTTTATCTTTGTATCCACTTCTTGATGCATTGGATCTGGCAGATAATACTTATTGCCTAATAACTACTTATTGAATAAATGAATGAATGGTTTGGTAATGTCAAAATGAGGAGTGTGATGATTCAGGCTGGGAAATGGCCAGTCACCAGGTAACAATATGAACCAAGAAATACATATTAGGCTTGATTATTCCTTGCATAGAGAGACACATAACCTAGATGAATATATATTTATATATGATATATATATTTAATAAACATTATATATTTCAATAAATATTGAGTACATTATATTAAATATAATATAATATAATATATTATACTTAATATGTACTATATTATATATTATATCATTCATATTATTATAATTTAATATGTTATGTCATTATAATATGATTTTATTATATTATACATATCATTATAATATAGATTTTATATATATAACATATTATTTTCCTTAGAGGAAATCAGTTCATTATTTAAAGACTGAAGGAAAAATTGAGATGCATAGGCTGAAAGGCAGAGAATAAAATAGATTTCAGGAAGTTGTTATTAACTCTTTGGTGATTTTTCTAAAAAATGAAAACTCATATTTAAGTAAATGCAATCTGTGAGAATCCTGAGGGACAGTAGTACAGTTTCTTTCTTTATTCTTTAATAATTTGTGTTTCATTTTCCCTATTTGAGACACTTGGCTTAATTTTGGAGTTCCATGTTTACCTCCCCAACTTGGCAGCAGTACCTTGTCGTAGACTCTTCAATCTAGGGCTAGAATTGGGTATTATCATTGGAACCAGCACAATGCTAATTTTCTTTATTCCATTTTTTCCCATTCTTATTTAGACTTAGTTCATTTTTAATCGTTCTTTGTGAGTGCAGCAATATTTTTAAATACATGCGTACTAATACAAGATCTACTTAATAGCAACAAGAAGGACCTCCAGAGCAACTGCCCCAATTACTTACCAGGCTACTTTTTATCCTCTAAATATAGATTATTCATTGCTATCACAATTTTTCTTTGTAGTCTCTTTGTTGGGGTTATTCTCTCCAGTGGTGATCACTACTACCTCTATGCAGTTATTTCATTGATGAATCAATCCATACAATAATTTGACAAAAATCTTAAAATGACTTTTTCAGGTCTAGGCAGCAGACTACTGCAATGTAATGATTACTGAATTCAAAATATATGCAATTCATGTAGATGCTGAGTGTTAGGAAAATCCGAGAGTTCAGGAAAGGAAGTCTTCGTTGAGATGGTGTTACTAAAGTAAAAACTGTTAGGCCTCCTCAGGCCTTGACATGGATGTCCCAGAATGTCACTTCTACCACATCTTATTAGTAGAAGCCAGTCCCAAAGTAAACTTCAATTTCGGTAACAGGAAAAACAGTCTACGAATGAAACTGAGGAGTACCAGGGAGTAGCACTTGGTGCCCATCTTTGCAAACTATTTACTATACACAGCACACTCTTGAAGTCCAGAAATTTATCTCCCATTATTTCAGAAAAATATGTTTGAATATTCAGTTTCCTCCATTTTCCTCTTTATTTACCAAACTCTTACACATAAGGGATCCCATTGTCCATTTTCTATAAATATCATTTTTCCTATTATTTAAAATATTTGAAAATATAGATTTAAAGCTTTTTTCTCTCCTATAATTTTTCTCCATGTTCCTAATGAAATTTTCAACTCCTCTTTCATTTTGCAACTTAATGGCTTTATTTTTCTCCTTCATTTACTTTCTGGTATCTGTCAGTTCAATATTTTAAATTTTATTCTCTTCTTTAAACACTTGTAGCTCTACTTTAACTAGAGTTCAAATTGCCATTTTCATAAATCTATTTGAGTTCTTGAAGGGTGGCTTGGGCCATGATATCCATCTGTTTCCTGGTGATGATAATTTTATACCTGTGTTCAACAACCAGCTTTTTTTTTTTTTTTTTTTTTTTTTTTTTTTTTTTTTTTTTTTTTTGCCATTTTACCTCTTTTGGGAGGTAATAGTTTTGCAGAGATTGTATTTTCTTTCTTTTTTGAGTATTTTTGAATGAACCATCAGTTTGTGGAAGAATATGGTAAGAGAAAATTTCTTTGCTGTCAGTAGGATATTCTCTAACAAAAGGTTCTGTCCGTGTATGTGAAAGTTGATTTAAATTTTCCTTCTATTTTCAGCTATTAAATATCAGCAGCTGTATATAGCTTATAAATCCCACATTTTTCACTCTATCTCTTAGTTGCACAGATGGTGCACTTACACTCTTTCTCTCTCCTCTGGATGCGTGCTTTCTATGCATGCTCAGCTACAATTTTTTTTTTTTTTTTTTTTTCTGAGACAGAGTTTTGCTCTTGTTGCCCAGGCTGGAGTGCAATGGCATGATCTCGGCTCACCACAACCTCCGCCTCCCAGGTTCAAGCCATTCTCCTGCCCCAGCCTCCCAAGTAGCTGGGATTACAGGCACGTGCCACCATGCCCAGCTAATTTTGTATTTTTAGCCATGTTAGTCAGGCTGGTCTTGAACTCCTGACCTCAAGTAATCCACCCGCCTCGGCATCTCAAAGTGCTGGGATTACAGGCGTGAGCCACCGCACCCGGCCACCTCAGCTACAATTCTTAATCTCCTTCTCACCGTTTCCCCCCTTCTGCTGCTTCCTCTCCCTTCTTACCCTCAGGCCTCTTCCACAGGCACCAACATGGCCCAGTATCATCATTCCAAGCAATGAGTTCATAGTTTTATCCTTTGGGAGATGCGATGCTGTTGGGGAAGCCCGTTCTTTTCCACTTTTTTCCTGATTGTCTTCTCCCAACGTCTTCACTCACCCTAATTGTCTTCATATATACTTTATATATACTCTCTTATAATCAGTGATGTTAACACTTTCTTAAATGCTCCAAATTGCCTGTTTAAATATTCTAGCTACAGCTTTAAAATAATTCTTCTATTGTCTCTTATATTTACAGTTATGGGCTGCATAACAACATTTCAGTCAATGATGGACCATATATACATTGCTGGTCCCATAAGATTATAATATCATATTTTACTATACTTTTTTAATGTTTAGATATGTTTAGATACACAAATACATCCTATTTCATTACAATTACCTACAATATTCAGTGCAGTAACATGCTGTACAGGTTTGAGGACGAAGAGCAACAGGCTGTACCATATAGTTTAGGTGTATAGTGGCCTATACCATCTAGGTTTGTGGAAGTATACTCTGATGTTCTCATAATGACAAAAGAGCCTAACAATGCATTTCTCAGAATATCTCCCCATCGTTAAATGTCTCATGACTGTATATATGTATTTACACACACACACACACACACACATACACACACATAGACTAAATATATGATGCAAACAAATGAAGCCACAAAATTCATAGGCAGAATTCAAAGAATTCAATGAGTGAACACCCAGTACTCAGCTGGTGTTCTGAAAGAAACAGAATATTAACAGACCTTTGACGCTCCTGTGTGATTTTATCAATAGCATGGTCCTTCCCCCGTCCACAGGTAAGCATGTCCTGAAGACTGTATCATTAGTTTGTTTGTTTATATTTTTAGAATATTGATGTGTATACATGCATGCATACATACATATATATGGTGTGTAAACTGTATATTGTTTACTTTTACCTGTTTTGGGCCTTTATAAAAATGAATTGATTTTTTAAGCACTCTTCTACAGTTTCTTTTTCTTTTCTTTCATACTTGTAGCTGTCAATCATTCATTTATATTCATTTTATAATTATGAAAGAGTTTCTCAAGTATATATAAAATCAGAGTGTTATAAAGCCTCAAAGCTTCAAATTTACACATTTAAAACTAAATGTTTGTTAAAGCGATTTAGTAGATATTTATTTTTCCAAGCACTACTGTATAGAACCTGTTCAGCTTTTATTATTTTTCTTTTTCAGTTTTTCACAGGACTTACAATTATGTGTGCATGTGTATATATTTGAATATTGATTCTGCACTGGTCATATGTGTTACAAGTATATACTCCAAGTTTCTGGCTTACTTTTTCATTCTTCATGTATCTTTCAATGAACAAAATCTCTTTTAAGATAATGAATTCTATAATTTTTTTTCCTTTAGGGATGGTACTATTTGTACCTTGTTTACAAAGTCCTTCTCTATCCTAAAACAAGAAAGTTGTTCTCCTGTTTATCTAAAAGTTTATAATTTTCCTTTTGCATTTAAGTTTATAAATTATGGAACTAACATTTGTGTGTGATATGAAATAGGGAAGCAATTTAATTCTTTTCCATATGACTAATCAATTGCCTCAGTAGCTTTCCCCATTGATCTACATTGCTAAATCTATTGTAAATTATGTTCCCTACATATTCACAAGTCTGTTTTATCAGTCTATCCCTGGATTACTGCCACACTATATTAGATTGAGTAGCTTTAAAACTTATTTTTATGTCTAGTGACAGAGGTTCTTTGTCCTGAGTTTTCCAGTCTCCTCCGTTTTTGTGATCCTCCTCCTCCTTCTCCCCACCCTCACCAATTTATTCTCCTCGCATTTGTCTCCATCTTTCTTCATATTTCCTTCTCTCCATCTTTTCTACATCTCTTCTTTTCCTTCAACGTCTTTTCCTATAGTTTTTCCTTCTACATCTCTTCCTATAGTTTTTCCTTTTTTCTTTCTCTCCCTCTCTTCCTTTCTTCCTTTATATTCCAATCTTCCCATTCCCTTAATTTATTCTTGAAATGACTAATAATTGTTTGACTCTCAAATAAACTGTAGCTAAGTATAGGAGACAAAAATATGAGTGGGATTTAAGTTAAGGGAGAAATTATATCCAAGAATAATAAATTCAAAGGGAGCAGTGAGGAGGGATCCAGAAATGATTCTTGTAGTAGGTAGCATTTGAGTTAGAACTTAAAATGACAGCTAGATTTTAGAGTGAATATCTCCAGGCTGAAGGTCTTCCAAGTAGAAGAAACGTATTGAAACAAGTTTCAAGAAGATAAAAATATAGGTGATAGCATGCAGTAAGTAGAGCATTTCAACTAGTCCATGGGGTGCACATGGTAGAGGATCCTAAGTCAGCAAAAGAGAGTGACCTTAGTGTCCTTTCCTTGTGAGTCATTGAAGAACCATGAAAAGATACGTTATAGGAAAGTTATTTAAATGTGTTAGATAAACCAAAGTTGGGAACAATTGGAGTCCAGGAAACCATAAAACAGTATTGACATAGTTTAGTCAAAAGATAGCAAGAGCATATACTAGAGCCTTGGCAGCAGGAATCAAAATAATAGACACCTGCCAGAGTCTTTGCAAAAAGACAATCAACCAGTCCTGGTAATCATGGGCAGTGAGGAAGGGGATGAGATCAAAGACAACACTGAGGCCTTGACCCTGGAAGAGTAAGAGGTTGCAAATTCCATTTACAAGGACTAGATGGGAATATCTAGTAGCGTATTGAAAATGTGAGTTTGGTCTCTCTGAGGAGCAGCTGATGCCATACAGAGGAGGAGAATGTGTAGAAGTGGGAAAATGCGAATTTGGACGCTGTAGTATAGTGGAAGCTAAGAAAATATTCACCTCATCATGGAAAATGATCAAAATCAGAGTCACCATCCTACAATTAGAAATAGGCCAGCAGGACCCCTTGTTCTTGGGGACATCAGTGTCCATCTACTAGGTCCAAAGCCCTTAGAATGTTTAATGCCGGACCATGGCATTGAGGGAAAGACAGTGGGCTGTTGGTGTCTGTAGGCCCAGGTTAGTGGAGGATGGGGATGAGGAAATTCGTCTTTATAGTGTCATATGCTACAGAAGTCAGGAACCATGAGGATTAAAATGAATTACTAAATTTAGTAATCCAGAGATTATTATTAAATTTGGAAAGACTAGTTTCAGGAGAAGATATGGGGCTAGAGATGAGAGTTCAAAGATTTGAAGAGCAACTAAGGAAGGAGAAAATGTAGACAGCTGATTTACACAATAATTTTGAGAATTTGGAGTTGATCAGGAGGGAGGTCTGGTGGGCTGAGGAGCTATGGGGGATGGAAAAATAGAGCATTGTTTTTAGAATGGGGAAAAACTTGTTTGTAATTCAGAAAGATTAAGAGAAGAAACATGTTTGAAGAAGCAGAGACTGATAAACTTGTGGAGTAGTTTGAGTCTATGAAACCAAGAATACAGGTGGAGGGGGTCTCATGCAGAAAAGAAGGCATAAGCAATGCCTAATCCTTTGAGGGAAAAGAAGGCCTGAAGGAATTGGGATATAGAGGGATTTTGAGTTAGGAAAGGACCTACCAAGGACACCCTGAATCTTGCTCTCAGTAAAGCAGAAGGAGTAGTCATCTGCTTAGAGTGATGACGGGGCCTAGTGTACTCAGAACTGAAAATCACAAAGGATTGCAAACAATTAGCTTCGCAAAATGTGATCAAGATTTAATCACCAATCTGTGGCAGTATCCATAGAAACATATCTGGTGTTTTTACAGGCATACCTCGGAGATACTGAGGGTTTGGTTCCAGTCCACCTCAATAAAGTGAGTTACACACAACTATTTTGGTTTCCTAGTGCACATAAAAGTCATGTTTATACTATACTGTAGTCTATTAAGTGTGCAATAGCATTATATCTAAAAAAAGTACTACCTTAATTAAAAATACTTTATTGCTGAAAAATGCTGACATAGAGACTTGAAGTGAGCACACATTGTTGGAAAACTGGCACCAATAGATTTGCTCGAGGCAGGGTTGCCACAAACTCAAATCTTCAGTTTATTAACATAAATCAGTATCTGCAAAGCACAGTAAAGCAACATGGAATAGAGCAAGATATACCTGTATTATTATGCTGTTGTCGATATTGCTATGGATTTGCTTAATTTCAGATTTGCTGTCCTAATAATATTAGCACTGAATAGTTGAGGGAAAAATTTCATTTTCTGCCTTACTGCTTATAAAATATGTTAATAGGTAAAAATAGAAATCAAAGCCATCTTTTCTTTTTTATGTGAAATTACAGAGTACAAGTTTAAAAAACAAGTTTTCCTTTAACTCTAGAGGCAGACCTAAATCTTGAGGGGCATAAAAAAAGATTTCACATGGGAAGCTGGATTTTTAGGCTAATGAATGCAACTCTATTTTTGATACTATGCTGTGTGTTTATATAAAATAGAGGAGCATTTTATGCCAATTAGTGGCTTGCAAACCCTATACTTTTTCCAGCAAGGACTAAGCTTGAAAAACTTGAGAAGTTAATACAGAGAAGCGTTGGCAGTGGATCATGCGGTTGGCTTGACTCAAGGCAACAAAGCTTTAGCATAAATTAGTTTTTATTTGTTAAAAGAAAAACAAATTCTGTTTGTTTTTATAATACAGTTTGTTGGTTCTTTTAATTTGGGGGAAAATTTGGGGAATTCCAGTTCTCAGAGAAGTGAGAAGCTGAGCTCAGCATGAGCCAGGCCCCGGCTTCCAGGCCCTGTGTAAACAGCCACATGCGTCTTCCTCAATACACCTCGGTTTGAGGCAGCAGGGCGGGCCTGTTATGCCTGGACCTCAGCTGAACCAAGAGTCCCAGCCAGCCAATGACTGCTGTGTGATCCACAGTAGATTATTCAGACCACCAAAGGGAGCCTGTGGCTCTTCTCCCACCAATCTTTAGCCCTGACTTTTATGTAGTGGCTGAGGAAAGCAAAATTTATAGAATGCTATTACTTTGATGGAGAGATGATCTCATCCTTTTCATTAGTTTTGCAGATAAGAAAAGTGAAAATTGGACTCAGAATTTGGCTTAGTCAAAGCAGACTGGTACAGTACCTGACAAACTCAATTCCCAAGTCAAAGGTCCTTGAATATAAGGTGTACAATCAGTAGACTCCTTTTTCAGATGTCTATGTGAGAACTACAGTAAATGAGAGGTGTGTGTGTGTGTGTGTGTGTGTGTGTGTGTGTGTGTTTTCATCCCAGTCTAGAAAAATGGCATGAAAATCAAATGATTTGCAGCACAGCTAATGGTAAAATCTTCCAAATCCAGAATTCCTGTGATCATTGTGTACTTCACTCAGCAGCATAAACCCTGGTTTTCGTGGCAATTCCCAGTTGAAGTGAAGCTAGTTGCGCCTGGGGAAACTTGATGTGATTGTTGCTAACTATTACTTATTTTCATGAGTTGGTACCATTTCAAGATTTGTGGTGCAAGGGTTTCTTTAGAAGTCTGCAGCCAGTATTAGTTCAGTCCTTTTGAACTTACAAAAGCACTGTCACATTCACAGTGCACTTGGTACTCATGATAACACTATGAAGTGTTGTGGCAAATATTGCTAGTTGTTGCCAATTTCTATGTTCTTCTTCTATAGTAACAGAATTTCTGCTTTTTGTATGGACATAAAAGCCACATATCCCAGCCTAGTTAGGTGTGGCCATATAGTTAATTATGGCCAATGGGATGAGAGTAGAGGTAATGAGGTATAAGTAGAGTTAATGTTTGTAAATTCAGTGCTCTGTCAACAAATGGGGACAGCACACTGTCTCCACTGGCTGGAATAATGCTGGGCTTGAGAAACCTTGTTCTAGGTGATTTTGAAATATTCATGAATAATAAATGCAGATTATTATCATTATAAAGATAAATGGTTGTGTGACCTTGTACACATTATTTAATCATTCTAAATTTGCTTCTCCAATCTAAATTTGAGATACTAATAGTCGCCACAAGGGATACAATAAATATTAGAAGGGACGTATATAAAGTGTGGATGACAGTGTTGTCAGTACTAATAGCAAGCAGAGCCTGGTTTTGAGAACCGTAGAGTGTGGAGGACAAGAGGGGAAGAGATACAGAGGCGACTGCAGGAGTGGGACTGAGAGGCAGCGGCCGGAGTCAGAAGGCCTTCCTCTTTCTCATGAGGTGGCTGTGGTGCATTCTTTACTGAACAGGACAAGACTCTGTGGTTAGTGCTGGAACTCTTTGTCCTGAGTTAACAGTAACAGGAAGAGTGACTCAATATCCAGCCTCAAAGGATGGAGAAGCTGAGTCTGGTTTGAAACTTCCTCTCTCAAATCAGGGTTTGTCTGGGAACTAGATGAGTAGAAATGACTGTTAGTGTGCTCCATAGAGACCAATAGGCCCAGCTAAGACAGGCTGGGTGGGAAAAAAGGCCAAGGGAATGAGAAGGTTTGGGCAACAGGAATTTTTATTAGCCTTGTGGTTTGAGCTAAGTTTTAATAGCCAGTAGACCTATGCTTGAATCCCAGATCTACTACTTAGCAACTGTTATTGGTACCAATTTCCACATCCTTAAAGTGGGAATAATAGCTACCTTTTGAGGACTGTTAATCACAGCCATCATCTACTGAATTCTTACCGTGGATCAATCACTTTCGTAAATATTTGTGTTCGTTATCTCAAGTAATCTTCACAATGCTGGAAGGTAAAAACCGTCATGATTTCCAGGTTACGGAAGAGAAAAGTGGGGCATAAGGAGGTCAGAACATAGACTCATACGATTAAACTCTACTTCTTTGTTGCTTTTCCACTTAGGATTAAATGAGAAAATATAAAGTACTTAACACAGTGGTTGGCTCATTGTCTTGAATAAATGGTAACTTTTAAATATTATCCCAATTTTAGAGATGAAAACCATGAAGCTAAGAACAGCAAAGCAAATTTCCCTGAATTGTGTGACTGTTGGTAGAACAGGGTTCACGCGTTTCACTCCACACAGTTTTGATGCATTCTGCCTTGCGCCAAAAGGGTATCCAGCAGAGTGGAAGCAGCTGCTTCACCCGGGATGGAGGAGGATGTTCAACCAGCTCTCAGAGGTCATGCCTGAACTCTAAGGACATGGCTTTATCCTTCTCAGGATGTATTCTTCGCCTGCTACATCTTGAACACAGCAACCACGAGCAGTCTTCATCCCATGACCGCTGCCCCCGCCTTGTTTCCACAGACCCAAGCTCCTGCAGTGCTCGAGTCACATGATCAAGCGCTCATTTCTGTTTGTGAAGTTTCTCAGCCAAAAGGAAAACCATTAGGTATCAAATTGCAAGTAGAAAGCATCCAAGAAGCTGCCTATTCCAGCACCAGTTCCTGCCAAAGAACCTTAAATAAACTTGGTGAAGGGAAGATGTCTGAAATTACTCTATACTCAGTATATTTAGTTAGATTAATAATAGAACTTGATTTCATCTAACTAATTAATTTGAGTTCTAAAAGCAGACACAAATAATAGGCTTGTTTTTTTTCATTTTTTTTTCATTTTGATTCCCTTTGGGGATTTTTTTTAGGGGGGGTGGTGTAAAATGTTAGTCAATGTACTACTAAGGATAAAAGAAAAACTATCTATCTAAAGAGTGAAGTAGCTCTTTATATTTTTAACCAAAGGTGAGAGGTAAAGTCAAGCAATTTCTCTAACAATCAATTGTTATATACAGCAGTAACATGGATAGAAAAGGATACTCAAACAGGAAAAAAAAATCAATACAACTTAAAAAACATAATTAAACACGTAAAATGTTTGCCTTTATTTTTGAAAATTATCTTATTTCAATACAATATTTTCTGAAGGAAAGTGAACAGTTATGTCCCCATTTAAAAAAAATAAGTCTAATAAGGTAGACACTCCTTATGTTCTACATGACAATGAATTTCATGACACCTGACTGACTTCTCATTGCAAGGCACATTAATATAAATGACTCTCACTAAGCAACAAAGGCTGGAGGAAGAAGTTCCTCTGCCCTGAGAGCTCCCTGTGAGAGAGAAGAAGATGAGCAGGAGTCAGGCACGTCCTTGTTCCTAGCACTTGAAATGGGAGAGGACTGGCCAGAAATCAGAAGAAAACAAGATCTGATGTTTTACCTTTGAGTAAAATTTATTTTCTTGGAAAAAAACCACATGGGTGAGAGTACAGTTCTCCGTACTCGTTTAAATGCTCCAGGAATAATTTTTGGAGGAACTGGAGTAAAGTTTGAGGCAGATGTTGAGACTGGGAAACCAGAAAGTAGTACAAGATCATTTAGTAAGAAAGGGTCAGAATAGGCTGAAAGGAGGCAATTCAACAAGACCAGGGAATAGTTGAATGTCAGAGTCAGGATTAAGCACAAAAGAAGTAGAAAGTTGGATATTTAAACTGTAAGATGTTAATGCGTGTAGTCAAGTGAGGCAGCAGAAAATTAGCTGAGTAAGGAGAACAGGCAAAGCATCAGGACAGGAAAGAAAACCCTAAATTAATGGGCAGAAGAGTTACAAACACAAAAGCAATGAAAGGTCCAAACCCCAAGCTGCAAAACCAGTTGGTTCAAACCGCTAGTCACAAATAGTACATGAAGGAAAATTTAAAGTACTTATAATTAATAAAAAGAATTTACCTCTCCTGGGACAGCAGCAGTTTGAAAAGGAGAGAAAGGGTTTGTATAAAAATCAAGGATGTTTTGCCTTTTCCCATGAAGCTGTGAAGAAAGGAAGAAAGCTAGGGGAAATAAGAAAAGACGATTTGCCTCTCTGGGACACATTCCTCCTGGTGACAGTCCTCTTTCTCCCCCTGGTCCTTCTTAGCACACAAAGTAGATAGGCTATATGCTCTATAAAATAAGAGTCTGCCTTCTTGGGATCTATAAATCAAAGATGCCACAGATATGTGATAGTGAGTCTGAAGTCAATACAGGTCATAAGGACAGATTAATCAATCCTGTGAAGATGTTTTGCAGATGACAAACACTTGACCAAAATGATAACTGACCATGTGGTTAAGGGGCCATATTTTCTCATAAGGTAGTACTTTCCAAACTTGTTCACCTCAAGAGCTCTGAGTAAATGAAGTAGTTAGAAGACATACTGGAGCCAGGCATGGTGGCTCACACGTGCAATCTCAGCACTTTGAGAGGCTGAAGCAGGAGGGTCACTTGAGCCCAGGAGTTCAAGACCAACCTGGGCCACATAGGGAGACCCCATCTCTACTTAAAATAAAGAAATTAAAATAGACAGATGTGGTGGCATGTGCCTGTAGTCCCAGCTATTCAGGAAGCTGAGGTGGGAGGGTCTCTTGAGTCCAGGAGGTTGAGGCTGCCGTGAGCAGGGACCATGACACTGCATTCCAGCCTGGGTGACAGAGGGAGAGACTCTGTCTCAACAAAAAGACACAGCAGAGTAAAGAGGATGCAGGAGAAGATCTAATTCTTGTGCGAGCCTTCTTTATCCCTGCAGGTAACCTCAAGGTTCCCGTGGCTTCAGAACAAGGTGAGGGATATGAGGATCAATGTCAAAGTATACAAGGGCCTCCTTCATATGGTTGGGAAGCTTTGCCTTAAGAGACAGTTTTAGATCTCCTGAGTAATTACTCTTAGAGGCGGGGAGCCGCACAGTAAGAGGAATGGATATAAGCAAATGTCAAAGTTAAACAGAAATCTTGGAAAATGTTGTATAGGGAAACTGAGCCCAATACAGACTAAGGTGATGTCTCAAGTGGTAAATATAAATGAGCAAAAGAGTCATTATTTCCCTGGAGTGAAAAGGGAGATCCTGTCTCTTCCCTCTTCATTTTCTTCTTCCTCCTCCTCTTCCTCTTTTTCCTACTCTTCTTCCTGCTCTTCCTCCTCCCAACATGGAACTTACAGTATACAAATGCAAGCAACAGAGGCAGATAAAGAGAAAAGTAACCCAGCAGACCAACAGCAACAGTTTTATACAATGGAAATAGGACTGGTAAAATATAGTGTTGAGGTGGCCAACGTTCAGGCTGCTGTGTTTTGTCAGGCCAGAACCATGTTTTTAAAATAATTGAATTTGAGTACTTTTCAGTAAAGTATATATTTTCTATGTTTTTGAAGCTGCCACCACTTAATATTTTATCAAGTTTTTTCATTTGTTTTTGTTATTTTCCTAACCTCTGAAGATATTTGAGTTTTGCAAACCCCAGCTTTTGAGTGATTCAGAGAGGACCTTAAAGCCAGCATTGTGAGAGGCATAACCTCTAAAGATGAAGAGTCCAGCAGAGATAAGCTTGGGGCCCAAGGAAAATAATGTACAAAAACAAGACCACAACTAGCAGGAAGACAGAAATGGCTTCTAGTAAGGAAATATTGTTACTATGAGTTATCATAACTGTTTCTAATTTTTAAATTATAAACACAGATTTGTGCATACACATTTTTCTAAAATATATATTTCTTATAGTATTTTTATTAAATATGTCTAGTTTACCACTATATTTTGTTATTTAGTGAATTCTTTCATTTCAAAATGTATCCAGAGAAGATGTTGGAGTATCTAAATTTACATGAACTTAATCTGTCATCTAACTAAGATACTGCTAACTAAATATTTTGGCAGAGAAGACTCTTTATTGAGTCTTCCACATAGCCTAAAGTACATTACATAAATGAACTTCAGGGAATGTATTTTTATATGTCTCAAGATACATAAAGCCTTTGTAACACTGTTTGGATTTGGGTCAAAGAAAAATATGACCCAAACTGTAGCTTTTTTTCTATATATATATATATATAAAATACAGAAAAAATATATAATCTACATATACATATATATAAAAAATAGATAGATAGATAGATAGATAGATAGATAGATAGATAGATAGATTTTGCTTGCTAGTGTTGTGTGAAATGAAGAAAGGTATATGGCTGAAAAAATTAGAGTAAGAAATCTACAAGTGGAATATCTGACTCTAAAAAGGCACTCACTTCCCAGGACTGCCTGCTGTCGTCAGTGAGCTACGAATGGATTTCAATAAAGAGTAAGTAACGATACCAGGCTGGTCCACTTTGGGAAGATTGTATGAAACACAGTATAGAAAAAAAAAATATTTTCCCCAGGAAGAATATAATTGATTTATTCTATAAGTACTTTTCTTAAGTAAGTGTAGGCAACCTCAGTAATATAAAATATCAGCATACTCCTGAAAACCTGTAATGAAAGCAGGTATGACAGTACTGTATGGTTTATTGACATGCACATGTAGGTTGCAGCATTTAGAAACCCACCCACCCCCATCAGAATCAAGCCATTGTAAATGTTTTAGTGCAACCTGGTGGTGATTCTGTTTTCTGCAACAAGGTGATAAAAGGCATTCAAACACATCTATTTAAAAATATTTCAGTATAACAAAATTATCCCAGAGAAAATAGATTGTTCCCATGAATTACTATTCCATGTTACCTAATAATAAAATATAAAAATAAATTGATAAAAACATAGTTTTTTAAAGTTTGCTTTTAATTCAGCATTCATTTAGAAAGGAAATCTATATTTTGGATGAAAAAGTGTCCAAGACTGAAAATCCAGTCTTCACAAATTCATTTTTTTTCCTCAGAGGATAAATTTAGTCAAACTAATTATTTAAATTATTTAAAACATTAATAACTTGGTCTTAGAGAAAGGAAGAGTTGGAATTTAAAAATAAGTAAATTATATTTACATAGAAAAACTCTTAGAAATCCACATCTAAAAACTGAATGCTTATGAAATGTTTTACTAATTAATAAAAATTTCATTTAGAATAATAAAAAAGTATAAGATCATTGTATAATTTACTTCTCTGTTATCTCTAGCATACAAACACCACAGAATTCATTTAGGTTGTATGTGAACCTTATAAGTTTTCTGTTTTTTTTTTAAAGAAAAATTTGTCTACTTCTCATAAATCAAGACTTAGGAGACCCAGTTTGATTGAGATTGAAATCCTGCTGCCAACTCAGAGAAGATTTACTTTCCCGAGAGCATTCAGGGACTTATTTCTTCTAATATTTTAGATGATAAATTATTGGGGTCAGAACTGTTGAGAAGTTTGAATATTCTTTCAAGATTTTCTTTTTAGACTTTGAAGAACAGTATCAAGCAAGTATATAAACAAAGCCCAGAGTTTCCACAGTGCATTTATCATGAATCCACTGCCTCTCACCTCTTGGGGAATATTTACATTTTCTTTAAAGATTTGATGATTGTACAGGATTAAATATCAGTCTTATTTCTAAATTAATGATTTAGTGTTAATCATCAAGCCAGTTATTCTAATTTAGAGATGTTCCTTTATGGAGAACTTTAGCTTCAAATATGATTATTTTGCTGAACTTGGATGGACTATCTACTTTGTTGTCTATAATGGGTTAGCCCAACTTTAAAGAGCTTTACACAATGGAAAAAGCAAGTGCTTCTCTTATTTAATACCACAAAGAAATTATACTTTCCTTTGGTAAAATTCACTTATTTTTGAGCTTATTTCTATGAACATGAGCTATTTCATACTTATAAAACTTCATTTATTAAAAATATAGATTCTCATGAATAAAATTATTAATGTTTTAAATGCCCATTTAGTAATAAAGTCACTTCACTGTATCCCTGTAAAATTCATGAAACATTACATTATTTGTGCTATATGTTGTCCTATGACAGAACTACCTGTTTGGTTTGATGCAGTGAAATTGTTCAATATGCATCCAGATGGAAGTTAATGACATTTATTTTTGCACATGTCTGCTGGGAAAAAACTCCAATGGAGACTTCTGGGGCATCATATTTTATTAGCTCCTTTAAAGCAATCCCCATTTCCTGTCTTAAAACTTGGTAGGTGGAGTGTGAAATTATTTTTAGTGAGGGTAAAGAAACTAAGCAAGAGGTCCTACAGCCAGGTGCTCCCCTCCAGGTCAAAAAAAAATCTTCAAGAGTGAGAAGCCTCAGAACAACTTTGCTAAGTATACTTGGCTTCATTCCGTCACTTTTTAAAGTTCCTCTCTGAATTCCCCTTACTTAAGCCCCCACTTTCGTGTCCCAGTCTCACTGACACAGTGTTGTATGAAAATTTACTCTGCTCTCTAAATGGGGTTTGGGGCAGACCATAAAGGCCCCCAAAAAGCTTGCTTCCTTCCACTTAAAACACCTCCAGTAAATGTCCCCCAAACACATCATGTGCCAGGTGCTTGAAAGACAAGGGGCAAAGTGGCAAGCTCACTGGGGGATGAACTCTGTTAAGGTGAATCAAGATGAAGAAAAGACACAGGGGGTAAAGCATGCAGTGAAATTGTTGAAAATGATTAGTCCCATTGGAGAACTAAAGCAGCTAAGCATCCTGGAAGCTGGGGAAAACAGCACAACATTTATTCTAAGACAAAAAACCAAGTTTGTGAGTGATGTGGTTGAGAAAAAATGATAATAAGGTTGAGAACTAACTGTAGTAAATATTTTACTGGAGGTTGATATAATTTATATTTCAAAAAAGTTGTGAGGGTGGCTATGTATACATAGTGGCAGAGGGTATATAGGATATCATCCTGCCTTCTCAATTTTCTTGTGAACCTGAATTTACTCTCTAGAAAAGTCTCAAAAACTAAAAAAAATTAAAAGTTCAGACATGACTAAAACCAAGGTGGTTTATTCTTATAATAGCAATTAAAACATACCTATTGAACATTTAGATGTTTCCACTACTGCAAGTTGCTACAGAAAAGTTATACGGATAGGTACGGGTATAGTTTCTGATCTTGAGGAATGATGTTCCCTAAGGGAGATACTCATAAAAAGATTACAGTGGAATATGATATATACTATGGTAGAATTATAATCAATGTGCTATGAAGGTAAGATGAAGAGACTAATACATTCTGGCTGTGAGGCAGTGAGACCATCTTTACAGATCTGGCGATATTTGGAAGGTGTCTTAAAGGCATTGATGTTTACGATAACTGGAAAAGAGCTCAGGTTATCTCATCAAGGAAGTCTGGAGCTGGGCAAAGGAAACATAGATAAAAAGAGCAATACCTGGAATAGGAAAACGTTGTAACTAATATGCTCAGAGAGCTATTTCCATCATAGAGCACCTATACAAGGTGATTAAAAATGAATACCCTGAGAATAAATTTAAAAGAATTTGTGGAAATGAAATTATATTTAAGAGAGAAAACATCAATAGAAGATACAAAAAGTTGAAGATTCTCGAAGAGTAGAATGAAAGGACAATGAGATTTTTAAAATTGGCAATAAAATATAAGAAAATTAGGGAATGCAGATGTTCAATACAAAAACAAGGTTCTGTATCTTCACCCTTTCACACGTAAATACACAAAGAAGAAGAAATGGGTAAAAGAGAGAAAAAGAGATACAGAAAGAAATTGACAGGATAGGCAGAAGGGAGCAAATTATCCAGGAAACAGTCAGCGCTGAAAAACAAAAGAGATTCCTTTAAAAATCTGAAGGAAACTAATAGATGTGGACAATTGAACAACTGCCCCTGAAGGATGCCAAATGCATGAAAGAGAAATTCAAAGATAGAGTAAATTTAAAATTTCGTGAAAAAAATTAAAATCTGAATATAAAGATTAAAAATACACATTGTGTCTCAGGAAGAATCCATACAGAAAGATTGGCACCAAGATTGAGCAAGATGGACTTCATAATTTCAAAGATCAAGAAAGAATCATACAATCATCCAGGAAGAAAACACAATTAATGCTTATAAGAGAAAACGTTTGGTCTGGCTCCAGCATTGCACAGCAACAATCAATGACAGAATTCCATGAAATTAAGTTTATAAAATTCTTTGGGACCAAAAAAAAAAATGACTCTCAATGTTTTTTTTAAATTTTTGCTGTGCTTTCTTTCAATCATAAAAATGCTAGATATTCTCAAATATTCAAGATCAGAAGGAAACAGCATCATAAAGAAGTTTGATAAGACCCACTTTCACTTTATAATAAAATCATCCTAATTAAAGATGAATGAGGCCAGGGGTGGTGGCTCACACTTGTAATCCCAACACTTTGGGAGGCCAAGGTGGGCTGATCACTTGAGGTCAGGAGTTCGAGACTAGCCTGGCCAAAAGGTAAAACACAGTCTCTACTAAAGATGCAAAAATTAGCCGGACGTGGTGGCATGCACCTGTAATCCCAGCTCCTCAGGAGGCTGAAACAGGACAATCACTTGAACCTAGGAGGCAGAGGTTTCAGTCAGCTGAGATTATGCAACTGCACTCTAGCCTGGGCAAAAGAGCAAGAGTGAGATTCTGTCTAAAAAAAAAAAAAAAAAAAAAAAAGATGAATGAAAATAAGGATTTAAGGATTTTAGCAAAAGAAAAGCCCTACAAAGACTCTAGATTCTGATTCATTTTAAATATAGGCCTACTGCAGGGCTAGTTAGTTCAATATTGTGGATTTAGCAACATAAATACAAAAAACCTCAAGAGGTGTAGACAGACGATGGAGGAAGTTTGAATATGACAATTCATTATCTTTAATAGCAGGAAGATAGGTAATAGTAAGTGAAGTTGAACAATTTTGAAGTTTTTTGATCTTTGTTTGGCTTAGGTTCAGTATAAAGTCATAAAATATATGTTGTAAAAAAAGAAATTTAACTATAGGTTAAAAAATTCTTTTTTAACTTGTTACAATTCTTTTTTCTTATGTTTATGTGAATTAAAAGTAATCATTTTTAATATAAGGAAAATCTATATTTTATGTTTTCAAATTTTTGTTATTACTAGATTTTTATACATCTTTTAAAATCTAAAAACAGGCCGGGCCTGTAATCCCAGCACTTTGGGAGGCTGAGGTGGGTGGATCACGTGAGGTCAGGAGTTCAAGACCATCCTGGCCAACATGGTGGAAACCTGTCTCTACTAAAAATGCAAAAATTAGCTGGGTGTGGTGGCACGCCCCTGTAATTCCAGCTACTTGGGAGGCTGAGGCAGGAGAATGGCGTGAACTTAGGAGGTGGAGATTGTAGTGAGCCGAGATCGTGCCACTGCATTCCAGCCTGGCGACAGAGCAAGACTCCATCTAAAAAAAAAAGAAAAAAAGGAAAAAAAAAAATGGAAAAATGTTCTTATTTAGCCTTCCTTCTTCCTCCTTCCATCCTTTCTTTTCTCCCTTCTTCCTTCATTTATTTCTTTCTCCCTTCCTTTCCTCTTTTCTTCCTTCTATGTGTATAGAGAAATAACTAGAATAATATTCACAAAAATATAATGTTTATATCTGTAAGTGTGTTAGGGAATTTTCTTTAATGATTTTTCAAATAGGGAATAGATGCACAGTTTAAAACTCAAAACTGTATGCTAACATGTCCAAGCTCCTTCCCATGTCACCATCTCCTGCCATTCCCTATAGGTAATGAATAGAATACCTTAGTTTATTTAACTGAATAGCTATAGATGGGCACTTTAGTTGTTTCCAATAATTTCCCACTTCAAAGGAAGATGTAATAAATAATCTGTACACATATTTTGTAACTAAATAGATATTCCTCGAGGGTAACTCCCCAGATGTAGAGTTTCTAGGTAAATGTAGAAACACCTATAAATTTGATAGCTATTGCCACATTGTCCTTTTTAAGGTTGTTTATTTTGTACTGGTAAAATAATGAAAGTTCTTATTTCCCCACAACCCTGACAACAGGATATATTTACTATTGAAAATTGTTATCTCAATGAAGTTTTAATTAGCATTTTTCTTATCTGAGTGAAGTTGAGCATATGTTTAGGGCCTTTTGGAATTCTTGTTCTGTGAACTCTCTTTTCTCCTTTAACCGCTTTCCAGTTGGATTTGGGATAGTTTGTTAACATTTTTATTGGTGCTTTTCTGTGTCACTTGCTTTTTTACAATAAGGATGTATCATTTAACAAAATAATGTTTATTCCAAAAAGTGCAAAGACCACAGGTAAAGAGTTTGGCCCAGTAAAAGATAGGGAAACTTCTTCTGAGATAGGAAAGGAAAAGTGAATATGATAAAGTTAGAATATATTTTTAAATGCACAGGAACAAATTCAGGTGAATGTCTGCTATTTTTTTCTAAAGTAAAAGAATCAATGGCACTTGATGAAAGTAGTAGCCATGGAGATGTTCACATTTGGGAGAATACCAAGGGGAATAGTAAAAGAGATCAATTGAAAACAAGAAAAAGATCTATTCATTACATTGTGGTCCTGAATCGATGTTGGAATCATTCATATCTCATAGTGCCAGTAGGTAAGTTATGTTTTTTAAAATAGTAATAGTTTCAAGTAAAGCAGCAGCTAGAGTGGGAATAGAGGCAAGGAGGAGAGAAATCTGACTGATACAAGCTTAGTTGTCAACAGAGCAATGGAGGTGATAGGCCACTGTAGGAGAAGGAGCTAATGATGCTGTTGCACAAGGAATTGAAGTGAGGGCATGGAAAAAATTAAATAATTGGAATAAGAAGAAGTACTAGAGTTTTCAATGGAGTAGTTAGAAACCCCAGACAATATCCAATTCTTCCTCTTTTTTTTTTTTTTGCAAAAGTTAGTATCATAACATGTCTTGCACTTGTAATAATTTCAGTTGCTACATAAAATCACAAAATACAAGTCTCAGCTAATATTCCTGGACAGATGTCTTATATGTAAATCTCCATAGAATTATATTAAATAATAAATAGCCTACAAAGGATGTCATCTTGCGATGCTAACTAAAATTAATCTCTTCCTTTAACATTATATAAATATATAGTTGACTTTATTTCTGAAATTCAGATGTTCCCTAAATGACTATAGGGCATTGAATTAAAACATACTGTACAAATCTGTAGAGAGAAACTTATAAGATTTTAGTAATTTGACTAAAGTTGTCATTGATTCGACTAGTTTTGACCTTTTTTAACTTCCTGCATTTAAATTGGAAACAAATATTTTGCTATCTCTTGAAAGAACAAGTAGAGTTTATTTCCCACTGACTCCCATCAAAGAGAAACTTGACTTCCATGATTTAATGCTAGTTTAAACAAAGAGAAAGCCGCCAAAGCACATTTTATTTATAAAAATAACTTGGTTCATTTAAGAATGCATTTTATAAAACTGAAACTGACTGTGAGCTCAGATGAGAAACATTCGACTGTCTTAGGGGAAACCCATATACTTGCACACACACTGGAAAAACCAGATTAAGGTGTACTACATTTATATCCTTTATATGCATTTTCTCAGATAATTCACTTGACTCTAGCTATTGAACAATTGCTTCTTGTTTGTTAAAGTGTGATTCTTTATGTTTTACTTGTGTTCCTTCAATATGGATGCAAAATTATCATTTAGGATTACCAGATGCTCTAAGATAGTATGGGATCAAAGTCAAGATTCAGCATCTAGGACAAAGATCTAGTAGATGATTGAAGAGTTGGTAACCTAATCAGTATACATCCAGGTGAGAAAAAATAGTGTAAGGTAAAAAAATGCATTGAAAAAAAAACATGATGTCCGAAGAATCAGTGCTAAAACCTTCTACAGAGTGTAACCTTAAATACCTAAGAGTTCTTTGCTATTGTCTGCAAGGATCCACCACAATATAAGAGAAATGATGGGAAATTTATTTGCCAAATCAATTCAGAGTAATTCAAAGCAGATACTAGATGGCCCTTGAGAAAGTTTAGTTTTTTTAATATCTGGTAATTATGACAAAAACATTCAAACTTTTAGCTTTAGATCTTTTGCATATTCTTTGTTTCCATTCCTGCCTTTAGCCTAAGTTGTCAGTGCAATGAAAACAAATACATATAAATGAAAGCTCTTTAATAAAGGCATTTACTACATGCCATGTTTTTAAACTATAATAATCCCTTTCACACCTGTCTTATATAGCATACAACAAAAGCACAGAAATGTAATTCATGATGTACTAATCTGTATTAATGACAAGTCAGAATTATTGATTACCCATACAAATTCTTAGCAGGCAGTGACCTAATACACCATCAGGAGACCCCTACATTAAGCCTGTGTTAACCAGTGGGGGCAGGTTCTGTGGATGACCAGGTTCTCTTCCCAGCTTTCATACCATGGACAGATTATTTCCTTTCCTGGTGCCACATCTTCTTCCCACTTCAAAAAGTGTGCATAAAAAACTAAAGATTACACAATCCATAAAAATTCAATAAAATATTTTTATTCTTTGATGGGACGCCAGCTTCTATAGCTGTGATTTCCCTGCTATCTATGAAAGATACCACTGAATCCAGCAAACTTCCCTTTTCTGGAAAATGAAATAAAAATGCACCAGAGTTTCCATTTTTACTCTGGAAAGGGTGAATACACATCAACAAAGCAATGTTTCTCTAGAGGGAAAAACGTGTTATTTTACATAGAAAGTCCATTTTCAGTTCCCTGGCATACTAAATTGGGGACAACTAGATCAGAAGAGAGCTCCCTTGGACTCAGTGTGCCACCCCAGATAGAGTTAATGAGTCACACTCCCCATAAATGTGGTTTGCATTTTATGGTGCCCTGTTAACTTGTTTTAAATACTGATTGATGGGTCGTCTGACAAACACACAGAAATGTGATCCAAACAGTGAGAACTTGTTCTGATTACCAAATTGTGGGACAATGGAACAATGACATTTGTTATTTATTGTAGTGTTTTATTTCCTGGCACTCACTTCAGCAATGAGGTGATCTTTGCTCATACAAATTATGAGAACAATCCTTTCCCATGGGTGTTTAAGAGTGTGTTTATTTTTATATAATAACTTCAATGCTGTGAGTTCATCTAAGCTCACTATGTTGTGCAGTGTTGTTGAGAGCATATATTACACACGGTTTTGTTTTTGTTTTAATCATGAAATAAAGAAGAGACAGAAAACAATTTCAGGTTGTTTTCTTCACCAGTTTTTCAAAGCACATGACACTGATATTTGCAAGGTGGATTAGGAGCACAGCCTACAGTGTTTGTAAGAGCTGGTTCAAGTCCTGGCTCTGTCACTTGCTGTAACAGACCAGATACTGAACTTTTCTAACCCTCTACCCCATATAAAATGGAAAAAAGAATATATGTGGCATAGGATTTGTCTTATGAAACCAATGCAGGTATAAAACAAGGGATAAATACCTGGCATGTGTTTATCTCAATAAATGTTAATTATAATAATTATTTTTTATTTATAAGTAATGATATGAGATACATATTCTTGATTGAGTCAGTATTTTTAAAGTTCCTATTTGCACACTAATGTAAATAGTTTCATTTAATCTTTTCATCTCAGGATCTTACAAAGCTGAACTCTCAAATGTTCTTCTAAATATCTTTAACTTTTAAGTTCAGGGGTACATGTGCAGGTTTGTTACATAGGAAAACTTTTGTTGTGCGGGTTTTTTGTACAGATTATTTCATCATTCAGGCATTGAGCCTAGTATCCATTAGTTATTTTTCCGGATCCTCTCTGTTCTCTCTCCCTCCAGTAGGCCCCAGTGTGTTGTTCCCCTCTATGTGTCCACGTGTTCTCATCATTTATCTCCCACTTATAAGTGAGAACATGTGATATTTGATTTTCTGTTCCTGCATTAGTTTGCTAAGGATAATGGCCTCCAGCTCCACCCGTGTCCCTGCAGAAGATATGATCTCATTCTTTTTATGGCTGCATAGTATATCATGGTGTATATATACCACATTTTCTTTGCCCAGTCTATAACTGATGGGCATTTAAGTTGATTCCATGTCTTTGCTATTGTGAATAGTGCTGCATGTGTCCATGTATCTTTATAATAGAATGATTTATATCCCTTTGGGTGTATACCCACTAGTAGGATTGCTGGGTCGAATGGTAATTCCATCTTTAGGTCTTTGAGGAATCTCTACACTGTCTTCCACAATAGTTGAACTAATTTACACTCCCACCAACAGTGTATAAGTGCTCCTTTTTTGCCACAACCTTGCCAGCGTCTGTTGTTTTTTGACTTTTTAGTAACAGCCTTTCTGATTGGCATGAGATATTATCTCATTGTGGTTTTGATTTGCACTTCTCTAATGATCAGTGATGCTGAGCTTTTTGTCACATGATTATTGGCCACATGTATGTCTTCTTTTGAAAAATATCTTTTCATGTCATTTGTACACTGTTTAAGGGTTTTTTTTTTCTTGTAAATTTAAGTTCCATATAGATTCTGGATATTAGACATTTGTCAGATTCATTGTTTGCAAACATTTTCTCCCATTCTGTAAGCTGCCTGTTTGCTCTGTTGATAGTTTCTTTTGCTGTGCAGAAGCTCCTTAGTTTAATTAGATACCATTTGTCAATTTGTACTTTTGTTGCTATTGCTTTTGGCATCTTCATCATAAAACCTTTGCCAGTTCCTATGTCCTGAATGGTAGGTATTACCTAGGTTGCTTTCCAGAGTTTTTATAGTTTTGAGTTTTACATTTAAGTCTTTAATCCATCTCAAGTCAATTTTTGTATATGGTATAAGGAAAGAGTCCAGTTTTAATCTTCTGCATATGGCTAGCCAGTTATCCCAGCACCATTTATTGAAAAGGGAACCTTTTTCCCATTGTTGTTTTTTGTCAGATTTGTTGAAGATCAGACAGTTGTAGCTGTGCAATCTTATTTATGGGTTCTCTATTCCGTTCAATTGGTCTATGTGTCTGTTTTTGTATCTGTACCATGCTGTTTTGGTTACTGTGGCCCTGTGGCATAGTTCGAAGTGGTGTAGCATGATGCCTACAAGTGTGTTCTTTTTGCTTAGGATTGCCTTGGCTATTCAGGCTTTTTTTTTTTTTTGGTTTTCTGTGAATTTTAGAATGGCTTTTTTGTTTGTTTGTTTGTTTGTTTGTTTTTTAGTTATGTGAAGAATATCAATGGTAGTTTAATAAGGAATAGCACTGAATCTATAAATTGCTTTGGGCAGTATGGCCATTTTAACAATATTGCTTCTTCCTGTCCAAGAGCATGGACTGTTTTTCCATTTATTTATGTCATCTCTGATTTCTTTGAGCAGTGATTTGTACTAAAACAACTAGAGAACCAAGAGCAAACAAATCCCAAAGCTAGCAGAAGACAAGAAATAACCAAAATCAGAGCTGAACTGAAGGATATTGAAACACATGAAAAAATTCAAAAGATCAATGAATTCAGGAGCTGGATTTTTGAAAAAAAAATTAATAAAATAGGCTACTAGCTAGACTAATAAAGAAGAAAAGAGAGAAGATTCAAATAAACACGGTCAGAAACGATAAGGGGGATATTACCATTGACCCCACAGAAATACAAATAACTATTACAGAATATTATAAACACCCCTATGCACATTAACTAGAAAATTTAAAAGAAATCGATAAATTCCTGGACACATACACCCTCCCAAGACTGAAGCAGGAAGAAAATGAATCCCTGAACAAAACAATAATAAATTCTGAAATTGAGGCAGTAATAAAAGCCTACCACCACCACCAACAATAAAAAAAGCCCAGGACCCAGTGGATTCACAGCTGAATTCTACCATATGTACAAAGAATAGCTGGTACCATTCCTATTGAAACTATTCCAAAAAAAAACTGAAAAGGTGGAACTCCTTTTTAACTCATTCAGTGAGGCCAGCATCATCTTGATACCAAAACCTGACGGAGATACAACAAAAAAAGAAAACATCAGGCCAATATCCTTGACAAATGTTGATGCAAAAATTCTCAACAAAATACTAGCAAACCAAATCCAGCAGTACATCAAAAAGCTTATCCACCATGATCAAGTAGACTTTATCCCTGGGATGCAAGGTTGGTTCAACAAACACAAATCAATAAATGTGATTCATCACAGAAACAGAACTAAAGACAAAAACTACATGATTATCTCAATAGCTGCAGAAAAGATTTTTGATCAAATTCAACATCCATTCATGTTGAAATCTCTTGATAATCTAGGTATTGAAGAAACATACCTCAAAATAATGAGCGCCACATATGATAAACCCACAGCTACCATCATACTAAATGAGTAAAAGCTGGAAGTATTCCCATTGAAAACCGCCACAAGACAAGGATGCCCTCTCTCGCCACTACTGTCCAACATAGTATTGGAAGTTCTGGCCAGGGCAATCAGGCAAGAGAAAGAAAGCAAGGGCATGCAAATAGGAAGAGAGGAAGTCAAACTATTCCTGCTTGTAGCCGTCATGATCCTGTATCTAGAAAATCCTATAGTCTCAGCCCAAAAGCTTCTCAGGATAATGAATAACTTTAGCAAAGTCTCAGGATACAAAATCAATGTGCAAAAATCACTAGCATTGCTATAACCAACAATAGCCAAGCTGAGAGGCAAACTCCCATTCACAATTGCCACAAAAATAATAAAATGCTTAGGAATACAGCTAACTAGAGAGGTGAAGTCTCTCTCTGCAAGGAGAACTACAAATGTTCTTTTAAGTGAAGTAGATATAGTTGATTCTTTCATGTTAAAGCTGCGAGATTAAAAAAAATAGGATGCCAAGTTAAATTTAAATTTCTAATAAACAAGAAACAATTTTTGGTGCAAATATGTCCCAAATACTGCATGAGACATACTTGCACTAAAAAACTATTCTTGTTTCATTTAAAATTCGAATGTAACCCAATGCCTTGTATTTTATCTGACAATCAAATTTCATGTCATTTTGAAGAAAGTAATCATGGATAGTTTGAATAAAGAAGAAGAGTTTTCTTTACGGGATCTTAGCAAAAAACAAGAATTCATTTGTTGTAAGTTATCAAAAGCTTTTAATTGTCCTACAAATATAATTAAAATTTAGGAATCACTTTTGATTTGGGCAAAGAATAAAATGTAAAGAGAAATGTAAAGAGGTTTACAAAAGAATGAATACAAATAAAATGGACCCTTAGAAGAATAAATATTTTCACTTAAAACAGGACATAAAAAAGCCTAATTTTGAATGTCTTTGAAGAACCTTCAGATCATTCCAGATGTAAAATTTGTGTAGGAGATTGAAAGCATAGCCTTTTCTACTCATTTTAACAGATATTCATTTCCTTTGAAGTGATATATTTTAAGGTCTTCATATCAAGAAACATGCTGCAATTAGCTAGGAGCAAATAGCATTCACTTATTCAGATCTAATATGGTGTTATGAAATCATCTTATAACCAATATCTGGTATAAATCTAAAATTAAGATCAGTCCTAGTTAGTTGTAAAAATAAATTTTATGTTTAATATTTTAGAGGGAAAAAAACAGGAAAATTTCTCTGTACAAATATAAGAATTCTGAGGGGAAGCTTAACGCATTTAAAATTATCTTTGCAAAGACAGATGTTCAGCTAATCACTTTACACAGTTTTCCTCTTGCAAGAAAATATTAAAATATATATATCTCTTAAATGAAAATATTTATTTGTCACTTATGTACACAATTAATAGCTTGGGACCTGAAGTTTAGGCTTACTAAATGTATCTTTTATTCCCATTGAATTCTAATACCAGGAATAAAGCAAACAACTTTAAAAGAAACCTAGAAGTTTCTTTTTGCCCAATAAATGTAATGTTCTGGATTCATAACATTATCCCTACAGTGTACCAGGCTTTTGTAAGTCAAAACTTTTTGCTTAATATTTCTGACTGGATCCTAGAATTAATAATGGCAGTGCCAAACTTTAGCAAATAAATCTTTTATACCTTGTAACAGATCCCCATTAATGCAACCCATGGCCATAGACATAGACCTATAATTCACATATTATTTCTTTCTACAGGTAAAAATCATAGACATATAATTCCATGTTCTAGTGCCATGGGTCTCACCTTCGGTTTAGTATATGTTCTCACAAAGTAGTGGGCTTTCTGAGCCACTATTTCATCTCTTTCTTTACAACAAATTCCCATATGTAGAAAAAAAGTCTCAAGCTTGATTCTTAAACTAATAGAAATTATTATTGCTCTATTTTCTAAGTAGTTTTTAATCTTTCAAAAGATAGTGTCAGGTGGAAAACACATTTAAAACACACAACTACATTTGGAAGATGTTACTTGCAATTGAAACTTCTGAAGAAAAACTTTGCTTGTAGATTATTTAGACTTTCTGCTATTTGTATTTTGAAGCAATTAACAGATAAAGTAGGCATACATCATAATGTTCTATTGAACATGAGAACTGCAAATTTTAACTACATTATCTAGAAAATGGCAACTGATCAAGTTTCAATAAAAGAAAAGAATGCATAATAGTTTGAGTGACTGAAGAGGTAAGTGAAAGCAAACTTTATTTTTTGTGCCCATAATTGGTGATTCTAATCCCCTTTTCTCATTAATAAGTAAAGATGTAATAAGTAACCTTAATATAAATTAGAAACTGTGGCTTCATTGTAAAATTTACTTCTTTTCATCTGTTAAATAAGCACAAGGATCTATATACTACTATAAGGGTTAATTGTTAATTTTATATGTTACAATAGTGAAATAATTAGAAGTAGGGACACAAAATAAATGTGAGTTGAATGGACAATAATCGGTGCTGTATAGTTAAGACATATAAAATCAGACAAAAGAGTAAAGATATAGAAAACCAAACCAATCTAAAGGTTGTGTTTGACCTTCATGATAAGCTATTACAGAATTCACCAAAACGAGTTTTTATTACTTCATGAAAAATACCACTATTCTTGATTTTTTTTTTCTAGATCTTAAACAATTATTAGACTATTGGATAATTGGGGCCTGTAAAAGTGTCCTGCAAATGTTAATAAATGCATTAAACATATTTCAATAGGTGCATACACATTTCATATTTGAACATATAACACAATGTATTATAAACAAGAAAAAAATAATGGTTGAATTTTATTATGATTAGCGACATCCATTCCTGGTAAAAACATTCTAAGCATTGGAGAAATTCAAAGTAAATGCTTTAATGAAAGTTATGAATGGGATTTAACATGGGAACTATGCATATGCAATATCATATTTTTCATATCAATGAAAAATTCCATAAAAATAGCTATATTAAATTTCATATGTAAATATTTAACAAATATGTTTGTATTCTTCTATTTTTATACAATGAATATTAATACATATTGCATTTATTTATTTTAATGACATTTATTTAAGTTCAATTGTACAAAACCTAATTTGTTGTCAAAAGTATCAAGCAATAAATTTTAAATATTGTACAGGGAATAATCGAGCATGCAAAATTGAAAACCCCATGTAAAGACAGCATGATAAGCTCACTGGAAATTTTTTAATTAAATAAGCTTAAAAAGACATTGGACTAAATGCTAATATATGGAATATAAGATTTCCCAATGTTAATTTAGTTAACAACTTTTTTGTAGTAGCATACACACACATACCACCTTTATGTACTATCTCTAGAAGTAAAATAGTAAACTATATAAGATAGATATATATGAGTAGAACAAGGAGGACATCTTGAGGTCATTTCAGAAATGTACATGATTTTATTGAGTCTGCACACAGTTTATGATTTTTAAAAACAGATCCTTCAAGCTAAGTTAACACTTCTAATATAAAATGTATTTTTTCTTCATAAAAACAAAGGAAAAGCAAAAGCTTTTAGATTCACTTGAAAGAATTCTCTCTCTTTCTCTGTCTCTCACACAAACACACACCCATACACACATACATATACACACATAACGATTACAAAGAAGTTGTTTTTTACTGAATAAGAGATAAAATTTTAAAATAAGCATACGTCTGTACAAACTGTTCTGGCAAAACTATCTTAAATATTTTTCCACAGTAGTAAAATATAACCCTTCTACAAATATTGGTTCGCTGCATTTAATTAATCCACTGTATACCTATTTTCACTTCCTACTTCTACAAAAATAGAAATAACAGCTAACAGGAGGTTTGGAGTTTCCTCATTTATGTCTTTTCCTATGAACCTTGATTTAAAGCTGGACTTGCAGGACCATTGACAGAATGTTCTGGCCCCTCAGTGCCACTCGTGGGTTCAGAACCTTCAGCCTGTTCCTTTGCTTCAGGGAGCTTTTCTGGGGCACCAAGTGGATTAACACAATTAGCATCCTGCTTTACTTTGTCCACTTCATTATCAAATTCAATTTTATCTTCTTGATGGTTGTTTTTCTTTACTTGTCCATTCTGAGCAGGGTAGGTGCTGGCAATGACGTCATATAGGAATTGATATTGCTCCTAGTAAAGGAATTAAGTGGGAAATTACATGAAGAAAGTTGATGTCATTATTTTTATGCCAGATGAAGATTAGCAAGAACTAATGATTTATTTGTGGAAGTATTGGATGACAGAAAAGTACTTTTTGATATGTTCTCATAAAAACATCTAAATAATTTAGTTTCTTTATGGTGCTAAAGGGTTGACTGCAGGATACTTTTTGAACTTTACCTTGGAGCAACCCCAAACCAGTGTTCACTCCGCTCATGGGCCATTTCCATGCCTTTGCTCATGATGCCACGTTTTGTACTTATCCTCCTGTCTAATGCCTACACATTATTTAAGAATCAGGGCAGGAATCACTGCTTCGAGAAGCGTTTCTTGATTCCTAAAGTTTAAATTAAATGCCCTCATTCATGTTCTTCTTATAATTTTTCTGTCATTTTACTCACTACATTGATTAGTAAATACCTGGCTTTCCCTCATACCAATTAGCTCTTTATAGCAAGAGCACATAGCAAGCATTTGATACATTTTTAAGTACCAAGATATGAAATCTCAATATCATACATGATTAAAAGCTTTATATATTTTAGTGAGTAATTAAGTTTACACTGTGAATAAGGATTAATTCCCAGATGACCATCTACAGTTACTACCACATAGAGGGTATACACGATAGATCGATTACAAGAATATAAAACTTATTTTCCTTCCTGTATCCACATTTCTTTGCAATGTGAATTTGCAGGCCCTCTCAAGAAGTGGAGTCTATTTCCCTACCCCTTGAATCTGGGCAGGCTTTATGACTTATTTATTTGGCTAATAACATACAGAAGAAGACATGTGTGTCACTTTTAAGCCTGGGCCTCAAGTGGTCTCACACAAGTCTTCTTTCCCTTGTGGAACTTGCTGCTTTAATGTGAATAGGCCTGGGCTAGTCTTCTGGATGAGGAGGGACATGTGGCCCACTCACTGTTGTTGCCATAGCTAAATGGCAGCCACATGCCAGCCTACTGGCAGTGTAGGTCACTTTAGACCAGCCAAACTGTAGGGCACACATCAGCTGAAGGCAGACACATGAGTCAGCCTGGTCTCTATTGCCTGAGCCTGAGGGCACCAGCAGAACATTCCAGCATATCATTAGACTACTGAACCATAATAAATGTTATTTGTTTAGGCTCCCAAATTTGGGGGTGGTTTGTTACACAACACAAATCGATACAGGAGTGAAGGAAAGAAAATTAAGAAATTCATGAGCATTTAGGGAAAGGCTCTTCATGAACTGTCACAACAAAGTGCTAGTAAACTTTAGGCTCTTATTTAGACTTATAATAATTTAATGTGAATTATCATGTAAAAGTAGAAAAGCTAAAAGAATAGGAAAGAAAATAGAGAAGAGAAAAGGAAAGGGGAAAAAAGAACAAACGAGAGGAAAGGAGAGGAGAAAAGAAAAAAGGAAACCGTCAAAAAGAAAAAAAAAATTCCGAGCATGTTAAAAGCAATGGTGAAGGATACTTACGAATGTGGAAACCATGCCTGGCCTAGCTTTGCGTAGAGCTTTTACCACTTGAAAAATATCCACTACCTCTTCTGTTTCCGCACTTTCTAAGAGATTTAACAAAGCACAAAATATTCCCGTTTGCTGAGATCCATCCCTATAAAAGAAAGAAAAGATAGAAAATAATCCTACTTCTCACCAAAAAGGGTGATATTAGAATAAAAACAGGAAGAGAGAGAATATATTTTTTGCTTCATGTTTATCATAATTATCTTATTCCAACCTCTTTCAAGAACCAAATTATTTACGCTAAATGCATTTTTAGGCAAATTTTTCAATTTAAGAGTGTGATAATCCTGGAATTGAAAACTTATTTGTCTTCGACTTTACAAATATATTTTCTTTTATTTAGTATTTTATGGATTTTAATGCATTTTTATTTACATCTGAAGTTGTTGAAACCAATATCAGAATGCCAGTATGATAGATAAGGAAACCAAGATTTGGAGAAGAGAAAGCTGATGTAATCAGAAATATTAGACCTAATATTTTGTAAATTACTAGAACACATGCTCTTCTTCACTCTTCTGCCTCTCTACCACGTTTCACAAATGTTTTCACTTCTGCATCAGTAGAAAAGTAATACCTAGTAGAATTATTCACTAAAAAGAGGGCAATCAAATAGTTTACCAAACAATGAGAAGTATAAAGCATTATCATAAAGATTCAATTTAAACAATATGTTATCAGCAGGACACTTTAGTTATTGTACATAAATCATATTCTAAGAAACATATATAGTTTTACAGTGTAAACTTCCCTTCCTCAGCTTTCTTTCCACATAAATGCTGAAAATTCATATATTTCTTAAGGCTTGATTCTAGTATATGCAATTCCAATAATAACAATTAGACTTTTTCAAAAATTCCAAAAGTTTTTCACTAGATAAACATTTCTCATTTTACTTTACTATTTTTCGTTTCTCATTTACTTCAATATTCTTTTTCATGTAAACTTTTATATTATATATCTTTCTTTCAATTATATTGCTTATTTAAGGTGAATATGTAAGCACCTATCACAGATGAAGAAACTAATAAAATCTAGTAGTATTATTGATATTACCACAATCTTTGCCTTTGGTTCAGTTTAGAAAATTAAATAATGAGTTTCAAATCAAAATTGCTAAGCTTTGTGATTTCAGTTAATATTTAACTTAAAATATGTTTAATAAACTTTGTGTTCATTAAACATATTAGGTGTCTTTGTGACACCTAATAGAGTAGATCAATGTATATGGGTATATGTGTAAGGTGATACCCATCTACCTATCTGTTCACACACCCTTCCATTCATTAATTCATTCACACAAATGACATTCCTGGCTCAATGTTAGCTACCAAGGAATCAAAGATGACATGACACCAAGTATTAAAAAACACAACTTAAAATTATTGCACTATAATATAATCACTTCTATTATATTTCTACAATAGTTGTGTTGTGGAAACAACCAAGAGAGTGACCGACTCCATAAGAAGTTTTTACTGTGGTTATGTGTTTCATATATGAGGATAACTAGATAAGACAACATGTGAACCGAGAAGTCAAGCATTATGATTTTGAGAGCACATTCTACCAAATCCCACGCACCTGCAGTGAATGAGTAGAGGTGTACTCTTGTGATGCTTGTTCCCTTCAGAGGAATTCTTCTGGGGAAGTTTTTGTTTGACGACCTGAATCATAGAGATTAATTCCTTGGGTTCTGCAGGAAGCTGCTCCACACTCCAGTTTGTATATTGGTACTGGTACACAGTTCGAGAGTCTTTCCTCTAAAATCAGAATTGAAGAGAGCATTAACTGGAGTGAAGTTCAGCTTATTTTCTAATTTGATAGTCATATTTTCTTCACAGTTACTTCTATTTAAATAATTTTAAAATGTTATTCTGAAACATTATTTATATGATGGCCTTGCCTGCATAGAGTAATTTATATTCATTTTGCTACCAGATCCATTATATCAAAGAAATATACTCCCCAAATTGTTTCCATACCTTGGAATGTCTCAGTTCAAAGACACGAAGGGTATAAGTTGAAGATTTGTCTGTGTCTTTCAGGTCAACTTCAATATCTCCATATGTTTGCTTTCCTTCTCCCCAGTACTGAGCACAGATTTCCTAGATAAAAGAAGACAATTCAACAATTTGTTTCCTATTTGAAATATGCAAAGGATCAGTCTCCCTCTTTCTCCCTTTCTTTCTCTGTCTGTGCCTCTTTTCTATTAAATGAAAATTATTGTGTTCTAAAATTGAAACCTACTTATAAAAATCCAGAATCTATTTAAGTGCTGGCGACCCATTTAATAAATATGTGGTGTTTCCTTGTGTAAGAAAAGGGAAGCTGAGCACAATCGAGGTGACTGGGACACCCCCGGAACAGCTGTTTTCCTTAGTGTAGGTCTTTGAGGTTTGCTCCTCTTTTCCACATGCTTATCATGACCTCTTCAATATTTATGGCTGGCATGAGTCAATGTTATTCATGACCCTTTCAATAACTCAGGTCCCACTGTCCCTTCAGTGGTTCTTGAGGAAGGAGGCTGCATCTTTTGGAGCTTTGTCTCTGTCATCTTGTTGACCAACACCATAAGCAGCTTTATATATTTTGTCTACATAGCTAAGGAAAGGGCCAGATTGAAGAGTAGATGAACCACAAAAGTGTTTCTTCTTACTACAAACTGTTGTCTACCAACTACAACCCCACAATTTCTGACAAAGACAGGGAGTCCTGCCGGTACTTCCATCCTGTTTCCCAGCTTTCACAATTTATATGAAGGAAAGGATTGTGGGAATTCCATGCTAGAAATCTGGACTTATATTCCTTTAAAACAAAAAACATAAAAAGCAACTTTCCATGTACAGGGGAAGGGGACCAGGTGAGGGTGAGAAAGAGTGAGATTTAGGGGAGAGAGAGGGGCATAAAAAAGCATAAATCTTTTGCATACTTATAAGGTTATTCACTGAATAGGCTTGAACATATGTCAGATAATGTGGTTGGTGCTAAAGCTGAGTGAGATCTACCACCAGGGAAATTTTAATAATAACTGAAGACATTAAGAAAAGGATAAAATATCTGTCACAAGCATTAAGTAAAAAAATCAAATTATAGCTTAGATTCACCTTCAACTATAGACTTTTATGGCAATAAATATTATATGGGAATAAAGAAAGGATGATATAGATACATTTTTCAGGAGTTTGGTCTTGTTAAAAGAATAGGGTCAAAACTGGAAGACAGCACACATTTAGTTACATGGAATATCAATAAGTTTAGACTCAGTGATGACAATGCAAATGGCGTGTTTAGGCTTGGGCATGAAACCTGCTTGTCCAGAGTGGAGAGGATGGAAAACATAAAAATGGGAGGAAGATGAAAGACACATGAGGGGGTGATTGTCCAGGGTGCTGGATATCACAAAAAGATCTTGGCTTTTATCTTGAGAAAATGAGGAAAACAGCGTGAAAATGTAGCTGTTATTTGCTGTGACGCTGACATTGCTGCATCCTGGCTAATCTGTGAGCAGCATGCAAGACTGGAGGGGACAAACAGGAGAGACTGTCAGAATCCAGACACAGCTGATGGAGGCCAACACCAGGGTGAAAGGGGTAAGACTGAGCAGACAGAATTATGTGATGGAGGGATAAAAAAAGACGTGGGTATGGCGATGAAGCAAGCAATCCAAGACTAGAGAATGACGTTTTATGACAGAAAGGCTTAAAAGAAAATCCTCAAAAGTACAAACCTGGTCTCCATGTTTCAGTTCTGTCAGCATAACAATAACTTTGACTTTTCTTTGGAAGATCATCTGCCAAAAGTCACCAATGGTCTCCTTCAGTGGTCCCTGAGCAGCAATCATCACTTCAGGTTTCCAGTAGCTCTTTTTAGACAAAAAAAGGGTGGGACTTCGTTACTACAGAAGAGAGCTCAGTAGATTCTTAAAGTAACCATTTGGAAATATAGTCAGTTTGATATCAATGCTGTTACATACAAATAGTAATATTCTTATGTTTCTTACAAGAAACAATGTAATAGCTATATGTAAAATAATTATACAGATAATAGTAATTCTTAGCTAATAATGTGAAATCAAGATTACAACATATCTTGCGAAACAAATTTTCCTTTCCACAAAAGACACACATTTTTGTTTCTCTATAAAGGTTAATGTGATTGTAAAAAGGAATTACTTAAGCATTTCAAATTACCTTCATCGTGTCTATACTAATTTTAATTAGTGTCTTTACATTCTTATTATATTTCCTAATTAAACTAATATTCTATGAATGTGTGCTTTAGGAAACTTTGGAAAATAAGTAAATCCAACAGTGTATAAATAATAAATATTTAATAAATGACTAAAGTTTCATTGTTTGAATTCTCAGTTAATTAAAAAAGTGGGGGGATATGACACAGACTCACCTAATAATTCAGTTTATCTGAATGAAAAGTTTCTAACCATACAAATATACAAATTTGTCATTGCCTACAATTTGGGTATCTGAGTATGTATAAACATTTTCAAATACTTGTATTTGCTCAAATTTTACTATTTTTAAAATTGATGTGATTATAGCTATATTTGTCATAAAATATAACCAATAGCATTATCTTATTTTGTCTCAGGTTATTAGGTTATAGTATTTTTAAATCTTTCATTAAGTTAAATTGTAGCATTGAAATTGAAACTCTCATGTCAATCTATATGTAGTTATGACCAAGCTCATTATTCTTTTATAAAATCGCTTAATGAATGGCCCTAATAACATAGATATTATTTTAAAATGTTTGGATCTTGGGTTTTGGCAATTTAAGTACCTACCATTATAAAAGATGCATTGATGTATTTGCTTGGTTCCTCTGAATCACTGTCATCATCAGAGGATTCATCTGAATCATGCTCACTCTCTTTACTCATTTCCAGCTCATGTTTAAGTGGCACTCTGTTATAGTCATCTATGTGAAATAAATCAGTAGTAAGTCTTCCTTGAAAAAATTAAATTTCTTCTTCATTGTCATGTGGAAATTTGAAAGTATTTAAAAAGGGACAGATTGTATTATGAAAACTTACTGATCTACATGAAATAAGATCCTATATAAAATTCAGTACTTGTCGATAAACAAATTATACAACAAAAGTCTAAGAAAAAGGATTCCAGGAAAAAACATGGAACATAATTCCATGTCAAACAACAAAGAGATATCATATCATTATATATGATTATTTAATCTTTGATACATATACTTTAATTTCCCATGGACTATTATAATTCTGCTTGATATAAGTTTACAAAATACATAGCGTAGATTTTTTCCCTCAATTATACTCCAGTAATATTAAATTAACAATCTTATATGGGTAGCTTTGATTAATTATTTAGCCCAGAAAATTATTTGACCTATAATTTCTCACTGTTTCTTAATTTCTATAATTTATAATAACTTGGTCAAATGATTTGATTAACCATATCACCATCAATTCCATATTTTAAACTACATTCATAAGGACTCCTATGAAAATTAACTAGGTCAACCATGCACTGATCTGATTTATTTGGTCATCTAATTTATCAACTTGTGTTATATTTTATCCATGCTAATTTTAGTTTATGCAGCTGAATAAAATTACCATATGTGATCATTTTAATATGCTTAAATAGTAGAATTCAAGTATTGAAACTGTGCATATTTTGATCTGTTAAATTTGAAGATTTAGAATTTATAGAGTATTTTCCCCTTACTTTCAACCTCCCAGTTATAAGGGATAAAAAGGAAACATATAGAGAACAAATGGATGTAATTTTTACTATTTGTCAATTACCCTGGAGTAAATAACTGAAATAAACTAAAAATGAAAGAAAATGGGTAAAAGAGACTTGCTCTTTTTTCTCCCAGCTTTATATATTTCTCTTTTATGACAACCCATTTCTGAAATAATTGGTAAAAAGAAAACACTGAATACAGTCTACCCTCCAAAGCCCATTGTAAATGTTCAGGATTATAAGTTCTTGCAATAACTAGTATTTTAATACCTAGTAACTTCTTCCCTATTAACAACCAAATGTTGAAAACTTGCTTCAAGATAATTTATATGACTGTGTGTCCCACATTAAACAAATCCAAAAGAGCTTAACTTTATCTGATACAAAAAATAAAAAAATAAACTACATACATGGGATGACATTAGAATTCCTGTTTTTACTTTTATTTTCTTCTTGATTTCCAATGTGCTGTGTCCTCCAGCTCCTATATGAAGGAAGTCTCTGAAAAAAAAAAAAAAAACAGAAAAACTCCTTTAAAATGTAAATATTGGCTTATTGCATCATAAGATGCTCCCTAAGGAAAAGCATTTCATTAATTTTTGTGAAATTTGCATATGCTCCCTATAGGCCATAATTTTTCGGTTTGCCTCTGATTTTTTTTCTTTAAATTGCTCAGGCATTTAGTCCTTTTGACAGGGCTAGTATGCACTAAAGATATATATGTAACAGACTATGTCTCCTTCTTCAGAGCTGCTTGATAGAAAAATAATATAGTTTGTTCTTATATAAATTGAAACCACTAGACCGATGTTGATCTATATTGCAAAAGCAATGGTAAGTTATTTTAAATGATCAGAAATAAACTTTGGAGACAACACATTCTTAGGAGACTTGGCACATGTTTTGAAAGTTCATTCTTAATTTGTTTACACCTTCCAGATTGCTTTCCTCTCACCCACAGTTCCTAATTAGTCAGAAAAGATCCATCATTTCTATACACAAATCCTTTTAGTTTTCTTTCTTCCTACTTAATCCAGTCTGCCTTCATTTCTCGCTTGTAAAACATCAACAATTTCCTAACTGGCCTCTTTGTCTTCAATCTCGCCTGCTCTAATCCTTCTAAAACACAAAACAGAAGATGCTCTTCTGAAGATGAACAGCTTTCCATCACTATAAGAGGACAACAAACCTCCTCAAAATAGCATAAAAAGTCTTTATTGATACGCCCCTGACTGTTTCTCCAGCCTTACACCTTACTGGGTCCCTCAATACTTCTACCAAACCAGCTTCCTCAATTCTTGGAAGGGCCAAGCTGTTCTTCAACTCTTGGCACATAAACACTTTTTTTTTTTTTTCTTGCTTGAACTACCCTTTCCCCTTTTGGTTGCTCTAATAACTTTTCTTACCCTCTAGGTATCAGTTTAAATACCAATTTCTTCTGGAAGACACCCCTGCCTACAGTCTTTCCACTAGTCCTTAAATAAGTATTTGTCAAGTGAATAATATTTAATGATAATAGATAATGTTACAAATAACTGAAACTGAGAAGGCTCCTCATGTACAATTCGGTAAGATTTTATATACACACACACGCATGTAGATACGTGTGTGTATATAGACATATATTTTTTCAGCATAGTACCCTCATTCAAACTAATTATGGCACCCTGTTTCAAACCTCATTCTTTGCTACGTAATTGAGTGAAAGAAAATATCATCACTGAATTTTAGGCCACTTGAACACCACCATGAGCTGCATGAAGGACCAGATGTTTTGGAAACTGTTACAACACCTTGTGCTCTTGTGAGTGTAGTCACCGAGGCAGCCTATGCCCTGTAGCAATACTCAGGATTATAGGTGGAATTAATGGCTCACCTTCATCTAAGACACAAAGGATCTGTCACTCTTAAATCTCTACCTGTTTCACTTGCCATCACAAGTCTAAGCTTCCCAGTGCATCCACATTCCCCAGATTTTTATTCCTGAATGGTTATTTGTATCCTCAGATACAACCCAGTCTCTTACATCTAACCCATCAGTGCCTTCCTCCCTGCCCTCTGATGCCCATCGTCTGTCATCTGTGAACTCCCATTTATCTTAATCATCTTCTCCCAACAGTCACTTCACCCTTTTTTTTTTCTTTCCACCAATTAAAACCTGGATGTCAGCTAAGGACACCACCAATAACTCAGCAGCCCTTTTAAGAAAAAGTTGACTTTCCTCCTCACACCCCATTTACCTCACAGCTTCAAGAAAAGATACGTGTTCTCCTTGATCCCTGATTCTACTTGCAAACCATTTCTACTCATTTGCTTTCAAATCAACCAAGCACTTTGATATTCCTGCCATCATACTATACTAGCTTCTATCCACCGGCTTCACTGGGAAGTGTCAGGTATTGATTTCTGAATCACTCCACCTCATTTAGTTTTAGGCTTGGCTAAGTATATTCTCTTCTTTCCAAGGTCTGTCATCATTTTTGGTTAATTCAACATTGACAAGAATAATCTATCCAAGACTCTAGTCTCTTCATTTCTTAGCTTCTTCACCTCCCATGACTTTCCCTCCACTTCCCAGTCATCCACTTTCATCATTCCACCTTTGTAGGTTTCATTCCAAATATTACATCACCTCTAAAATCATAAGTTCAACTATCTGTGCTATTGAAAATTACCCCTATTATTCCTAGTCATTTATTCTGATATGTTCAACCTAGCAATCTGTAATTCTATCAAAGTCTCCAACTTATTATCCTTACTACTTTCTCTCACCTCCCTCATGTGGCCAATTTGCTTTTTATTTTCCACCTCAGTCATCATTCATTTGTAAACACCCTCAACTCGTTTGCCTCACTATTTTCAAATAGTCACTTTTCAAAACCTAGATAGGTTTAACTCAACTATCTGCATACACAGCCTCTACCCCCAAAGAGCTCAATGCTGCCATAGAAAACAATACAACCAACTGACTAATTCCTCTTTAAACTTATAATCATAAATTTCAGGTGATCAAATGATAACTTCTGGCAATCTTACTGCCTCTGCCTAGGGAGATTGTTTTTATACTTTGAGGTAACTAGTTTATACCCTTCAAGCATTGAGCTCTTCTTTGCCCTACTCGCCCTTGTATCTCTCAACTCTCAACTGATGACCTAGCCTCACATTTTCTTGAAAAATGAAAGATCATCAGGCAAGAGCTGCCTCAACTTCCCAATACCAAATTTACCAACCGACTTGCATTTCTACTCTCATCTTCTGTCTTACTGTCTGCTTAAATGGAATAATTTCACAGCTTCCATCTGTGATCTGGATCACATCCTCTCATCCTTCTTCCCATGTCCACTTGCAGATCATTTTGACTCTTGTGCCTAGAATTGTACTTGGCACATAGCAGAAACTCAAGCACATTTATTTAGTGAAAAAAATTGTCTGTCTTTTCTATAGTAAATAAACATTCATAAGAATGTTTAACTTAAATGTATAACTGTCTCTAACAGCTTATGTGTTTATGTGGATTAGTAGGGCAGGTATATTGAATAAGGTTAATTTATCAGCTAGAAAAGCAAGAAAACAACAATAAAACACTACTCTGTTTGAGACTACCCTGTGTCTGCTAGTTCTTCCATTATAAGTACAGGTCTTCTGGGGGATTGAGTCACTTGGTCATTATTGCATGCTCCACCTCCACCCCCACCTTAACCCCACTTTGATCCTAAACATTAAATGGTTCTGCATGTGATTAAAAGCACACTCCTGGTCTTTAGAAACTCTGAATTTACCAGTTTGGTAGATTATGGAATGACTCAGTAACCTGGAAATCATAGGTGGAACAAAAAAAACACAAAACATTTTTTTGACAACTGAGCAATTTGAGGACAGCTATGCAAACTCTCTGAAATTATAGTGAACTACATGCTAGGTTAGCTGTGAGAATAATTGCCTAATAAATAGGTTAAGACACATGTACTTATCCTTTACTGTGTGTCTACCAGCTCCAGCCAGTTCAACTTCCTAAGCAGTCATAAACTCTTCTAATGATTTCCTTTACAAACCAAAACCAGATACGATTTTTAAAGGTGATATGCTGTATTGCCTTTGGCAGACCAGTTTTGTGGCTATATACTATTATTTTGACACTTCATTTTATACCAGCTTAATGAGGAATGGCTAAAAGTATTAGCAATAGAATCAGATTTCTGGGTCTAAAGAAATCTCCTATGTAATAGTTGTGTAGATTCAGGCATTTCTCTTAACTCACTGTGTCCTAGTTTTCTCATCTGTGCTCCTTTGGTTCTGGTGAAGACTAAATGCAAGCACTATGTCAAGTGCATAGCAAACACCTAGAAAGTAGATGACACTGAATAAAAGTTATCTGTAATTATTATTATTGTTGTCACTATCATTACCTGGAATTCAGCCTCTAGTGGAGACGGCTCACTGGGTGGATCCCTTTTCTTCATGTTATGTAGATATGGATGTAATTCAGACAAATTCACTTCTGTTTCTCCAAACTGATTGTATTCCACCAAAGCCTGATGGATCAAGATGTACTGGGCCTACAATTTCAAGAACAAATACAGATAGTTAACTGATAATCTAGAGTCCTCCAAGTCATATTTAAATAAAATATACATTCCCCATAAATTTGCTCATATTGGAACAATTCATGGCAAAGTAAATTGATATCTATAATATTTAAATATTCTGGAAGTTCACTCTCAGAGTTTTCTGGAATATGAGCAAATTCTATTTTCAGATTATTTTTTCAGAAAAGAATTACTTTGCAAATAGATTATCCATGTACTCTGTATTGCACAACTTTTATTCCTAAAAACTAAAGAACATTGTATGTTACTTCCTTTAGTGATTATTGGGTCAGTAAGCCAAATTACTGAATGTAAAACTATAATAAATTTCACAGTATATTCAAGAGATAAAAAAGCAAGTTGTTATTCCTTAGAAAACCTTTTTTTATAGTTTTTAGAACTTAAAATAAGAAAAGTATTCTTTTAATAAGAAAATTATTTTTTTGTAATCCAATGGGCCAAACCCAGATTTAACTACTCTTTACTGCTTATTTTGTTTGAATCCAGTATTTTCAAGGAAATGGTATACTTCTGATAATCCTCTTTAACCGCCACCTTTAGTTCCCTGAGTTTGGCACTGTCTTTCCACTGTACTTTATTTTCCACTGTAAATAATTTCTTTTTACCTGGTTAACAATTTGTTTTTATGTTTCTACACTGCTATCTATGTATCTGTAATCACAAGCATTGTACATTTTCATGTTTTTTTTAAATCACATAAATTATATCTTGAATGTTTCGTATGGCAGCTTTACTCACTCATTGTTTTCATCTGAGCATCTCTCCAAACAGACAGACACAAACCTAGATCATTGCTTTCTACCACAACATAGCATTTGTTGTACAGAGAGTTCACATGTCCACATTTTGTCTTCCTATTCCCCTATTGATACATATTTACGGTGTTTCCATTCTTTCATTGATATGTATTTCACTTTTTTTTTTTTTTTTTTTTTGCTATTTTGACAATGCTGAATGCAATGCACATTCTTGCAAATGTTTCTAGTTGATGCTTCTCTTGGGTATATGCATATATGTGATTTTGCTGGGTCAAATACAGACATTTTCAGTAATTACCATCACTTACAATCACCAAATGCATAGCATGGGCCAGGGACTTGTTTAAGTGCTTTATTTGTATTACTTTTGTGGTTATAAGTCTGTGAGGTATTATCATTGTCTCCATTTTACAGATGACTTAACTGAGGTGCAGTCAGACTAAAATTACTTAATAAACAATACCACTCACCCTCGTATTAATAATTAAAAGCAAGATTTGAAACCTGTAAGTGTAGTTTCTAAAACCAGCTGTTGATTACTATACTATTCTGTCTCTTCAGTTTAATTTTATGAGATGATGCCAAATCTATTTTCAGCATTTTTACTTTTTTTGCCAATCTGATATATGTTAACAGTAGTTCATTATTTTAAAAATTATATATTTTGTGGTCATCTTTCTTCCACAGTACTTTTAGGCACTAATGAAAAATGCTTCTAAGTATTTCTGGTGATTACCACGTTTTAGTTTTCAGGAAATCATCTACTGTTTGAGGTTGTGAAGAATTTGGATTTTTAAAAAATATCATTATTATCACTTGGAAAAGATTTAAGTCCAAAAAACCAAAGTGAGAATAATCACTAAAGGTTAGAACATACCTCTACTTGAACCATCAGGCATCTCTGTCGCCTTAGCTTGACAACATAACCATAAACATCCACTTTGTTCTCGGCTTCCAGGCCTTCTAGCATGGCATCAATTCCGATATAGGTTCCTGTGCGCCCAACACCAGCACTGGCAAACCAAGCAAAAAAAAGCAGAGGCATGATCATGGAAAAGCTGTCAGGTGTGAAGCCAATATAAGAATCTAAGCTTCTCCCATAGGTTGTTTCCCAAAATAGCAATTGCCAAAGGGAAAGATGTCTCTAACAGCCCTAGGCAGGTGGATTCTGTTGGAGTTTTTTTGTTGTTGTTTTTTTTTTTTGTTCGTTTTTCCTACCTGCAGTGCACCACAATGGGACCACTGAAGAAATTGCTGAAGGCATTCACTCTCCTTCTCAGTTTGAGGAGCAAGTGAGGATCCTCAGGCACCCCGTGGTCTGGCCAGCTGGTGAACTGAATGTGAGTCACCTCTCTTCCAGTTGCTTTTTCTTTTTTCTAGTCAAGAGATAATATTTTCTTTGAGATGATTTTTTTAAAGCAAACTATGAAACATAAATAAGTGGAAGGGAGTACCAGTACAAAGTCTCCTCGTGTAAACATAAACTACTCAAAAGAGTTCATAGTTTCCTCAGGTGTCTTATATATTTTCTCAACCATGGTTGTGTTTTCCTTTCTAATCAATAACTAGTAGTTAAGATATTGTGCAGGACTTGCATGTACTACCCTGTAAGCAATAACTTAACAGTAAGGTAAGTAAGGTAATACTTTCTTTAAAAGTATAACCAAAATTTCTAGGAACTTGCATGCTGTCAAGCAAAAAAAACCCAAAATAAACATACACCATAAAAGTGGGGTGCATGGGTGGAAGCTTTTTGGATTTGTGTTTAAAATGATTTGGTAAAGGTCATTCTCACAACTGTTTAAAATACTTCTGCTTGATAGGCCAGCAAACAGAACTAATTCATATGTGAGCAAAGTCTGATTAATTATTTGATGAACATTGTATTCCTTAGGCCTTCACATGGTAGCATTGTCAACACAGAATGTAGAGAGACGACTGAGGAAAGTCAGCCCCAGATTAGAGCTCAGGTTTGTTCTAATTTCAAGGTAACCACCATAAGATGCATAAGTCATAATTCTATGGCCAGGTATAAAGAACCATCTACATTTAGATAACAAAAGAAACACACAAACTGAGTTAATTAACACCAGTAAACCCAGACTACAGAATGTAGCCAGATAGGCATCAATCTAGAAATATATCCTCATATCTATGGAGCAGGTGCCTTTGTGGCTTAGTCAAACAAGTGTTTGGCCAGAAACTATTGATAGGATTGTTTCACAGCACTCTATAGACATAACAATTAGTAATACCATGGAAACCTAAGAAGACCTACGGAGATATATAGACTAAGTCTGTTTCTCCTGTAGAAAATATAGCTAGACTATACAAAAATAAAATTTAGATTACTAAAAGCCCTACAATAAATGAAATTAAGAGAAAATCTTAACCCCCATGTAAAGACTTGTAGTTTTTTAAACAGCTCTATCAAGAGACATTTTACAATCTTGATAGGTTGCATGTATCTAGGAATTTATCCATTTCTTCTAAGTTTTCCAATTCATTAGCATATAACTGCTCATAGTAGCATCTCATAATCTTTTAAATTTCTGAAGTATCAGTGGCAATGTCTCTTTTTTCATCTCTGACTGTACGCATTTGAGTCTCCACTCTTTTTTCCTTAGTCTGACTAAAGGTTTGTCAATTTTATCTTTTTTTTTGAGATAAAGTCTCACTGCAAAGCCCAGGCTTGAGTGTAATGATGCAATCTTGGCTCACTGCAACCTCGGCTTCCCAGGTTCAAGTGATTCTACTGCCTCAGTCTCCCAAGTAACTGGGATTACAGGTGCATGCCACCACACCTGGCTAATATTTTTTTGTATTTTTAGTAGAGACGGGGTTTCACCATATTGGCCAGGCTGGTCTCAAACTCCTGACCTCAAATGATACACCCGACTTGTCCTCTTAAAGTACTGGGATTACAGGCATGAGCCACTGCACCTGGCCTGTCAATTTTCTCTTTTTAAAAACAACATTTTATTTCATTGATGCTTTGTATTTTTTTATTTCAGTTTCATTTATTTCTACTTTGATCTTTATTATTTTTTCTTCTAATTTACAGTTCAGTTTGCTCTTGCTTTTCTAGTTCTTTGAAATGTATCATTATGTTGTTTATTTGAAATTTTTCTTTTTTAATGTAGGTGCTTACTCTTACAAACTTTTCTCTTAGTACTGCTTTCACTGTATCACACAGGATTTGGTTTGTTGTGTTTCCATTTTCATTTGTTTTGAAAAATTTTAAAATTTCCTTAGTGATTTCCTCATTGAATCAGTGGTCATTGAGGAATATATTGTTCACTCTCCATGAGTTTGTATAGTTTCCAAACTTATTCTTGTTATTGATTTCTAGTTCTACTGTAGTCAAAGAAAAGTTTATATAATTTTTTTTTAATTTTGTAAGACTTGTTTTGTAGCATAACATAAGGTATGTCCCTGAGAATGATCCATGGGCTGAGGAGAAGAATGTGTATTCTTCAGCCATTGGTTGAAGTGTTCTATAAATGTCTATTAGGTTCATTTGGTCTACAATGCACATTAAGACCAATGTTTCTTTGTTGATTTTCTTCCTGGGTGATCTGCCTAATGCTGAAAGTAGAGTGTTGAAGTCTCCAACTATTATTGTATTGGAGTCTATCTCTCTCTTTAGCTCTAACAATATTTGCTTTATATATCTGTGTGCTCCAGTATTAGTTGCATATATATTTACAATTGTTATATCCTCTTGCTGAATTGACTCCTTTATCATTATGTAGAGACAATCGGTGTCTCTTTTATTAGTTTTTGTGTTGAAATATACCTGTGTTATATAAGTATAGGTACTCCTTCTCTTTTTAGGTTTCCATTTACAAAGAATATAATTTTCCATCTCTTATTTTAAGTCTATTTGTGTCTTTACAGGTGAAGAATGTTTCTTGTAAGCAACAGATTGTTGGGTCTTGTTTTATTAATATCTATTCAGCCACTCTATGTATTTTGTTTAGAGAGTTTAGTCTACTGATATTCAATGTTATTACTGATAAATAAAGACTTACTCCTGCCATTTTGTTATGTCTTTTATGGTTGTTTTGTGGCCTCCTCTTCCTTCTTTCTTTTCTTCCTGTCTTCCTTTAAGTGAAGGTGATTTTCTCTGGTGGTCTGTTTTAATTTCTTGCTTTTTATTTTTATGTATCTGTTGAATGCTTTTGGATTTGGGGTTATCATATCTTATAATGCATTATTTTACACTGAAGACAACAGACATTGTGTAAACAAACTAACAAGCAAAGTGTAATATAATGAAAATGCTATATTTTAACTTCATTCCTCCACATTTTGCCATTTTCTTGTTTCAATTCATGTGTTATTTTGCTCTCCATGTCTTGAAAAGTTGTTGTTGCCATTATTTTTGGTACCCAAAACCTGAACAGACAACAAGTAATGAAACGGAGGTTGTCATGAAAAGTTTCCCAGCAAAGAAAAGCCCGGGACCTAATGGCTTCACTACCACATTTTACCAAACATTTAAAGAAGAACTAGTACCAATTCTACTCTAACTATTCCAAAAAATGGAAGAGAAAGGAATTCTTCCAAACTCATTCTGCAAGGCCAGTATTACTCTGATACCAAAACCAGACAAAGACACATCAAAAAAAAGAAAACTACCGGTCAATATCCCTGATGAATACTGATGCAAAAATCCTCAACAAAATACTAGCAAACTGAATTCAACAACACTTTAAAAAGATCATTCATCCTGATCAAGTGGCATTTATCCAAGGGATGCAAGGATGGTTCAACATACACAAATCAATTATTGTGATACATTATATCAACAGAATGAAGGACAAAAGACATGATCATTTCAATTGATGCTGAAAAATTATGCCATAAAATTCAACATCTCTTCATAATAAGAAACCTCAAAAAACAGGGTAACGAAGGAATATACCTCAACAGAATGAAAGTCATATATGACACACCCACAGCTAGCATCATATTAAATGAGAAAAAACTGAAAGCCTTTCTTCTAAGATCTGGATAAAGACAAGGATGCCCACTTTCACCACTGTTGTTCAACTGGAAGTCCCAGCTAGAGCCATCAGACAAGAGAAAGAAACACAAGGCATCCAAATTGGAAAGGAAGAAGTCCAATTATACTTGTTTGCACATTCCATTATCTTATATTTGGAAAAACCTAAATACTCCACCAAAAAACTATTAGAACTGATTAACAAATTCAGTAAGGTCATGAGATATAAAATCAACATTAAAACAAGCAGTGTTTTTATATGCTAACATTGAACAATCTGAAAAAGAAATCAAGAAAGTAATCTCGTTTGCAATAGATAAAAACAACATAAATACCTAGGAATAAACTTAACCAAAGAAGTGAAAGATCTCTACAATGAAAACTATGAAACATTGATGCAAGAAATTGAAGAGGACATAAAAAATGGAAAGCTATTCCATGTTCATGAATTGAAAGACTCAGTATTATTAAAATGTCCATACTACTCAAAACTATCTACAGATTCAATGCAATATCTATCAAAATACCAATAATGTTCTTTACAAATAGAAAAAATAATCCTAATATTTATATGAAACCACAAAAGACCCAGAATAGCCAAAGCCATCCTGAGTGAAAAGAACAAAACTAGAGGAATCACAATACCTAATTTGAAATTATACTTCAGAGCTATAGTAACCAGAACAGCATGGTACTGGCATAAAAACATACATAGAGCAATGAAACAACTCTACAGTGGACTCATTTTTGATACAGGTACCCAGAATATGCATTGGGGAAAGGACAGTCTCCACAATAGATTGTACTGTGAAAACTGGATATTCATATGTGGAAGAATGAAACTAAAGCCCTATCTCTTGCTGTATACAAACATTAAATAAAAAAAATGGATTAGACTTAGATCTAAGACCTTAATCTATGAAACTACTAAAAGAAAATGTTGGGGAAACTCTCCAGGGCATTGGTTTGTGCAAAGTTTTATTCAACAATACCCCACAAGCACAGGCAACCATAGCAAAAATGAACAAGTAGAATTACATCAAGTTAGAAAGCTTCTGTATAGCAAAGAAAACAATCAACAAAGTGAAGAGACAAGCCACAGAATGAGGGAAAATATTTGCCAACTATCCATCTGACAAAGCATTAATATCCAGAATACATAAGAAGCTTACAGAACTTTATAATGAAAAATCTAATAATCTGATTTTTAAATAGGCAAAAGATCTGAATAGACATTTCTCAAAAGAAGACATACAAATGGTAAACAGATAAATAAAAAGGTGGTCAACATTATTTACTATCAGAGAAATGCAAATCAAAACTACATTAAGTTATCACTATGCTCCAGTTATAACAACTTATATATAAAAGATAGCCAAGAATGAATGCTTGCAAGGATGTGAAGGAAAGAAAACCCTCAGACAATGTTGGTGAGAAAGTAAATTAGTACAACAACTATGTAGAACTGTTTGGAGGTTTCTCAAAAAAACTAAAAATAGCACTACCATATGATCCAGCAATCCCACTGCTAGGTATATACCGCAAAGAAAGGAAACAGTAGATTGAAGAGATAATCTGCACTCCCACGTTTATTGGAGCACTATTCATAGTAGTCAACTTTTGGAAACAACCTAAGCATCAGTTGACTGATGAATGGATAAACAAAATGTAGTACATATATACAATGAAGTATTATTCAGCCATAAAAAGGGGTAAGATCTAGTCATTTGCAACAACATGGATGGACCTGGAGGACTTACGTTAAGTGAAATAAGCCAGACACAGAAATACAAACTTCATATGTTGTTACTTATTTGTGGGAGCCAAAATTTAAAATAACTGAACTCTTGGATATACAGAGTAGAATGATGGTTACCAAAGGATTGGAAGGGTATGGCAGGGGTGGAAATGGTGATGGTTAATGTGTACAAAAATATAATTAGATAAAATGAATAAGACCTTGTATTTGATAGCACAACAGGGTGACTATTCAACAATAATTTATTATACATTTCAAAATAACCAAAAGAGTATAACTGGGTTGTTTGTAACACAAAGAAAAGATAAATGCTTGGGATGATGGATGCCCCATTTACCCTGATGTGATTGTTATGCATTGTATGCCTCAATCAAAACATCTCATTTACCCCATGAATATACACACCTACCATGTACCCCAAAAAATTAAAAATAAAATTCATTTGTTGGAAATAAGAGATACACATTTTACATACCATAAAGTTCACCAGTTTAAAATGTACAATTTGGTATTCATATTACATTCACTAAATAGTACAACCATCACCAATATCTAATTATAGAACATTTTCACCATCACAAAATGAAAGCCTGTTCTTATTTGCAGCCACTCCCCATTTCTGTTTGACCTCCTCAGCTCCAGGCAACCACTGATCTACTTTCTGTCTTTATTGACTTGCCTATTGTGGATTTTTCATATAATGGAATTATATAACATGCATGACGATCTCTATTTTAACTATTATCTAAGGCCACAATGACCTCCTTATTTTCTGAACTAAACATTCTATCTCTGCTGCATAGTTAGAACTTTATACTTCTTACAGTGTTCTCTAATGCTGTCATTTCTCTTATGGAAATAATATAATTTTTTTTCATAAAAGTAGGAACTCACTGACAATGAAGACAAATTGCTTATTCTTTTAATAATTTGATTATATTTTCAACACATTTAATGGACCTTCCCTCTTTTTTTAATAATTAAAACAGATAATTAATTAATACAGTATAATTCTTTCGATTTGAGTTGGACAAAAACGTCTTGACCAGTGACTTAAATTTGACCCTATTGATTTTTGTCATTGTTCTAACCACAGCTTTCATCCTAAAGGTTATCAAAAATAATTTTTCCTGATATATTTTATTTTCTCACTTTTAATATTCCATAATTATATTTTTATAAAAAAGTATCAAAACAAAAATTATGTAAAAAGCAAACTCACATTTACAATGTTCAATTTCTGAATGATGTAATCTGGACATCTTTTGTGCTGGTTGATCTTTACAACAACATCTCCAAAAGCCCGAGTGCCCTCTTCCATTGACGGCCAGTATTCTGCACACTTGTTCTACATTTTAAAAAATTATTAAGTATTTTAATTTTTAATTTAAGCCAATTTTTTATCAAACTTTCTTTAAACAGTGAAAACAAAACCTATACTCATTTGAAATTCTCAAAACAGTTGTATAGTTTAAGCACATATAAACCTTAAGCTGTGATGCTTGAAATATATTCTATTTCCCACTAATGTGTCCTGAAGAATTTCCTTCATACTTTTTAGCAGGATGATCTTTCCAGGCTTAGATGCATGTTAAGAGAGGACATAATCAGTTGTCAGCAAAAAGGATATGATTGCTTGTGGTTAATTTTAGGTAGGGGGACAGAGAGGCTTTTATTCCTAAAGTCACATTACATGACTCACCACCTATCTGCCCAAGGTCAGTTTTGTTTCGAGTATTAAGGTCTTGTGAAGTTAAAACAGTGAAATATACTGAACTTATAACAATACTGCAAAGAAACAGGAATCAAGTTAAGAGTCTAGCAATTAATCAGAAGCATTGAAATTTTATGCATATAGACATATATTTGTATGTTAAAAGTTTTAGTTTTCTACATGTATGAAAATTTTAAATTAAATGTTAACACTGATTAAAATAGAGAACTCTCTGTTTTAGTCATCAGGCAGATACATGTGGCTTTTCAAAATGCCATTCAACACCTTGTTTTCCTAACCCCAAGACCCACACTATGAATCTTCTTGGTTCTTACCCTGTTTCCTTCTTCACATCGAGTGACCATGACAATAACTGTGGCTTTCTGTTCCCAAATCATCCTCCAGAAATCATCAACAGTTTCATCCCTGGGACCTAGGAGGTAAACAAATAAAAGCTGATAAGAAAAATTTTCTTAAAAGTGCTATAAAAATTTTTCAAAAAGAATATTGGATTATCAAAGAAATTACCTTGTGCAGCAATGTATTTCCTGGGTTCTTTGAAACCCTATTGAAAACACATGCAGAGATATGTCATTTGCTGAACATTCAATTACTCATTAACAGGAAAAATTGTGAGTTAGAGGAATTGCTTCAGATCCATCATTTTGTGATTGTGAATTTCTCTGGGCAGTTTCAAAGTATTAAGGGAATCTTATTAATTGGTGGTCAGGCATTTAATTGTGCTAAACATGTTAGCATTTGCAAAGAATATTCATGACTTTCATGTATCTTTGCTGTAAACTTCAAACAATTTTAATACTAGGTTTCATCTTCATCTGCGATGCTGTGGTAATTTACAAGAGTGCTCTAGACATTTCAACATTTTATATCCTGCCAACTCTTATAGGATCATCTACCACTATTTAAACAAGCTCACCAGCCATGTAGTTACTTTTGGGATTTTTACTCAATTTCTTTAAACAAATCATTCTTAGATTTTACCCGCATTTTCACCTCTTAACTTCTGCTGGAATATGATTCCCTAGACTTCTTTGCCATTTCAGATAAGAGATATAATAACTTTCATTTCATTACCTACTATGTCTGCTTTCTCTGCTCCTGTTACCAAGATAAAGGAGTACAGAGGCAGATAAAATATTATACTGGCTTCTTCCAGAATTATCTCAGACTCCTAAATTCACCTCAGTAACTAAAGGAGCTCTTCAGAGAGGGATGACCTTTGCCATTGGATTAAATTTGAAACATGGGTCACAAGAATTCAACATTAATTTAAGTAACTTCCTGAAACTTCTATCTCATGACACATTATTGCGCATACATTCATTTATTTAATAAGTATTTATTGAATAGCTACAATATGTCAATCACCTATCTAAAAGCAGAAGACACATGCTTTCAGGGAGCTCTAAGTTCCATTGGGGAAACATAAGTAACCTGATACCATAATTACCATATATATTTGAATAGAAAATATAGTTATTTCTGGTAGGTGAGGACACTGGGAAAATGGCAGATTTGGGGAGACAAAAAGAATTTTTTCAGTCTGTATATATTTTTATACTGTTTAAAATTATTTAACCTATGTAATACATTAATTAACATTTGTATAATAAATTAAATTTTAAAATATTTTAAATAAATTAACCACGTACGGACATTTACATTTCTGCATAAATCCAATGGATAGATGATCATGTTGATGAGGAATGTCTGCTGAAATTTAGTGTGATGAAATTAAAGCATAACATTTTGGAGTCAGTCAGACTCTGGTTGAATTTCAACTCAAATATTTACCAATTGTGTGAACAACAACAAGGTAATTAACTAAACTGAGCCTCCCAGTCCTCACCTATACGGCACATGGCTGAGGCAAATGTGGACTTCTTGTGAGAAATATATGCATAGAATATTTAGTCTAATATCTAGCACATAATAGACACCAGAGTATATTAAATTAATTCTTAATATAATTTTGTTTGTAGAGGAAAATTCTATGTTATACCTAATACCAATAGTCACATAATAAATAACTATCCTTGCTAATATTGATAATTTTTTGTTTATATCAGTGACATATGGGCTCACTTCAAAATATTTTTAATAATATTTCTAAAATTTTACCAAGACAAACAAGGAGCTGAATGAAATATGTAGGTATAAGAAAAATGCAAATTTTTACTCACATCAATATAGCTGGCATTTATGTAGTTTGACCCTGCATCTCCGTTTATCTCAGAGAGTTCAACACGGTTATAATCATCTGTTTAAGGAAAAGAAAAATAAACAAGTGAAATAGTGAATAATCAAGTAGCCTAATATATGGGAATTCAGCACTCAATAAATACTCACAAGGAAGAATGTCAACATAACGGTTTTTATTCTGGTTAAAGGGCTTTCGAGCTTCCTTTATAGGAAACTTGCTGAACACCCGCGGGATGCTCTGAAAGAAACAACGATTTCTTGGATCACAGCAGATTCAGGAAAAATAATTTCCCCCTTACCAATGACCGTTTTGAGTAAATGAGATATCCTGTAAAATATTTTCTTCATATTGATAAAAAAATTTGCTTAGAGTAATCAAAATTAAGATCAGGAATTATGTTAAAAAAAAAACTTTTTTCTTACAAATTAATGATTGACAACTTTCAGAACAAATCTCTTGAGTGGGGACAAATTTAGGATTAGTTGTTGTGTCACTATCAAATTCATTTAAAAACAGATACTTGGATGAGTATCTAGAGTACAACTACAAAATCAGCCAAATACATTTTGTGACACAACTTCATAATACAATAAAGCACTACATTAAAATATTTACTAGCTCTACACTATAATCCCGTCAACCTCTATGAGTCTCTCTTCTGGTTCATAGAGATCTGCTAATAATATCTACTTTGCTTATGTTGCAATATCAAGTGGGATAAATTATAAAGGCAAATGGCAATATAAATACACTTAAAGTGGAACTGTCTTGATGTCGAATTTATCATCATATAACAAAAGCAACACACACCTGAAATTCAGCCAGAAAAAGTCTTCCTTCATCAGCAATCTTCCTCTTATAAGTTTCCAACAAAATATCTGCATGGATTGGCTCCACATTCATCAGTTGTTTTTCATCATCTGGAAACATATTAAAGATTCAATACTAGTTACATGTGTCTTTCAGGTGGGCATACACATTTCATTAAATTTACACCGTGTACTCAATCCTTTAGCTTCTTTCCTCCTCGTACACATTTCATCTGAGAAATCTCACTCACATACAAACATTTACCTATAAATCAATGACTTTTCAATCTTGTACTTCAGATCTCTTCTGGGCTTTATATTGTTCTCTCTACTAGAATGTTCTTCCCCATTTTCTATGCTTAAGAGAAGGGATCCCAGACCAAACATCACCATTATAAGGACATTCACGTTTGACTATATGCATTTTATAGCAATTACTATAATTATTTATTTATAATACAATATTATTTTTCTTTGTATTTTCATTTTCAACTTGTGAAATACTGTAAACATGCAAATGAAATAAGACAATATGATTAATACCCTTATACCCATGACTCAGCTTAATTTGATCATCTGTTTACACTAAATGGTGAAACAAGTTGTATTAATTTGTTATGCTTCAAGTATATGAAACACATTATATACCATGTTTGTGAAATAACTTACTGAAGATTAAAAAGTATACTAACCATAAAAAGCTACAATTGCATATGGAACTTGAAAACCAACAGCTTTAGAAAGGTAAGAGAATTTAAGCTGTCGCATATGTAAAATTATGTTTCTCCTACTCTTCCATGTACTACTGATAGTGTTTCTTTCAGTAATCATATTAATTTTACCAGTTTATCAGATAAAGAAAGAAGTTATCCATGAGGGTGACCCATTTATCTTATTGCCCATGGAAACTTTCTATACAATCACAGCTCTCAAACTGGCTATGTGCAATTGTTTCTTTAGGTTGTTGGGAATGCCTGGTATTCATTCATTCTGAACTGAGGGCCACATTCAGGGTTTCATGGGGTCTGAGTGAGTAAATTCTACTGCGTTCCAAGGTGCAATCGGTACCAATTTTGAGATAAAATATTTCATTGACACTTTCCAAGTCCACCTTAACTCCTTGAGATGGATTTTCCTGTTCTGCTCAGGTGTTTATTACTGATTGTACTCTTCATTCCTCCCTCAGCCTATCAAAATGAATCCTCACGATACCCTATGTCAGTGTTATTTATTCACTAATATTTATCAAATCCTAGGTACTCACTTTGGTACTGGGCATAAAGCAGTGAATAAGAAAAAAGCCTCCACGCTTTCACAAAGCTTACATTCTAGTTAGGAGAGGATAGTCAATGACCAAATGAATAAATATGTAATAAGGGATCAGATAGTGTTACATTCTGCAAAGAAAAATAAAGCCTTTTAAGGAGCTCCAAAGATTCAGCCCTAAAGTTTCTGCATAGAGACCTGGTACCTGCTATTACCAGAGGGAAACACTTCCAACACAGATTAACACAGACAAAGGAGTTCTGAAATTATTCCTGTCTTAAGCATGAGAAAGCAAGTACATTTCTTTATTGTAAACAAAGGTTCAATTTCTGAAACTTTGTCCCCTTTTACTGGATCAGAAATCACATTTTTAAAAAATTAAAGAATATAAATGTTGAAAAAAAAGATAAACAAATGTGTTTTCTTCTCCCAAGTCAAATTGCTGTTCTTTGTCCAATCCATAAATGTGTCTTTAGTGGGAGCAGCCACCATTCCACCCTGGCAGGGACTTGAGGAGACATCCCATCTCCCCATCTCTGTGACTTCCATCCACTCGTCCCTCCACCACTCCCTCATTTGTCCATTGGTTCCCCACAATCTTAACAGACCAGATTTCTGCCCTTGCACACAGTTTTCTATCTTCCATATATCTATAGAACTATACACATTCAACTACTAGGGCATGTATCAAATTACCGTCATATTTGTTGAGATATCTGCTTTCCTCTATTAGATTCTAAACCCTTTAAGGGCAGAGTCTGTGCCTGTCACTGTAGTACTCTCAGTACCTGGCACAATGCTTGGCGTACACTGGGAACTTCACAGGTGCTGAGTGAGTAAAGGAATTTAAGTTTTATCACTGTATCAACAAAAGTCCAAGTTAAACTAAAAATGCCCAATTCTTATTTAAAATGAATGGGGACGGGCGCAATGGTTCATGCCTATAATCCCAGCACTTTGGGAGGCCAAGGTGGGTGGATTACTTGAGACCAGCAGTTCAAGACCAGCTTGGGCAGCATGGTGATATCCCATCTCTACTAAAAATACAAAAATTAGCTGGGCCTGGTGATGTGTGTCTGTAATCCCAGATACTTGGGAAGCTGAGGCACATGAGAATTGCTTCAACAGGGAGGCGGAGGCTGCAATAAGCAGAGATTGCACCACCACACTTCAGCCTGGGAGACAGAATGAGACTCTGTCTTAAAATAAATATAAATAAATAAATAAATAAAATGAATGGATTCAAATGCAGGGGAAGGAATAGTCATCAGCAAAAATATACATACTTACCCCTTTCAACAAGCTCCTGCTGTTCATCTAAATTGCTGTGAAAATAGGAAAAATAAGTTTCTATATTCTCAAGAAGCACAAAATTCAATTGGTATTTTACTTATATTTAATGAATATATTGAAGGAACAAAGGAAGGAAGTCAGGGATAAGAAAAGGGGAAGAGAGGAGAGGAGAAGAGGAAAGGAGGGAAGGGAGGAAGAGCCTTGAGCAGAGGGAGGACAGAAGGATGGGAGAAAGCAGAGTCAGAGAGGAGAGAGGAGGGTGAGGGAGGAAAGAAAACAACCAAGAATTGTCTGCTAAACTCACATAAGTAGCTAAATGATTTTATTTTAAATCTTCTGTTTTTCATAAGATGTGGTTGTTTCTGACCAAAGAAACACATTAACTTCCCCAGACATCTCCCTCCTTTCTTTTTCTTTTGACACTCCTAGATCCCTCTGACCCACTTTGTACTAAAAACCACACACATTCTTTTCACTGGTTATTATTAAACAAGTCCACAACATTATTAGTAAATTTAGAAAATAATATTAATGTTTAATTCAAACCAATAAAACCATACTAAAAGTTTTTGATTAAAAGTTGTGTCATGAAGTGGGCTGTATGCTGTCTTCTCTCTAGTTCACATATTTCATTTAACTGGTTCCATCACTGCCATATGGATATGCGTTTGCACCATTACTAATACCATTATTATTTAAAAATTTAAAATCAACTCTTACCAGGATCTTTTCTTATGTAGATCATAGATTTTGTAGAGAACAACAAGCAGGGCTATTGATGTCACAATAATCAGAAATGCCAGAAATGCTATCAGTGCCTTAGAATTATCTAGAAATGAAAAATAATACATTCAGAGAACGATTGTCAAATAACTTGCTAGACTGGTTGAATAATCACCTCCAAAGTATTTATATTTTAATATTTTTAAATTTATTGTGAGGTTTTAAAAAATAAACATTTTAGAATAAGGTCAAATACAATAAATTTCTAATTCTGTGATTTTGGCTATATTGTTCTGAACCAATGAAAACATTTTATATTTAAGGAGAGTAAGAATAGAAGAATAATTATCTTTCTTTTGATTAAATAATGTTCTTTCATAAGACACATTTAAATTTAATTCTCTTTTTTTATCAGACACTTCATTTTGAAGGGATCAAGGAGGTAATCCAGTTATTATAAATTTTGGAGACAAACTCATATAGTTTAACTTTATATGCAGAAGTGGGTAGCCTCTTAAGGGGATGAGAAAGACTTCTACTTCACAAAGATAAACCCTCTTACCTGTTCACTGAGGTGTAAAATCCATTCACTAAGAGACAAAAATGGTTTCATTCTATAGTTAGGATAAGACTTACCCTGACTTAAATATTCACTAAGTTTAATGTGAAATCCTGCCCTTTCCTAGGGAAAGGGCATAGAAGAGAGGGTGTGTTGGAAATATCTCCAGTATATTCACCTTTTCTTATGTAGTGAAAATGCAGCAAAATAATGCGGTGACTTAAGAGCCTCAGCTCCAGAGCCCGACTGCTTAGCTTCCAATCCTAGCTCTACCACTTCTTAGTTGGGAACTTGGCCAGATTCCTTATTATCTTTGTCCCTCCTTTCCCAAAATCCTAAAATGTGGCTAAAGGTGTTGATTCACAGTAAACACGTAGCACGGTGGCTGGGAAGTAGTAAGTACTAATTATTCACTATTCACAAAAAAAATATTTTTGGCTTTTGGTCATCTGCCAAACTCAGCTCTAGGTACTTAGGATATCTACATAAAGAAAAACAAGGGTCCTGTCCTCATGGAACTTACTCTCTAGTGAAGAAAAATAGATAATTAATAATGAACAGAAGAAATAAGTAAATGGTCATGTAGGTGAGAAGATATAAGGGCTGTGAAGATAAAAAGGAAGACAGTCCGTGGAAATGCTATAGAATATAAGGCAGAGATAATATTAGTTTTCAGGAAATTTGCATTCTCTTTGGGGGAAACAGACACTAGAAAGGTAACTGAACAGACAGGCGCAGTGGCTTACCCCTGTAACCCCAGCACTTTGGGAGGCCGAGGCGTGTGGATCACTTGAGGCCAGGAGTTTGAGAGCAGCCTGGCCAACATGGTGAAACCTCATCTCTACTAAATATACAAAAAATTAGCCAGGCATGGTGTGTGTCTGTAATGCCAACTACTTGGGAGGCTAAGGGATGAGAATCACTTGAACCGAGGAGGCAGAGGTTGCAGTGAGCCAAGATTGCACCACTGTACTCCAACCTGGACGACAGAGCAAGACTCTGTCAAGAAAAAAAAAAAAAGGAAAGAAAAGAAAAGAAAAAAGAAAGGTAAGTGAACAAATGAAATAATTATGCATTTTTTCATATACTCTGAAAAAAATAAGTAGGGTGATAAGGAAGTAGAGGGGATGTATTTTCTGTATGGCAAGTGGAGGCCTTGAGCATGAGACAGTTTTTCTACAACTGGAAAGAAGGAAATGACTCTATCAAGCAAACAGCTGCCAGAAACAGTTCATCTCATGATCAAAATTTCTGTAACTGGAAACTCATACAAACAGGAATATTGAAAGTAATTTCAGATACAGACTGTAAGACCTGAGCTTGAATTCAGGCTCTGTCATTTCTTTGACTCATAGGGCAAATAGATTAAATTATCCAAACTTGAGTTTCCTCATATATAAAATAGAAATAATTTTATCTCCTTTAAAGGGGTATTTATACTGCCGGCATATATAAAAATGGATGGGATACATGAATGTGAATATATAGGTGGATTGCAGTGAACATTTTTAGGGAAGAAGTTCTTATTGCAATAGGCTCCTAAAATGACCCAAAGTGTTCCTTGTCTTATCTCTATCTGAAATTCCTTTCACTGAAATTGTCAATCCATACCAGTGATTACTAGTATACATATATCAATCAGCATGATTGTTTCCAGATTTTGTGAATAAAAACCTCATCAGAGGCAACATCTAACTTCTAGAATACTCTGAAGTAAGATTTTGCAAGAAACTGCAAATGACTGTAAGTTAGCATTCCAATCCATAATAATTAGATTAAGTTCTACAAAAATATTAAGCAGCATCAGACTTTTCTCAACAAACTTAATAAAATAGCCAAGTCTTCAGATAAAGCTTGCATTCTAAGCACACATGTGTTTCCCCCTTCTTTCCAGGAACCCTGCTAATATTAAAAAACTGAAAATGCCATAGATTTATAATGACAGTGAAAATGAGAGAAGGGAAATTAGAAGTAGAGCAATTTCAACAAGTTGTAGAAGGTAGAAAACAAAAGAAAGGAGGCCACAGCCTAAATCAAAGGAATAGATTCCATTTACTCAGAATGCCTGAGTCTCAGGTTTGAAAGTGACATATGCAGTAAATGTGAATCATGGGTCAGAACATGGAAGTCAAATGTCTATTTACAAAAACAATAACAACAACAACAACAATAACAAAAAATATCTTCTTGAAAAAATACTACCAGGGAGGAGAAGACAAAAGGAAAATTAAATGAAAGCAGTGAGAGACTGAGAATAAAGTCAGGCTCAGTACAGGGAAGGGATGAGGCACAGGACTAAAATTAGGAGGACAATGTAATTGTCCACATATGCAATAGTTGGACACCTATCTTCCTGTCCTACTGTGAGAAGAACCACTTTTTCACACTTTACCACACAACAAGGAGTAGGGTAATTCTGGAGATTAATTTCTGGGGATTAATTAGTTTTTGGTGATAATGAATGATATCAGAAAAAAATAAATCAGCAATATCATAGGAAATCTCCTCAGTCACCAAGATCTTCTAAGGACCACAGAACATCTAATCAACCTTTCCTGTTGTCTCACTGTGACTATGACTAGACTACCAATAAGAACCAAGCTTTTAAGGAAAACATCAACACCAAAGGGGAATGCCAAAATAATAAGTCAACTTATGAGTTTTATGACTAATAGACTCAACCAAAGACTATGGGAAGAAAATGGAGCAAAGAATTCTCAGATATATAAATCTTCAGGTTACAAAGGTCAATAGCATCCAGAAAAAATGAATGAAAAAGATTCAGGGCCAGGCACAGTGGATCACACCTGTAATCCCAGCACTTTGGGAGGCCAAGGCAGGTGGATCATTTGAGATCAAGAGTTCAAGACTAGCCTAACCAACATGGTGAAATCCCTTCTCTACTAAAAATACAAAAATTAGCCAGGTGTGGTGGTGCCTGCCTGTAATCCCAGCTACTCAGGAAGCTGAAGCAGGAGAATCACTTGAACCCAGGAGGCAGAAGTTGCAGTGAGCCGAGATTATGCCACTGCACTCCAGCCTGGGCAACAAGAGCGAAACTCCCTCTAAAAACAAAAACAAAAACAAACAAAACAAAACAAACAAAAAATTCAGGTAAGACCAAGAATAAAGACAGAAACCTAGCATTTCCAGGGGAGGAAAACTTGGGAACAGACCAAAAAAAGAGAGAGAGAGAGAGAGAGAGAGAGAATCAGGATGGAATTAGAAAGTAAAATTGGATTCAGGAAAATAAGACAGAAATAATTTTTAAATTCTAAAATTTTTAACTTAGAATTTTATACCAAGTCGATACACTGAACAAGTGCCAGAGCAGAATAAAAATTTTTTTTGTATGGGAGAATTAGAATTATTTTTCTTACACTAGAGAACATATATCAGTGAACTCAGACAGAAAAAAAAATAACTATGTGTGATACAGCAAATCTAAACCAGAAAACTGATGGGGGAATATTTCAAGATGGCATGTGAGAGTCCAGATCAGAGCAAGAAGAAAGGGTCCCCAGGAGTTCAATTGACAATGATGTCAAAGTACAGGTGGTGGAATATTATGCCGGGGAAACCCAACAACACATCCCTAGTAGCTGTACCCTAGCAATTCACAGCCCAAGTCCTTTCCTGGAACAGATATCACTATTTTAAAAGAAACTATATTATTTATCTCTTAGGATAATGATATTGTGAGCAGAGAGTGAATACAATGTTGTCTCCTTTGTGGAAAAAGATGAGGGCTAATTTTTTGGCTCCGTTGACCTGGAAACCTGATAAAAGTGGAATATTAGCTGGTTACCAGACAACATTGCTAATGGCAAAATGACCCTTGATTGCTAAACTACACCTGAACAGGGAGTGCTATATGTGAACTCTATTGTCCTCATGGGAAGTACCAGCTTTGGGTTTCCCTGAGTGCAGTGCCCGCTCATAACTGAGCACACCCCTGTTGGCATGTCTGGAAGCTATGCCCATGGAAATAGTATAAGAGATACTGATTCCTTTTGGAATGCAGCTCCTACACCTACACATGTGGTCTCATTCTCTCATATCTCAGTTGTCTTTGAGAGTGTCATAAGAAAAGTAGCTGGATTGCTGTGTGCACTGCTGCAAGGATTCCCGCTGCAAGGATTCCCACTGCCAGGCTCCCTTGCTAGCATGCTGTGCTTTTTGTTCTGTGTCTTTCCAGGTGAAATGTTTCAGATCTGGCCTATTAAGATGTGAGTGTGAATGTTCAGCTGAGTCTATGACTGCTATAAATTATTTACAATTTAATAGGAAAGAGTCAATGAAGTCATTTTTATTATAAAGATATTATAAAAGAAAAAGGTAATGTGGAAATAAAATCAAAGCTATCTTGCTGGACTTTTTTGACATTTAACACAGGGAGTTTTTATTTCATAAATCTGAGCAGAAAGAACTAAAACTTTGCAGAGGGCTTAGTAAAGCAGTTTGGAAAATAAGCTGTTTTTATATTTTCTCTTTTGACTTTGCATTCATACCAGTGATTGTGCACATGCATATGTGCATATGTAACATATGTAAGAGAGGAAGAACTAGAAGTGGCAAAGATAGAAAGACCTAGAAGTTGCTGACAACAAAGTACATACAGGCTTAAATAATTCTATTTACAATGTTAACCAGTAGAGAAAGCCCAAAGTAGAGTACTAGGTCTCCTTCCTCCATAGGCTCAGATCAATTGGTAATGTTAGTAACTCTAGAAAGAGCAGTATACAATATTGTTTATATATATATATATATATATGAAGGAAACTATAAGGAGACCCAAAAATAGAAATGGTTAAAAGTGGTTGCCTGGCAAACAGAATTGTGGGTGGGGAATGTAACATGCAGCTGTTATTTTCATTATTATAATGAAATTTAATTCTAAGTAATTTTTCATGTACACCTTTACTTTGATGAAAATATTTTAAATATCAGTGATAAATATTTACATAAGTATATTGTTATTAGGGAGTGCTTATATTAGCTTCCATTAAGTAAATCAAGACAGACTTGTATCTAAGGCCCACTTCTGCTAAACATATGCTGAAGAGACAGAATAAAATAGATAATCTAAAATAGTACACGAAAAATGTTACTAACATGACGATATTTCATAAACATAAACATAATTTAATAGTTTGGGTATATAAATCCTCTTATGAATTCAACAAACCTTTAATAATTGAATCTCCTAACTTGAATTTAAGATATTGTATTTAAATATATTTACATATATATGTATGGTTTTACTGACAATTAAAAATATTACATTTACGGAAGAGATATTATTTAAGCATTTAACAATCAAATGTGATTATAAGTGTAAAATAATATAGCTTTATAAGCATTAATATATATCTTAATATATATAATAAATAGCCCAGTGATAACTTACAAGATGTTGAATGATGTAAAATAAAGGGTTCTCCAGGATAGTCTCCATTGTGAAAATAGGCCTGAATTTCAGTAACAAAAAATAAAATAATTAGTTTGCTAATGTGAATTTATATATATATATATATTATATATCACAATGTAAAACATTTATATTATCTTTCATACCATGCATACAATAAAAGTATGCTGATTTGCTTTAAACTTCAAGGTTATGTCAGTATGTTGTCAAATATATTTGAAAAGACAATCAAAAAGATATCTTATCTCACTTAGCAATAAAAATATTTATAGTTATTAAACAATTATTAAATAATTATTTAAAATAATGAAACTGGATGAAGAAATAAAATCCAATACATCAAAATATTCATAAAGTTAAAATTCCCTATTAATAGGCTAATATTTAATTAAAAAAGGAAATTCAACCATAAGCTGTTTACTAGAATTATGCATAAAATGCACATACATTTTTTTAAGGGCAAATGGATATATAGTAAAATTTACTATATAGGCATAATGCATAAACACCTGTGTCTCATAAAATGTAATACAAATGAAGTGAAAACAATTTACATATACAGGGAAAATGAAAAGAGCAAAAGAGCAGTAAGAATCCTTGACCAAAAAAATTTAAGTAAAATATATTTGAATAATATCATTAAAAGAGAATAATAATAAATATAATAAATCTGACAAATATATATCTAAGCTTTTATCCTATGGAGAATATATAATTTACCCAATATTCACAGAATATTCATAAATATCACACATAGAGCTGTAAAAATTATTCTACAAATCCTAAAAGGCAGAAATTGTAAAAGCCAATTAACTTTTATCAGCTAATAATTAGTAGCAATAAGAAATTAAAGCACCAGAAATGTAGAAAAACTCTCTTAAATAATGGATATATTAAAAACTCTTCCAAATTATAACTACAGACTCATTAGAAATCATCAATAATCAAAATGTTTTACTTTAAGAATCATTGATTACATTTCATGTGAAGGCCTTCAGAAATTAGTGACAAACGATATAGACATGGGTTACAGTCAAAATTTTACCAAAGTACAATCCATAGCCTTTTTTTTCCCTTTAGTTTATAAAAATGAAAAAAAATTACAAGGAAGAAAACACTTTTAATCCGAAAGCCACCTGAAGAGCATCAAAATAAATCTATGGAAAAGTAATACTAATAAATCAACTTCATTAATTTATTAACCAGAGATCACAATGGTGAAAAAGCTGAAATGACTGCTCTCTCATGAAGGAGTGAACACAAAACATGATAGTGGAGACAGAAATAAGCATAATAAGAAGGTATGGCAAGTATAATAAAGAAAACAAAAACCATCTTTTGAAGATTGGGGGAAGAGAATTCGAAACTGAATAATTATCTCCTACTTTGAACGTTAAGGTTGTATTTTAATATGATGTACACCTATATTTTTCCATAGTAACTTATACGATTTGAAGAGTGGGAGAGGCATATTCTAGGAAGTGGGAAGAGCGTGGAGGGAGGTGGCTAAAAAGAGTAACACCTAGGTGCCTCTGAGAAATTATAGAGAAACCAGTGCACCTGGAGCTTAATGGGCACTGGAGAAGCAGTGGGGAATGAAGTATAATACACAATGATGTGACAATAAGAAAATATTTCTTTTAGGTTGACTATTCTTTGAAAAAATATATATAGCACACTCACTCAAAAAGAGTAAAATATCTGAAAAGACTAATCCTATTGAAAGAAGATATAAATGAGTCTTAAAGAATTTCTCTGCATGAAAGGAATGAAGACAAATTTTTCAGGAACAAATCACTCCTATACTATTTAAAGTTATATAATATAGGCCTGGCACAGTAGCTCACGCCTGTAATCCCAGCACTTTGGGAGGTAAGGTGGGCAGATCACTTGAGATCAGGAGTTCTAGGCCAGCCTGGCCAACATGGTGAACCCCCGTCTCTACTAAAAATACAAAAATTAGCCAGGCATGGTGGTGCATGCCTGTAATCCCAGCTTCTTGGGAGGCTGAGGCAGGAGAATCGCTTGAACCTGGGAGGCGGAGGTTGCAGGAGCCGAGATCACGCCACTTCACTCCAGCCTGGGTGACAAAGCGAGACTCTTTCTCAAAAAATAATAATAAAATTTTTTTAAAAAGTTATATGATACAGAAAAACAGGAACATATAAGCAATGTGTTTTATCAGATCAGTGTAACCTTTATACCAAATTTAATAAGAATGATGTCATCCAACGCCTATGCCAACACCGTCTCTACTCACTGAATGATCTCCTTTTTGAATATCTACTAATAAAGACAATAATAGGCTGTTGATTTCAATAATACTCTGAGAGAATAACACACAATGACAGAGCAGGGGTTTTTCTCTTAGAATGTGACAATGGTTTTGCATCATTTAAACTAATCACACCAGGGCATCACAACTATGGCATCATCTATCATAATGCCCTAAAAATCGATAAAATCCAACCGACATTTCCAGTTCAAAAACAAAATCAAAAAGTTTATAAATATGAAAACACTTCTTTAAGTGATAAAGAATATGGGCCGGGCACGGTGGCTCACACCTGTAATCCCAACAATTTGGGAGGCTGAGGCAGGCGGATTACTTGAGGTCAGGAGTTCCAGACCAGCCTGGCCAACATGGTGAAAACCTATCTCTACTGAAAATACAAAAATTTGCCAGGTGTGGTGGCAGGTGCCTGTAATCCCAGCTACTCAGGAGGCTGAGGCAGGAGAATCATTTGAACCCGGGAGGCGGAGGTTGCAGTGAGCCGAGATCACGCCACCACACTCCAGCCTGGGTGACAGAGCAGGACTCCCTCTCAAAACAAAAAACAACAACAAAACAAACAAACAAAACAAAACAAAACAAAACAAAAAAAGAATATGAGGCCGTTTGTCAACATCATATTAAAAAATTAACTATGGAAATTTCTATTTAACAGGAATAAAAGTGACAGATACATTTGTTTAAAAATAAAAAGGGGAATTATGTAAGACAAAGTGCTGTGAAGAAAACTAAAAGGCAAATTATAAACTGATAACATTTTTACGCATGTGACAAAGAGTTTAATATCATTAATATTCAAGGCATTTCTCCGGAGAAAACTGGATAAAAGAGGCAAAGAATAACACAAAGAACAATAAGTAAAGAAACTTCATTAAAAGAAAGATATCAATACCATATTTCAACCACCAAATAAAGAAAAAGAAAGGCGTATTCAGTGTTGGTGAGCCTCTCAAGAAGCAGTCATTTCATACACTGATACACCAGGGCAATTTGGTAAATTTTATAGAAAAAAAAAGTTACATATCCAAAAAGCCTCAAAATACATTTTGACCCAATAAATGCATTTTTAGGAATTTATGAAACATAAATTATTAAAGACATTCAAAAATTTTGCTTTACCAATAAGTGTGTTATCGGAATGTTGTTTATATTAGAGACCAACATAGTTATAGTTAATAGAATGTGATAAAGCCATACATAGAATATTATACAGGCATTAAAAACTACATAGTAGTTAAATATTTAACATAGAAAGGTGTGTGTGATATAGTGATATATTAAAAATACAGTTTTAAAACTGTATTTTGAAAACTGTGTACTCAGAATGTTGATAATACGTGTTAAGTGCATATAAATGTGTATATTATGAAGTTACATGTACAAAATACGATCAGTAGACAGTGAGATAATGAGTGTTTTAAATTCTGTATGCTCACTAGTATTGTCTAGTGTTTATTTCAAATATTTCCTAACCTCAAGGTACCTGTGAAATTTTGCAATTGAAAAATTCCACATTAATAAAGATAAAAAGCCAAAGTAAAGAAAAGGTAGATTTGGTAAAGTAATAATCTGTTGTGCATAAAGTGTTGTGCTTCTTAACACAGAAGCAATAATTTAGCTATAATTAAGTCATATTGAAGTTCTAAAATATTCCAATGAAACATTTGCTTTAAACCACTGACTTGAGCTATAGGAATAAAAATTTTAGAGTCAAATATTTGAGACTCTTTAAGTGTGATTCCATTACACATCAGAGCTTCTCAATCTCATGTGAGCAGTGGTCTTAAAGTTATTTAAGTACTATGAATCAATCATTATAATGTAGTTGGTACTATAGTAATGTAGAGAGCATACTTTTACCTTAAAAGTGTAGTCTGTTGAATATTGAAGATCTTTTACACGGAAATCGCAATTCTTATGCGACTCATTTCTAACCAGAGTATTTCCAGCTTCAACTTCCAAATGGTAACGTTCATGGGGGCCATTACGGTCCCTGGGAGGCCTACACTTGACATGCATACTATTATCTGATGTCATGGAGACAGTCATGTTCCAGACCTGGCTTGGAGCTATCAAAATGAAGAAAGATTTGTTATTAATAATTTAATAGATGCATATGTAAATTACTTGACAATACTTGGATATAGTATAAAGTATTTTAAGTGTTAGCTTGGGGGTTATAAATAAGGAAGTTATGATAGTACATAAATTAAAAAACAATATCAAAACCCTGAAGAATAAATCACTCATTTATTCAGTAAGTATTAGCATATAGGTTGTACATGAAGCCATGAGAGTTATTGCAATCCCTGAAGGAGACTGTGTAGAATTAGAGAATAGAGAAAAAGGGAAGGGAGTGGGGAAGAGGGGGAAGTTTGGGGAGAGGAGAGGAAAAATGTTGTTGATTGGGAAACCTCCAAGTCCTATTACACAATCTAGACCCTTCTTTCCCGGAGTGCTAATGTTATCCTGGTAAACACCTAGATGGGTTCTTCAGGAACAGAAACAAATTGTCTTCTTTTTCTGTGATACAGAAACTCAGGAAAACAACAAAAGCATAGAGCTCCAGGACCAGAACTTTTCAAACCAAAACCTAAATGACCTTAAAAGTGTCTTATATTCAGCCCCAAATAGCACAATATTTCTTCACAAGTCTAGTGCCCGTTAGGGTCTCTGGAGCTATAGATGCTGCCTTAAAACACGGCATTTCTTCTTCCCTGTCCTCGATGGAGGTTAACATGTGCCCCAGAAGCAGATCTAACTTTGGGCCTGGAAACTATGGAGAGATTATACTAGTGGCAAGAGCCAAATGCCATTGAAAGGAAACCTTAAATGGATAATGTGACATAAAATAGAATAGTAAGTAGTTGAGGGTAACGAAGAGAAGAAAATGCTAATAAAATATTACATTTTATGAAATGTTTTATCAGATGAACAGAGGTTAGTAGGCTAATGCTTTATGAGACATTGTTAGGTTTCTGATTACAATTAATATTTCCAGATAGTAAAGACAACAGCAAACAGTGAATGTTTTAATCTAAGTTGGTTAAGTACTTAACTGCATGAAATTGCACAAACTGATGCCAATTAAGATGCTTTTATGCTTTGTCCTTAAAATTCTATGACTATATCTGAAGAAGAGAGAGAATCCAGGATAACGGTTTTTAAACTTTTAGATTTTACGTGTTTATAAGCCCTAGATGTTAACAAATGTGCCAGGTAAATGTGCTTGCTAGAATAAAGATAGAAATATTGTAGGCTAAAAAGTTCATACCTTGCTTTTTACCATTTATGGAAAGAAGCATTAAAACATATAACTTACGAGCACTTTTAGTTGTGAAATGACACATTGCAGCACTTCCATTACGTTGCACTTTTGCAATGATGTAGGCATGTAATGATAAAACATATTTCGTATAAGGTTTTAAATTTTGCAAATCATATTTGATCAGGTTTTTATCCAGATTGAGGCAATCTTTTTCTGAGGAAAAATGTGAAAAAAAATTAGTAAGTCGTTAAAAGTCAGTACTACCACGTACCTAATTAATTTGGTCTCTACATCACATTGTTCCAAGTGAACTCCAAACTATTGAGTGATTGAAAAATAAGTACATCCTTGATACTCAAAAGTACCTACAATTATCAGCCAGTGTATTGAACAAACTCAATTATCATTGGTAAAATTAAATATTGAAAAATTATGGTTTTATATCATTAATTTGGTACATAAAATATTTAATAAGTTCAGATTCATTTGTGAAGACGATCTCTTTTGTTTCTGAGAAAACACAGCCCCCAGTGTATACTGTAAGTCTTGAGTTGCATGTTTCAGAATGATTCTTTTTTAGAAAACCTTTTCTGATATGTAACCTCCAAACTTTGAACATCGGTATTAGCTACTGTTTTGAATGTTAGATGCAGAATCCATTTGATCATCAGTCATTGGGTTGATTCTATCATAGTAATTTGGACACTACAGTAATTAACGGGAGCTGTGAGAATGAGGGAGTTTCATGCCGGAAGTGGAATTCAGCTGTTCATTGAAAGGTAAGTGGAACTGAATACATGTAAGGGAGAAAAGAAAATATTACAAACGGAAGAAGGAATGTTTTTGAGTTTAGTGACAAACCTGATCAGGACAACAGCTCTGGCTGGGGAGGCATATGAGAGGTAGGACAGTGTCTAAGTGTGTTTTCACACTCAGGCAGAAGACTTAGCACTTGTTAAGTAAAAAAATCACCAGCTGCTGCTATTTTTGAGTAGCCAAGTGACATCAGGAAAGAGGATGATTAGAGTGGCAACATGTTTCTGGATAGCAGCAACAGTAATAATAATATCAATAACGATTTTTAAAAATAATAACTCACTGTATGTGCCAAGCACTGTTTCAAGGGGTATACATGAAATAATTAATTTAACCATCACTGCAACTATTAGTTGGTACTCACTATCATCTGATTTTACAGATGACAAAACTGAGCCACAGAGAGATTAAGCAATTTGTTCTGTTTTTTTTTTCTTAAAAAAATAAAAGGCATTACACAAAATAATTTCCAGCAACATCATGGTGGTCTTGAAAGGTGCCTATTGCTTTCAGTAACTTTTGAAAAATAATCCTTTAAATCCAATAAAGCACAAAAGATCTCTTCCCCAATTCCCCAATTACCAAGAAGCTTCACTGTCACTTGCCATCATTAAGTTAACGAGATAAAACTGCAGTTCTCCAAAATATCTTAAGCTAAAAATGTGAGGAAAAATAAACAAACACACTTTGGGAGGCCGAGGCGGGCGGATCGGATCACACGAGATCAGGAGATCCAGACTATCCTGGCTAACACAGTGAAACCCCGTCTCTACTAAAAATACAAAAAAATTAGCCGGGCGTGGTGGCGGGCGCCTGTAGTCCCAGCTACTAGGGAGGCTGAGGCGGGAGAATGGCGTGAACCTGGGAGGCGGAGCTTGCAGTGAGCCGAGATCGCATGACTGCACTCCAGCCTGGGCGACAGAGGGAGACTCCCTCTCAAACAAACAAACAAACAAAACCAAGAGCAGAAAGGAAACAGATCAAGCTACTGAACTTGAACATCTATCACATTTTCTGTTAACCTCAGTTTCATCATATGAACTATGAAGATATGTATGCACATCTCCACTGAGTTATTAAAATAGTTGATAAAATCTTTAAATAATACATAATTAAAAAAACCTGCTAAACCAATAAAACTAAATTAATGTCAATTGCATTTTTTCTCCTCTTTTAATCCCTCTCTTTTAGAGACACTGAAAAAATTAAATTGTGAAGTAATGAAGTGAAATTTAATATCTGATTAAAAAGTAAACTGCAAATTTCATAGACTTTCTTCCTGTGGATTTTTAATAGTAATTTTATTTAAAATGGTGAGAAAAGTTAAGTTGCCTTAACGATACTATAATCCTATCAACTCTCTTTGCCTTAGGTAACATGGGAGAGGAGACAGGTATATGTTTGAGATGAAGGAGAAAACAAAAGCGGAGCACGCTGTTTAGAGTAGAGCTGGCTCCAAAGAGCCCTTTATGCAGTGTCAGGGCATGGTCCAAAGCTGCATTCAGTCACCAATCGGCAGCTTTGGAGAAAAGAAAACACACAGCCTGATAGCTAGCCTCCCCTTCTCAGCCATTCAATCCCGTTTAAGTGTTCTATGTGGACAGCTGTTAAATTTGGGTAACACTATTTAGTTGCCCAATAAGAAGGACCCATGCTAGTTGCTGTAATGAGTTGCTACTAACTCATTACATCCTTTTTACCCTAATTATGCAAATACAGTGGAAATACAGTTTAAAAAAACTGTAAAAATATAAAAGAGCCATAAATGCATAAAATGTCTACCATATACTCTGACATCGACAATACTCTCTAGTAGAGAGAGTGTAGACATTGAGGAATGCAGAAAGGGATAGTGAATAGAAGATTCAGAGAAGAGAAAAAAAAAATGAACAATGTGTTCCCATAGAAGCTACACAAAGTGTTTGTAAAAGAGGTGTCCAATGAGGCAGACAGTACCTCTGCTGTTTTATCTTCCTGGAATTTCCATTTTTCCTTCCACATAGACTTAACTTTTAAATTTATCATAACCTCAAATATATAGTATATATTTATTTTCCTTGGCCTTTGAATGTTAATTTGAAAACTACATGCATATTTAACTTTGCTTTAGTAGTCTGATTATTAAGACCTAAAGACACTAGCAAGAAAAGGCCATTAAAATATAAAATAACATAATGAAGAAAAATAGCCTTTCACTTTTCAAGTTTTGAAGTGTATGTCTGGTTCCTTCCCCACAGCACAGAGTGACAGAATTCTATGAGGTTCACTTCATTCCTATTTTAACCTATGGATAAAAGAATAGAGAAAGGGCTATCCCAGGCATTGAGGCTGCTCTGAGATACTCCACTGATGTTACTTTCTACAAACAATTTAGATACTTTAAATTGTCCAGAAGATATTTGTTCTCTTAAATAGCATCTCATTTGAACATTTCATGAGTGAACTAGTCATAGCACATTTCTTTCTTCTTCTTTTTTTTTTTAATTGCATTACTTCTGCAGAAGTCTAATTCTAAACTTAGAACTATGCTCCCAAGATTACACCAAACTGGCCCCAGCGGCTACATGGGCCCATGTTCATTTTTATTCACCCAACATTTTGTCTGTATTATTAGCTGAAACAAGTTTTACAAGGGGTTTGCTTGTTTGTTGGTTTGTTTAGGAGGCTGAATGATGAGTTCAAAGTGAGTCAAATCACTTACATAATACTTGCAAGACAGAAATGAGTGTTGTCATCCAGAGGTTTTCTGTCTCTAGGCTTTGGAGCACAAAGATTTAAACTAAGACCAAGAAGGACAAGCAAATATTTAGAATGTTCTGGATTTTAGTCATTTCTGGGGCTGGAAAGCTTTGAATGAGTGGAAGCAATTCTAAGATCAGGGAGTATACTATGCCTATGCAGTCTCTAAGCAGAGAGCTTTGTGACTCACTGGCTCAATAAAAATTTCTAGTACTTTCAAATTCTTGATTTCTCTTTTCTGATGAAATTAAATTCTACACAAATTACCTGTCTCTTTTATATAACAGAGGGTAAAATTATGAAATGATCTTTGAGGGGGATTCCAGGTAATTACTCCTTGATGTGCAGCTTCACTTCTACAAAAAATAATCTGAGGCTCTCCTGGACCTGTTAAAAGAATAAGAATGTTATGTAATATGAAAAATAAGACATGGATAAAGCATTCTTCATATTATAAGCATGCATTATTGATAACCATATTTTGACAAATGATGAATTCAAAATAAAATTTAAAGAAATGCATCTGGGCTCATTTAATTTGTTTTAGAGTAAATTCCTTTAACAAAGTAAATGTCACACCAGATTGGCACTGTGAAACCTAAGCATTCCACTGACTTGAAGATATCTAAGAACCCCCTCTTCCTTTCATATACATTATTCATATATATTCTTGCCCAGATACTACCTAAAAATCCTGGAATTTGTAGATTTTGCTGTGCTAAAAATCTGGCATTCATAGCACCAATAAATTTAGCAGTCATTGAGTAGCACTTGTCATTGCTTCCAGTAACTAGTCATTTGAAACTGAGAAAAACTGATAAATGTTTAAATAAAATGTCTGAAGTAAAATTTACATTAAAATGTACCCATTTGAGATACAGTTTAATGCATTTTTAACAAATGTATACATCCACATAACCAACACCACAATCAAGATAAAGAAAATTTCTGTGATCCCAAAATGTCCTTCTGTGGTACTTCCCAGTCAACTCAGCTCCTTTGACCAGACTCACGTACCTTCTGATCAACTTTCTGTTAACTACAGATTAAGTTTGTCTTTTTACCCATTGCATGTAAATAAAATGAAACAAACAGTAAGTACTTTTTCACTCCTAACATATTGCACTCAATGTAATGTTCTGAAGATTCATTCACTTAGTTGCATGTGTCATAGTTAGAATTTTAAAAAATTATCAGTAGTTATTGTAAAGATACACCACATTTTACCTAGGATTCAACAGTGAATACACATTTGGGCTGTTTCCAGGTTTTGGCTACTATGAATGCATCTGCTTTGTCATGTTTCCTCTTTGGTAAATACCTGGAGTGAAATTCCTGGGTCATGGCTGCACATCCTGACCAATAGTTAGTAGTATCCGTATTCTTAAGTTTAGCCATTTTAATGGATGTATAGTATTATCATCTCAGTGTTGTTTTAATTTGTATTTCTCAGTTAACTAATGATGCTGAGCATCATTTAATGTGCTTATTAACCACCTGTGTATCCTCTTTTGTGAAGTATATATTAAAAATGTTTGTCCATTTTCAATTGAGCTGTTTTAGTCCTTATTTTGCAGCTGAAAGAGCTCTCTGTATATTCTGGAAAAACTTCTGTTGTTGAAAAAATTAATTTTGATTTTTTACAAACTATTTATTGCTTTTTTATTTCCTTAGTGGCCTCATCCAAAGAGCAGGAATATTCAATTTTTATGCACTCCAATTCATCAAAAAAGTTTTATGTTTCTTGCTTTTGTGCCCTAGGAAATCTTTGCTAAAGCTACACATTTTCTCCTATGTCTTTGATTAGAATTTTTTAAATTATAGCTTTAGTATTTAGGTCTGGAATCCATTTTGAATTAATTTTTGTGTTTGTTGAGAGGTGAGAGCTGATGTTCATTTTTTTTCTACAGAGATACCAGGATCATTAGTTGAAAAGACTATTTTTCCCCCACTGAAAACATTTTGTGCTGTTTTCAAATATAAAACATAGTTTTCTGGGATTTCTATTTTGTTGCATTGATTATAAAGAATGTAATAATTGTGGTACTAATAAAAATACATTAAAATTTTCTAGTTATGCTGAGGATATAGTTTTTACATAGTTTTATTTGCTGTTCTTGTAGCTATATATTATTTTGGAGAAGTATGAGGAGACAAGGATTTAGGCAGCCTCTTTAGCCTTCAACTATCCTTTTTACATAAAACTTAGAATCACGGGCCGGGCATGGTGGCTCATGCCTGTAATTCCAGCACTTTGGGAGGCCAAGGTGGGCGGATCATGAGGTCAGGAGATTGATCTCTACTAAAAATACAGAAAATTAGCAGGGCGTGGTGGCACGCACCTGTAGTCCCAGCTACTTGGGAGGCCGAGGCAGGAGAATTGCTTGAACCCAGGAGTCAGAGGTTGCAGTGAGCCGAGATCACGCCACTGCACTCCAGCCTGGGCAACAGAGCGAGACTCCGTCTCAAAATCAAAACAAAACAAAATTTAGAATTACATTTATAAGTTTTGTCAAAAATTTCTCAATATTATCATTAATAAACAAATTCAGTAATGTGACAGACTGCAAGATCAATACAGAAAAATCAATTGTACTTTTGTACATTAGTAACAAACCTGAAAATGTGATTAAGAAAACAACAGCATTATAACCAGGAATAAACTTAAACTAGAAATAAATTTAACAGAAGAATTATAACACTAATGCACTGAAAACTACAAAACATTTTGAAAATAAATTAAAGAAGACATAAATTAATGGAAAGATATCTTGTGTTCATGAACTGGAAGACTAACATGGTTAAGATGGCAATATTTCCCAAATTTATCCACAGATTCAATGCAATCCCTGAAAGAATCCCAGATGGCTTCTTTATAAAAATTGAAAAGTTGATCCTAAAATTCATACAGAATTCCAAGTTCCCTTAGATATTCTAAACAATCTTGAGGAAAAGTAACAATTTGGGGGAACTTACAGTTTCCAGTTTCAAAATTTACTACAAAGCAGCAGTAATCGACAGTGTAAGTATGACATATAAATCAATAAAATAAAACTGAAAGTTCAGAAATAAACCCATCATTATGGTCAACTAATTTTTGATAAGAATGGCAAGACTATTCAGTGGGGGAATAAATAGTATTTTCAGCAAATGGCGCTGGAAAAATTAGATGGCCATATGCAACAAAATGAAATTAGACTGTTACCTCACACCATATACAAATATTAACTCAAAGTGGGTAACAGAGCTAAATTTAAGAGCCAATGCTATAAAATTTTTAGAACAAAACATATGGATAAATCTGCATGACTTGGCAATGGACTTTCATATACGACACCAAAAACATAAGCAAAAGAAGTAAAAATAGATAAATTGCGCTTCATTGAAATAAAAAGCATATGCTTAAAAAGTATCAAAAACAGCAAAAAGACAATTCATTTCCTATGATTCTCAAATAATTATAAGAACATGAAGAGAGAAGCAATTTTACATATAAATGCAAGTAACATACTCACTCCCAAAATCTGTTTTAATAATTTTACTTGCGTTAGTAAACTTGTGGTTATTATAGAGTATTTCTGAGTCACACTTATACTCATGTTCGGGTTCAAGGTTTTCTAATTTAATTTCTTTATTATCAAATATCATATTACCTGAAATAAAGAAATATTTCGAATGAATATATCGATGCAATATTTCACGCACACATTTATTTTCTAATTTCACATTTATAATTCTCTATTTAATATTTATCAGATTGAAACATCTGTGGAAATTACCAAAATAATAAAAAACCCTAAAAATAATTTTTACATTCAACTTTTATGAAAATACAGGCTGAGTTTCCCTTATTCAAAATTCCTGGCACCAGAAGTGTTTTGGATTTAGTTTTTTTTTTCAGATTTTGGAATATTTGCATTTAGATGATACAATATATTGGGAAGAGGACACAAGTTCAAATGCAAAATTCATTTATGTTTCATATATACCTCATATACATAGCTTGAGGTCATTTATTTTTCTCTGGGGATGCTGACTAAATTCTGTGTTATGTTTCTGCATTTTGACTATGACCAGTCACTTTAGGTCACGTGTAAAATTTTTCACTTGTTTGAGCCGCATCATGTTGGCACTCAAAAAGTACTGGATTCTGAGAACATTTTGGATTCTGGATTTTCAGATTAGGGATGCCCAATCTGTATATAGCAAATACAACTTAAAGTTGAAATTGCACCTCACCTAGTCTTCATCTAATAGATTGTCTAGAGAGAACATTTTATCATTGGTCTGTCATGATTGCTCTTCCTTTCCTTGTCTGCTTGCCTGATGGCCATGAATCTATACTATGGTGATTAGGTGATGATTACACCCAGCGCAATGCTCCATCCTCTATGTGTGTAGCTGTGGATATGCGTGCATGCGCATGCACACCTGAGCACATCTGTCTGTCATGCCAGCTATGGCCTGGCAGATGGCTTTAAGTCAAAGGGTGGGAGAGTTCACCTCATTAAATTCAAATACACTTTAAAAATACTATCTCAATTATTAGTTGCCTCAATTCAAATCCAAACATATCCCTAGATGCACTTGCTGTTCTTTTTCTGCTTTCTTCTTATTTAAGTGTTCTTGAACTTGTGTATGAATTTTGTTGATGCAGGATGGAAAAAGTAAACTCTTGAACCATACAATCCTGTATTTTTTTTCCTTACTTCATAACAGAGTTTGTGTATTATCATTTCCTTATAACACCCTTCTTTCATGATCTCTTCAACAATGCCTGTGTATAACAATTGCCAAGAAAATTATTGTAAATTAATTGACTTTCAATTTTTAGATATTTATTTTTCATGAAAAGTATTCATTTATTTTGTGAATTTGTTTGAATTGTATAGGTAATTTAATTATTTGACTCTAAATATACCACAGACCAAGAAAAAGACAAGAAAGAAAAAAGACAAACAGAGGGAGAACAAGAGAGGCAGGGAGGAAGAGAGAAAGGGCAGAGAGTAAGATTAAATAATATCTAGAACAACATTGTGCCACAAAAAAAAATTCTCTGGTCAATGTTATATTCTTACCACACTGAAATCTGTAGGTAATATTCTGTGTATCACAAGTAAAGGTTTCAATATTTTTCCATTTTAAACAAATAGTAGTATCTGCTTTTTCAACTTGTGTACAATCATGTAACTGAAACTTTTCAACCCCTGACAAGAAGATACAGAAATAAACTTGATTAGTATTTCATAATGTGTATCCTAAGCCCTCATTCATTCCTAACATGTCAGTTAAAGCCACTGAAATTATGCTAATGACATAGAATTTGGCAAGGATTGAGATTGCTATGGGAAAAGTCTAATAACTCTAGGGATTTGTTTCTTTTATTATTTACTTTATTATTTTTAGCACCATATATTTTGGTAGTGTTTCATTTATAAGTTATACCACGTTAAAAAATGAAATGCAAGCAAACATATTGATAAAATTGTAGCTTTCGCACATTTTAAAAAACACTCATTCCATTTTGTATTTTTGTTTTTATCTTAAATTTTTTGTTTACTCTTTACTTACTTTTAATTGAATGATTATTATAAAGTGTATTGGGAGTTTCCCTATTGGGAAATGCATTTTTAAGTATTGTCATCTTCTGTGTTTAATTGGTAATTTATCTCAGTAATATTTAGGGAAAATGAATAAATTAAATGGATTTTATTTTCAAAATACATTTGATGTTAACATATTTAAATGTTAACAAATTTATTAATAGTCTTGAATTATTAAATGATATGACTTTTTAAAAAAATTACACGGCTCTGGAATCCCTTTTCCAGAATGCATTTGGCTAAGAGATGCTTCCCCAGAGTCTGCCCGACGCCTGTCACCCCCTCCTCTTTCCAAGCAGTAGCTTAGCTGACAAAACCAACTTGATCTCACTAACATGACCATAACCTTCCTTTTTATGAATGTATTTTGGTTCTTCCCATACACATCAAATCCTTTATGTTTCTCCCTAATATATTTCAGATAAATTTGTACTTAAAAGAATAAATATATGTACATATATAATTAATACTTCATTTAAGTAGAGGAGAATAAAGAAAGCTTGCAGACAATCACTTAGCAGGATAAACTATATTTAGTGCACATAAACATCTCCCTGTTAAATAAGTAGAAGTGGTGATTAATGGATGTAAACAGAAGGCTTATTTGACTCTATCATTTTTACTTGGTTAAGACAGCAGAAAGTTCACCCACTTGTTTCCAAGGAATTTCCTTTCCCTCAGCCCTGTTCTCTCACCAGACTAGCTCCTGTGACCACTGGAGAACACCACACACAAAAGTGTACTGTTTTTATAAATTTATTAAAAGAAATAAATTGATATTTACCTGGTGGCACATCTAATATTAATGTCTTATCAGGAGCAGTACATGAATTATGAGATATGGAAACAGACGCATTTTTACATTCTGTAAGGTTATGCACCTCATTGTTTGTGCAAGTATTGTTTCCACATTCCACATTCTCATTAACATTTAGCTTTGCTGTAAATAATTTAGTTTCCTTGTTATATAAGTAATCCACAGTGATGTTTGCATATTTTTCATCTAAAAGAAAATAGAACATTGAGTGTTATTTTTCCAGAATAAATAAAACTACATTAATGCAAATGCCAAAATATCAAATCAACTAACCAAATATCCCCAAAAAACATGAAAAAGAAAAAACACATTAGGTGCCTCCATATCATTTTTTTCGTAATTATCTGTGCTTTACTGCCCTAACAAGGACCTCAGCTTGTAAATTTATATTTGGATGATTACCAGATAAGTGTCTGTCTTCCTAGCTGGACTTGGAACTTCCATGAGAGCAAAGTCTAGGCTATTTTTATTATCACTGTAAATTCAGGAGTATGCATAATATGTATCATTAATGGGAACTCACTAGTTACTTGTTGACTTGATGCACAAATAAATGATGCATTTGAGAAATTTATTCTTGCTTTATAATTTTCTTGTTTTCTAAAACGTAGTTATTAACCACCTGTTTCTTGATATATGTGGGGCATTAATTACTCAGGGATCAGAAGCCCTCATTCTTTCCTTAACTTGGGTAAAATTATGATTGATAATATACCTCCAAAGCACCTTTGTTTAGTGTCAACAATTTCTGCTGACTGATAAAAATATCTTTACAACAAATATAAATTTATTCATTTGTTTTTATTCAACAAAAATTATTAAGCCCTTGTCATATGTAAGACATGGTCACCAATACTAGGAATTCAAAGGCAAGTTAGATATAATCAGCTTTTAGAAATGTATAATCCAGTGTGGAGGCAGACACAAGCATGAATTGCAGGAGACATACAAACCTCTAAAATAAGATTATGCAGGAAATAATGTGGCACTAGAAAGAGAGAGATCTGTTCCATTTGGAGGTATAGGACAGGATTTCCAGAGAAAGTGACTTAGTTTGTGTTTTAAAATATGAGCAGGAAATAGAAAAATAGACATGGGGTTTGGGGGATGAGGTTGGAGCAGAATTCCAATTGTAGAGGAAGAGCAGGAGTGGCCACAGAGGCAGGAAGGAACAGTATGTGTTTACAAATCTGTAAGTGGGCCAGGCGTGGTGGATCATGCCTGTAATCCTAGCATTTTGGAAGGCCGAGTCAGGTTGATCACCTGAGGTCAGGAGTTCAAGACCAGCGTGGGCAACATGGTGAATCCCAATCTCTACTAAAAATACAAAAATCAGCTGGGCTCGGTGGCATGTGCCTATAGTCCCAGCTACTTGGGAGGCTGAGGCAGGAGAATCACTTGAACCCAGGAGGCAGAGGTTGCAGTAAGCTGAGATTGTACCACTGCACTCCAGCCCGGGCAACAGAGTGAGAAAAAAAAAAAAAAAAGAAAGAAAGAACTAACGAATGAAAGAAAGAAAGAAAAGAAAACTGAAAGTGGTTCCATATTACTTAAGTGAAGAACATAAGGAGGCAATGATTCAAGAGGCGGGAGGAGAGATGAATGACAACCGGATTACAAAAGATCATATTAATTAAACAGACATATGAAGGCCACTCTTTACACTAAATGTATGGAAAGCTACTGAAGGCAGTGACTCCAGTGGTTAGACTTAGAAATGAATGGAGGAATAAGCCCTGACCATGAAGAACCGCTTTGCTTCAACTGAGAATCAAGGAAGAAAATGAGAAAAAAAAAAAGAGAGACAAACTGTTTTCAAGTATCTGCTTTGAGCCAGCCCCTAACAAGCAAGACAGAAAGAGAGAGAAAAAGAGAGATTTTTCTTCTTGATAAGCTTTGAAGGTATTATCCACATTTTATATTTATCATCACACTGAATCCTTGTCCCCCTCCCCCTCACCAACAAACTTGCTGTTATTCCATTTTTTTTTCAAATACCTAAATTAAATTAAGTGGCTTTACCAAAGTTGTCTAACTGGAAAACTTAGTTTTCAACTTTTATTTTGGATTCCAGGGTTATATGTGCAAGTTTGTTACAAAGGTATATTGCAGGATGCTGAGGTTTGCAGTAAAATTGAATTCGACGCCCAGCAAGTAGGCACAGTTCCCAATATAGGTAGTTTCCCAACCCTTGTCTTCCTCCCTCCATCATCGCTCTTGTATTTCCCAGTGTCTATCATTCCCAACTCTATGTCCATGTGTAGCTAGTAATTTTTTACTAATTTGAGACTAGTCATCGGTGAGAAATTAGAGCCAGTGAGTTTAGCTTACTAGTGGGTCCTGAAAGCTTGGAATAAAGAAAGATGTAATTAAAGTGCTATTCCAAAGTGAGGTATGCTGATTCTAAGTAAATAAACTTACCACATGTTGGCTTAGATGGAGTAGTAGCTGTAATGGAGAAAAAAAATGTAAATTATTAAAATTTTGCTTTAGAATATCTGCCATGTCATTTTTGGGAAAGCTGATTTACAATACTTCTACTTCATAAAGTCTATCTAGTTAGATTTAACAGAATATGAAGGATTTGCCTAGTACAGGTTTTCATTTCAAAACTTAAAGCATTATAAAGGAATGAGCTAATTCTATAAAATTTTTCATAAATATACCCAATAAATACAATTAACAATATTAAGACTTTTAGGTACGCATCTAATTGGCGGTATGGCAACATGGCTGAAGATTCACACAGCCAAAAATATTTTAAAGGTCTTCATATTTTGATTAATCTCAATGTTAATTTATATAATTATAACCCCCATAGTACGAAGTTTATACTTTTCATTTACATAAAAAAAAGTCAGAGAAAATGCAAAGACTGCTTCATTCTCTAGATTAACTTTTGTAAGCTCTTTGCACATCTACTAGATCCAGGGTAACAAATTGCTCTGTCAACAAATTTAGCAGTATCTTGTGTGAGTGTAGGCATTTAAGTTGAATAATTGGGAGAACATGTGCTTTGTGTAAGCTAAGAGATCTCTGCTCATCTTGATTTTGGGTTGGAAGAATTTGAGGAGAATTGTGGGCTTGCAAGCTCTGATCAGCTTACTTGCTGATTCACAGATACCACCATTGCTGCAGCCATTCCTCAGTTTCTCTTTCCTTTATCTCCACGCCCTCTCACTGCTTAACGGGAACTCTGCCATCAGCCGTCTGATGCTCACCACTTGCAATGGACAGCCCCTTTGATGGGCTTGTTCTTTTCCTTACTAAGACCTAAACCCCTGTGAGAAAAAGTTCTAGTAGATGTGGTTGTTTCTCACACATGCTTTCTGATGAATTATGACAGTAACAATTACATCCTGATCTCATCAGCTGTTGCACTGCTAAGCAGAGAAATATCTTCCTGCTGTTCCATCACCCTCAGGATTCAAACACTTAATGCAACTTAAAGAAAGGAGCCCGAGGTAGAGTGGGTGGAAGGCCCTTGTGAGAGCACATCACCAGGCACATGGGGATGGTGTGGCTGCCTGACTGAGGGTAATATCACCTATTGTTGTGGTTGAAATGACAGCGCTTCCAGAAGGGCTCAGAGTGGTTGTTTCAGAGGCATTAAGGTAGGCATCTGCAAGAAAATGAATAGAAGAATAAAAGCTAATTAATTCGTTATATTAAAAGGTGAAAGAAAAACTCTTTAGCAAAGATAATTTCCTATTGGCATCTTTGCTCTAGGAGTCCTCGTTTGATTTGACATTCGCTTGTTTTTAAAATAATAAAGTGAATCAAAGATTTATTTCAAGTTATTTAAACTAAACATTGTATAAATTGAGGGAAAACTATTCATTCCTTGATATAATTCTTAGTTGATGATATGCAATCTTCCTCAGACTATTCATTTCCCTTTCATTCACGGCTTTCCATACTTGGATTCTAATAAGCGTCACAATTACTCTTTTAAAATATTTATTACATACCAGATTTTTACATATTCAGACATCACGTTAATTATTTTGACATAATTAAAAAAGGAGTGTTATTATGTCCATTTTTACAGAAAGCAAATCTGATATGCAGAAAGTATTAGTAATTTGCCCTGTAATCAGCTACGAAGTTGAAGAAATTGGATTTGATCCCAGAGCTATATGACATTAAGGCCTATTATTGATTCTTCTTTGCCATGGACTTTTATAATATTAATAGTAAAATAAAATATGCCCAGAAAAAGCTTACTGGCAAGTTTCTTTTGCATAATTTGGTGTTGATACGTGAACATTTGTAAAATGGGAAACCTACAAATAATATCTGGCACAAAATAAAAGAGCTACATTAAAGTTTTGAGTTTCCATTTCATTATCTATAACTGAAGACACTACTAGAGCAGCATAGTCAGACCTGAGGTGTTCGCTGTGATGGTGGTGTTGGAGGTGCGTGCAGGTAAGGCAGCAGAGCTGTGGTGTGCAAGGCTGAGGGTGGTTGTCAATGGGGAAACTGGGTCTGTAGGAAAGGTGCTGGCTGTACTCCTCTCTCCTGGGACATCTGCAATCAGAAGGGCCATCAGCACTGTCACTTGTGTCTGTCACGCAAGGGCAATAGCCAGATAGCCAACATAAACACAATTACTAAAGATAAGGCAGAGAAACAAATCTTCAAGCACTTCTGCTATACCACGACACATGCATTCTACAGAACTGTACCAAAAATACCAGGGCTTATGGGAAAGATGCATTTAGGGGCAGACAACTGGAAACCTATGCAGCTTCATAATCAGAGCACAACTTAAAAAAATATATAGTTTGGACAGCCCAAGAAGCCTAAGACTCTGGGCTGCAGGCTGCCTTAGGCAATATAAAAAATGCATCAAAGCAGTAGAGACTGGTGCTGTCTTAGTGGTGCTGAGACCATGTAGATGGAGGTAGAGCTCTGAGTGTAAAAGGTTGGCACAGGAGGAAGTGCAACTTGATACATGCTGAGAGCCTTGCAGGCACACACCTCTCTGGGGAGGGATCCCTGGGTGCAGGTGCTCAGTTTTAATTTTCTTAAAATAGAGCTGAATGGGATCCTGCCTGGGCCACAGCATGAGCTCAAAGGTTTTCTTTTTCTTCCTTTCCAGCTGAAGGTTACAATTCTACTTTCACAATTCAGGCTTCCCTGGCCAGGAAAAATCAAATTGGCTTGAAATCCAACAAACTCCACATTACAGTGGCATCATTCTCTTATTTTTCAATCACATAGTTGCTAATTGGTATAGAATCTAGTGTTGTAGCCAAAGAAACTGCACATTGTACTAGGTTAGAACTTTCCATTTTCAGGCTTCAAATTACCTAATGTATTTTACACCTTTGCCCAACATCACATCCAGAATTACAGCACAGGCAATCAATGTATATTCATTTGGTTCCTACTAGATGACTAGCACTATGCTAGTTGCCATGGAAAAAGCAAAAGAAATATGAGCTGCCCTCTATTCAAGAGCTTGTTGGGTTATTTTCTGTCAAGATCCCTGGGGTCATCAGTTCAATGATGTGAGATTAGTCTCACATTTGCAGGCAGAGTCTGTATTTCTGCAGTGATACATGCATGCACGTTCTGAACATGGCTTTGATTTGAGCTTGCAGGTGTCTACCAATTACAAATGCAGTACAGTCTATAATTTCACACATACATTCCATTAGAATTGAAAATGCATCTTCCAAATAATTGAGCATGGGTTCTCAGCTCAGTCTTCAAAAGCCACTAAACCACGAAATTTAACTAAACCATAGAATAGAATAAACAACATAAACATGAGGTTTTCCACTCTGGATCCCCAGAGGAGGGCTCCAGCAGAATATGTAGAAGAGTGAGGAAAGCTCATTTATTCATCCTTTAAAAAACTCATTCAGACATAGAACTGGCCCTCTGCAGAGTTTTGAAATCAGCTTTTTTCCACCTTCTTTTCCACACTCCTCTCACTCACTTGATCTGTTCTCCCCTCTCTAGCAGACCCTGCTCCCAAGCTGTTTTGAGGCTTCCACTCTCAACCTCCCGAAACTTCCTACCTTCCCTCCTCCTCACTTGAAAACTTCGTTTCCCTTGTTATGTAGGTACTCTCAGTGGTGGTTATGGACGGCATTTACAATTTTAATTAGGTTGATTAATCCTAATAGATTTTTCATCAGTGGAATTAGCCACTTCTTTGAGAAGAAGAATTCCTTGATCAGGACAGAGCAGACTAGTCTGTGTGACAACCAGCCCCAGGGGTCAGTCCCCTTTTGTTGTTTTACAGTTTCTGCCCCTCCACTATTTCTGGATCTGTGGGTTTGCTAAAAGCTCCAAATATTTTTATTGTGGTTCCCATGGCAGCTGGACTAGATGGAATGAGGAAGGTGAGGGCGGCTCTTCTCCCACTTGTTTAAAGAGTGTGGATTGCCTGGAATGATTTTTATGCCAAGGGCACAGTTTTAATACTGCAAAATAATAATTATTCTATTTGATGTGTTTGATTCCTACCTAAAGCAAGACCATGTTCCTACCAGCTACATAGGTCTACCATTTATATCTTTAACTTTCAAGCACTCAGATCACTGAAATTATATACGAGACTGTGTGGATTTGTGATCTGACAAAAGACATACTTGTTTTTCTTGCATATAAAAGGACACCAAGAAGTGATTTGGACACTAATTTTGAAAAGAAAAGGGAGGAAATATTCTGCATTGTTGTTATAAACACAGAGATGCCATCCTGAAAGATTCTTAATGTTTGAATGGGAAATAAACCCATTCCTTTCTTTTTTTCTCATTCTTTAAATAACAGTTTCATTGTGGTTACAATTTCTCACTGCCCTTCACTGATAATAGGAATCACTCTTCACCCTTTTGTTTGTTGGTACAAAGTCTTTAAGTAAAGATTTATGCATATTATTTCTTACTTCTAACAAAAAGTTTTCCCTGTAGAATGGTAATTGCCTGAAATATATAAAAAATAGACTATTCTGAATAACTCTTTCCTCCTGAGCAGATTTTTGCTGTAGTCTCACAATTCTCACTATTATTTCATCTCTGTTAAAAGGACATTTGTTCTGTGGTTTCATATTCCTAAGAGTGACTGAAATTCCAAATTCATCAACTAGCAATAGCTGCACATTGAATAAGTGGTTAGATTTCCTCACACCATTCTTAAATACAGGTAGTCGTCATGTACTTTTCATATTTGCACAAGTCTAAAGGACCCGCAAACCTGAGATAGCATTGCTGCCTGGGGTAGGGTTGAGTTTTGCATTGGCGGCGGAGCCGCTGAATGTCTGCGTGTCAGTTCCAGCAGAGGGCGTCTGCGAGTCTGCGTGCGTGGGAAGGTGAGGCGTCTGTACTGATGAAACACCTAAGGTAGGAAAGTGAGATCATTACATCAGTCTTCCCCCACTGGAGATGAATAATTTACTAAGAGGTTATAAGGAGCAAATTGCGATTATAGTTTACCAAACTGTGAAGTAACTGAATCTGTTAAAATGTGTCTGTCAGTATTTAAATTTGCTTGGCTGGAAAGTGACAGGCACCTGAGTCCTCTATTTACATAGCCTTGGGAGGTTTCCTGAGCTGGATGCAGCCATAGAGAATTCGTGTTTCCAGGTGGCTTTATTGACTTTCACATCACTATGAGCTTTCTGAATTCTCCATCAACTCTACAAACTGACAGATGGGACATTTCTTTGTAGGGAGAATAAGAAAGGAATCTTCCAATGTACTAGTATCTCTTACAAATTACAAAGAAAAGAAGAAATTTAAAAATGGACAAGAGATGTGACAGACATCTACCTAATATACAGAAGGGCCAAAAGGTATATGAAAAAGTGTTCAGTGTTAAGAACAATTTTTTAAATGTAAATCAACATGAAATATTTCTAACTAGCATACTGGCAGAGTTTTAAAAGGTTGATAATATCTAGTGTTTGAAAACATGTGGAAACAATCTCACATGTCCATGCTTACATACACGGTCTCTTGCATACTCACAAAATCATATGTTGAGAGCCTGGAGGATATACAACAATGGTTAAAAAGGTATCTTTAAGGAACAGAATTTAAAGGGTATTTTCATTGTGTGTCTTTTAAGTACATATAAAGTATACATTTTATATACTTTAATCCTATATGTATATATGTATATGTATGTATACATAGGATTAAAATATATACACACAACACATACATATACTTTATATATACTTAACAGTATATACAAATATATATATACACACATACCCATCTATATTGAAAATGCTTTGAAATAGTCATAAACTATCTTTATAAAATAAAATTACATAATTAAATTTAATGTTATGCACATGGATGGTCATTGTAGCCATTTTCAAAAATGAACAATTTTGAATAGTGTGTAATAATATTCTTAGAAATGCAGATTAAAGGATTTTCCCCCAATTATATCAGTAAATGAAAAAAATTGACTGCATTCAGCAGTATAAATCAATCATAATCATAAATTAAATAACTCATATAGACTTTATTCCAATAGATAATTGAAGTATCACCTGATGAAAAGATTATTTTCTAGAAAAGAAAGTGTGTTTTTATTTGAAAGCATGAACTTTTCAAGGTAATTTCAACATCAGTATTATTTTGCTAGAACAAATCAGTATTTTAAAATTATTCATCCTTATTTTCAATCTATTCAACTTTAAACCTTTCTCATACTTTGCTCTACCTGTAAATTTATGGCTTAAGTGGTTTTAGGTTTTAAAAATGTGGGAATGAAAAGAATGTTGCATGTTTTTATTTGTGCATGTGACGTGAAATACAGAACCTTCAAAAGGAAAACTCAATGTGACACTACTCAGGCAATAAACAAAATAATAAAATAGCATGAGATGTTCCACCTAGTCATCAGCACCTTCATCCTTGCATTCCTTTTGTAAAAATTTTGGGCAATGTGTTCAAATTTTTACAGTGTTTAGACAGGTCCTAGTTACTACTCTGCTATGGTGACAGGGAAACAAATGGAAGATTAAATACACAGTCTTGTACTTGCTGTAGGAAGGCACTGACCATTTATTTAACTGCTTACTATATCCAATAAACTTCATCAGTAAGGTACTCAAAATACTTTGATGTACCCTAAACAAAATTTCTGTGATGGTATTATATATGCTTGTTTTTCAAACGAAGATAAATGGCATTGTTAAACAGTTCAAATAGCTTAGTATCTTTTATCAGAGTATGTCTATAAACCTGTTTGCCCACAAAAAAGTCAACATAACACATTATTTCAGAAAAGCATGAACACTCTACTGATGGTAAATCTGAGTCTGAATACACTGGCAGACCTATTGCTAAACATTAAATGAGCATATACATATATCAGTATTCTAAGGAGCATAGTGCCCCTCCTTGGCAAAAATATCTCTTGCATCAATCTGATTTTTCCCGGGAACATGGCTACATTGCCTTTAATTTACCAGTAGAACTCACAACCTTAATTAAAAATGTTTTCAATGATGCAAATGCTCTTAAAAGAAACTCAAATAACAAAATTGGGTTGTCGATTCTCAGAGTGGATTTAAAAATAATACATTCTCTATCTTCAACAATTTTTGGATAAAGAGAATCTAGAGTGAAACAAAGAAATGGGAAGACTCCCATTTAAGACACCTTCCAAGGAGAGTAGAACTGATAATCTCTGAACTAGGGAAATTCTCATCTGTCCAGGTGGCGGGAAGCCAAGCGGGAGAATCATGGCGAGTGTGTATAGATCAGAGGATACTAGAACAAATTTCCCCTCCTGATTGTCCTTGGAGATCTTGCTTCCCTTCTTTTCTCTCTCCACTCCCTAACAACATGCATTAATTACTTCAGTCGATCTATATTTCACAGATACTAATTTCCTGCAATTTCTGCACTTGAATAAAATCACATACTTAGAAACTGTGCAAATAATTTAAAGACAAGTTGTACTGATAACTGTAGAATTTTCTAAATGACATTCCCTGATATTTAAGTTAACAACTTTTGTGTGCCAACCTGTGGTATTAAAAGCACTAGCATTATCCAAAGAGTCCGGGGATACTTGGGTGGAAGTATTGTCTGGACTAAGAGAAGTTGTGGTCTCTGAGAAGTCATTTTCTCTTTCAAAGGTGCTTGCGGGTGAGAATGCAGTGGTGTGAGTAGGTAAGGGGTCACTTGAAAGTGGAACACTGGGCATCTTTGCTGTAGTCAATCCTGTTAATTAATGGAAAATGGGAGAAGGACAAAATAAATATGTGAATCATACCCTAAATGTATGCTCCTCCCAGTATACTAACTCCCCAGTCCACTATAGTGTGTATGTACATATATCTACACATACATATGCACACACCATACATAAGTGTATGTATATGGTGTGTATATGTATTCATAAATATACATACACATATATGCATGCATATATACAAATATTGATGCATACAGAGATACATATAATATGTAGACACAGATCTAAAACAAGCTACAGAACATTAGCTAAAGATAAAAATGGGGAAATGAAATTGAAAGCAGCTTCTCGCCTATCCAAAGCAATTGAGTTCAGAAGGATGAAGCATAATGGTAAAGATGATTAAAAAAATTAAAAAGTTGTAGATAAAGAAAAGGATAGAGAAAGGTAAAGTTAGAAGGTTTTTAGCAGGGCTAGGGTTCCAGGGGAAAAAAAAGACAAAACTTCCATTTACTCATGGATATATATATATCCATGAAAAAATATCTATCTATATATATATATATATATTTTCTTTTTGAGACAGAGTCTCACTCTGTCACCAGGCTGGAGTGCAGTGGCACGATCTTGGCTCACTGCAACCTCCGACTCCCTGGTTCAAGCGATTCTCTTGCCTCAGCCACCCAAGTAGCTGGGATTACAGGCATACACCACCACATCCAGCTAATTTTTGTACTTTTAGTAGAGATGGGGTTTCACCATGTTGGCCAGGATGGTCTCGATCTCCTGACCTCGTGATCCACCCGCCTCGGCCTCCCAAAGTGCTGGGATTACAGGCGTGAGCCACCACGCCTGGCCTATTCATGGATTTTTTAAAAAATAAATTAAAAGCAAACAAAGCAATGAAAATGTGTGTAAAGGACTGAAAAACAAAACTCACAACTAGGTTTACAAACAACCAAAGTCTACAAAAATGTCTTTGACGTCATGATAACAAAGAGATACAATTTAAAATACTGAAATAATATCCACAGCTCAAGTTTACTTTAAGAAGAGGAAAATATGTGACAAAGTAGTAGTGAAATAAGTTTATGCACAGTTGACATGAGTGTACAATGGTAAAAAAAATTCTGCAGGGCAAATCAGCACTGTTGATTAAAGTCCTTTAAAGTTTTTTTAATGCTCTTTTACTGAAAAAAGTGATTTTCTTAATAAAAGAATAGAAAAATATACCAAATGTGTTAAAAAAAAAAAAGCTCATGTGATCTCTGGAGGTTGGAATTATAAAGATGTATTTAATTTTTTTTTTTTTTTTTGCTTAACATATATTTACTTTTTGAAAAGCAAAAAAAAAAATTTAAATATTTAATTAGGTAAAAACTGAACTATATCACACAACAAAAAATAATTAAATCAGTTCAACAAGATTGGGCAAAAGACAATGGCACAAATATGGAAAAAGGGAGAGAATGAGAGAAACTAGAAAAGGAGTAGAAATGATAGGACAGGAAAGAGTTAAGAATGAAAATTGCAATATTACTAGAGAAGAAAATGGAAATAGTATGATAAATAAAAAACCCAGCTTTATTCATTAGTATCAAAGCTAAAGTTAATTTTTACTAAATACAGATAAAATTCAATTGAACTTCAATTCCAATATACATGAAATATTGCAGAACTATTCTGTGATTACAGAAATGCAAAATGATCATAGACTTGTTATGTGTGTTATTTTCTAATGAAAAACTTCAATCTCTAGATTTTCATAACCAAATAACTCACAAATAAATCCATCAAACTTTTACCCATAATGACATGCCAGCATAGCCAACTAAGTACAGTAATAGGATAGTAACTACCTCTAGTCTTCAGTGTAAAATCAGGTCTAACTTTAGATTTTTTCAACTACTATGCATTGAATAAAAGAAAGGGAGGGAGAGAGGGTGGGAGAAAAGAAAGGAAAAGAAAAGGGGGTGGGAGAAAGGGAGTGGAAAGAAAGTAGGAAAGAAGGGAGGGAGGAAGGAAGGAGAGAGTTTAGAATTCTTTCTATTCACATTAAGTCACTGTCATCATTATAGACTTGATAATTATTAATTTGTTATTTTTAGGTTAAACCAATTCTGGTGTCTGCCTGCTTCCAATGATCCCTTTTGCTTTGAGAGAAATGTTTCAACAAGTTCCCTTTATCGTCCACTCTCACTCTTTCATTAGATGTGAATTACAAACAGACTAGAAGGAAAATCATGCAACATTCTCCTTATAATAGTATTTGATGGTTAATATTGAGTGTCAACTTGATTGGATTGAAGGATGCAAAGTATTGTTCCTGGGTGTGCCTGTGAGCGTATTGCCAAGGGAGATTAACATTTGAGTCAGTGGACTGGGGGAGGCAGACCCTCCCCAACCCCCCCACCCCCACCCAATATGAGTGGGCATCATCCAAGCAACTGCCAGCACGGCTAGAAAAAGCAGGCACAAGAAGGTAGGAGAAGTGAGCTTGCTGAGTCTTCTGGTCTTCATCTTTCTCTCGTGCTGGCTGCTTCCTGCTCTTGAACATCAGACTCCAAGTTCCTCAGCTTTTGGACTCTTGGACTTACTCCAGTGGTTTGTGAGGGGCTCTCGGGCCTTTGGCCACCAACTGAAGGCTGAACTGTCAGCTTCCCTACTTTTGAGGTTTGGTGACTTGGATTGGCTTCCTTGCTCCTCAGCTTGCAGATGGCCTATTGTGGGAATTCACCTCGTGATTGTGTGTCAATCACATAAACTACCCCTCATATACACATCTAACCTATTAGTTCTGTCCCTCTAGAGAACCCAGACTAATACATAGTACCACGCTATTTTGATGAGTAGCATTCCTAAAGATTACTTCTAGCCAAGCAAATTCAGTCCCAGGGGTAGGGAGAAAGGTTTTCAGAGAACTACTCTCCTTCATATCTTTGCACACATCTTAAGTTCAGTTCACATTCCCTTTCACAAATAAGAATTTAAAATTAGAAAACCTGACTCAATTGCCAATTCCACATTGTTCTTGAACCTCCACTTTGCAAATTCTCCTGGTTTCCATTGATGACATTGTTGTGGCCAATATTTGGGAGAGACCATTTTCCTTTGCATTTTGGTTAACAGTTTTAACTTACCTGGTTTCATCACTTGGAGGCTTGTCATAATAGAGTCAATTCAGAGATAACAGAAACTCCCTCAATAAGGTGATGAGTCATGTGTCATTTTAAAGAATCACTCCCCATTCTACCTTATACCTATCCCTTTCCTGCAAAAATAACCATCTGGTATGGTTGAGATGAATCTATCTTCTGTAAAAGTTGGAGATACTAAGTTGCATTTGAGTAGCTGGCATAAACCAATCACAATCTACTATGCAAGAATGACTTTTATTTATTTATAAAACATCACTGCCATGCTAAACGCTGTAAAATTGTGTTAGACCTTCTTTAAAAATAAGGAAATATAGTTCTTATGCAGATTCAGAAGTGTTTTTGTTACTATTTTCATGGTTATTTGTTTTCTTCATTTGGACGGAATTTTTATTTAATGACAAAAATATTCATTTTAATAACCCAATTTCATGATCTGTTGAATGTACGTTAGTTGGAATTGTGCATTACCATATTAAATCAAAATTGTCTTCATTGTTTTACTTACCTTCTTAATGCATACTGTCAACCATATGATTATGCAGGAAAATACATTTTCAGTAACATCAGTTAAGTGATGTGATATTTAACCATCTGCAATTTAATTTTTTCTCTTATTTTGTATGTACTATGTATGAATTTATTTGCAGCATCTCTGTGTTTTAAATTTATCTCATGATTAAGACATTTATAAGGACTATTGAAGTGTTCAGTAGAATTTGAAAATTATTATTTAAAAATATCTCAATAGTCTCAAAGGTTTTGCATACCATTGAAAAAAGCAACATACTCTTAAAGAAATATAGACATATGCAAATCTGTTATCTACATATCTATAACATACATAGACAGCTGTTAACCTGCTTTCAGACTATAAAATTTTGTTATCTAATTTAAATGCATTTTTTTATAGTCTTAAAATATTAAAAGAGAGTAGAAACCTGTTGTGTGATTTACTGTCAAGTTTGGGAAAAGTTACTATTTATACACAAAATATATATACAAATTTAATAACATGTTTAGGTAGTTATTAAACTCTATAACGTATAAGCAGAAAGTTTAAGAACAAGTGAATGTCAAGAATCACTCATGATTATAAAATTTATCCTTAAAAATAATTTCAGTGTTAATAATAGAAAATTGTAGTTAAATATATAAACTTTGCAACAAGAAAATAAAATTAGTAAAAATATAAATATTAATTCTTACCAGTGGGGGAAGGTGTTGGGCTTTGCCCTGCAAAGAAGAAACAAAAATCTCTTAGAAAATTTCAAATTTCATTCATATTAATGTAAACATATATTAGATTTTTATATGTACCTCAAGTCTATGATAGAACATTCACCAAGTGGCAATTTTCAGTAGCTTTTACCCTAATGAAACTATATTTCCTCTCTTAGTACCATGTTTACAAAGCCCAAATATATCAAAATTATGTTATTTATTTTTTGAATCCCCAGGCTAAATCAGAAACATAACAGACTAAAGGATCACTATTGGGATTAATTTCAAGCCTGCAAAAGACTTTTGAAAAACTTTTGAAACTTTTTTTTCCCAAATGCATTATTTATTTAGATAATGATGATTAATTGAGCACCTATTTTGTGCTAGACATTATGCCACATGCTAGGGATATAATATGACCAACATATAAAAATTCCCTGCCCTCAATGAGCTCAATTTAGTGTGAGATATAAACAAAAACAATCAATCAATACAGTGTGATGACAGGTGATACAGAATGTGCTAAAGGAGAACATAACAGGATCATCTTATTTATATTTCCAGAGTTGGTGGTTGGCTGGTAAAGGAGTTGATACAGAGGGTTTCTTGGATGTATTTAAGCTACAACCTAAAGGATTGCATATAGCTAGCTTGGTCCCAGAAGAATAAGAAGCTGGGATTTATCTTACAGGCTTTAGATATCCATTAAAGGGATGTCTTTAAAGGGAGGCCTAAAGGAGAAACATTTGAATTTTAGATCAACCTTTCAGGAAATGGAAAATGGATTATTAAAGAGCAAAGGTGGGGGCAGGAAAATCAGGAGACCAAAACCAAAGCAAAACAGACAGAGATGATGTCCTACGTAGGAAGAGTATACCCCAAAAGAAAGGTTGGGGGAAAAGGACCTATGAAACACTCAAGAATCACCAAGACTTTGTAAATCCTTTCAAGTGAGAATAAAGGAGAAAGAGTAATAAGGAAAATATCTAGATTGATAGTTTAACATGCTAGTGAGTTATAGTTTCACTGAACTTGAGAGTAATAAACAGTGAGTAGAGAGGTGAATCAGAATTTGCTTGAGATTTCATGTGAAAATGTATAATAGCATTTGAATATAGAGGTTTGTAGCTCATGACATACATCTGGGCTGATGCTATAGATCAGCATATAGATACATTTTGCAGCTACAGAGGTGAAGGAGATCACCGAACTACATAAAAGAGAAGTGTCCAGGATAGAATCCTGAAGTTCAGTGAATATTAAGGAGAGAGCCAGCATAGGTAATCAAATTTTCCAAGTAAGAGGAAAACTGTAGCAAACAAGAATAAAGAGTAGAGGGTGTTTCGAGAAGGAAATGGTTGAAGTCAAATAATATGGGGATTCACATGCAGGATAAACATGGTGCATTAACATGGGTCAACTGGATTTATCATCTGGGTTTGTGGAAATGTTGAAAAGAGCAGCTTTCTTGGCATGATGGGAACTAGATTCAGTCTACAGTGAAGTGCAATGTTTTCATCCCTCATCTTAGTAAATGCCTATTTAAAAGATTGTAAAGTTCTTTTCCAAATGACTGTAAACTCAGGTTGTTAAAGAGAATCAGAGATCAGATGGGAAAGTGAATTAGCTGGTACTTAAGGTGACTTTCTGCCTTTATATTTTATCTTCTGAGAACAAACTGATGTGAAAACATTTTCTTCCTTCAGAGTTGCCATCCAAGGAGCATCACCCCGTATTCTTCAATGACATTCCCTGGCTTATTCCTTGAAGTAAAATGCATTTTTGATATATATATTTTTATATCATTGATGGGTGATACATAATTATTAACATAATGACTTTCTTGTTTTCTCATTACATTTCTCTTTTTCTTAATAATTCATACTTAAATATTGTTTTTAATTGATATTGTTTGTACTTTTGTCCCTTTTCTTATCTAGTTAGCTTTTATCTTTCTGTTTCATGTAAACTATTGTTATGTTTATGTTCCCATTAACAGCATTCCGCTCTCCTTATTTGTTCTTATTTCCTTGTAAATTACAGTCTTAGAATTGTGTTGATTTGCAAAAGAGGTAATAAGAAAAAAATATTAGTATAGCAATAACTAATAGCTCTCATGTTTGAAGTGAAAGGAAAAGTGTCCTTCATTGTTTGTGAAGAACAAAACATATCACCAAATTTAAAATATTCAAATTGTTTTTGAGTGTGTGAACATACTTTATACAACACATATCTCTTCTTTATCTGAGAAATACATGAGCTCTTACATATCTAAAATTAGGTTGATATGCCCCTTCTCATGCAAGCACCTCATTCCTTGGAACTTGAAACAAGTTAATTTAGTTCACTTAGGTTCAAGAAACATACATTGTTTTGCTGGTATGCTGTTGGAGACTAGGTTCAAACATGATAAAAGCATGACCCTTGCCCTGGATAAGCTTATAACCCATAAAACACATATATCTAGTCATCTGCAATGACATTTTAGTCATGGATACACCTGATTAAGACTAATAATCAAAATTTCTCGCATCAACATCAGCATGAATCACATAATAAGATGAGGAAGAGGAGGAGAAGAAAGAGAAATAGCTGTAGCAAAGAGTCTTGTGTATAAGAAGTGATTGATAAGTAATTGCTGGATTCTTTTAAGCATGAGTAAGTGCAAAGGAGAAATCAAACAGATCTGATGATAACAGCTTTAGGAGAAGAGCCAAGGAGCAAGCACTGTAGGCCTTGAAAAGGAGCTTGAACTTTTTCCTCAGAATGACGGAAGCCATTGGATCAGTTAATACAGAGGAGAAATCAGAAAGCAAATTTGATGACAGAGAAAAGAGAAATCTTAATGTTACCTGCACCACTAATTCCACAGACCCCTATATTCTGTTGTTCTGATTTACTACTTTGTTGTCACCAAAATGTGTAGCACCAACTATAGATAGAGTTTCATAAAAGAAAATTATAATTCATCATCTGTTTACCACAGAAATGAGAAGAAAAATGCTGGGACACTATGTGAAGCTATTTGTTTTTTAACAAAAGAACTGTGAATGCCTGAGTAAATATACTAGAACTGTTTCCAACCAGTACACTATTCATCAGACTACGTATATGTTCCATGTCTCAGAGAGATTAATAAACTTCCAAGTGGTCCAAAGGCAATACGTTTTTTAAAAGAAATACATGATGTATATTATTTTAATCTAACTTCTGAAAAGAAGGACAAGAGGTAAATTACCAAAACGGAGAAGACTGTTTCTAATGATTTACTTTTTTAAAGAATAATTTAGAAATAATATTTTATTGTTATTAATTGTTAATATTTATTGAGTGTTTACTGGGTGCCAGGCACTATACTAAGTCTTTTGCTTATGTTTTCTTTCTTAAGCACCACAAAAACCCTAAGAAGCTTAGAAAAGTCAAGTGTCTTGGCCAAGTTCACAAGGCCAGTCTAGTATATGTGAGCCAGACTTGAACCTGAGCCTGTCTGACTTTACAGGCCATGCTCTCATTCATCAGGCGTCCCCTTTTCCCATCAACTTGTCCTTACAGCCTTTCCTCTTCATATGAAATTTTAAGCATGAGAATTCTTTTACAGAAGGTGTTTATTAAAAACTCATGAGCTAAGTAAAAATGCATCTTAATCATAATTTGGCTGCAAGTAAATTACTAGTAGTGCTACAAATGCTAAAATAACCTTGACCCTAAAAATAGATATGCAGATTAAATCACAATGTGCTGAGTGAATGCTCTATAATGGTACAAACAAATATTAGAGAAAATTTAGAGGTGTGTCAAGTTAATTTATTACAGAATACTATTTTGACAGGAAAGTCAACCAAACTACACTAATATCAAGCACAATTATTAAAATTTACAGACCTTTTGTTTAGATGTTAAGAGGTTTCTGGAGCTAGAGGACAGAATAATGGGCATACATATACATTTTTTTCTGATCTCATCATCGCTCCATATTCAAAATTTCCTCGAATCTTTTCATCTTTAATGCAGCAAAATTTAATATCCTGGAAAACAGTATAATATCTAAAGAGCCAACATTTTCCTTTCTTCTATGTTCATGCTTACTTCCCATAAAGGCCTCTTGAATTGAATATGTGTTTGCTTGTACACTGATTTATCACTGGATATGATTCTAAATTCCTCCACTGAGTGATTTTTAGGTGACACTAAAACATTGTAATCTATGTTTTATTTCATTTTTATATACTATTTCAAATATGTGCGTGCACACACACACAGACACACACACACACACACACCCCACACACCATTTTATCTTTTTAAAAGAAAATTCCAAGACTTCAGCATCACTGTTTAGACTTAGTGTAAGACTCAACTTGCTTGTTCTCATGGTCATAAAATCCCTATAAACAGATTTTTAGTTTTGGTAACACTTTTAGTCAACATGATAAATGACATAAAAATGTTTTCGTGCCTGAAAAAAACACATAGAATCTATTTAAAATAAAAATTTTAAATTAAAAACTACTTTAAAATTTAAGCCAATGCCCCTAAGGAAATAAGGTATGCACTAGAGTGATGCAACTTAAAGCAACATATCAATTTTAATAAGCCATGTGCACTAGATTACATAAATCTATTTTTCAGTCTTTTTAATGTTAAACATTTTACCAGTCTTAAAGTAGGAACACGCTAAATGTGACCTATATAAAATAGCTTAGTTAAAACACCTACGTAACATCTAAAGGACATTCCCCACACCCCGCCCCCCCAGTCATCTAATGATTTTTACATCAACGTTAGCAGAACACTAACAAATACTTTGGTGGAGAATGCCTTTATATATGAAACAAGGTAGGGAGTAGGTGAAGGTACTTAACTATTTAGAGAAAACTATAAAACCAAATATCTGCAATAATTTATTAATTCTCTATCATATTTTAATTCTTCCTAAATTACATGAGCAATGACTTCAATTGTCTGTTGCACTTCATATGTGCAAACATTATTAAACATTACCAAAATCATAGATAGAAGCCACTGTGCTGAATCTTCACTGATAGAAAAAAAAGACCTGATGAGATTGGTTGTGGCCAGGTGCAATGGTTCACACCTGTAATCCCAGAACTTTGGGAGGGAGAGGCAGCTGGATCGCTTGAACCAAGCAATCCAGTCTGGGAAACATGCAAAACCTCGTCTCTACTTAAAATACAAAAATTATCCGGGTAGGGTGGTGCACACCTATAGTCCCAGCTACTTGGGAGGCTACGCCCATGAGTGTGTGTTGAGGCTGTAGTGAGATGTGATGGTGCCACTGTACTCCAGCCTGGGTGACAGGGTGAGACCCTGACTCAAAAACAACAACAACAACAACAACAACAAAAGATTGGTTGTATAACATATTTAACTACTTCATGACCTATCCATTTAGACTGGAGTATATGGTTAAATATTACTGTGCTTGTCCAATGCAAAACAAATGAACTGATGTAGTTACCTAAGTTGTTTTATGTATGTAGACAGCCTTGTACTCTACCCTATTTCCTGTATTACTTAAAAGCAACAATATATTCTTAGTGGAGTCAAATAGATCTGGGAAAAGCAAACAAAATTTTTGCATAAAGTATTTTATAACCAGTGCACAATAAATATTTAATATTTGGAGATTGTTTAATACAAATTACACTACAATATATGTAAACATTCTTTATGAACAATACTGGGAAAGTGTGGAAAATAGGTAAAGCAAAATATGTGACATAGCAATGGAAATTAAGAGGGCACATGTGTAGGTGTGTGACAATAAAGAGAAGGCATCACTATTTCTCAAAGTAAGAACTGCATTGAGCTTTCTCTCAAATTCTATAAACACATCAAATAAATATAAAATAAAACACAGTAATATATCTAGTGTTCCACATATTACAGTTACTACATTCTACACTTTGACTTTTATCTTCTAGGGATGAAATTTTCTACATTTTTTAAAACTTAAATGTCTTGTGTTTTCATTATTTAGTCAAAGGAGTATTTAGTAATATTTCAGTAGGTGGCACCATAGCACTAAAAAACTGTAAATTATCTAAGAGCTCTTTTTCCCATTATAATCCTGTTGTGAATCACCAATGGAATTGACTAGATACATTAAACAGATGAAAATGTAGATAACAGAACACTTGATCTTCAAAGCTGTGTTATTCTAACACATGTATTGTTACTGAATTTACCTTTCCCAATATGTTTCTTTTACAACTCAAAATGTTTAAATGATCACAAATCAAAGTTACCTTGAAGTCACACCCCTAAGTCCCTGATCAGAGATTTCAGCAAAAACTAGGAATCAATTTGAGTGAAAACGGCATTTCAAAAGACATACTTGGGCTTTAAATATCACCCGTTCTCCCTCCCCGCTAAAAAAAAAAGAAAAAAAAATGGGATGCTATTTCCTAGGGAATTTAAACCTGTCTAGTTCTGCAAATCTGGGAAAAGTACAAGGGCAGAAGGGTAAAATAGAATAGATTAAATAAATACTTATTCTCAGCATCTGCCCTAAAATGAATGATAGCATGTTTTGAAGGTTGAGAATGCATACTTGACCTCCATAAACATAAAGCCTGTACAAAAGTGGAAAAAAGCAAATCAAGACAAAAAATAAGGGTCAGCTAAAACAGATATGTATGGCTTTCCTTTCTTAGCAATGCATGATAATAATAAAGTGCACAATAAAAATAAGAGAATTGCACTTTTTTTATGCTAGAAATCTGCTATATGGTCCACAGACAATAAATCTAACAAATCATATTAAATTATTAAGTATTTATGGAGTAAGCACTCTGGGCAGCGACAAGCCAGGTATTATGATTTCAGAGAACCACAGGAAACAGTCTTTTCTACCCTCCATTAGCTTATCAGTAAATATAATAATGATGGCAACAGTTTACTGAAATGTTATGTAGCAGACACTATGCACACCTCTTTATATAATATATATGTATTTTTTTTCTTTTAAGCATCCCAGTAAGCCAATGAGTTAGCATTATTTATCCTTTTTTATAGGGAATGAAACTGGGACCTAAAAGAGTTTAGTAAATTGCTCACAGGCACACACGAGGAAAGTGCTAGATTTGAAATAGTGTCTATTTAATAATTTTCTTATTCTTTATGTAGACGTTATGTTAAAATATTGGGTATATTAATATTATTTTTGGAATCTCATGAGTAAAGGACTTTCTGCTTATCATCAGAAAATAATTCCAAAGATTTCTACTCAGACAGAAGCAAAGGATTTTAGTGATTATTGACATGCAGTTCATTTGATATATAAGGAAACTAAGACTCAGTGAGTGTAGTGCCTTTCTGATTTCATTCAATCTAGTTAAAGCACATGAATTTATGAGCTCCACCAATGTCCAAAGAATTTCAACATCCCTTTATTGAGGCCTTTTATTAAATACAAATGGACATCCAAGAAACACTAGAACAAAGCCTCTAATAAGAAAGAAAGATAGAGCTCAAATAAACAAAAGAGGCACTTGGGAGAATGAGGCAATGCAAGGAGCAAAAGAGAGGATAACCAACTACAATTCATATTTTCAGAAATGAGAAAACATTGCACCCATGAACAAAGAGCAAGAGGTTATAAAAAGCAACATCTCAAGATCAAGAGAAGAAGTCAATAGATACTGGCAAAAATCTTTTTTTTTGTTTTAAAGAAACAGCACTACAATAAAAGATAACATTTAAAAATCACAAAATATCAAGGGAGGGGAGAGTCGTGGGAGCAAAAGACTGTTCTTACTTACTCTAGGCCTTATGGTACTATTTAAACTTTCAAATTATATACACACTTTTAAATAATAATGCAAATAATAAAGAAAAATATCAGTATGTAAAGCAGTATTGAGGATAAAGAAGGCAAATTTTTGTGGCCATGAGAGGAATAAAATCAAATAATTAAAAAATTTTAAAGATAGCAACCATATCTAGCTGTCTCCCAATGACTTATGGTGTCCAATATTTACAATAATGTTTTTTGCTTGTGAATACATATGACTTTGCAAACACACACCTCAAAACTAGGAATGCATTTGTAGGTATTTTATATTTGGTTTAAAACATCATGTTATATATTTCAGGCATGTTGATTAACGAAACAATTAATGACAAAAAAATTAATAAAGGCTACTAGATAACCATTTAAGAACAATCAGTTACACTGCTTTTTTTCTGTCTTAAACTATTTATCTACAAGTCAGGGGGAAAATTTTATCGCTTCCTGTGCAATGATGGTCAAATTGAAGTCTTTGATTTAGATTTGTGTGCCTTTAAATGTCCCATAGTCAAATTTGTTTCAGAAGTAATTCATGCTACATGCCCTTTTGAGATATTTATAAAGTGTGTTAATATATTAAAAGCATAGAAACTTATGTCACTTCGTTTAGCTCAAGATCTCCTAAAAGTATTTGCCACAAACCCATTTTTTTCCCATGGACATACTATAGGACATTTGTACAATGTAACTGCAATGTTTCTGAGAACATAGTTTACAAAATTCTGGCTTGTTATCAGTTATGTATATTTATGTGTGTGTAACCAGTATTATTATCCTGAGGAAGAAAAAATATCAATCCTTTATTTGTATTAATCCTGACTGGGAATTAGATTAAAGGTGACTATTTCTGGGCTCCAGCGCTGGAAAATCTGATTTAGTAGGTTTGTGGGGTAACGTGATCTGTGCACTGGTATTTTCTTAAAGCTCTGATGGTGATTATGATGGAAACAAGGGTTAAGAACAACTGAGAAAGATGCTTCCTTACCCATATTCTCTTTTTAAACATTTTCCAGAATAGGTTTGTTCCCATATTAATTATCTTTTTGCTTCTTATGAAAATGTCTGTTTTCATTTACCTAAATCCAGGGATATATACCTGATTTATGCAATATACTTCAGATAGCAAAAACCATTTAATTATATTAATCCCTTAGTAAGTGTATGTTTTTGTAGCTCTTTGCTTCCTCTAGGATAGGTTACGATCATCATTAAAGAACAAAGAATCATCAAAAGATGTTTGCATAAGTGGTGAAATCTTTTATTAGTGTATTTGGTGCTATCAACAGTGTTTACTATTTAATAAGCGGGTACTATGTGAATGGCACTGTCCTAAATACTGTTACATATTATTTTATCTAATCATTATAGAAATCCTACAAAGTAGATGGTATTCTCTTCTTTTCACAGATGAAAGCTCAAAATCATAAAAACGTGTATGCAAGGCTAAATAAAGAACTTGTAGCAAAATGAGTCTAGATTTAAATGCAGATCTGTCTGACTGTAAAAACCCCCATGCTTGTTCAACTGCATTGCACTGTAAGGAAAAAATATTTAATGCTAAATCCAGTATTTGTGCTAAAGAGCTATTAGGGACTCAAAAATGAGTAAATATTATGTATAACCATCAAAATGGGATTCAGAGTACCACACATTAAAACTTATTGTTAAAAAGTGTAAATTGCTGGACAATGACTACAAAAGGGGTAGATTCTTATTTTTCAGAAAAATGGGAAGAAAAGTGAACAGGCCTATGCCTAACAAAAATGGTAGCATGAACTTGTCTGTCCTTCAGTATTTTTACCCAAATCTTTAAGGAAGGAAAAATAGTAGAACATGCAAAAAAAAGTTATGATTATATTATGTCTGTACTTTGAAACAAAGGAAAACATACAAAAGCCTTTGCTGATCAACCTATACCTTGTAAAAGAAGTGGGGTGAGGGAAAGAATAGGTAAATGAAGCTCCCCATAGAAAATAAACAGTGCTAGGACAGTGAGTGTCTGTGAATTTAATCTAGTTATGTAGAAACGTGTTTACAGCACCAACCACAACCCTTTCTAAATGAGCCAGGAGATGAATTAAAATTGTACTTTTTTTTGTGAACTAACTACAATATAATAAAAAAAAGCAGAAAATAAATGCTAGATTATAGGGAGTCCACCTAATAGAAACTAATCTCCCATCTCACAAACAGAATAAAATGTCTGCTGAGGCTGCACAAAAGCCTCCCACTCCTAAAGCTGAGGACAATAAAAGCAAAGGCTGATAAATGCACTGCTTATTTCTTCTTATTTCCCTTTAATGAAAACTCTGAACAGAAACACTTGGCTTACTTTCAAAATCATTAAAGGAACCCAGGCATAATGGGAAAAGCTACACTTTCAAATAGAAGAGGTTTTCAATGTGTTGTTCTCATAAGACTGCTGTTTGCACAGCTAAAAGCTAACAGCAGTGTCTTTACTGCTCTTGTGGTTTCTTCTCTTCGGTGTACTTCTGTTTTTCTTATTCTGAGTCTTTATAGGAAAGGAAGAGGCGCAGCTCATGCGGTTAAGCACACAGGCGCTACCAAATGGTGCAATAGGTTGCCATAGCACCAGCATAATCAGCCCTATCTCGGGGTTAAAACCACAACTTCTCTAGTTGACGTTGAAGCTGCCTGACTATACATTTAACTGCTACAAAATGCTGAATTTCAGATTGATTTGTGTTTGCTTCAATAAAAATGTATTTCAAAAGTAAGGTTAGTTTTATTATGTGATTTATTTCAGAAGCACTTCATTTTGAAAAGCACTCACAAATGATATTTTAATGACAAAAATAAGTTAAACCTAATATTATATTTAAAAACATAAAAAGTCACCATTGATTTGGCCAGCAACTAAGCTTTATTAATTCATTACATTATGCAACTTGGAGAAAATAGATCACAAAGAAAAAAGTAAGACAAAATGTTTATTTGTAAATAGAACTCACATTCCTTTACCACTAGATAATGAAATGATAAAATATAGTCTAGGCAAGGATATTTCCTATTTGTTCAGCAACACTATCACCACATATGAAATACGACCCTACCAGTAGGAAACATCACATTGCACCCTTTGCAAGCAAATGCACTGAAGTAAGTTGAATGGCTCCTTAAATACACACTTGATAGTCTCAAGAAAGATAATGCCTGAAAAAACAGACATGTGTAGAAACATTTTGCTGCCTTGTCACATTCCCTGATACCCTGCAGCTCTAGTTGGTAACCATTTTCCATGCTGTATATTCCTATCAATTGTCTTATGTTTTGACCAAATAATTATTTCATAAGATAGAAAATATTAAAATAATATATTAACATTCGTAAATAATAAATCCTGAAAAGGATCATGAGATCCTTTTCATTTAACTTCTTTGGGAAAATTCATATTGGGCCAGCTCTTCATCCCTTTGTACATCAGAAAATGGTTTCTCTATCTTTAGTAAAGAAGGAACATTTACCGAATACCTACTATTTGATACATTGTCTTATACAATCCTCATAATATCTCTATGTGATAAGCATTATTATTCTTGTTTTATAAAGGACAAAAGGAAGACACAGCTGGTTTAAATATATTGCTTCGAATATAGAGTAACAGTGTAAAAACTCAATCCCAGGTCTACTAGAATCCAAAGCTCCTGCATTTTCTCCTAACTCCATAATGCTGCCTCCTGGGAATAGAGGATTCAGAGCATCTATTTCACATCATTCTCCTGAATTTCGGTACACAGTCCTTGAATTCCTCCTATCTGTGGTCTGTGGCTTCCTTTTCCTTTCCATTGCCTTTACCCTGGTCCAGGTACTTATCATGTCCTATTTCAATAATGTTTATACTCAGTTTCTAAACTGACAACTTCCTCCATCCCTTCCCCATGCATGCTAGATACCGCCACATTGATCTGCTTGTAAAATGCACTGATGTGTCTCTTTCCTGTTAAAATATTTTAGTAGGAGATTCCAAAGTCTTTACGATTCACTTTACATCAATTCCTCTGAACTTTATATAACTTTACATCATTCCTCTTCAGTTAAAAGGAGATTGTTGTATCTATTTTTTTTTTTTTTTCTGAGAGAGTTTTGCTCTGTGGCCCAGGCTGGAGTGCCGTGGCACTATCTCAGCTCACTGCAACCTCCGCCTGCCGGGTTCACGCGGTTCTCCTGCCTCAGCCTCCTGAGTATATGGGATTACAAACATGCGCCACTACACCCGGCTAATATTTGTATTTTCAGTAGAGACGGGGCTTCACCATGTTGTCCAGGCTGGTCTCGAACTCCGTCCTTAGGTAATCCGCCTGCCTCGGCCTCCCAATGTTGTGGCTATTAAACAAGACAGTTTGTGAAGCCTTTAATAATATTTTTAAAATCCTATAAATGAGCCCCGGCTTCCCTGGCTAGTTTTCAGAGGCTGCCGAGTCGCCGCTGCGCCTGCGCCTTGCCTAGTGGCACTCCCAGCTGCGCGCTGCGTTCTTGCACAGCCATGCCAGGGACCTCAGCAAGCGGTCCAGGCCCTTGAGCCTGCAGGAAGTGGACGGGCAGCCGCAGCACTCGCTGCATGTCGCCTACGCCAGGGCGACGGTGGACGAGCTGGGCAAAGTGCTGACGCCCACCTAGGTTAACAGACCCACCAGCATTTCATGGGATGATCTTGAGTCAAGGAAACTCTACACCTTGGTCCTAACAGACCCGGACGCTCCCGGCAGGAAGAAGCCCCAATACACTGAATGGCGTCATTTCCTGGTGGTCAACATGAAGGGTAATGACGTTAGCAGTGGCCCAGTCATCTCCATTACGTGGGCTCGGGCCTCCGGAGGGCACAGATCTCCACCGCTATGTCTGGCTGGTTTACAAACAGGACAGGCTGCTGAAGTGTGACGAGCCCATCCTCAGCAATGGATCTGGAGGCCACAGTGGCAAATTCAAAATGGCATCCTTCTGTCAAAAGTTCGAGCTTGGCCGGGCAAGGTGGCTCACTCCTGTAATCCCAGCACTTTGGGAGGCTGGGGCGGGTGGATCACGGGGGCGGGTGGATCACGAGGTCAGGAAATCAAGACCATGCTGGCCAACATGGTAAAACCCCGTCTCTACTAAAAATACAAAAATACAAAAAAAAAAAAAAAAAAAATAGCTGGGCGTGGTGGCACGGCTTTAGTCCCAGCTACTCGGGAGGCTGAAGCAGGAGAATTGCTTGAACCCGGGAGGCAGAGGTTGCAGTGAGGCGAGATCAGGCCACTGCACTCCAGCCTGGCGACAAGGCGAGACTCCGTCTCAAAAAAAAAAAAAAAAAAGTACGAGCTCGTGCTCGTGGCCCCAGTGGCCAGAAAGCGTTACCAGGCTGAGTGGGACGACTATGTGCCCAAACTGCAGGAGCAGCTGTCTGGGAAGTAGGGGGCAGCTCAGGGACCTGAACTGTCCCAGAGGCCCCAAGCCGTGTTCTCCAGTTCAGTGTTGCATGTATAATAGATTTCTCCTCTTCCGGCTCCCCTTTGCACATGCAAGACCTGAGCAGTCAGATGGTTTAGGGTAACTTTTCCTGCTGCCTGGCCTTTATAATTCTAGTCACTCACTCACTCACTCTGGTTTATGTTTTGATCAAATTGGAACTCTATTTTCAGGAATATTCTGGTACTGTGATGGGGTCATCAAATTAATATGAAAATAGCAATCCAGAGTTTAAAGAAGAAAAAACTGGGGGGGAAAAAAAGACCAGGCCCACAGTAATAGAGCAAAGCATCAAAGAATCTTTAAGGGAGGTTACAAAAAAAAAAAGAAAAAGAAAAAGGATTTGTCACCTCTCTGCCTTTGTGATCCTAATACCAGAATTGTACGCAGCGTGTTTTTATGGTGCTGTCGCTCACCTAGACAACCAGAGGCTGGCTGGCATGGAGGCTAAACCCCAACACGGTGCATCTCAGATGCCTTAATAGGCGTCAGTATCTCGCTCTGGTGCCTTTAAAAAGCAATCCTGGAAAAAGCATTAGGGAGAGTGGCTTTGCTTTTGTTGGGGCATGGCCATCTAGACCGGCAGCAGTGCTCATTGACAGCTTATTAAGAATCCTTACAACTGTGGTTGTTAAATTGATAGCTCTTCATGGGGGTAAGAAAAGCTGATCTGGAGTTGCTGAATGTTGGGTTAATTCTGCTGTTTGCTTATAATTGAATAAAAATAGAAACGTTGAGTGAACAACATCAAAAAGTTCTATAAATGGTAGTCATTATTGTTACCACCATCTGGATTATCACCTTCAGTCATTTTGACTTTTTAATTTGATTTGTCCTTCTTAAAGGCACTGGTGAAATCAGCATCCCTTGTATCCTACACAGTAGTTAGTTTATAGAAGAACAATAAACATTTTTGGATTTACTCTTGCTATAGTTTGTGCCTATGGTTCCACAGTAAAAATACTTTGAGCAATATAATTTTGAAACTCACTGTAAGATATGTGTAATTTCTCATTTCATAAGATGGTATTGCATTTCCTCTTGGCACTTTCATGTGCTTTCGAATTTTCATATGTATCTATATTTATGTTCATACAATAAAGAACAAAATGTAAAACTGTACCTGGAAATATACATCCCTGTGTGGAAAAAAAAAAGCTGGACTTTATATTCTCCTCGGAATGACCTAGTTTTGAATCCTAGCTCAGCCAAGTAAGGTCTTGTACAGGTTAAATGATATTTCCGAGGTTTAGTCTCCTTGTTTTTAGAGCCATAATCATAAAATCTAGTTTATATATGAGTTGATATGAGGATTAGACATAGTAATACATGCAGGAGGCTTGGTAAAATGGATAGCAGCTTGTGAGTAGCTGAGAAAAATTTGAATCCACACAGTATTGTTTAGATTTAATTATTTTGATCATACTATAGCCACATTACAATGTGTAAGTGCAATAGTTTCCTACTTTCTATGGAAGCAGGGAGGAAGAATGCTTACCCTATTCTTAGGGTAATCATGGAAGACTCCCCCAAAATAAGTAATGTCTAAGTTAAGAGGGATATGTTTGAGTTAGGTAGGAAAGGAAGATGATGAGTCTTTTAGAAAAAAAAAAAATAGCAATGTGGCCCAACATTGAGAATCTAGTACATTTCAGAAAGTAAAAGTTGTTCTTCCTGGCTGAAAAGCAAGATGTAAGGTAGAGGGGTGCTAGAAATCTTTCTGGAAAATAAATGTGACACTGATAATGAAGGCCCTCTCTCACAAACTGAGAAGTTTTAACATTATCCCCAGGTGACAGGAATTATTATAGAGCTTTCAGTAGGTGATTAATCCCATTTGTGGAATGCAGAGTGGAACTTAGGAATGCAAGGTTGGAGATGAGGCTATGTATTAGCAAGCTGTAAAGTGCTTTTAGAATTTAAAATGGATAGCAGGCCCACGGGTAATGTTGGATAAATGTTCATTACAGTTAACACCAGTCTATCCTTCTGCTTTTTTCACTCAGTGACCATCAATGGTAGTAATTTTCAAAAGAGATTCAGAAATCCAGTTATAGATAAAACTAATTTAAGAGGTTATAAGGACTGAGCCATCCATTCTCTGAATCAGGACACAAAATCTTATTTTATTGTTAATTATGAATAGGGTAAGAATCTAAATATGCCTACCCTCTTGACCTTGATTTCTGACTTCTACATAAATCTTCTATGATCATGCAACTTATACTGAGCAAAGAAGAAAAGAAATCTGAGTTATGCTCCCAGATTACAGTATTTAGTGTGCCCCTTAAGTTGAATATGCTTATCTCATTCAATGCTGCACTTTATCGTATTCCTTTTGCACTTCCCCTTGTTCCTTGGAGGAATTTAAAGAAATGTTATCAAAAGCAAGGCTTATGAGTGGCCAACTCTCAAAAAGATACCAACTCAAAATAAAGATACCCACTCTCAAGAAGTGATTTTCCAATGACCTGTCACCTGTGATTCTATCTCTATGCAAGGCAATGGGAATGACTACTCCCCCTCCCCTGGGTTCTGAATGCCAGCCCTCACTTCACTAAACAGCTCAGAACAAATCCAGAGCCATGCAAGTCTCAGAAACCCATTTTCTTGGCATTCATCCAGAAAAGTACTTCAGAAACCCCTCACTGACTGATACAGATCTACCATCTGTTTCTTAAGTTTAACAATTGTACAAAGAAAGTTTTTCACAGTTGGATGAAAAAAAGACATGGTCTCTTTCAAGTTCGTATTCAATTTACTATTCCTCCTGTTGATTGGCTGATTCCCAAATGTCAAAAGAACACCTAATGCTTATGTTGAATCTATGCTAAACTAGTCACCATTTTAAAACTCAGAAGCATGGTTCCTAAAGATTGTGGCGTCCAATACTACCTTCGGCATTCATACAGCGCATTAATACTCCATGTATTGAATTAAATAAAACTGGCTTGACTTAGTTATTAAAACAACAACAACTTTTACAAGTCTTTTAGCACATTTGGAGAGTAGGTCTAAGTAAAATTATTCATTATTGGTCTGGTTTTCATTTCAAACATTTATTTTACTGAGTTTTAAACTTAATGCAAACATTTTAATTCCAGATAGCATCCAGAGCTTCGATCTTGAGGTACAGTCTAAGGTAGGAATGATATTTCGGTCTTTGACACAGTTCTACAATAATGCTTCCAATATTCTCTAGTTATCTTTTTAAATGAAATTAGTAGATACAACAGAAATTACTTATCCCTTCCGAGAATATAGCCCCTGACCTGATAAAGCTAGATATTAGGAAGAAGATGCTTGCCTTTCTTTTATAATGAGAAACTCTTCCAGGGAAAGTTGACTTTATGTTCTCAAGTGATCAGTTTACCAGCATACTTTTATAATTCATACCCAATTTACAGAGATATAAAAATAGTCTTACGTCTCATGTATGATGAAATTCAGTTCTTGACACAGTATGTCATTTCATGGCATAAAATAAAGAGCACATTTGGGTTGATCATTCTATGGGAAACCTTAGGGGAGGCTTATAGATTTATCACTTTTTGCATTATTTTGTCTCTTTATGATGATTTAATCCAATCAAACCTAGTCAGGGGGAAGATCAAGCTAAAATTAGATGGATTCTTATTATTAATGAGATATTATCATTGGCATATGCTTTTTAAAAGAATAAAAGCTAAATATTAGTAATGAAGTAAAGATAAAGCACATTTAATGAGAAAGTTTTGGGAATTTTTTCTATAATAAATACATTTTATTGTCTATTACCTCCCTCAACAAACTATATTTTCTTTTAAATTTAGATGTTTGCTTCTCATCAACATTAATTCCATGTTGAAAGAATACAATTATTATTCTAGTAAAATGTTTAGAACTGGGAAAAATAGAGTCATTTTTTTCTTTCAAATTCTTAAAATCAGGGCTTTGGATCAAATAAACTTTTTAGTTAGGTGAAATTCACATGCTATTTTACTGTGAATAACATCTCAGAGGATCATTAAACTAACAGAGGCAATGAACAGTCTTCAAAAGAAAAAAGACAGAAAACCGTCACAAATCCTAGGGGACTAAAGATGCATAAGAAATAAATGCAACATGAGGTCCTAGATTGGATGCTGTAGCAGGAAAAGAACAATATTGGAAAAATGGGCAAAATTCAAATGAAAGCTGTAATTTGGTTAATAGCATTGTACCCATGGTTACTTCTTAGTTTTAACAAATGTAACCTTGGCAAATGTTAATATTAGAGGAAGCCAAATGAAGAGCAAATGGGGACTTTCCTTACTATCTTTGCAACTTTTCTGTAAATCTAAAATTATTCCCAAATTGAAAGCTTATTTTTAAAAGGTTTGTTTGTAACTAGTTCAGAGAAAGATGAAGCAAAGCATAGCATAGATTCATTTTCTTTCATTTTTAAATTGAGTGTTTTTGTGATTGGGACATTTTCATACCACATCTTATAAATGTTTGCAATCATAGCCCCAGTTATTATGTTATAATTATATGTTATTATATATGTTATATATTATGTTATATATATAAAATATATATGCTATATATATTATTATATGTTATTATTGTACAGTCATAATGCAGATAGTGAAGGCTACCATTACTAAAAAGGCAATGTTATCCATCCTGACATTGTAAAATTGTAAAATTGTAAATTTTCACAATTGTAAAATTTCACATTTAAAAAATATAATAAAGCTTACCTACCTATCTACTTAATACTTGAAACTGCTTTATAAAATTCTCACTCACTAGTTGTGAATTTATTGTTAAATGCCTTCATTGGACATGATCTCATGAGTCTCTGTGACTGGACAGCATTCCTTATCCAACTGAAGTGATGAGCATCAGATGCCGCTCCAAGTGTCGTAAAAAGGAGGCACTACCTCTAAGCCAAAGAGGCTGGGTCATTCTACTGCATATGAGGAACAAATGCAACTACAACAAAGGTCTTCATTTTAAGAAGATAAATCTGGGTTTAGTCAAAATACATAAGATAATTTGTTTGGAAAACTTTTTGACTGCTGCTTTATGCTGTACAAAATAAACAACAAAAGTCTACTAAGAAGAAGCTTGTTTTTATGGTTTTTAGCCTCTAGATGCATATATAATTCATCCATATGGCAAAAATCATTACATTAAAACAATTTTGGGAGAGAAGTACATTATTAATACTTCAAAATTTCAATTTCTTAAATTTAGATTAGCTTTCTACAACATACAAGCAAAGTTAAGAAAAAAAATCAGAAACCAAAAGGCTTATTCTACCGCATTTCTTGGGAAATTGTTTCACTTTGAGAGTGTATGATTCTTTAATCATTATTCACACCTTCTTTATTTTTCTAAAACATTGTTTTCCATAGTATCACTGGAGGAGCAGTAAAAATGTACTCTTGCATTTTTCTGAATAGTAAACTGATTATGCCTCTGTAATGGAAATAACCAAAACAATATCTTTGAATGTATTGAAAATAAACACTTTCCTCTTCATTTACTCAATAAATGTTTTCAAATGACCATTATTTGACTGAGCATGTACACAGCACTTATTATGTATCATGCGTTATACTAGGTCATATATATATGTAAGTATACCATATACATTAGCTTCCTGAATCATTGTAATAATATGAAGTATGTATAATTATTACCTCTATTTCAGAGAAAAAGAAAGCACAATAAGGTGCAATAAATAACTTGTGTGAGATCATTCAGCTTGTGAGTAGCTGAGAAAAATTTGAATCCACACAGTATTTTTTAATTATTTTGATCAAAATATAGCCACATTACAATGAGTAAGTGCAATAGTTTCCTACTTTCTATGGAAGCAGAGAGAAAGAATGCCTACCCTATTCTTAGGGTAATCATGGAAGACTTCCCCAAAATAAGTAATGTCTAAGTTAAGAGGGATATGTTTGAGTTAGGTGGGAAAGGAAGACGATTAGTCTTTTAGAAAAAAAAAAGCAATGTGGCCCAACACTGAGATTCTAGTACATTTCAGAAAGAAAAAGTTGTTCTTCCTGGCTGAAAAGCAAGATGTAAGGTAGAGGGGTGCTAGATATCTTTCTGGAAAATAAATGTGATGCTGATAATGAAGGCCCTCTTCTACAAACTGAGAAGTTTTAACAATATCCTCAGGTGACAGGAATTATTATAGAGCTTTCAGTAGGTGATTAATCCCATTTGTGGAACACAGAGTGGAACTTAGGAAGCAAGGTTGGAGATGAGGTTATGTATTAGCAGGCTGTAAAATGCTTTTAGAATACAGTTAAAATGGTGCTGGGCACAGTGGGTTGTAATCCCAGCACTTTGGGTAGCCAAGATTGGTAGATCACCAGAGATCAGGAATTCTAGACTAGCCTGGCCAACATGGTGAAACCCCATCTCTACTAAAAATGCAAAAAAATACAAAAAAAAAAAAAATAGCTGGGCATGGTGGCGTGCACCTGTAATCCCAGCTACTTGGGAGACTGAGACAGGAGAGTCGCTTGAACCCTGGAGGTGGAGGTTGCAGGGAGCCCAGATGGCGCCTCTGCACTCCAGCCTGGGCAACAGAGCAAGACTCCGTATTAAACAAAACCAAACCAAACAAAAAACAACAGTTAAAATGGTTTCAGCTACAACTAACAGAAAAAAAAGGAACTCGAACAGAGTAAACAGTAAGGAATTTATTATCTTACAAAACGGAATTAGCTCAATGGTTTGATGATGGTATCAGGACCCAGATTCCTTCCATATTTTTGCTCTGACATCCACAGGGTGTGGGCCTAACTACCCCACTGGTCTCAAAAAGACTAGGTGCCACATTCTCATCAAATATGAACCAGAGACAGGAGAGGGGTATTGTTTCCTTTTGTCTCTTTTTAAGACTGAGGAAAAAGCTTCCCTAAAACTCCTTCACATTTCATTGGTCTTAATTGCAGCACTATCAAAGGGAATGTAGTTACTATGCTTCACTTTGACCAACCCAGATGTAACTTTAGGTTACAGGAAAAAAGCAAAACCCAATGGAATTTTAAGTCATATGGAAAGGCATGAACTGCTAAATAATTAAATACTTACAAAATAATTTTAATGAAGGTCTCATTAGCAAGAAAAATGCAGAGATATGGATGATAACAATCTCAGAGACTACTGCAGAAATGTGAGTGGCCCAAATCAAAGCTGTGGCAATGGAAGCAGAGGTGAATATTTTAAGACATGAAGAATACAGACTTCCTAGCATGTTCTTTGTCAGTCAATGCTGAGTTAAGGGAAAAGGAGAATATGTCCTAGGTTATATTGGCTCAGGCAAGTCTATGGAAGCTGATATAATTCACCAATACAGGAAATATGACAGCAAGGCAAGTTAACAAAAGAAGTTTTTGAGTTCAATAATGTTGAATTTGAGATACCAGTGGGATACTAGTTGGAAGTGTCTAGTGCATAGTTGGAGAAATTGGTCTTTAATACAAAAAAGACAGCAGAACTGGAGCTATAGATGTAGAAGTCACAAATTTATAAAAGACAAATTAAGCAATGGGAGTAGTTGATTTCACCCTAAATGATAGCATCACAGTAGAGGAGACAAAGTTCTAGAATGGAATACATACCAACACCAATAGGTAACAAGGGAATAGAGAAAGAGGAGCCAGATGGCTGAGATAAATAAGAGAACTAGAAGGTAGTTTCATGTTTCATGAAAATTAGGGGAGGACAGGGTTTTGAAAAGAAGGAAGTTGTCAATAGCGTTAAATGCCTCTGAGAGGTGAAGTATAATAAATGCTTTAGCTTGGTCCATTGGGTTTAATTTATTGGAAACAGGGGGGTGAGGGGGGTGATACTGGTGTATGCATGGAAGTTGTTTTTGTGGTGTGCTGGGAGAACAAGCAAGAAAGCAGTAAATGGGTTAGTGAAAAGTGAGAGTGTAGACTGGGAGGCTAGAAAAATTTTTTTTTTTTACATTTCAAAAAATTTAAATTATTTTTAATTGACAAATGATTATGAGTATTTATAAGGTACAATGTGACATTTTGATATATGTATACACTATGAAATGATTAAAGTTTTTGTACATCACCTAAGTATATTTTCCCATATACCTTAAATCATCTTTAGATTACTTATAATACTTAATGCAAAATAAATGCTATGTAAATAGTTGTTATACTGTATTGTCTTTTAAGTTGTATTATTTTTATGATGTATTGTTGTATTTCGTCATTTTTTCCTAATATTTTCAATCCATGGTTGGCTGAATCAGAGGATGCAAAACCCACAAATACAGATGGCCAGCTATATTGTATATTTGAAAATTGCTAAGACAGATTTTAAATATTCACACCACATGAAAAAATCTTTTAAGAAGTTTGTGAAGCAGGAAAGAGCAATAGGGAGTATGAATTAGATAGAGACTTGTAAAGAAAAGTGGGTATTTTTTTTATCTGCTAACTGCACTGCCATTCCAACTTCTCTCAAAATTGTGTTTCGATGATAATATATACAAATAGTTTTGGAGTCTATGGAAGAAATGCTCTAGACTTTGAAAATATAATGTAAATATTTCTGGGGTATATTATATATCAAATCTATTAGAAGATTTAATTTTTAAAATTTTTTGTGTAAGTTATTAATGTGTCCCAAGCTATTTTGTCTTCCTTTTTCTATGTATTTCATCAATGGTGTCTTGTTTTATCACAAATCTTTAAAATCAGAACTAATCACATTTCATATTTAGGATGTTGAATATAGTTTTCATACATAATAAGGTCATATAACAGTGATTAATAATTATAAATATTTCATCATGGAGATTTTTGGCTTCCAGGACTTTCTTTAAAAATGCTAAGGAAAATAAGAAGCAGAAACATTTATATTCAGTACTTAAGGACAAATCTGTAAAGTAGGCCCCAGTCAAGCTATACCAGGTCTATGTTTCACTCATGATCTATTTCACAAAATGTCTATATCACTATAAAAACTCCTGAGATAAGTATAGAAGTTAATACAAAAAAGAAGCTAGTAATACTTACATGCTTCATTTGGCATTAAAAATAGTAATTATTCTTACAGTTCCGTATTAAGGTGCTCACAATAGAAAATAAAATTAGTATTAATTTTCTTTACTAAGGTCCTTTGGGTGATGCCAAAGAAAACCTGATATAAATTCATTTCCTTTCACAAATGTGATTTTCATAATGATGAGAGTAATAAGAGAAGTGGGTAAGAAGATGTCGCATTTTGAAAAAAATGACTCCATCATTCAGTTGACTTTACAGCCCCAGGACTAAGTAAGCTATTCAGTTAAAATAAAAGCTGATTTTAAAAAAATTTCCTGATTGTATCTCTTTGCACAAAAAATATGTTCTTCATTTTCTTTGGGGGAAAGAAGGGGTCTGGGAGTGGCTGGCAGGAGGTCTGGATTAGATTCTGGCTCTACTTCTAGTAGGAATGGGTAAGTCAGGGATTCACCATGCCGTGGATTCCATGTCGGTGGGATTCAGCAGTGGGATATTAGGGAAGCTTAAAACATAGTATAAAAATAAAGTGAAAACTTTAAAAAGTGAAGGGAAATATAAATACATATATTTAAATCTAATAATACATTTTTTTCAAAAGAAGTAAATAGTTTTGTGAGTATATAGCAGATTAGGTAGTATGGTGGACCACACAGTACATGAAAGGAGGCCAGAAAGCATAAAAGGAGGACATTGGGTGCAGGTGGGTGCCTGCGGGCACCAGAAAAGGCTGGCAGAAAACAGATGTGAGCATGACCAGTCAGAGATAAAGAGCCTTATGCAGGAATGTGGTGACAGGGTAAACAACACTAAGCATTAGTCATTTCCAAACATACTCTCAAATCTACCACGGTTTGAACTCTGAAAATAAGTGTGTTCATTTTTGTGGTTACTATGCAACCACTTAGATATTTCTTTGTAATTTTTGCCCAATCTGCTAGTTTTGGGTACTATTTCAACCATTTTATTTGCGAAGAAGTCAATCCTTTGTAACTATTACCATTAGACTGAATCACATAAAATCATTTCTTTTGTAGGCCAGCAATGACCAAATATCATCACTTTCAAATGTTTGAGCCTATATGTTACATTACACCTACTTTATGTGTTCAAATATCTTCAATTTAATTGTACCATAGCTCTCAGGTGGTCTTATTGCTGCTTCCATGGATAGATGGCAGGTAAAGTGGGGTTTTCTTATGCTCTCTTAATTTCCCTTCGATACATATCTATTCACCTAAAGACTAATCCTTCCACAGGAAGAAATGGATTCCCCAACTCTGAAAGGCTAAACATTCAGCCATGCCCTTTTGGGATCTGAAATCACCTTTCCTTATACAGAACCTACCTAATTCCTTATCAATCATTCTTGCTTCAAGCTTGGTCATGTATCTTTTCTATAAACTATGTAATTAGAATTATCAGCACCATTTTATATTTACTTTCCATGTACCAAGGGTGTTTATGTAAGTTCTCAGGCCCCCTTACTTATGCTATCTCATACTGTTAATTCCTTATAGTGTTATGAAAGATGCTTGGCAAAATTAAAGCACTCAATTTGTATGCAAGTCCATAACACGCACATTTTAATACTTCCTGTTCCTTTGTGTTATGCCCTTCCCTCTCTTCTTTATCTATCTAACTCCTGTATTGTCTTCAAAACCCTAATTTGGGTGACATTATTTTTTGCTACCATGTTACTCTGTGCTTATGTTTATATATAACTTAGCTGGGCATGGTGGCATGTGACTATACTCAGGAGGCTGAGGCAGGAGAATCACAGGAGCTCAGGAGTTTGAAACCAGCCTGGGGAATATAGTGAGACCCTGTCTCTAAAACAAAAATAAAAAAAAAGACATCACACCATGATACCACTTTGGATTTGAGTAGCTGGAATGCTCTTCCTCCAGATAGCCATATGGCTGGCTTTCACTGTTTTTGCTGGTTGTCCAATGTTTATTTCTATAAGATCATCCCTGCCACTCTAACAATCATTATTCTACTGTTAGGAGAGTATATTTTAACTCTCACATCTGTATTCAGTTAGCTACAAGCTAACATTGTAAGCTAAGTTGTGTATACAAGCTAACACATGCAATTTTCTAACATTGCTTTGCAGAAATATGACTGATTGCCTACTTCTTTCCAGTTTTTATCTTTATCTCAATCTTTTCTCTTGCTGTGCACTGCCTAGAATGCCTGAGACACAGCTACTACCTATTGAAATTATAGGATTAAAATTCTATCAACTGCATGGAAATTTCCTTAAACACTCCACTTTCACTGATACCTTCTTTTATGTTTCCATGACATGTTATGAATTGACAGTTTGTATATGTGTAGATGTCTTGTCCTAGAAATAAAATAAATATGTTTTCAAGGCAGAGACTGTGACTTTCTTTTCTATATTCTTACTAGGATCTAGCTCTGTGCTTTGCAGTTAGCAAGTATTCAATAGCACAGCTAGAATAACTGAATGAATGGATGAGTGCCACCTACTCCTTTATTGTCCATCAATAATGCACCCAAGGCTAAATCTTAGCTTTCCAAACTCACTTGGCCAGACCAGTTGACATTCTTTATTCCCATCTGAGGAAAATTATTTTTTTTCAGTCTTTGTACATTGGGAAACTTGTCAGATAAAAGGCCTAATATAGATTCAATCATATAAAATGACTATGAGCTATGGCAACTAGAAGACATGATAAACATTCCAAAGCTATTCATAATCCCATTCTTCCTTGTTAAATGCTACAATAGAGGCTGGAAAACAAGAATAATTTCTTTCTCAGGGACTCCTTCCCACCTCTGACAGCAATGAATGGTTATATGTTAAATTTCTGGCCAATAAGTGTAGACAAAAGCTTCTGGGGAAGGTTTCCATCCCTGAATAAAGAGGCAAAACCTCACTAGGAAAAATATATTACCACTTTGCCTTCCCTTTCTTTTTGCTGGAATGTGATGAAAGGTGTGGACGCATAGCATCCCAAATGAGATAGGAGATGCTGAGCATGAAGACAAAAGCCTATCGAATGGGGTGTCAGAAAAGAAACATCAAAATATCGTAAGTTGCTTAGGGCATTATTATGTCTTTGTACTAGTCATGGATTTCATTCCTTTAGATCTTTAGTTGTAGAACTCCAATGTATTTGAACCACTAGTGATCACATTTTATTTTGTTTGATAGCTGAATACAAAGCTGGCTGATGCAGTGATCTACAAGGTCATGACTGAGGTATCTTATACTCATCCTCATTCAAGCAAGATTATGTTTAACTTAAAAAGACAAATGAAAAGGAATCTATTTTAATAAATATATTATTGGTGGAAATATTCATAGTCTACCTTGAAAGGAGTGTTATGTTAAGATTGCTTTGCTTGTAGAGTAATTTATGCCTTTAATTTCTGTGTCTAGTCTTTCTAAGCCAGAATAAAAGTCTGTTCATCATGATCTCTGTTATAGCCCTCCGCATATTTGAAGGCTGCTGTTATATCACATCATATATTAAGCTCAGTTAATAGATTAACAGACCCTTTATTTTTACATTTACTATAGCATCTAACATGGTTAGCAAATGCTTTTATTATTTCTTTATTTTCTTTATAAGATAAATGGGTATTACATATACCAAAGCATCTGTTTTGGAGCCACTATGATCACTAAAAGAATCTTTTCATTGTTCCTACCTTCTCCTTCCTACATGTGTGGAAAAAACACATGATTCCACACATACACATGGTTGTCTAATTCTATTGTTTAACCCTCCATGAATAGATGTCCACAATGCTCCCTACATCTCTCTTTTTTTTTTTTTTTTTTTTGAGACAGGGTCTTGCTCTGTTGCCCAGGCTAGAATGCTGGAGTGCAGTGGTGTGACCATGGCTCACTGCAGCATCCATTTCCTCGACTCAAACAATCTTTTCACCTCAGCCTCTCAAGTAGCTGGGACCACAGGCACTATACCCAGCTAATTTTTGTATTTTTTGTAGAGATGGGATTTGCCATGTTGCCCAGGCCGGTCTTGAACTCTTAGGCTCAAGTGATTCTCCCCCCTTGGCCTCTCAAAGTGCCTATGTCTTTAAATGTGAGTATTTGAGCATATTGAATGATGATGACCTGCCCTTTGCTGGTAAAGATATACTAATAACATAATATAAACAATACGTACACTTGGGATGTCTTTCCAGGGCTGGAAAGAGAATCATATTCTGTTTTTCCATGTTCTCATTTTATCCTGAATGTGCCAATTTAATTATTTGCCAACATGTTGCCAGACATGCTCCCTAGTCTGTGCTAAAGCATTTGTTACCATGTACTACATTGAACATACTTGAATGTTTCTGTCATGTTTACCACCCAGATGGTGAGAATCCAAGGAAAGGAGACACTTGTATTAAGTTCACAGTTTATCTGTTCTTGGAAACATATAACTGCATGAAGAGATCAGGATGAAAATATCGTTATAGTTACCCCAGTTACCTCAAGGTGGAAGTCTGGGTCAGACAACCACGGGGACCTGCCATTGCAAAACTTCTCTGTATATGCCTGGGGGACCTGGCTGTTCTAGTTTTTCACCATCTTTGACATCTGCTTGTTCTCACTTGGCTCCTGCCTTACCCTCAGGGTCTCAATAATGACTTCTTGACTTTGACAACTTTGACAAAAATGCATTCATCAAAATTATAATAAAAAATAAAATCTATTTTTAAAATATGATATTTAACTCATGTATTAAATTGCTTTAAAAGGCAGCAGGGCGGTGAAACCCCGTCTCTACTAAGAATACAAAAAAAAAAAAAGAAAAATTAGCCAGGCGTGGCGGCGGGCGCCTGTAGTCCCCCCTACTCGGGAGGCTGAGGCAGGAGAATGGCGTGAACCCGGGAGGCGGAGCTTGCAGTGAGCCGCGATTGCACCACTGCACTCCAGCCTGGGCGACAGAGCGAGACTCCGTCTCAAAAAAAAAAAAAAAAAAAAAAAAAAATGCTGCCGGGATGTTCTAAAAACACTCCCCACCCCTTGTACTGACTCCAATCCCATTCAGATCCAAAGGGTAACCCTCCAGATTAGGATACCTGGATTTTTCATGGTAGTCCCGAGAACATTAGCCTTAAGGGAAAAAATATAGCATATTTGTCCTTTTCCTGTCATAAGCCATTTTTAATATGGGAGTATCACAAAGTCAAAAAGAAAGAGATCTTAAAATATTTCTTCCAATGCTAGAGCCTATGTGGACATAAGGGAGAGGCTCAGGGCAGGGGGAGAATAAATCCTTGATTTCAAATCTAGCAACTATCAGGGTTATAAGGGACCTCGGAGAGGAGATTTTGTAGTCTTCCCAAACAGCCTATTCTAGAGCTTCACACACAGGTCTGAAGAGGAAGTAGACATCTGAGATGAAGAGGAGAGCAGTTCCTGGTATATTTCGGTTAGAGTTTTCCAAATTTTCAAAAATCATTCACTATATAGTATTAAAGGCCACTGTATCAGATTTTGTCATCAAGTAACATGACTATTAAAAATGGTAGTTGAGAAAGAATTTTAAAAAAACAGTTCTGTTTTCTACAGGGAAGTAGGAAGGAGTGTCTGCACTGGGGCACAATAAGATTGCTACAAACTTACAGGATCACATCATGTCCTCTGAGACGTGCTCTCAGAAAGATAGTAGGGACTTAGTTTTTCTCCCACATAGCATCGTTAAGTCTCTTCTTGCTACCGAAATAATTCGTTTTGCTGCCAAAACAGTTTGCAATTATGACAAAATTCACATCCAAAAGATATTTAAAACAAATATTTTCCCATTTTTGTATAGTTCCCTCTCAAATGTGGGAAGATGGTCTGTTCCTTATTTCTCACAGCCACAGGCACCGCCTTCCAGAAACAGAATAAAAACCCACACTGTCCTCAATTATTCAAAGACCAATTTTCTGAGAACATATAAACTTATTTGATATATAAAAATTATAGCAAACATTGTCTTAAATAATAATATTTATCATTCTCTTCACCCCCATAGCATCTTTAACATACTTTTCTTTCCATGAACTAAAGGCATGTAGGGTTAAAAAAAAGTATAGTTTGGAAACATTAGTGGTGTTTATTATGATTATTAATATAGAAAAAATATTTTGCTTTTGTCTCAATACTCTGTTGTTAGGCAGGTAACATGATGTCATACATTAATAATAAAAATAATAATAGCATAACAATGAAAATAATAATTACTAACATATATTCAATAATGTTTATTTTCCAATCATTTATTCTTTAGTACCTGTGAGGTATGCACTCAAATTATTTTCATTTAAAGATAAGGAAACTGAGGCACAAAGCGGTTAATCACTCTTCCCAGAGAAAAGCAGTAAGTGGCAGAGTTGGGATTTAAATCCAAGAAATCTAGTTATTAAAGCCTGCAATCTTAACCATCACAAAACTATCCTGCAATCAATATTATATATCAAGGCCACTAGGTCAGCTGTGGATTCAGAAGGTGGCTACAGGTCTCCAATGTCCAGGTCAGGGCTTTGTCCATTTGACCAAGCTTCTAACTGAAGTCTTCTTCAACTACTTCCAGAAGCTTGCCAGTACCTCAATGTATTCAGGCTCAAGATTGCTTCCTTCTATTTCCACAAATGCACCTGTGCCCTTTTACACTTTTCATGAAGCTTAAAGCTTATTTAATTGGATGAAGGAATCTTATAGCTAAAAGTGCTCCTGAGAATTCTATTTTTCAAAAGATAAAAAGTTAAAGACTATTATTATTCAAATTGTTACCACCACCAGCTTGGTTTGGCTCCATTAACGCACTGAAAAGAATGAACTTCAGCAAGGAATAGAGGGAAGCAGGTGTACTCAGCAGGGTTCAGGTCTAAGAAATTCAAAATTACACAGAAGTGGTGGTCATAAGTTCAGTCTTGCCTGCAGTGCAATTGTGCAGGGAGATTGTCTTTATTCATCAGTGGGTAATCATAGACTCGTCAGAAATCTATTGCACTTCCTAGGTGAAGAGACGTGGGAAGTACAACACAGATGCTCAATCTCCCCTTTGGCCAGTAGCTCTTGCTCTGGCCAGGGGTCAGGCGTAATTCAGCTCCTCCCTCCCACATGTGTACAATGGTCACATGGCACAGTTACATCAACTGCAGAGAGGGAATGGTTAGTTCAGAATGAAAGCGTGATATGAGATCCTTACGTTGGAGGAAAAACTATAGTTTTCATGATTCCTATGAAAACATTTAAGTGTGACAGTTATAGAAGCAGACATGTTAAAAGAACAGAAACATAACTGTCAAATAGCTAAGGGTATCTATAGTATCTGTAAAACTATTTTAGGAAAGGAGAAAGGAATACTGGTCAATGTGTGGAAAGTGGAAGAAAAAGGCAGGAGTATCCAGAATATGGAGAGAACTACATTTTAGGTTTTTCAATATTCCTAATTACTTTTCCCTTTTTTTGTCCCTTTCCATCCTCCTCTATTTCTCTTATTTCTATCATATAAGCCACTCTATTAAAACATTCCAGTTTAAAATATATATTGACATTTGTGTATATACTAATATGGTCTCATGTTTATACACACACACTCTCACACACACACACACACACACACACACACACACAGCTCTCAGAAAATTCCCAGCCAAAATGATCCTAGAATCAAGTTGTTCAGATCAAACATTGGCTCTGCCTCTTATTAGCTCTGTAATCTCAAATAAATTGCCTACATTTTCCATGCCTCAGATTCTTTATCTATAAAATAAGAATAAGAAATACATATACATTATAAAGTTGTTAAGAATTAGAAGAGTGAATAAATGTATGCATTAAACATAGCATCTAGCACATATGAAGTCCTGAATATTATCAGTTATCTTAATGATTATTTTTATTGATATTACTATTAATAAAATAGCCAATACATCAATACATCATGGAAGTGCCTTGCCTAAATCTGGTTAGGTTGACTCTGAGATTGCTGATTTGTACAATATAAAAACTGGCTGACCAGTTGGACATGGTGGCTTCTTAATCACCATCGTTTGGAAGACAAGTCTTTGTTGATTCAAGATACCAGGTCCCTGAAGTGCTGTGTCCAGTCCAGAATATCACACATTATAAATGAAATTGAAATCCAAGAGTATTCAGAGGAGGCTAACCGGAGGTAGGTAGTGGGGAAGGGAGCAAGATAATGTGTCAAATACGGAAAACTTAAAGAAGTCTATTTTGTCCTAAAAAATAATAGTATAGATGAAAATACAATAAATACATTCAAATACTTGAAGTATTATTATAAGGAAGAAAGTATGGTCCTATTCCATGCTGCGGTAAGGATAAGAATTTTATCTTGTTGGCGTATCAGTGGTTCTCAGTGTTTTCTGGAGACTCAAGATAGTCCCCAAGAACCTTTTAAAGATTCTTCAAGGTCAAAATAATATTAATTAAGTGTTATGAGTATTATTATTTACCTAACAGTACTAAGAAGTTATTTTTCTTCTTCTCTCTCATTCTCTCATTAGTAGAAAATTAATGTTTCCAGAAACTATATGGTATATAATATTACAACAGATAGAGAATATTAAAGCATATATGAGAATCCAGCTATCTATTATTCAGACAGACATTTAAAAGATTTGTAAAAATGCAAAAAAGTGACACTATTCCTATTAAATCTTTGTTTTATAATATCTGGTTGTTTTTCATACAATATGTGCTATTTATATTAATATATTGATTTATTATTATTTAATAAATAATTAAATATTTTAAAATTCTATCTAGTTTATTTTACAATAAATATATATAACCCACATAGACAAAACCTCTTTATATTCCACAATTATGCTAAAAATTAGGTTTATGTTTAAGAATGTTTAAAAAGGAGTCCAGAGACTAAAAGGCATGAGAAACATTGGTTTCAATTAACAGTGTTAAGATTTTGAAACCACAAATTTCAAAATATTTCAGCAGTTCAGCACTAAATTAGGCTTTTCTTTTTTTCTTAATGTAGTTTTTAGAAAATATTCAGTGAGTGTGTGTGGTAAGAGGGATATATATACATTGATCCTAGTCACCTCTAAGGCTTCTTTCAACTCAAAGATTCTGCAGCTCCATTGTGAAAGGAATTGAAAAGAGAGCTTACTGAAAATACTGTTCTCATAAGCCTGGTGTGAAAGTTAGCAGCTAAGCATGTGGTTAGGAGCGGCAGTTTTGGGGTGAAGCAAAAAGTGAAGAACTCCAGTGCAAGAATATAATGCATTTTTGGATCATTGTGTTGGTGGTAGATTATCTAATGAAAATGATAAGACTGAAGGGTTTGCTGTCAAAGTTACTTAGATTTCATAATGGAATGTCTTCTCAGGAGGATGGAAACTAGAGTCCATGTTGGCCTTACAAGTCTTCTCTGAATATTCCAGAAACTAATAGTTAAGATTCTTTCAAAAAGGTAAGTTGATAGATGCCCACACAGTTTCTCCTCTAGACTGTGTCACAGATGACAACCTCATAACCTCTACCTGTTGTCCTGGTTCTACCATTTATTTCAACACAGAATACACACACACACCACACACACACACACACACACACATATATTTGGGTGTGTTTATGTAAATTACATATTTCCTCTTTCATATAACTTTATATTCAAAATTTAAACACAGCTGCACAAAAGATAAATGTGCAAATCATAGGAACACAATTCACAAAGGAAATGTAAATAATAAGCATATGATAAAACCCTGAACACAGTAAAAATTAAATTAATCACAAAATGGTAAATTGAAGAAATACCAGTTTTTATAAAAGTAACACTTTTGAAAATGATAAAATTAAACTCTGACAAAAGTATGTGAAAGGAAACTCATACAATGTTAGGAAGAGAATAGAGGAAACAACTTTTCTGAAAGCCATTTGTCAATATATATGAAGAGACTGAAAATGTTTTCATTTTTTAACACAGGAATTCCAGGTCTAGGACACTATATCAAAAAAAAGATCATATATATATATATATATATATATATATATATATATATGGACATATATATGGACAAATATATCTATATATTTATATAGATATAATCTATTTATATAGATATATATGTCCATATACGTGGACAATGATTTCTGTATGATGATATGCATTTTAAAGAAAAACTACCAAAATATCTTTCTTTGAAAACTAAAACAACTAGTTTTACAGAAAAATTAAGAAAAATATTCTTGGTCAGGCACAGTGGCTCACGCCTGTAATCCCAATACTTTGGGAGGCCAAGGCGGGCAGATCACCTGAGGTCCTGAGGTTGGGAGCTCGAGACCAGCCTGAACAACATAGAAAATCCCTGTCTCTACTAAAAATACAAAATTAGCAAGGCATGGTGGTGCATGCCTGTAATCCCAGCTACTCAGAAGTCCGAGGCAGGAGAATTCTTTGAACCTGGGAAGCGTAGGTTGCAGTGAGCTGAGATCATGCCATTGAACTCCAGCCTGGGCAATGAAAAAAAAAAAGCAAAAAAAAAAATATATATGTATTCTTCAAAGCCATGTTGGTTTGGTCATTAAACACACACTGTCGATTTCCTCAGACAGTCCGAACTATCGTGTCCTCAAAATGAGCACTGGCCCCCTCTGTCCCTCCACTGCATGGGGCCTACACAAGAAATCCCACCTGGGGAGGGGCCACATGTATCTTTTCCACAAATTTGTCTTCTGTTCCTTGGCATAGAGCAATACTAACATTTGTGAAATATTTGTAGAAAACACAGCTGCCTTTTCTACAAAATATGCAAGTAATTACTATAAAATAGTATGTGTCTAGTGGTGACAGACAAGAGAACAAGGCAGAAATCAAAACATGAAGAAGCTGGTGTCTCCTTCTTAGAGACCAGGTGTCTCCACTAGCCCATTAATTGTCATAATGGCCTCTGAGTTCTAACCTTAAAAAAAGTATATTCTCTTATCTCTCAAAATTTTAATTTTACTTGAAATAAGTTGGTTCTCAACTTCAAATTCATCATTAAGATATTTTTAAAATATGATTTTGAAAAATCTTGTCTGGAAAGAAAATTCTTTTCCTTAGCAGAACGCCACAGAAATGCAGATACTTCCTGCGCATGTCTGTAGGGTAGTACCGTATCAGTTATTCAACTTAACGTTCTCAAATGATTTGATGAAAGCACTCTTTCTTCTAAAGATTCTTACTCTAAAAGGTAAGGGTTAGCTGGATTTTTTTTTTTGGATTATCATGAGGAGCAACCAGAAAACTGTGCTACACTCTCTAAGGGGACACAAATTGTCATAATTTTCCAGAAAGGAACATAATAAGAACAGAAGTGCAATTCCATCAAATCTTGCCACATATGTGTTACATTTAGTATTCTGGGTAACAAATGCCAAACTTTTAACCACTTTTCAGGGGTGAGAGGAGAGGAAAGGACAGAGCCGGCATAGAAAACTTGTTAATTAGTCTGTAAAAGAGCAAGCAAAAGACTTCACCAAAGTTACCACTTCAGGACAAGAAATATTTTTCTTATATAGGAGAGACTGATAAATCATGGTAAACATTCTACGTTATCCTTATCATTCCGTCTCAAGGAGGTATGTATACATTGTGTCTTTCATGAGCACAATTACAGTCCACATCACTTTATTTTATTCCCTCCTTGTATAAGAAAGCAACATAATAAAATAATACTCAGGCTCAATATTTTGCCATTTTTACTATCAGATTACCAGTCATAGTGTCAGTCTATCTATACAAAACATGCTAAAATATTCCCACGATACCAGATTATCTCATAGAATTATAGAGCCTCATCAGTTCATGTGTATCATTATTAATTCAACAAATATGTATTTAAAGGCTACTCTGTAACGATAGGCACTGCCTATACAAAGACAAAGGAAAACATCTCTCTCTCTCTGAAAGGTGCTTAAAGCAGAAAGAAACTAAAAACCAAATAAGGAAGGGTATTCCAATGAGACAGACCAGAAAGATGTCCCTGTGGGCATGTAGGATGGCTGAAATGTATATGTGCTCCACATCTCTCCCCTGGAAAGGTGAAAAACCTGTACTGTTGCACAGAGCTTGGGCACAGTTTAGTTTAACACACATTCATCGAGTATTGAATCATAATTATACTATTTTTGTCTGTGGAAGAGATGCCACAAATGCATTTTTTATGGGCTATAAAGAAAGCCAATGTCAACAAGAAACCTAAAAAAAATGTGTTTGTGTTCATTCAGGAGTAAAGCAGAGACATTCAAAGATGAACAGCAATTCTGAATGGAAAGAGGCCAGCTGTAAAACGTCATAGAAGACCTGCAGTAGAGATACAATCCTGAGAAGAATATTTAGCAAGAATGGGGTTTCAGATTTCTGGTATTTCCATATGGGTGGAGATTGAAGAAAAAAAAGAAAAGAGCAAAAGTTTTCTCATAATGTTTTGCAACTTCTGCTTCCGGGCCCAGTCAGAGCCCAAAAGCAGCAAGAGAAGTAAAATGAAAACACTGAACATTTTTTTTGTTTTGTTTTGTTTTAAATAATAATTAATTTTCACTCACAAAACTGAGTATACTTAATTCAGGTATGTTTGAGATTTCAAATGAATATCTATAGTGAATGCATTTTTATTTAAAAGGAGAAAATGGTTTATTCTTGACATCCTTTCTTAGCTTAGAGAGAAATAAAATCTTCAGAAAATAGTGGTGGCTTACAAAAGTTGGATTTTTTTAAAGGAATAAAATGGAAAGCACGAGTAATCTGATGATAATATTCAATAACAGAAAAAGTTCTTGCCACTAACACTTTATCAACTATAAACATAAAAACCTACTTTCTTAAAGATTAATTATCTACACTGTGATCAGCATAAATGCACAGCTAATTTTTTTCTGCTCTAGTAAGTGAATATTTTGGATTTCAGAATGAACTTTGCTTTACTAGAAAGAGGTAAATCAAAATATTTAATCTACATAGGAATACATACAGTGTGTGTGTGTGTATATATATATTTATATATATACACTATATGTATTAAAAAAAAAACCTCTTGATTCCATCCTATGGTGGAGTTAGAATGTTCTATTAACACAAGTAGATATTTCGTTTTAAACAAAACTGATTTTTTTTCCTACACTAATTTAATCTCCTTGCCTAATGTTCTTTAGTCCTCCAACAGGTCTGCCTACTTAAACAATTTCTAGTCACAGGATGTGGCTGCCACAGTTTTATCTCCATCTGGCAGAACATAACCAACCTGCTTGAGCTCTCAGCTCCTGTTTTATAGCAACTAAAGTTTCCTTGTTCACCCGCTCCCCCACGCCACCTCCATGACGTGCATTTCTCGTAAAACTACAGATCAGTAAACTTCCTCAGGGAACTTGCAGTAATGTATGACAAAAAAAAAAAAAACAAAAAACAAAAAACTAGTAGCCCTGTGATGTGTAGCAGAATTCATCAGACTAGCTGTCTGTTCTGGCACTGATTGCCAGGCAAGCTTCCATTGTGCCTTCATAGCTCATACACAGTGCACTTTCCCTGTATTAGGCCCTTGTAGGTATCTGGATCCATGGGCAAAAACTTGAGTAGGGGAGGGAAAGAAAGGGAAGCAACAATACCTTTTAAGTCAAAAACTGAGAATAATAGATTGCTATTTCTTCTATATGCAAAGGATGAAAATATACCTATGACCCTTTTCACTGTGAAATGCTTAATGTTTGTTCTAGCAATTCTTACTGGAAATGACTGCCTTACACAGTTGCAAATGTCTTAGAATAGTATAGTGAACATCTATGATTGGAAATAAGTCCCTGTTAATCTTTCAAATAATGACCAAATTTTTGTAACCTCTGGTAGGTACAATTCGTAAATACATGGATAACTCTTACAGGACAAAAATTACATCCTACTTATAGTGAATATATTTTTATATCATTTTGTTAAAACTTCTTAAATTTTTCTAATAGTTAATACTTAATTGTTACTACAAAATTCTCACCTGTGAATCTTTTAAGTTTTTTAAAAATTATGTGATATCTCCTTTGTTCATTGTATAGAGTACCCAACGAACTTCATGGTGAGTGATGCTTAGTGGGTGCTTTCTGATGAAGCATCCAGTAGTTTAACCAACTGGTCTAGAATAGCACAGTGTTACTGCTGGGAGCCATAAAGAAATTATTTCAATGAAGTTTGTAGTTTTCAGTTAAGGTGGCTAGGGTAGGCAATTTTGCCCTCAGTTGACATTTGGCAATGCCTGGAGACATTTCTGGTTGTCACAGTCAGAGCAGGTTGGGTAAATGTGCTGCTGTGTCTAGTTTACAGAGGCAGGAATGTTGCTAAACATCCTACAATGCCCAGGTCATCTCAGTTCTCCAACTAGATTGTCCACAGGGTCAAGATTCAGAAACTAGTCTAAGCTGTAAATCTCACTGAAAAAGAAACCAGGCTTAAAGAAGTCAAGTCACTTATTGAATACCACATACCAGAATCTCAGTCTAGTGAAGAGGAATTAGTAATAGAGTTAGGATTCAAAACTTGTCCCAAAATGCCTAATCCAACATTCATTTCATTGTATCAGGCCACAGAACAAATACCTCATAATATGCTGGAGGAATTCTAGACCAAGTTCCCTCATTTTTGGTGTAACAAAGGACAAGTCACTAAATATCTATGAGTTTCAATTTTCTTTTTTGTAAAATAGATGCGTTGAAATAGATTATTTCTAAGGTCTCTTGCTTCTCTAAAATTAATTGTTGTATAAATAATGCTACTTTACATTATAGTAGTTTCCAAATTCCTTTTCTCTTTCTTTAATTTTTTTTCTCTTTTTAAAATGTTTGGTACAGGAATTCTAACTCAAATAAAAGCAGGAAATATGTCAGCTAATTAAAAAAAACCGGCAACTTGAACAATACTTGTCTCTCAGTAAATAGTAAAGACCATCACAAAATAAAAGGTATTCTTATTTGTTATTATTTAATAGAAGACACATTCTCTGGTCCATTTATATCCTGTATACAAATTAACTTATTTTGATTGTATCCATGCAATCTAAGACAATAAAAATAGAAGAAAAAACAGCCACATAAACAGCAAAGTGTTATTACTGATTTAATTGAATTGATTTGACATTTTCAGTCCACTGATATATTTCCTGAGATAAAAGTTGCCCTTAGTATTCATGAATCTGTAGTTCATTCTTAGTAATTTTAACATGAAAAATTGATGTGTTTAAATTTTCACTTTAATATTCATGTTTTCTATAAAATATTGTAAAATTCTAAGATATTATGGTTATACATATTTATTACTATTATTACATATTAATGTGAATTTTGAGAAACTTTCCTTTGCATGATTTTCTCAAATTACAAAATATATTATTCTCTTATAAAGGACAGCAGGTTTAAAATGGAGCAAGGAGCATTGGAAATATATTTAAGGGGAGGGAGGGGCCAAATTTGGTTGTTAAATACCATATTTTATTGATTAAAGAGTTTGGCAGATTAATTGCTACAATTGTAAAATAGGACAACAGATAAAAAGAGAAAATATATAGTTGTCTTTTCTTCACTAAAAAAACTAGTACTTGTAATCTGTGTATATAAATTTTTCGTGTACCATATAATCCCTAATTTTAAATCTCCTTTCATTATAAAGTGAGAGAATGAAATCTTAGCTATCACATTGTTGTTTCAATCCACTAGCTAATTTTTTTAAATCAGAAGAAAATAAGCTGTCATTTATTTATTTATTTTACTCAAAAAGAATTTTAATCTGACCCATGTGCCACTGTTATTGTTAACCTCTAGACATTTTAACAGCATTTTGATGGACCTTAAATCAATTAACACTATAAAGGAAAACATCTGTGGCTCTAATACATTTTAGAGTTACTCTTAATATTTTTTTGTAAGGATTTTAAAATGCATTTAATTAAATAAAGCCACTGAAAATTCCATAATTCACAGTGTGTTAAAATACCAGATATTAAAATCACGTCAATTTTATTAACAAACATGAGGCATGCATATCTGTAAGAGGGAGTTATTAGAAAAGCCAGCGGAAGGAAATGTTTTCTTGCCATCAAATCCAGATGTTCAGTTCATAAAATGGAGGCCTAGAAAAAAGGCAAGTTATGGCACTGAATAACATTAAGAAGCGTTACCTCTGATAAAATTCATGGACAAAATAGATCTTTAAATAAATAATGCTTTACTTTTGTCTTAAAGTAGTATTTTCTACTTTACATGTGGAATAGAATAATGGGTGAATTAAAATAAAAGGCACATAATTTCCTTTTCCACAAACACCTTTATGTAAATATTCATATGTTTTAAAATGTAAAGAATACTCTTTAGCAAAAAGATGATCCATGGGAAGTATTTTCTTCCAGACACTGACAAAACTTAAACTGGAGCGAAGATTCCACAAAAATCATGGCTCTATGGATGGCAAGGATTATTTTTTCTTTTCCTTGATCTGTTGCTCTTTAGCAAATACAGATGTTTATAGAATAGATTAATTACAGAATAGGAGTTCATGTTGACAGTGGTTGAACATTCTGTATTTCAGTATTTCAATTTGTAAAATAATTTGTGAATCATTTCTTGTTTTTTTAATCAAGATTTCAACTTTTATTCCAATTCTTAAAGTGAAAAACCAAATGAGAAACTAATCATAGTAGTGGTAACAAAATTTCTATACTCCTTTATCGTTTTTCAAATGCTTAAACAGTATAACAATTCCTCATATTATTTTGTTTTGTTACACTTAATGAAGTGATTTTACATTCATTTTCTATAACCACCTTATACGTAGACATGTAAACTAAATTAAAATTTAGTTTAAGAGAAAGCATTTTATTAAGGCTAACAAAAAAGTCCTTTGGATGCTTTGAGCATAACACATTTGTTCTTGAAAAGTGACTAATTAAGATAGATGGGAAGATATGTACAGTTAAATTGATATTAATAGAAAATACCTTTACAGTGTTCCTGAAAAATGGAATGTGACAAAACTGGCACAAATTTTACATTTGACAACTAAAGGTATTTTTATTATTCTTATTTTCTTGCCTTTGAAGTACTTCTTATATTGTATCTGACTCGTTCTACTTCCAGAATTTTGAGGTTCCACTTGCCTTTGATCTTTCAGTAGCCATTCCCAATAGTTCTTTCATCCACACCATCGAGCCGCCCTTGACATAACACCATCTTTTATTCTTAGAAAAGGGAAAATCTTTTATTTCAAAGGCTTTGGTGATTTTCCCTCATGGGTCACCCTGAAAGTATTTTTCATCTTCCTATGGGTGAGAACCTCTTATTCCTTGAGCCTCTGGATGGACTCCTGGGTTCCCTCTCTTCTAAAGTTACCATTCAGCAAGGAGGAATCACAGCTATTCACATTTCAATGATGCTGATTCCTCTTTTACCTAGATGGAATGCTATTTCTTTCATTTACACTTTATCCTTGAAACAATGACCAAAAAAAAAAAAGGGTAATATTTGTTTACGTAATTGGATTAACATCTGAAAATGGATTACTTAGGTTTGCTAGGCTTTTATTATCTTTTATTGGATAGGTATTTAAATATCTCTCTGGTGCTTACACACAACTAGATTATTCAGCATTGGGAGTAAATTATGCTTTCTGATTTCACAAATGATAGTGCCTACATGCACGATTATCTGCTTCTCACACACTAATACAGTGTTTGTGTTATATGGGAGAGATTTCTCTCAATCTCTTCCCCCTTCCCCTCCTCTCCCTCCCTCCCTTTCTAGTTCTCTCCTAGTCTTTTAAATAAGGATTAAGCAGATGTGCTTAAACTGCGGCTTTATATCTACATGAAAATTAAGCAGCGACAGGAAGAGAAAGCTGCACAGCTTTCTCCTGTACTGAGATTTTTCAATACATTCTCACTATTGAGATCACAGTAAACTGCCAAAACACCTGATGCGCCCTTTTTTCAACTTAAGCAAAATATCATAATACAAAATAAATACCGATAGATCATATTTAAGTTACTTACTCTTTTGTTTTAACCATAATTCTGTTTTCCCTATTAAGACTAGTGACCAAGGATTGTACATTCGTTGAATAATCTGTAGAACTAGAAGCAATGTAGAAACAAATCTGAGGCTGAATAGCCTGGTGTGCATTGAAGCATCATATGGAGTGCCAGGCACACGAGACACTCAATGTTACTTCCCTTTCCTGACCCCTTCTTTCTCAACCTTAGTACTGTATTTAAAATTAGAACAAGGAAAATTAAATTGAACTATTCCCTTTTAGGATATGACAACCAGTAAATTTTATGATAATATCAGGAAACACAAATTAACAAATTTGCTTATGTTAAAGACAAGTATAAGCTAGACTATACAATGACATGAGCTTGTTAAATGAGATAACATTTATAAAATGTTAACAGAAGTGCCTGGCACAGAGTAAGCACTATTTTTTATTAGCTTTTTCTTATTAGCTAACCACCAGTAAGTACAAAATTAAGTAGCTCTAAAAAAAAGTTTTAAGGAAACCTGCCAAGCCTGAGATCAAAATTACACACAGAGATATACACACACTGACAAAAGGATTTATATCTATTTATGTGCAGTTTAATTTTCACGATATTAGATTCTACCTAATATCTGCCACATTGATAACAACTACTTTTTAAATTTCTCAAAGAAATGGAAGGTTTAATTTCAGTTTAAAAATAAACCAGTTATTTAACCAATACACACACACACACACACACACACACACACAATCCCAATCTGTTCAAGTATTGTCTTAAACAATATTTTAAAATATGTATCAAAACAAAACATAAGCTACAAAATGGTTCAACAGAGCATTACCTTTGCATGAAATTTTCAGTTAAATTTCTAATTCTTTAGTCTCTCAATATATTCTGTAGTTTTTATTAAAACAAATTATGTTAAGATGTACCTCTTTCTTTTTCTAATTGTTAAGCTAGCAAGGGATATATTAGGTAAAGACATCTAATTCTTCCAAATATTATAAATTCCTTAATATTACTTTTGTAACAATATTAAAGTTAATAGAGATATTTACCAATTGCATGTTCACAACCAACCTTTCTAGGGGAGACATAAATTCAGATTTTTATGTGGAATTTACTGAATTCTCACTATAATGCCAACCCTTTTCAACATTCAAAGCAAAGTATAGTTCTACTTTTTTTCACTGGCTACCTCTTCTCACTATCTTTTCCTAGCTCCTCCTTGTGTCTCTTCCAAATATGAAGTTTCCCAAGGCTCAGAAACCAGTCATCTGCTACTCTCTACATGTTTATTTACACTGTCACATGCAGTCCCTTAGCTTTAAGCTCCATCTGAATGCAATGACTCCTATGTTTATGTCTCCAGTTGAGACCTACTGAATGGGCCTCAGCCTCTTATCTCCAACGGATTTCTTGACCTCTCTACCACCTAATGAAAATCAGACATCAATAACAGCCCAAACATAACTCTGGATTTCTGACCCCCTAATTTGGCTCTTTCCCATCCCAGTGCTCATGGGGAAAAAAAGTCATTCTCTAAAATGTCTTTGTCTTTTCCATGCAGCCACTTCTCTTAATTCTATGTCAGTCTTTCCTTTCTTTCCACCTGCACTGCCAACACTTGGTCCAGATCACCATCCCCTTTCTCCATCCTCCCATTCAGTCTCCTCATAACTGCTTCCAGGCTTTGCCTTACTTCCAATCTATTCTCTTCATAACAGTCAAAGTGATCTCTTCAACACAGAAAGAAGATTAGGTTATTCTGTACTTAAGAACTTAAAATGGTTCCTTCCCTTTATACTTCAGGTAAAATTCAAGCTCTTTCCATTTCCATCAAGGCCCTGTGGGACCTGCCTTCTGCTTATCTTTCTAGCCTCACCACAACCTGCTCAGTTCTTACTCACCATACTACAGATGCCTGACCTTTCTGTGCCTCGAACCTACCAATTTGTTTGGTTTTGCCAGATAACCTTTACTCTTGCCAGTCTCCCTCACATGGATCCCCATATTCTTGTCAGCCAACAGGTAGCTCAATGATTCTTCTTCATAAGGATCTTCCCCGATCACTCTGTCTAAAAGTGCATTCACCCCTAAATCTGGGTCTGGCCAGATTAAACTCTACCATATTACACTACTTAATTTTCTTCACAGCATTTATCTATAACTGAAGTTATCTCAATTTGTTGTTTGTTTTCTTGTTATCTCTCACCACTAGGAAGTCAGTTTCATAAAAGTAGTTACACTTTCTGCTTTCTTTACCACTGTGTCAACACTTAAAACAGTTTTTAGCTTAGCAGGGGCTCTATAAACAATTGATGAATCGATGAGTGAATCATCTCATTTAATATCTCTTGCTATTATTTCCATTTTACACACGAGGAAACTGAGGCTTTGGAAGGTAATTCTTCCCCAATTTTTCATCATTGGAAGTCTCCAATGATGAAACTGGAATGGAATCCGGGCAAGATTTCAAAGACTGACTTCTTTAAGTACTTTAAAAGTAGCGATTGTCTGAATCCAACATTTGCACTAAAGTTTCTTCAAGTTACTTTTATCAGCTCCCTGACCTTTTCCTTTTTCTTTGGTTTATCTGTTTCCTTCATATCACCACTTCCTTTCCGTCAAAACTCTCAACTGATGTCTTATGCTTCATTTATGTTTCCTTAGCCATTACATACCTTTATCATACCTAAAGCATCAATAAGTAAATTCAGAAAATAAGAACATGGGTCATTGGAAAGTAGAAATACATAGAGTTTAGTAAGCATAGTTAAAATCTTATTTTATAAACCAGACTATCTGGAAATCTAAGTCTAAGAAGTCAAAGTATAATATTTGGCCTAAATTATATGATTGGAATCCACATTTATCAAATGAACCAAACAATAATTTTTTTTTGTTTTGTTTTAGTCTCCTCAAAGTTTAGCCAACTTGTCTCTGGAATAAAAAGTGTAGGATGGATTTACCTGGTTCACTTAATATGCTTTTTGGATGACTATGAAAAGATTATCTAGTGTCTACACTTCCTGGAATAAGATGAGAACCTTATGTGTTTTCCATGATCAAAGTGTTTAACAAAGGTCAAGTTACTTCCCTTGCACTTCAAAAACAAAAAAAAATCTAGATACTTTGGTGAATTATTTAATGTTTTTCACTTTATGTAATATCAAAAATGAGTTGGGTGGGGGAAAATCCATTCTTTCCATCATATCACTCACCTCAAGACAGACTCAGTCCTGTCCTTTGTTAGCCTCCTTTTCAGGATGATTGTAACACATCACATCAGTATTCATAGTGAAGACAAATTAATCAAAGATGTCTTTTTGTTTTTTATAAAAGTCATACAATCTTATGTGAATTTTACATAGATACAGAATATGCTAAAGATATAGAAGCAGCTCAGTGCACAATGGTTCATGTAAGTAGCTAAATCAGGTGAATGAACTTACATGCATATGTCACACAAACAACCTCTGAGAAATTACCAGCTCCCATTCAGTCCTGCTGTGATTTGCCCATCATCACACAGTCATGTCTTAAATTCCAGGTTATTAAACTGACCACTAAGAAGATTGAGTAACCGAGTGGAAAATCTAGAATCTGGTCTATCTAGAATCAGATAGACCCCGATTAAGACCCCAGCCTTCACCCCACCCCCTACAACTCTCATTTGCTATTAGCTGGTGACCTTGGAAAATTAGAAAGACTACCAAAAAAAAGTAAGAATTTGTTTGTGTGCTGTGTATTTCTGTATGTTTTCCCTTTTCTCTCCACATAAACATTTTTTCAGAATAAATTACAAAACAAACAAACCAAAACAAAATAGGACTATTGTCTAGTACCTCTTCACATCTACCAACTTTATTTATTGAATATCTAATAATAATCTACACAACTCAGTGGCAGCACCAGAACTTCCATAATTTAAAAGTCTGCAAAGAAAATCTGGTTGTAACAGGGACCTGGAGGAAGTCTTGTAAGAATATAAGTTTTACTTAATATGTTATATATAGATCTTAAGATAGTGATTTTTAAATTTATAATTTATAAAACATTGATAACACCAATAATTATCTGTAGCAAGGTATGTTGTTACTTTGAGGAGGAAGTTTTGGGGTGCTGATGAAGATTTTGGAAGATTTAAAACACCATCTCCAAGAAGCCACTGATAGAAAATACGGGCTTCATGGGATAGGTGTCCTCAGCCCAAATTACATGGAAAACACTCACAAAATAGTTGTTTATCAAATGAACTAATAAGTTAATAAATAACTGAATAGATCTAGTTGTCCTAGTCAAATGAAATACTCAAAAAGTTTTTAGATCCTGAGAACTGGAAACCTGAAATTCTTATTTTTCTATTCATTTCTATATTTTTCAAATTGTCTAGAATAATCAAGGTTTACTTGGGAAAAAATTGAACATGAAATTTCATACACAGCATGTGATCAAAAGATAGAGGAAGAAAAACAAAATGTTAGCATGGGCTCTAAGCAATTTCTTTTTCCTTCTATTTCTTGACATTTTCCAAATTTTCTATTATGTAGAAATTTTTACCATAAATAATTCCCATAAATAACAATAAAAGGACAGAATCAAAATTGTTTTTAAGAATTATTAAGTGCCTTCTACATACAGAGTTGGGTTAAGCTGACAGACCATTCGTTTGTTCAGCAAACAGGTACTGAGGACCTGCAGGCACTGGCAAATAAGCAGAGACCCAGTGATAGCCTACATGAGCTCACCAGTTGCTGCAAGAGAGCCTGGTAAAGAGAACTCCAAGAGAATTATTCAAAGGATCATCACAGCAGAAGAATACCTATGCAGGTGTGAAAGGGGCTGAAGAGCAAGGGTTATACAAGTGGGATAGGGGCTGTCTAGAGGACATGATCTTTACAGTAAATTTGAATACAATTTATAATTTGCACCATTGATAAAAAGATGTGGAGAGAAGGAAAAACAGCATGGCCAACAGTAGGAAGACCAAACAAGGTCACATTTTTAGAAAAATGCAAGTTACAAAAAGAGTCACAAAGTGGTTAGAGATAAAGCCAGACAAATCTGAAGAGATTCAATTACATATGTGTGTGCAATGCTAATTGCTTTTATTTTTCCTAAATGCACAAAGACCAAAGTAGGATGATTTGACACTTTCCCCACACACTATTTTACATTGAGAAGATTTTAAACTTATCACCTTGATTCTTCTCTTTACTTTTTGCTCCAATAATGAATAAGAAATTGGTACTAAGTGTGAAAGCTAATAAGAGGAATACCATACAAATGAATGAGAATTCAAACATAATAATTCCAGGCTATCAAGCAGTCTTAAAAGTGTTTCTAAAGTTTCTATTGGCTAGATAAGAAATAATCGAAAGTCTTAAAATTTCAAAATGAATCTAGCTCAAAGAGCTGTCAATCTCCACATTAATGTCACTGATAGAAATTTCAACACAACAAAAAATTGAGAATGGTTAATATTGCCCGATTTAAGTTTGACAAAAATGAAAAATTACATAAATTATATTTTTTGTAGCATTGAGACACAAAACCAATTAAAAAAACTAAACTAGCGGTAGCCAAAACTACACACAGAAAATGTTTCTGGCCAAAGAGAAGAATTTAAATGGTTTTGGAAAATTTAGATCTGTATTGTTTGAAAAGAAGAATTACCTTTAGAAAAGTAATAATCACAAAGGAAAATTCCAAGCATAAGCTATATTCAGTAGAACTTGACATGGGTAAAATGGATTCATGAATCTAATAGTTATTGTAAAAATTAAATGAAAGTGATGCTGCTAAACATTAGTTCAGTAAAATTAAAATTAAAATGGAAAAACTGCCAAGGATTTCACTAGGTAATATATATATAATCATCAGGGAATTAAATTGGTCTAATGGAGTTTTTTTCCTCCAAAATTTATCTTTAAGGAAAACTCATAAATGTTGGTATATTCTAATTAAATATTTGTTTTCATAAAAGTTGAGCCAAAACATACTTGGTATCAAATCACGGGTTCAGTATATTTTCTACCAATAGGAGCTTTTAAAAGAGGAATGGACAAAGGTAAGTTCTGCCTTTTACAAAGATTATCCTGGTAATGGTGGGTATGGACACAGTAAGGATTGAAGGCAGGTGAGACTTCAGGATATTTTTACACTAAGAAATCCCTGGCAAAGTAGAAGTGTGTGGATTTACAAACTATTTAGACTGTAGAATCTGGAGAAGCCTGAAAAATCTCTGAAATAAAGAATGCAAAGTTAAAAGAATTCAAAGGCCTATAAGGGATTATGCCTCTATCACTTAACCTTAAACTATCCCTTTATCTGCTCACAGTGTCTGAAAGGAAGAGATATCATTTGGAATCAAGTTTATGCTAAAAGGCTATGTGCTCTGATTTCATGGGCTCACATGAAAAAATTTACTTCTCAGAGTATCACATAATTTCAAAGCATTTTCACAAATATTATAACTTTTAATGCTTACAACACTTTATAGATGAGGAAATTGGGTCTCAAGGGTGAAAATTGATTTAGCTAAAAATCACAAGATTCATAGAGTTAGATTTTCAAAATATTTATCACTACAGATGTCATGATGTTTCCCAGCTTGGAGTGGTTTCTGCCTCATTTTCTATTATGCTTAATATGTTTTATCAGTAAATTATTATATTTTTCATCAAGTGGATGTGTTTAAAATATAGTGGCCACACTGTATTGCCATGATATTTATTGTGATTTTGATATTGTCTCTTAGCATCATTGTTATTTGTATAGGTTTCTCTAAACTATCTCTTGAATGACCACAGACAAATTGTACTTTAATTTAAAATGCAGAGAATGTCTTCTTGTCTATCAGTGATTTCTATCAAGTTTGCTATACCAGCTGTTCATATCCTAATACGTATGAGTGTGTTACCTGAGTTACCCTCAACTTTTGCCTTCTACTCCTACATTAGCAAATCCCTATTTTGGAGGGTGGATGGTTTTCTTCCAGGTATGCAAATTTTGATTATATTCTTAAATAAATGAATGATGATCATTTATACTTCAATATAATTGCATTGTAATTACAGTTTTATAATAAATACCCTGTATAGTAGAAACTGAAGTTTCAGTTAGGTGGCTTTTTCCTTTCAGACACTTGACTCATTTTTAGAGGAAATAAATATTGAATCTTTAAATACTATAGAGTTAAGCACCATAGAATATATTTGTTTAAGCTCGGTCTCTACTAAAATCTCTAATAAAAACTGATAATTTTGCTGATTGTCTGTTAAGAAATCAATCAATTGAAGGTACTATGAATGGATATAGAAGATGCTTGTTTACTTCACTAATATTGACTTTATGTGTATTTATTCTTGTCCTAGATGAAAGAGTAGGAAAGCTTTTGTTTCTCTATTTGTTCTTGTTTTTTGTTGTGATTCCTGAACATATAATTCTCTGCTTATAGTAGTCATTCCTAGACTCTTTTAACAGACTGATATTGAAGTAGCACACTGACATACAAACAGGAATGAAGATTAAATATTTTAGACAATAATTAGATATTTTCTAATATAAATATTGGTTAGAGCCAGGTACACAAAATCCAGTGATTGCCATAATTTTTATTCCTGTATATTTGGGTATTATATAGAAATAGGCATCAAATCATATTGCTAAAGTCTTGCCATATTTTTTTTCTGGTGTATCATATCTTAAAAAGTGAGGTCTTTATGTATGCAAAAGTCATAGCACTAAGCCTTTGGTAAAAGGCCACTGCTATGGGATTGAGTATCTAGTACTTACAAAGATATTTAGACTAGACAGAAATTAATTTTAAACTGAAGATATGTTAAATTTCCATTCTAATTGTTTCCCATGTAAATAACTACATAAATCTATAAGATGTCTAGAAAAAAAAATCAAAGGTCAGCACTGATGAAAAATTTCTCTCTCTGCACCAAGGTGACATATACACACATGGTCTGAAGATGAAACCTTGCCTTTGTGAACATTGTGTATTTACCAAGAGAATGAATCAACCTCAGTACAAATCTCTGCCCCTTACCTACTCAGATTGACATTCATCACCACACTGTCTGTAAAGAAATTATTCCCAGCTCTCTACAAACTTTTGTCGTGCAAATAATGCAACACCTAGGGTGCACCATATTCCATCTGCCCTTGCAAGCAATCCCAGAGCACTAGCATCAGTGTTCAAACCAGCAATTGCCATGACTGGACCTGATCTGTTTGTGTTATCACTCCGCTACATTTGTATTTCCCTCCCATTCCTTGCTTTTTCTCCTATGGGTATGTGTATCTGAAAAATAAAATTGACCCTCCAAATTACATTACCTAGAATGTCCAAAGAGCAGATCAAAGAAAATTTAGGAAAAACATTCTCAAACTATGAACTTTTAGGAAGTCAGGAGGCTCTTTCCAGACGAGAGGTGAGATAAGGAGAGTAAGAAAGGGAGCAAAGAAAAAACAAACAAACAAACAAACAAAAACAAAAAGGCAAGACTGTAAACATCTAGATCCAAAATCAACTTAATTTAATCTGGACAAAATAGTCCTGCTGTCTTCATCCTCCCACTTCGCCTCTGGTTAATTTTTTTATCTCATATTCTCCCTCTTTTTGACTTCCCTCTTTGAAAATTTTCCTTTCCTTTGTCACTACAATATGCAGTTTTATTTTTTTAATCTATGATTTATTCAGTGTCTGGTGAAAAATTAGGTATGGGAACTATGAGTTTATGCCTTTTGTGTCTCCTATACCTGATTTCATGTAGGTTACAATGTCAAGAAATCCACTAATTCACATGTCATCATCATCATCAATCATCATCACAAAAAAGAGCAGATTGAAATGACTTGAAAAATGCCAAGAAAAGGTGATAAAAAGTGTGCAATTCAATGGAAATATTTTGTGGCAAAAGTGACATAAGAGAACATAATAGAAGAAGTAGGATTTGCCCAGAACCTTAAACACCTTGAGAAAGTATAGAGGTGGGTGTTAAAACTACCTCCTGTTTGTTTTCTTTTAATCAATCATAGAAGAAAAAGAAAGAAAAAAGAAAGAAAGAAAGAAAGAAAGAAAGAAAGAAAGAAAGAAAGAAAGAAAGAAAGAAAGAAAGGAAGAAAGAAAGAAAAGAAAAAAGATCCCTTCCCAGCTCCAGGCCTAGCCCCCAGATCATTAGTGGAACCAGTTTCTCTGGCAAAAAAGATTAGAATTTATACCAAAGGCAATGAGAAGAAATCAGTAACCCTTCACTTTTTATTTTACTTTTTAAGCTGTAGATTACATTAAAAAAAGGATGAGACTTCAGACTGATTAAAAAAACTATTACAATTTTACAGGTGAGAAATAATAAAGCCATGAATTAAGATGATGGCAATGGAGGTGTCAAAGCAAGAAGTTATTAGAGATTATTACAAAGCAAAATTTCAGGACTTGGGGAGCATGTTAATGTCTGGATTTAGGAAAGGTAGTAAGTTCCGTGTTTCTGAGGGATGAGTCTAGAGATGGAGAATCAGAGTGATCAACACATAGTAGGCAATGATACGTAACCAAATGGAGAAAAGAGAACACAGGCGAAGGTCTGAAGTTCATGGGAACGCCAAATAGACAAACATGGAGAACTGATAGATAGATAGATAGATAGATAGATAGACAGATAGATAGATTGACTAGTATATATAACCCACAAATATATAACTAGTTTATGTGTGAGTATCTACATAAAGAAATATATGTTCAAGTATATGAACAATGTAGAAACATCTATATTTCTATACTGGTTAATTGTCACTGGTGAGAGGATAGCAAATAGTCCAGAACAAAGAAAGAACTAAGTTCAAGCTAACTACTCTGCCCCTATACTTACTTACACAGAACAAAAGAGAAAAAGATAATATAGGCCCTAGCCGTAGTCTTTCCTGTAACAAAGTACATTTCAAACTTTAGCAATGATAAAGGTCACAGGCAGGTTTTTAGTAGGACATTTTTTTTCAAATTAATAAGTAATTCTAATCACATTCCCAAATCTCTAAATTATGGAGTATTTAGAACTTAATAGGACTGCTTACCAAATTCAATTAAATAATTTTCATTGAATGTCTGTGATGTGCAAGGCACAGTCCATGTTTATAACATGAGATATATATTTTTAATACAGATGGAAAAATGAAGAATTATGTCCAGGAAATGAGTCTTAACTGTTATGACTCATAACAAAACTCATCATATACCTCACATACCATAACTCATATACTCCTAACTGCCATGCTATAGTGTGGTAGATCTGCCTGGCATTACAACTTTATTAGAACCAGAGAACACTCACCTTCACCTGCCTTCTTAAAACCATCATTGTCCCCTAACATTATTTAGAAATTCTAAACAAAGTTTGGCTTCCAGTTGCCATGGCAAAGAGGCACAGAGCAAGAGGATTAGGAAGTCTTGAGTAAAACTGAACCCTGCCTGGTTGTTGCCGTGGCAAAGATTAACTTTGGCCTTGTCCGTGTGTGCATTTTAGATATTAAATAAAATATTTGAATTATGCATAGAGTTACCATTGATGGCTCTCTACATTTGGCTCTATTTCTTTATGCCTTTACAGCATACAATATAAATTTTGTTCCCCAAAAGTTTATTATTTCCTGTAGGCACTAAACTAATTTTAACACGTTAAAATGAAACATAGAATCCAACTCATTTGTTGCTAAAAAAGAAAAATAAATAATTTAAAGCATTAAGAATTTTCCAAATTATACATTAAATCACAAAATGTTTCTTGCAACTTGAAAGGATTATAAACAATATTTGCAGATACAAATGATTATATCTGTATATGTTTTTCCACAAATAAGCATATATCTCAGGGAGTCTACAAATGTCTTTTAGAAAAATGTTTGCTCTCAATATTTATGTGAGCAACTGAAGATAAAGTTGAGTTTTCAAAATAAATTTATGTATATCCATTTATTTGCTATGGTATAAATCATTCAGCAAAGTTGATATAAAGGTTTCTAGACCCCATCATATTATTTCAATTATAAATTCAAAGATGTGTCTTATGGTTAAAAAAACATCCTGTAATAGAATGAGTTGAATTTTTATTCACAAAGGAAATATTTCACACTCTGATTTAAGCATATAATAGGATATTTGGTCTATTCAGGAGGTTGGGAAGTTTGCCTGGAATAAAAAGCAATGGAGCTAGACCTGAAGAAAATAATAGAAGTTAAATGAATATGAAGAGAAGAAAAATATTCTGGCTTACAAAATGTCTCAGTATTTCTTTATGCTCATTTAAAAATGCTTTTCGACATTTCCTGAGTGGGAATTTTAAATGAAAATCTGTTCTGATTTGTGATAATATACATATATCACTTCATTGAGATTATTATTCTTTATAATTTACTTTTTATTATCATAAGCTTTAAAGGGATGGTAACTTGATAAACATTTTCTGTACTAAGACAAATGCTGCAAATATATAGATTTTTAAAAAATTCACCTTTGCAATAAAAAGCAAAACAGCCACAACAACAACAACAAAAATCTTATGTTGTTTTTCTTTCCTCTTTCTTTCCTCTCCAAATAGAAATTGTCAATGTAACATGCTCAAGAGGTAGCTACTTCCCTGACTTTCAGAGGAAAGAAGAACGGTAAAAGTCAAAAAAAGACTTCAAAGTGAATTGTAATAAGCAAGTTGTTTTAAAATACTTTTTATACTTTTTGGAATTTCTACAAAAATTTTATTTTCAATGTCCTTTTAGATACTACATCATAAAGAGAAATATTAAATATTAATTATTAGTTACATTCTATAATCTATTGAAATGTACTCATGATTCATATTGACGCCGCTCAAGAACTATCCATTGAATAGACCATAAATGTGCAAAGATTTCAAACTTTAATAGGCACTGGAAGTCCAACTAGTTGCATTTTCCTACTGAATACAGCATTTGCATGATTTTTAAGAGTTTAAATATTTCTATCTCATCAAGGCTGTAATATTTACCCACCACCCAGGAAGGGCGGTGGCTCCACAAGAATTTCTAAAGCAAAAATGTATTAAAACTATTAACAAGAAACTAAAAACTTGATTTAAAATACATTCTGTGATAAAAATTGCAGAAAGTTAATATTTTACTAAATATCTCAATATATTTTTGAACTATTATATACCCAAGTATTCAATAAAATATGTCAATTAAATTCAAAATTTGAGGAAGCAAACTTCAGGTCTGAAAAGAGGGAGTGGCTTACATACAACCAAAGCTGTTTTATGACTTTTTAAAAGATCAAATTTGTTAAAAGAATAAAAACTCACTTATTTTATCATTAAAAAATTCTCAGGCTTTTATAAATGTGTGTTATTGTCACTTTGGAAGTTAAGTAATAATGTTGCTTTTGTAATATCTTTGAACAGTTGTAAATAAAGATACAGATAGACATTGCTTTCCTTTTAAAATTGTATTTTTTGTCCCGAAACATTTATGTCTTTGTAAACAGAAACAATGTATTCTGTCACACAACTAGCTATGTCTCCCTGAGACAACAATCTTGATGGTTTACAGCAGGCTTCTCACTTCCAGTTACCAACACATTTAAATTATTTTTATGTCTATTTCAAACATTCCTCCAAAAGAGAAAAAATAATTTAAAAAATATTAATATCCTTGTACTTACCTGTCACAAATACTTCTGTGTCCAGAAAGGCAAAGCCAAATGCCAAGAGTTTAAGCCACAAATACATGGTCATATCTGGAAGTCAGCCGTGTCCCTAAGAAACAGCATGCGTCCTTCTGAAAAGCAAAATAATTGTTATCTCTGTAGAAGTTTTTCTCTGTAAAAACGAATCAAAAATGTAAAAGTAAATAAATAAATGCATACTCTCCACTGTTGTCTTATCAGACGAGGAACAATTTCCTCCTCTGTTACCCTAAGAACAAACCACTTGCTAGCTGCATGAACTGCTAGGTGATGATGTCAGATTCGGTTTTACTAACTTCTCCAAAAATACTGTAAGGGTCCTCTTTGCAGGAAGTCAAAAAAGTTGTTCTAAGTCAGTAGAATGGCATTGCACTTCCTTAATTCAAGTAATTACACCAAGTTAGAAAGCCTTTTAAAAGATTTTCCCATCAAGGAAGATGTTTTTAAACCATCCAAATAATGCTCCTTTACAGTATCCATTACCATTTTTTTTAAATTAAATCCCCACAAAATAATCAATAATTTTCTTACTTAAGAGATGACAAACAGATTCAGCATAAGTATAACAAAATGGGTGTTGGCAAGATGACTTAGTAGAAAGTATCAATATTTGACTTACTGAGACGGCCAAATGAATGAAAAAACTACTAATCTGGTTATTTTTGGCAACCCAGTATCATTTACCATTAGGGCATTCAAAACTCAGCAATATGACAGTTTTAGCAGTAAAACCCATTTCTTATGCAAAAGCACTTTCAGACAGCTTAACAGTTTTGCCCCAAATCTTTCACAGATATCCTTGTGAAGCTAGGAGTGGAATCAGAATGTCATTTCTACTATAGTTACAGCAAACCCTGCTTCCAAAAACTAATGTTTCTGTGACTTAAGATGTTCTTGGCGCTACTGATGAGGGAAAGGACAGTGAAAACCAAGAGATACCTTTAACAAAAGTTAACTTGTTTCCTTTTTCTCAGCAATACTTTTTCAACTTTTTTAACAAATAAGACAATGAATTGTATTAACACAATGCTCTTCACCATTCTGATGTTCTTAGTTAAGTCCATCTATTAGGAAAATGCTTACTGGCAAAAAGTATAAATTCAACAATACAATTAGATGAATTGGTTTTATTAATACAATATCTATATGCCTTTAAAAATAAAAGTACACACATGTGCAACTCATTTATTTGAACAATAGATAATGCTTGGGGGACTTTTAGACAGACAGAGCCCTTGTGGTAATTCTGCAAACCCTAGTTTGGAAGCATTATTGTAGGGTTCTTATATTTAAGTAAATAAATCTTTTGATACTTACAAACTTTTTTGTTTTACTCTTACATTGGCTGCTAGGAACTACAGAGCCAAATTTCTATCACACTTTGTGCAAATGGAAATAACCCCACAGCTTAAACTCTAGGTAATAACCTTTTAATAAGATTGTAGTTAAGAATATTATTTTACTATGATTATTATTATATTTAACTTATGGAGCACTTACTATGTGCAGGAACTATGCTTTGCACTTTACATATATTGTATAATTTGTACGATACCCTTGAGCTAGATAATGTTATTATTCCCCATTTTATCTGTGATGTTCAGAGAGGTTAGTTGAGTTGCCTAAGATCTTGCAGCTAGGATGTAGACAAGCTATATTTAGAACCCAAGTCTCCAAGTTTAATTTTGCTTTCCTTACTCACCTTACTATTGCCCTTTATTTTTCTCATCCCTTTTACCAATCTTTTTGTACTATGTAAGTTTATAATACTCGAAAAGATAGACCTTTGAATCAGTGAAAATGAAATTATTCTCTTTTTGCAAATGTATTTTTAAATAAGATAACTGTGCAAGTAAGCACTAATTTTCATGTGGGTAGGCCTAATAAAACATCAGTGTCAGAACTCATGGATTTGAATACTCAGCTCCTCAGCCTATGTCTTAAAATACATTTGCAACAGAAAACTCTTTGGGGATTTGCTTTAAATATCTTTAAGCAAATACTTGTGTTCTGTGAGCTTGCTGTTATGGCAGAATATTTGGCAAAATTAGAGGCCAGGAGAAAAGTGTATATGATCTTTTAAAAGGAAGAAAAGTATATAAAATATACTCTATAACAATGTGAGTTTAGCAGCCTTAAACGGACATTTTAAAAGGGATTTGTGGCTTTAAAAAAATAGTAAGAAGTTAGGAGATTCAATTCCATTTCAGACAGGTGAGAAGACAGATTCTACCCAAGGAATCCAAGATAGATTAGCAACAAATGAGTTGCATTATATGTGTTAATCCAACACATATATAATGTTTTAACATATTCATTGTGTTAAAATTGAGTTTAGTGTCTATAGGAAATACTAGAATTTTAAGCAGCAAAATCTGTACTGTGTATTATAAAGGTGTAAAGACATACAGCTTGAAATACAGAGACATCAGCAGATGAATGTATATACAATTCTGATGGCTCAGAATGGAGACAGTGGCAACCCAGAGGTTTGTTAGCCTGAGGTCCAGGCTGTCAGGAGGGTAGGCAAGAGGGAAGGCCCTAGCAGCTTGTTAGGAGACAGAGCCAGGTTGTCCTTGATGGTATACTACACTAAGCCAGACATCCAGGAAGGACTCCGGGTAGCAGCTTGTCTTTCCACAGGGCATCTGGGGAAATTTCTACTGTATCACATACAGGCCTGGCATCCAAGCCTTCCGCTTGCATCAGCAGAAAACTCTCAAAGAAAACAGGAGGAGTATTTATGACATACTGATGTGATCCACTCTCACTGATTCCCAGAGGGAGGGTGGGCTGGTTGCTGATAAATGGGTATTTTGCAAAGAACAACTGAGTCTAGGAAATGGGCAGGAAGTAACACCAGATTTCATACATAGTAAATACAATGGCACTTGTTGAGTAGCTGAAAACAGTATGTATCCAAAGTCATCTCAAATTTTGATGAAGAAAATTTCAAAATAATCATAGTTAATCAACTTACAATAGATTTTTAAAAGCTTAAAAACTTAATATTTACTTAAATCAATAAAGTCATTTTCCAGATTTTTAAGGCTACCTACAGTAGAGGTTATATAAAGACAGAAACAGATTACAAGTTAACTACAGAGGCAGATGTTACTCATTTGTTCATGCATTCATTCACTCATTCATTCAACAAATACAGAGCAAGTTCCTAATGTAATCCAGTCATTTTACCTGACATGAGGAAAAAATGGTGAGCAAAAACAGGCATGCTTTCTTTCCTATCTACACTTTAGTGGAAGACACAATAATTAATTATCCAGTCATCATGACACTTTCATCACAAAGGCAATACTTCCACACTGTGATTTAAGCATATAATAGGATATTTGGTCTATTCTGGAGGTTGGGAAGTTTTCCTGGAATAAAAAGCAATGGAGCTAGACCTGAAGAAAATAAGTTAAATGAGTATGAGGAGAAGGAAAGTATTCTAGGCAGAAATAATAAATTTAAAGGAGGAGACTGTGTTCAAGGAACAGGAAGAGATGTGAGGCTGATGTAGAAAGAAGCAGAGCCTGGAAAATAAGGAGGTTTCAGAGGGAGATGATGGCCAAATCTTGCCAGGCCTTGCAGGTTCCAAGAATATGTATTTACCCTAAGAGCTATGAGGAAGTTATGAAGCATTATAAACATTGTTCTTGAATTTTCTTACCAATCGTCTCCATGTTGCCAGATTTTATACCATCATTTGTTTCTCTACCCTCATATTATGTGACTTCTTAGTAGCATTAAACAAAATCTTTCCTTCTCTAACCATTATGTTTTGTCAGCTTCCAAAACATCATTACCTACAAATTTAAATTTCCTTAACCCTTATTGGCTTTTCCTCAACAGTTGCCATATTGGGTCCTCTTCCTCTGTCTGCCCTTTTTGTCTCTTTGAGACAGTCTCAGCTCTGTCGCCCAGGCTGGAGTGCAGTGGCACGATCTCAGCTCACTGCAACCTCCGCCTGCTGGGTTCAAGTGATTCTTCTGCCTCAGCCTCCCCAGAAGCTGGGACTACAGGCACGCACCACCATGCCCAGCTAACTTTTTGTATTTTAGTAAAGATGGGGTTTCACCATGTTGTCCAGGCTGGTCTGAGCTCCTTGAGCTCAGGCAATCTGCCCACCTTGGCCTCCCAAAGTGCTAGGGTTACAGGTGTGAGCCACCGCTCCCAGACGACTTTTTTTTTTTTTTTTTTTTTTTAACCAGGGTCTCTCTCTGTTACCCAGGCTGGACTGCAGTGGTGCGATCAGGGCTCACTGCAGCTTCTACCTCCAGTGCTCAAGCGATCCTCCCACCTCAGCCTCCTGAGAAGTTGGGACTATAGGCGTACACCAACACACCCAGCTCAATTTTTTGTAGAAACAGAGTTTTGCCATGTTGCCCAGGCTGGTCTCGAACTCCTGGACTCAAGAAATCCACCTGCCTCAGCCTCCCAAAGTGCTGGGATTACAGACGTGTGGGCTACCTTGCCCAGTCTCTACCTAACTTTTAAGTACTACTAAGATACATTACAAGCTCAATTCTGTACCCACCTCTCTCTTTCTGTGTGAGCTCCTTCGTGGGAATAACTAACGAATTTATATTTCCAATCAGATCTATGATATATTTGAGATCTCTAGATTCACATTTTGCTACCACATTCTTAACTAGTCTACTAGATTGTCTCAGAGCCAACTCAACAGAACATAGAAGTCTTGACCCATCCTTTCTTTAAACCCATCCCAATTCTCAATCTTATTTATATCTGTAAATGCACCAGTATACACACAGTAACTTGCAACAGAAGCCTAATTTTTATTTTTTATTTCTTCTTTCCTGTTACAACTACTAAATCATTAACAAATCCCATTCATACTCTCTCCACCATCTATCTTGTGTTCTGTTTACAATTGTACCACTTAGAATCAAACCATCATCACTGTTCAGGCTTTTGACTAACTTCCAAGCCTCCATCTTATCTTCCTTCAGTATTTCCTCCAAAGAGAAATCAAACCGATTTCTGTCCATACAAATCAAGCTGGGATAAGTCCCTACTTAAAATCTATCAGTATTTTTCTTATTTGCATTTTTAATAAAATCCAACCTCTGTATTATTTCTCAACCCATTTAATACACTTCCACCTGGTTCACGTTATGATCTGGCCACACTGATTTTTTTCTATTCCTAGAAATGTCATGCTTTCCTATTTCAGGGCTTTAGCTCTTCATTCTTCCCAAGATGCTTTTCTGGTTCACCCCCACCAACCACTCTACATAACTTCCTTCTGGTAACAGCATAAATGTCACTTCCTCAATGGAGTTTCCCTGACCATCCTACATAAAAGAAGCCTCTCTAAGTTACTTTCTTTCTCAGAACCTTGTTTGTTTTCTCCAAATTCTGGGATATATCTGTATGTTCATATCCAACTCCCTGCCAAGAACACAAGCCTGTCCTCTAGATAAGGGGTCTCCAACCCCAGGGCTGTGGACTGGTATCCATCTGTGGCCTATTAGGAACCAGGCCACACAGCAGGAGGTGAGTTGCAAGCCATTGCGCATTACTGCTTGAGCTCCACCTCCTGTCAGATCAGCGGTGGCATTAGATTCACTAAGGAGTGCAAACCCTATTCTGAACTGCACAGGAAAGGGAACTATGTTGCATGCCCCTTATGAGAATCTAACTAATGCCTGATGATCTGAGGTGGGGTAGTTTCATCTGAAAACTATCCCCTGACCCAGCCCATGAAAAAATTGTCTTCCATGAAACCGGTCCCCAGTGCCAAAAAGGTCGGGGACCACTGTTCCGGATGATAGACCATGAGGCTTAGGCAGTACTTAATATAATGGTTGCCATATGTGATACATGTTAAATAAATGGAAGAATGAATGAGAAGATTTACACATGAAGCTGTGGCGTGGTCAACATATTGGGGGTTGGCAAGAGTAAGAATTGGGAGAACGGTGGAGAAGCTTGTGCTGTTGCACAGGCAAAGAATGATGACAGTAGAAGTGTTTACCAGTTAAATAAATTACCAAATTACTTAACTCTAGCAATTACAAAATTGTATACACATCCTTATCAATGAATGAAAATATAGGAGCACAAAGGAGAGACTACTTCTACATCTCTAAGATTTGTTCTAGAAATACATTTTTTGCATTCTGTCATTTTGTCTTTTGAAAATTTAGGCATTGAGGGCTGGGCGTGGTGGCTCACGCCTATAATCCCAGCACTTTAGGAGGCCAAGGCAAGCAGATCACTTGAAGTTGGGAGTACGAGACCAGCCTGGCCAACATGGTGAAACCCCGTCTCTATTAAAAATACAAAAATTAGCAGGGTGTGGTGGTATGTCCCCAAAATCCCAGCTACTCAGGAGGCTGAGGCACAAGAATCACTTGGACCCAGGAGGCGGAGTTATGGTGAGCCAAGACCATGCCACTGCATTCTAGCCTCGGCAACAGAGTTAGACTCCATCTAAAAAAAAAGAAAAGAAAAAAGAAAAGAAAACATAGGCATTGAGGAAAGAAATATGTGGTACCGTGTTTGGGTAAAATGCAAATACAGACAAAGACAAGTCTTACCACTGGCAAATTGACCAAGGTGGGAGGTGGTGCTGCTTTGAAAGTTTTTCTCATTTTGAGCACTAGAATCTTAACTTTCCTGGTCATCTTAGATACACCCAGTGCATATATACCTATGTCTCAATGATCAATGCCAACACTGTAGTTCTTTAATATGGTGTTTTAAGAAAATATTTTTCCTAGTGGCCAAGAAACATGGTTAAATCCTAGTTCTAGCAATGATCTCATCTCTCTAATATGGAGATAATAATACTTTTAAGTGTTGCCATGAGAACTAAGCATATTAAGCAAACATTCAATAAATGGTATAAAGTAAACACACTTGGTTATAATTAAACATACACCAACATAGCATACATCCTATTCCTCTTTCTAACCCCAACAGAAGAAATATAGGGAGGGAGAAGAGTTCCCCTAGGACCCGACCAGGAAACATTTTTGCGTTCTGCCATTTTGTATTTTGAAAATTTAGGCATTGAGAAAAGAAATATGTAGTACTTGATAAAACATATCTCTCTGCCTTTGTGTAAAATGCAAATACAAAGATAAGTAGAAAAGAAATATGTGTTCCCTTCTGCAGATGTCACAGGCAAAGTCCTGATGGGTACTAAAGATAAAGAAGAGGTGAAAGAGTTAAACTAGATATGAAAGTAAAGTATTCAACTGGCCTGAAATGAACTTTGGGTTGTTTTTACTCAAAAGTTACTAGGAAGTTGTGGGACCTGCCATATATATTGTTAAAAGATGGAAAGAGGAAATTAAATATTCTTAGCTTTATTAACTTAAAGATACTTGTTGGTTTCAAGATGCATCCTGACTTCGGCAACCCTAAAATATGTTTTATAAAATGTGCATCTTAGAATCAATGAAATACAGAAGCATAGCTGACCAGTGGCAAGATAATATATGATGTTTAATATTTATACCTGATTGAATCCAGACTGCTTAATAAGCCAGTAATAAATACAAAGAACTATACAGCATAGGTAATGAACTCTGAGACCAGTTTCCAAATCCATCTTACTGAGAAAGTCTTGTAACTTTTCACACATGAAGGGAGTCTTCCACTCTGGAGTGGCCTTCTGTGGATTTCATATTTTTCTTGTTCCATGAGGTCTAAGCTGAGATGTATGTGTTTTACTTCAGGCCTCACATTCAGTGTTACAAGCCATGTATAACATTTGTCGATTCCTTTGATGGCTGCAGGTTGCTGAAACCTCTGTCTCTCTGTCTCTCTCTGTCTCTGCATCTCTTTCTGCACTGGCTTTTGGCAATGACTTTCCTGTCTGGGTTCTGCCATTTGCATATCTTGATGCATAAAGACAGCATGGAGCAAGTATAGCAGAGGGTTTAAAATAGCTTCCAAATTCTATGAGGATACATAATGTTGGAAAATGTAACAGTATAAAATAGATGTCATAAATCCATCCATGGTCTATTATATATGCTTAATTATAACCTAGTGTGTTTAAACCATTTATCGAATGCTTGATTAATTAACTAATTTAGATTTCACGACAATGCTAAGATAGTATTATTGCCTTTTCAACATAATAGAAAATAAAAACAAAACATCATGCACACTTCACTGTATCTCTGCTGTCAGTGATGTTTTTCTCACACCATGTCTACCCAGCTGGTGTTCTGCTCACCTGCATGAATTTGTTTACCTTCATGTGCAGTTTTTCATCACTTGTCATACAACTCACATACTCTTTGTCATCAATTTGATGTGAAGCTGTATTTCATAGTGGTTTCTTCTTTGGTAGCTCTGATTACTTGAAAATATAATGGTCTGTGTTTTTTGTTGTTTTTTTTTTTATCCACAAAAAAAAAATTTCTAGAAGTCCATCTCTGAATCACACAGTGGTTTGAGTACACTGTGGAACAGCAACATAACATCAATAACTAATCAGTGGACAGTGTTACCAATGCTGCAAAGGGTGTACTTTCAAATTAAAATTTCGGCATTCATCTTGTAATTAATTCCAATAGAAAATGATCACACACACACACACACACACACACAAAAAAACAAAAGCTTCTTTGAAAAAGCTAAAGCGAATCTCAAAATTGAAAGAACATAGATGTACTGATGTTCCAAGTTTGTAACAGAGTCACAAGGTAAACAGTGACAGGTTACTTATGGATTGAACCCTACTAATCTAAAGTAAATAAAACTGGCCAGGCACAGTGGCTCACGCCTGTAATCCTAGCACTTTGGGAGGCCTAGGCAGGCAGAATGCCTCAGATCAGGAGTTCAAGACCTGCCTGGGCAACATGGCGAAACCCTGTCTCTACTAAAAATACAAAAAAATAGCCAGGCATGGTGGCGCACACCTGTAATCCCAACTACTGGGGAGGCCGAGGCATGAGAATCGCTTGAACCCAGGATGTAGAGGTTGCAGTGAGCCGAGATTGATCATGCCACTTCACTATAGCCTGGGCAACAGAACAAGAATCTGTCTCAAAAAAAAAAAAAAAAGGTAAATAAGAATGAACTAAATAAAATGAGAGCCAAACACATGTAAGAATGTATAATTTTGATATAATGTATTCCTAGAACTTCAATTTGTTGCAAGTCTCAACGATCACACTCTTGACATCTCAAAGTCATTATATATTGCTTTAGCCAATAAACACATTAAAAAGATTCATTGTCTACTCTGATTTGCCTAAAGTTTTTATCATATAAATTCTGATTATGCTGGCTTTAGTTCGATATGATCTTGAGTCTGTCTCTGGGTTGACAAAATGCAATGTAACAAGGAGGTTTTCTTACCCATTTTATTCTTAAAAGCAGCAGCCAGTATGCTGAGTTAGGTAGGTTCTTGCAGCTATTTCAACTCTCTTTTCATCACTCTGTATCATTCTTGAAACTTACTTCCTCCAATTTATCACTAATACCTCTTCATGTTACTTTCTAAACATATCTTAAGTTTATGAACTTCTTCCTGTCTAGACCATCACTATCTTAGACCAAGTTACCAACATCTCAAATAAACAACTGAAACAGCCTCTTAACAGTTTTGCCCATATTTCCTCTAATATTATTTCTCACTAGCCAATCCATTATCCACCTTCATCCTAAGAAGTCTTTTCTAAATAAAATCATATAGTGTGTACCATACCCCATTCCATCGAATTTAGGATTAAAAGAAAAATGCCTAAGAGGACCTCAAAGGGTCTGCATCAATGCTGAACTCTCAGTGAAGCCCCAACTTTCACCATATTTCTTGGCTCCTCATCCCTGTCACACAGGTGTTGGCTTAGACCCTGATTTTTACCATGGTCCTAGGAAGGTAATTGATTTTCTGTCTAGTGCCTTCTTCACCTTAAAAACTCTGCCCCTACCACCCATAATCATCTAGTAATATTCTTCCAATCCTTCAGGTATGAGCTCAGTTGTTCCTGTCCCCAAGAAGTCCTCCTTGTACTTCTCTGATTAGACCAAATACCCTACCATGGGTCTCCTAGCTTTTTTTTTTTCATTTTCTTTACGGCACTTGTCAGATTAATTGGGGGATTGTTTGATTAATTTTTGTTGCTTTCAGAAAATCATACATTCCATGAAGTCTAATACTCTAGCCCATAGGCAGAGGTGTACTACAATTAGTTGTTGAGTTGAATGAATAACCACAAAATATTTGCTGATGCTTTGGGGCTACCTAAGACTCTTAGATCTTTTCACAACTCTGACATAGAGAATAAATTTCCTGGGAAGAGGGTTAGAATTAATTTGAGTTGTAGAAAATAAAGGAGTATGATAATTTCTGAACACCTGAATTGAGGTTACAAAACTTTATCTGCTAACTTGTTTAGTAGAGCACCTTTATTCTTCCTACTTATAAATTCATTTTCTACCCTGCATGCAGGAAGAAACAAAATGTGCATGTACAACAAAAGTTATCTCCCAAAGATATAGTTCTATTTTAATGGAAGATCCTATTTCTCTAAACACTGTTAACGAGGGTTAATGTTATCTGCTGGAACAATTAAATCCTCAAATTTACAATGACTCAAACATAGCAGAAACTTATTTCTTCCCTCACGAAACAGTTCAAAGTGGCGTTCCAAGGTCGGCAGCTGATCTTCTCCATATAGGGATTCAATTAATAGTATGTTTCATTCTGAGACTCTGTAATCTCTTGGCTTTTCTGTTGTCTGCATTTAGCGGCAGAAGAAGAAGGAATGTGTGCATAAGGCACACACAATTCTTAAAGGCCTAGGACTGGAAGTGACACACATCAACTTGCCACCCATTCCACTGGCAATAACTACTCACATTGTCCAGACCCAGATACCAGGGGATGGAGGTGATGGGAAATGTATTCTCCATTTGGGCATTCACTAGCCAATCACAACTCTAAACTGTGGAAGGGAAGCATAAATATGAGTTTTGGGGGACAAGTAGCATTTCTGCCAAAAATAACTTGAGTTTGAACAAGAAAAAAATTGTCCAAGAGAACTTGATAGTAGAAACAAGAAAGTGCTGAATCATTCTACTATAATGTAGAGTACAGTGGGAATAAAAATAAGTAATACCTTATCTGTGTTGTCAAGGAGTTCAGTCCAGGGAGGAAAATGACAAAAGCACAACTACCTGTAATATAATATTATATGTGATAGATGTATAAACAAATATATGTGTATGTATGTTCAAGTTTTGATAAAATATAAGTCTGTTTGAGCCTTCAGGATTTGCTTAGATCTTTAACATTTCCTTTGTTTTCTCTTAGATGAATGCCAAGCATTGGGTTTTGTTGGTGCCAAAGGGATATTACTTTTAAAATGTTACTTGTTTTATAGACGTGCAGCATTTGTGATACCTTATTTCCTGCCAAATAATCTTGTTACTTTCATTTTTATGGACTGTTACTGTGTAAGGTAGTAATTTTTCATGTTACAAAAAATCTTGTAAAGTAAACAATATAACAAAGACATCACAGAAGTGAACTGAAGTGAAAATAGAAAAATATCATGTGCTTGCACAATTCTATGGGACTCACTTACCATTTAAAGTACCAAAAGAGGAGTTTCAGTTTTAATTACTTGTGTTTTTCTCAAAAACTACTACTAGTGGTAGTATAGTGCTCACTACATTTCAGGCACTGTGCTGAGCATTCACATGAATTTTCTCCCTTAATCATAGCACCAGGATGAGGGAGGTACTGTTAGCATCATCATTTTTGCAGATGAGTGAACGGGTCCAAATTAGTAAAGAAACTTCCCATAGCTTATTTATACTATAAGAAACAGAACTTATGTTTAAACCCAAGTCCCACGTTCAATAATATGAACCCTAAATATTCTACCATGAGGAGTTTTCACTGACAAATAGATCAAACTCTATGTAACTCAAATGGCCACCGAAATGACACAGAATCGAATAACATTCTAAATCAAACATACTTCCTATCTCTAAGAATAAACAGTGTAAACACATGCAATACAAAAAGAAATATTTTTAGGGAGTTGATATCTAATCTCTTCTATCTAACTTCTAAAAATTACCATTTGGGGCCCTCTTCTTTCTCCACATTTTCTCTTAAGATTTTATTGATTCCCACCAACTGAAATACTATAGGTTTCTAGGGATTCAAATATCCAACAATATTTTCTACCCTTAGCCCCAACCTCAATGCCCCTATTTTCTACTGCCTAAAATGAAAAGGCACTTGGGTGTTTCAAGGACAACCATATCCAAATCTAAACTCTTGGTTTTCTCACTTTTCTCACCTGCTTTCCTGCCCCAGCACACTCCCCTACCTTGATGAGGACACAGCTACTCAAGCCAGATACCTTGATGTCATCTTGGATCCTCCTTTGTCCTCATTCCCCATTCTCATTTGAAGCATCCAAGCCCAATCCAGAACCAAGTTCTCTCCATTCTGTCCTCTAAAATGTTTATCAATTTCATCTTCTCCTTCCCATATCCAATACCTCCATGTCCAGGCAGCACCATTTCTCTTCTGGAGACTGGTGCAGCCTCCTAACCTGTCTCCCTGCTTCCACTCTCACGCTCCTCTAAGCCGTTCCCACACTGCAGCAGAAAAGAGTTTCTTAAAATGTAAACAAGTCCATGCTATTTCCTTGCATAAAATCTGTTCAAAGGTTTTATTTGCAATTTAAATAAAATTCAAACTCCTTATCAGAGCCCATAAATTCCCGCGAGTTCTAGCCTTAACCTGGTTCTCACACCTGATCCTGCATGACTTTTCCACATTTGTCTTCATCCCATTACATACGCTGTTACTTCAACAGTTATCTTTCCCTACTACTTCTCATCACTGAATCCTTCTCAGTTTTACATCACTGCTTCACTCTCACCTTCTCAGCAACGTTTTCCTTGATCATCCTTTCTAAAGAGCACCCCCAACTATTCTCTATCTCATCTCAACTCCCATTTATTTCATAACATTTTTCAATAATTGTGAATTTTTATTTTTCACTTTATTTACTAACCTTTTTTCCATCTTCCCACTTAACAGTAAACTCCATAAGAGCAAGGGCCTTGCTTATCTTGTCCATCAAATCACTTGTGCCAGGAACGGTGCCTTTTTTTTTTTAACAAGATGCCCAATAAATATCTGTTAGCAAAGAAGATAGTGATGGTATAAATGAGTAAGTAGATAAATAAAAGATGTGCATTTCTTTTTTCTTGTGAGAGGAATCTCTAACATGAATGATTTTGTTAGAGAAACAGTAAAAATTTAACTCCTGCCACTAAGTTTTGAGACCCTTATACAAACAATTTACATTTTCTTGGCACAATATCCTCAAATATAAGATGGCAGATAGTATTTTACAACATTAGAAGTGAGTTAAATTAAATGACATATCAAGCATCTAGCACAGTGTTTTATATGTAGAAGGAGCTCAAGAAATCTTAGCCCCTTGTAGAACATAGGCTGTGATCTAGACATTGAAGCAAGAAGCAAGGGGAACTTATTTCTGTTGCTGGTCTTGCCACTTAATTTTTCTCTGACCACTTAACCACTCTTTTTATTTCCCTATTTAAGGAAAATTCTCTACCTCTTCCTACCTACAAAATTCTCTCTCACATTAGCTTCCTCAGCTAATGATTGGACAATCTGTCATTGCCTCAACCAGAAAAATTTAAGATAGTGTCTTTTTGAACTTTAATAGCAACTAAAGGGGAAAAATTAAAATGCTAACTTTTTTCAAATGATATCCTACTCCAATTTCCAAAATATTCCAATCTATAATTTTTAGCTATTTTTGAACATGAGTTTCAAAAAACTACAAGCCCATCTTTTCCAGCCCCTTACTTAACAATTTGATAACCAGTTACAAGCCCGTGAGAATCACCTACATGAAGGACCCTGCCATCATGCCTGCAGGTTACACTTGTTTTGGATCAATGGACTTTGCTTTCATATGTAAGCAGTTGGCTTAAACTAACTGTTAGGGGTTTGAGACCTTTGTTTCCTTTGAGAGACACATGGTGTTTTGGGGAAATGGTCAAAAGAAGCTGACCATTCCACTTTATGGTCAGCACACTGGCTAATAATCACACAGGTGCTTCATTCTCCAGCCTGAACACAAGAAGAGTTACCAGCTAATAATATTTCATATTGTGTAATTTGGCATAAACTAGAAAATCAAGGGGATGGCTATTTAATAACAAATAACTTCTTCACTAGATGAACCATCAGTTTATCCTAGTTTGGAAACATCTAGTTGAATAATAAATCTAGGACACTAAGAGCTATTAGCATTCTAAAATCTTCAGTTCTCATTTGATCCTCATTTTTAAACTAAAGGTGTAAATTAGATAAAACTAGCATTTTTCCCCCAAGTTTGAAATAAAGACATAAATTTTATCATATTGATAATTGAACCCTAATTGTTAAAAGGTCCACTGACTTGGAGGAAAACAATTCAACAAAACCCTCTGCCCTCCAGAATTTCCTGCTGTGGGTAAAGTGTGTGAGGTTAAGGATGGCCACACATTCTTTGACAAGACTTGAACGATAGAAAGAGACTTGAGAAAATGGCAGCTTTCCATAAGGAAAGGATATGCTTGAGGTGGTGGACATGCTAACCACCTTGGTTTGATTGTTATACAATCACACTATACCTTATAAACAGGTACAATTATTATGTTTCAATTATAAACAAAAGTGGCAGCTTATATGTCCTGTCTCTTGCATACTCATTCTTGAAGCCTTGAACCTTCAACTAAGAAATCCAACTACACTGTGGCTTCCACGCTGTGAGGGAGCCCAAGATAGCCACAAGGAGAAGTCATGTAAAGTAGAGATCAGCAAATTTTTCTGTAAAGGGCCAAATGGTAAGTATTTTAGGTTTTGCATCATATATGGTTTTTGTTGCAACTTTTCAACCCTGCAATTACAGAGATGATAGGGTATTTAAACAAACATATGTGGCTATCTTCCAATAAATCTTTATAGACACAAATTTGAATTTCATATGTTTCACACCTCATGAAGAAGCAGTCTTCTTCTTTAGATTTGTTTAAACATTAAAAAATTTGAAAACCTTTTTGTTTGTGGTCTGCACAACCACAGGCTGCAGATGGGTTTTGGCAGAAAATGAGAGAGAAAACGAGAGAAAAGAGATACTCAGCCAGCCCTCAATTGTTCCAGCCTATGGACATTTATGTCATCTCAGCTGAGGTCCCGAGCATCAGAACAAGATGAGTCATCTGCACTGGGTACTATCTAAATTCTTAGCCCCAAGAATCATCAGATATAATAATAATAAATTATTTTAAGCCCTAATTTTGGGAGTCGTTTATTGAGCAACAGTAGATAACTGAAACAACTCTTAAAGCAAACACAACAATGAAAAGCTACATTTAGTTTTAACTCTGTGACCACATCACTAGTATTACCTCTCAGCCTTTATAAATATACATGTAATATATAAAATAATTTTGGTTAGTAATTGATTTTCTTGGTGTCATTGATACATGCCATTATCAAAATCAGCAAAGTTTTGTTACAAATCATATTGAAAGGTGTAAGTCATAGTAAAACCAAATAGGAGATGAATTTTCTGAGTTTGCCATTAGAAATTAGGTAATAAATGAAGCTCTCAATGTCTCAAATCTAGATTTAAAGGAATAAAGAGTAATCTACTCTATAACTGACCTATTCATTTGTGCCATTTCAACTGCAATTCCTCTCTCTTCTGGTAACCCTTTGAATACATCCTCCTCTGCCACTCTCATTCCCTGTAATTCCAGAAAAGTTGTTTATAGAGGTGGGGCACAGGTCTAAGCCCATAAGGATACAGCATTTACCTGACCAGAAAAATTGGTTCTACAATGGACATATACCCCAATTGTAGTCATTGTAGTCTGGGCAATTTTAAGTGGCATTTTGCAGAAAGAGATTCTCACTTCTGTTTTTTGTTGTTGGGTGTGTGTGTGTGTGTGTGTGTGTGTGTGTGTGTGTGTGTACATGTGTGTTTGCTGGACTGAAAATTGGAAAGGCTGGGGTTTGAGTCTTCCCTTGCTACCATAGAAAGTCTAAGTCTAAAGCCAAAGCAGCTTAAATTCAACCATGGGAATGGGAACTAAGGGATGTAGAGAAATATGATATTGTTTGCATACTCAATCTAGTATGTCTAATCTAGTTATATCCCTAAACGTTTTCTCTTAGCCAATAAATTACATCTTTGCCTAAGTTAGATTAAGTCAAATTTTGTGACAGAAAGTGCAAAGTCCCCACATGGGAAAAGAGTTTCTTCCACTGAAATATTCATTTACTTATTCTTTAACAAATATTTTTAGACTTATATCTAGTATATTCAAGGCACTGGCAATAGGACCCAAGAACACAAAAATAAGTAAGAACAAAGTGCACATTCTACAAGCAGAAGCTCAGTACCAAGTAGTGAAACAGACTTATAAAAAATAATGAAAATGGAGTGTGATTAAATTGTCATGGCATTGAGACCTAAAGGAGGAAGTGATCAACTATGCTTGAGTGGGCAGTAGAAGGTGCACAGGGGACACCTGTGAGCTGAGTGGGGGAAGACAACAATTAACTTCCAAATAGGGGGTTAGCAGGTAGGAATGCAGGGAGGTTTCCAAAAGAAACATCTCATTTGAACAACTGTAAGTACTTTCTTTAGCAGGCACATAATATGCAGAAGAAGAATTTGGAGAGACGAGCTATACTCAGGCACTGAAAGATCTTGAATGGGATCCTCAAAGATTTGGATTTCAATCTGTGAGCAATCAAGGATCATAAGGCATTGTAAGCAGGAGAGGCATAGGGGAAAATTTATTTTTAATAAAAATCATTCAGTCAGTAGCACAGGATGGGCTTGACTGAGAGGACAATAATCATGACACCACGATGAGGATAAGAACCAAGGAAAAAGACATGAAGCTGTAGTAGGAGCCAGAGGTGAAAGCTATTAAAAATGCCTCATCAATATGTTTGGGACTGTCAGCAGGAGGGGAGCAGTGAAAAACTCCCAGATTATCCCCAAGCATTTAGAGTAGTCAAACTGGTAAGATACAGCTGATGTGGATAAATGTAGTTATTTCTCCATTCTTGCTTAAGTCTGATTTCTCCTGTTTTGCATCTTAAAATGCTTCCTTTTTCTTCCTCTCTGCTACCAATTCATCTCTATTCTCCCTCAACAAAGAATGTACAGCTTGGTAACAATCTAATTTGTTTTTTTCTTTCATCTTCTTTATGTCATGACTCTTTCAGCAAACTTTTAATTGATATACTTTTTCTCTCTCTCCCCCTCCCTCCCTCTTCTCTCTCTCTTTCTTTTCTTTATTTTGTCCATGCACTCACAATGTGTCTCCTGACTTAAAATTCCAGGAGGGGTGGGATGTGGAGTAGAGATGTGGTGGAGATTGCTCAGACTTAAAGCCTGAGCATTTTTCAGGCTGGGTCCTCTACAACATTTTGTCCATGTGGTATCTCACCAGCACATAGTGTAGAAAGTGTCACCTTGGCCTACAAGATGTAAAACAGCTAATGGAGGGCTCAAATGTAGCTCTCCACAAACTTCTCTCTTACTTTTGATGTGGGCGGAAATGAGCTCTGCCTAAAATGCTCCATTGGTTTCGCCCCTCCTAGCTGGGTGGTGCAACTGCAAAGAATGTGCTGTGAACCTTGTGAGCGAACATTTGAGCGCCACAGATCCATGACCTGTGGCAATAACTTAGGAAACTATAAAACCAGAAGCATAGTGACGCTAACAATAGGAACTTGGCCTTTCCTTCGTCTTACTATGGAATGCCTTCCTGGCCCACAACTCAAAGGTGCCCTTAGAGTAGCATCTTCAGGAGTGCTGATGCACTTCCTTTGTGATGAACTAAACAGCCTCTACTGTGCTGCAGAGCAAGAGTGAGACAGGAACATGTGCTCACAGGAAGTCAGTGGTTCCCTTTTTAACAATACCTGCTCCCAGTTCAGCCTTTTATAACTGCCTTTCAGAGCTTTTATGTGTTGGACAGAGAAGCTGGGCTCTACTCTACTGTCCCTCCCCTCCTGTGGGACTCCTTTCCAGTGGCTGGGTAGAGGGGAGTTTGCTGGGGCAGGAAGCAGCAGAGGGAGTTCCACAGCAAAGGATGAGACTCAGCGCAAGCTCACAGCTGTGTGAGCCAAGTTCAGTGCCTAGCTTAGATTCCACCTGTGGTTGTGGTAGGGGAGGCCAGCGGAAGTGTAATTCCTTCCGCATGACAGCCGATCAAGGTTCATATGTATGTGACATGCATATTAGGGCCAGCAGTTCCTCCTAAACAGGAGAGGTCCTCCCCTCCATGACACACACACATCCTGCCCTTAGCTAATATTTACATGCTAACTCTGGACAATTCTTCATTTAAATAAAAAATGAATAATTTGAGGACACCTGAAATGGGTTGAAAATGTCTGTTATGCTTAGAGATAAATGAGTGATGACACCATGCGGTTGATTATCTCCACAATGGTAAAGAAATAATTTAAGAGAGAAAAACAAGGTGAATAGGACCAGATCAATGACAAAACTGACCTTATCTTCTTAAGTATATTATGAAGGAAAGTACATATTTTCATCTTGGCCACCTGAAGTGAGCTCTGAAGGAACTCCATTCTTTAGATCTATACTTGTGATCCCACTGATCCCAATGAACAAAATTCCTTGAGGCCTGCTCTTTCATTTGTTTCTCTGGAGCACAAGAACCAGGTCCATGTTTACTGTGTTGGAAGACAGTGATCCTCGGCCTGATAGTCTGTGCTGATATATTTAAAAGAATGTAAGTAAATCTACACTTTTCAAATAGAAGAGGAAGTATTCACGCAAATGTGTAGTGCCTCCCTGTAGACGGATATGATCAGCTATTTTAGCTGCAAGTTTACAATTGTTGACATACTATAAAGACCATACTCTCAAGAAAGCATCAGAAAAATTCACTAGTAGTGATATAGTGAATGGTAGAACTAAAAATCAAAGATCTAGGATCTAGTCTTTTTACTGCTATTAATTAGCTGAGTGGTGTTCTACAAATTGCTTGACTTTCTAATCAAGTTAGCAAGTCTCAGTTTTGTAATTGCCAAAACAAATGATTTAAACTTCAGAATCTCTAAGGTTCATATATGCCAATATTTAAATATGGAAAACATTATCTTAGTGTAAGGGCCCATTTCCCCTGAATGAAGGCATATAATGCACAAAGACAATAACAGCACAGCCAGGTTCTGGAGCTGTTTACCAGCCAAGGTGAATCCATCAACTTCCTTTGACACTGTAAGGTGTCTTCTTCTATATCAGTACCCGAAAAAACTCAAGGATCCCTCCTCCGTGGTCATTTGCATCAGTTACATAAGTAGCCTGGTTGAAATCAGCACATTAAGGTATGACTTCCGTCTCCATTTGAAATTGTTTCTCCTCCTAGCAGCTTATGAGGTTTTCCATCCCTCTCTGTTTCTGGTACTCCTGTATCTTTCCTTCTCTCTGCAGCCAGTTTTTGCCTCTCTGCATAATATCTCAGATCTAGCTTCTGTAACTGGTAAGAGGATTACAATTAAACATGCAACCGAAATCTAGAAGTGTTTTGGTACAAGGTATCAGAGCACTGCTGCAGGTAGCTTCTGCAACAACAGGATATGGTGTAGATAATTCTGTCAAAAGATGTATGGTCCTTAATGTAGACATTAATGTCCTCAACAGTGCACCTCAGCTACCTTGCTGTGCATATCAGATTTCAGCAGCAGGGGCAAGTGGGAGTAGTATTGGCACCTTCAGCAAGTTTTGGAATGAGAGATGCCATCAGAGCTGTAAAAAAGAAAGACCAAGGATGGTGAGGGGTGGCATGAGGATGAGTCAAAGGTAGCATACGTGAAACTATCTCCTCCCACCTCATAGGTGATACTCAAAACTACTTGAGAGAAATGTGAAGAAGGCTGGAGTTCACAAATGGCAGAAGGGATATTGTGAACCTATTCTTATCTATTGAGAATGGAATAGGAAACATATTTGGCACATATTTTAATAAGACACTTTTTAAACTCCAACTGTCTGCAAATCATTTATGGCCAATCTAAATCATTTATAGTTAGCATCTATATTTTCCACAATTTCCAGAATCTTAACACTAATACAATGTTCCATGTTGTGGTATATGCTATTGGAATAACATGTCAAATACACTGAAACTCGAAAGTGTAAAATATAGGGTATTATTAATCAACTGATCCACATTTATTTAACCCACAAATTTGCATTAAACGTTTACCCTTTATTAGTTCAATGTGATGTTATTATAGTGACGGTATAATAATGATCCAGTAAAAATGTACATCAAAATTAAGAATAATTAAGATAAATTTGGAGAGAGCATGATTCCAAACAACAATAGAAAAATGATGATACCATATTAATAACCCTTATTTATTGGTTGCTGTTTTCATAAAACTCCTACATACATTACTTTATTTAAATGTGAGAATCAATACTAAGTAGTGTGTTATCTCCATTATAGAGCAGGTAGAGGGATTTCAAAACAATGATTGCAAACTTATGGCTGTTTTTTTTTTCTTTTTGACTCACATTATTGCTGTGGCTCTTTTAATCTGAATTAGCAGTATTCAAAAACAAGAAGAATTTACATAAAAATTTATATAAACTTCCCTTTAAAAACAAGGATATTGTACAACACCAGAGTCCACATTCTTAGCATGACAATAATATGCTGATGTTGAATAATGTATGTTCCTTTAAACAAGGCACCCAACTAGTCACCAATATGTTTTTTGTTAAAGATGTAATTAATATGTAATACACATATGGAAAAATGCAAAGAAAAAAAGATTATTTTTATAAAGTTAACACAAAGTTAATTTTTACATCAAGAAATACCCAAATCAAGAAATAGAACATTATTAACACTTCAAAGCCCCGCTTGTGTTCCTTCCAAATGACTCCCACCACCAAACATCACCCCACTATCTTGATTCCTTACACCATAGGTTATTTTTGTGTTTTTTTTGTTTTGTTTTGTTTTGTTTTGAGATGGAGTGTCGCTCTTTCGCCCAAGCTGGAGTGAAGTGGCACAATCTCGGCTCACTGCAACCTCTGTTCCCTGGGTTCAAGCAATTCTCCTGCCTGCCTCAGTCTCTGGAGTAGCTGGGAATGCAGGTGTTCACCACCATGCCTAGCTAATTTTTTGTATTTTTAGTAGAGACAGGGTTTCGCCATGTTGGCCAGGCTGGTCTTGAACTACTGACCTCAGGAGATCCCCCTGCCTCGGCCTCCAACAACCACACCCGGCCAACCACCACACCCAGCCATTTTTGCTTGTTTTCGAGCTTTACATAAGTGATACACAATTTCTTTCTTGTGTGTGGCTTCTGTTCCACATCATTTTGTTTGTGAGATTCATTCATGTTGCACTGCATATTTGAAGCTTGTTCATTCTCGTTGTTGTATAGATTCTATTCATGAACATATATCAATTTTATTTATTCATTTGATTTTGCTATACATCTGCCTTCTTTCTAATTTAAGTTGCAAATAGTGCTGCTGTGAATATTCTGCTGATGAATATCTTTTGGTGAATGTATATACCATTTCTCATAAGAATTCACCTAAGAATAGAATTGCTGGGTCATATGGTATGCATATATTCAGCTTTAGTTAGATAATGCCAAAAATATTTCCAAAGTGATTGTACCAATTTGCACTTCCACCAGTAGTGTATGATCATTCCAACTGCTCCACTTTCTTACCACCACTTTCTTCTCTCTACCTTGCCTTATCTATTGTTATTCCAATGTGGTGTAATAGTATCACATCATAGTTTTAATCTGTATTTCACTGATTATGAATGAAGTTGAATACTTTTCACAAGTCCATTGGCCATTTGGATATCCTATTTTGTGAAGTGCCTGTCAAAGTCCTTTGTCCATTTTCTTTTCTTTTGAGTTTTCCCTCCTTTCCTAATTGATTTGTAGAAATTCTTTATATATTCTAAATACAAGACTTTGTCAGACTTGCAAATTATTTTCTCCCACATGTGGGCATGACTTTTCACCTCTAATATGGTTTTTCATGATCAAAAGTTCTCAATTTTAATGTGGTCTAATTTGCCTTTTTAAGATTTTTCCTTCTAAGAAGAGTAATTTTTGTACCCTGTACAGAAAATTGTTGGCCATCTGAAGTTCACGAAGATATTCTGCTATGATTTCTTTTTGAACATTTATTATTTGAGCATTCATATTCAGATATACAATCCATCTGGAATTGATATCTGTCCGTGATGTTGAGGTATGGGTCGGGATATGTATTTCCACATAGTTTATCCAGCTGACCCAGCACCATTTACTGAAGAAAAAACAACAACAACAACAAAAAAAAACACCCCTTCCTCTGGTGAACTGTAGTGGTATCTTTGTCATAAATTGTAAAACAATTTATGTTTAGGTTTGTTTCTGGATTCTATTCAGCTCTTTAGTTTATCTATTTTTACACCAACACTCAAAATTACTTTACCTTTATTAATACTCATAATTACTGATTATTATAGGATTTTACTCTCTCTTTCTTGCTTTTATATATTGATATATAAAAATGTAAGCCCCCCAGCATGGCTCCTCAACATCATCTTGGCTAATCTTGGTCCTTTGCATTTCTTTATACATTTTGGAAACAGCTTGGCAATGTTCTCAAAATATCTCCTGAGATTTTTATTGAGATTGTATTAGATACAGCAATTTAGAGATAATTTATTTATATTACTTGTCTTTCAAACTATTAATATGGTATACACTTCCATTTATTCAGGTATTCTTTCATTTTTCTTGGGAAAGTTTTATTGCTTTAATTGTAGATGTGTTACATACTTTTATTAGATGTATTCTTAAATAGTTGATGTTGTTTTTGTTTTTTTGTCTTTGTTTTTGTTTTTTTGAGACAGAGTCTCACTCTGTCACTCAGGCTGTAGTGCAGTGAAACAATCTTAGCTTACTGCCACCTCTGCCTCTCAAGTTCAAGTGAACTGTGCCCAGCCAATAGTTCTGTTTTTGGATACTATTATAAATTGCATTCTATTTTTACTTTCATTTCCAATTTGTTTGTTCCTGATATAAAGAAATGTAGGCCAGTTGTGGTGGCTCACACCTGTAATCTGAGCACTCTGGGAGGCTGAGGCAAGTGGATCACTTGAGATCAGGAGTTCGAGACCAGCCTGACGAACATGGTGAAACCATGTCTCTACTAAAAATACAAAATTAGCTGGGTATGGTGGAACACACCTGTAATCCCAGCTACTTGGGAGGCTGAGATAGGGGAATCACTTGAATCCAGGAGGCAGAGGTTGCAGTGAGCCAAAATCAGGCATTGTACTCCAGCCTGGGCAACAAGAGCAAAACTCTATCTCAAACAAACAAACAAATAAACAAACAAAAAAAAAAGAAGAAGAAGAAGAAAAGGAAAAAAGAAACGTAATTGATTTTTGTTTAATGACCACATGCTATTGTAATTCAATGCTGCTAAAATCACTTACAAATATCAGTAATTTGCAGATTAATTTGGATTTTCTATGTACATGGCCATATTTCTGCCATTCTTTGCCTTATGCCTTTTATTTCTTTTTCTTGCATTAGTCTACTAGGATGGGCCTTCAGTATCTTGTTGGGAAGCAGTGATGACACTGGACTTCTCAGTCCCAAATACAGACAAAAAGCTTTCAATAATATCACATTTACTATAGGATCTTCTGTAGGTTTTTACAGAAGCTCTTTGTCAGATTAAGAAACTACCTTTCTCTTCCCAACTCTCTAAGGTGTTTTTCTTTTTTTGAATCATAAATGTGTTTATATTTTCCTGCACCTGAGGAGATGATTATAGGATTTCTCTCTCTCATTATCTGTCTCTTTTTTTAAATTACGTGGTAAAATTGCATTGATTGTTTTTGAATAGTAAACTTTCCCTTTCATTCTTGGAATAAAGTCCACTTGGTCACAATATATGGTACTAGGTAGGTCTATTATTCTTTTTACATTTCACTAGTTTTATGTACTCATATTTTACTTAGTATTTTTGCATTTTTTCTGTAATTTGCTAACAGTAAATTTTTGATAACAAGATCCTGCTAGGCCAGGCACAGTGGCTCACACCTGTAATCCCAGCACTTTGGGAGGCCAAGACAGGTGGATCATTTGAGGTCAGGAGCTTGAGACCAGTCTGGCCAACACGGTGAAACCCTGTCTCTACCAAAAATACAAAAATTGGCTGAACCTGGTGGCTTACGCTTATAATCCCAGCTACTCAGGAGGCTGAGGCAGGAGAATTGCTTGAACCCGGGTGGCAGAGGTTCCAGTGAGCTGAGATCGCACCACTGCACTCCAGCCTGGGTGACAGAGCAAGACTCTGTCACAAAAAAAAAAAAAAAAAAAAAAGAAGAAAAAAAGATTATGCTAACCTCTTAAAATAAAACGGAAGTGTTTCCTTTTCTGAGTTCCCAAGAACAGTTTATACAAGTGAATGTTACTTCTTACAGTAGAGGAGAAAAAAGTTGTATGTTTTTCTCACCCATTTCAAGATTCACAGGTGAAATTTATATATAATGAAGGTTTTATGTGACATGGGATCCTTCAGAAATGAAAACCTAAAGACCCAGGGAAGACCATCTGTTTCTTTGCTAAATCTAATAAAAGAAGCCGGTAATTTTATAGAAATATGATTGGACAAAAACATATGCTCTAACGGGAATAAACTGAGCAAGGCCTGTGTGTTCAGGCTTCTTGGCCTATCTGTGCAACATTTCTTTCTTCTTGGCACAGTGCAGGGCATCTGTCACAGGAGGGTCTTATGACCTACTTTCAGGAAAAGTAGGTCATAGACTGTTCTTTCTAGGTTTTATGGCTTGCTTTGGGGGAGAAATTGGGGCAGGAGGCAGAAGGATGGAAGAAGGTCAGAGAGACCTCACTTCTGAGGCCTTTTGTTTTCTTGAGCTCAAAGACAGTCAGCATGGCAAGGCACGATACTTTGGGGTATGATGTTCTAAACCCCAAAATTACAAAAAGCATTTGGGCCTGGAGGATTTTTGAGGGGGAAGAAGAGCAAAGGTTTTTGATTTTAAAAAAAAATCAATTTGTAAGTAAAAAAACTTTTAAACTTTCTAAGTCTTCTTGAGGTAGTTTTGATAAGCCATGTTTTCAAAAAAGTTATTAATTTAATACGAATTAACAACTTTATTGACACAATGTTACTCTTAATATAATTTTACTAACTCTTCAAAGTTTACAAGATGAGTAACAATACCACCTTTCAAGTCCTGGTATTGGCATTTTATATATTCCATCTTTTTTTGTTCGTTTGTTTTCCCAGAGATTTATTGATTTCTTCCAATAACAGGGTTCTATGTTTTCTTAATTTTCTCTTATAAATTTAATTTATATTTCATTGATTTTTTATTCCTATCAATCTTATTTCCTTTCTTGTACATTATCTTGGTTTGATTTGCTATTCTATTTTTAGTTTCTTGAATTGAAAGCTTCGGTCATTGATTTTTAATGTTCAATATTTTCATATGTTACAATCTTAACTCCTTCATCTCTGAAGCCATTTGGGTTCACAGATCATTTAAATGACCATTAACTGGCCAGTCTCAGTGGCTCACACCTGTAATCCCAGAACTTAGGGAGGCCAAGGCGGGCAGATCACCTGAGGTCAGGAGTTTGAGACCAGCTTGGCCGACATGGTGAAACCCCGTCTCTACTGAAAATACAAAATTAGTTGAGCATAGTGGGGCGTGTCTGTAATCCCAGGTACTTGGGAGGCTGAGGTGGGAGAATCACTTGAACCCAGGAAACAGAGGTTGCAGTGAGCCAAGATCATACCATTGCACTCTAGCCTAGGCAAAAGGAGCAAAACTCCATTTTGAAAAAAATAAAAATAATAAAATAAAATAAATGACCATTAACTTATCTAAGATCAGTGTGACATGTTTATAAGTTATACAAAGTGAATGATCAAATATTCTAATCCAGGACTGTCTGACAACTAAGTCCACGGTCTTTCCTATTCATATAAAGTTGATCATATAAGCCAGGAAGTAGATGATATCCCCCCACCAAAAAAAAAAAAAAAAAAAAAAAAAAACAAAAAAGAAAGCAAAAGTAAAAGAAATGAATCTTGACTAATATCTACTTCTTGTCAAGTACAGAGCAGCTTCTGGAGGAAATAGAGAAGGAACAGGAGAACCAAGAGAGTTATGTCTAGAGACTTCCTAATTGTGGAGCCTTAGACAAGTCCTTCCAGATTCCGAGATCACTGTTTCTTCATCTGTAAAACAAGAAACATGAACTAACTATTTCCAAGGTTTTTCTCCACTATAACAGCTGAGTTTCAAAGAAGAAATGATGATTAATGATGTTAAATGTTGCAGAGAGGTTAAAAAACATAGTTTAAGAAAAAGACAATAAATTTAGTAATCAAGTAAGCATTATACTTAAAGTGCGATCCCAATTACGAGCATTTTTAAGATAAAATGGGTTTTATGCCTTTCTCAAGTAGACAGGGAAATCTGTGAGACGAGACATCAACAACATTTGACATTTGGGAAAAGTCATAGCAGGGCTAGGAGGAACCACGCATAGACTTTTGTTAGCCAGATATTGACTGAGTTTCCTGAGTCCTCTTTCTCATAGTTACAGTGCTGTTTTGGTTTGGGCACAGGATAAAAATCAATCAAGAAAGATCATGAATAGAAAAAAAAGGACAGATTAATTTAGGTTTTATCATCAAAAACTATCTGACAAAAGTTGGTGTAAAAAAATCTAAAAGAAACAGCATCATATCTAGATAGGGCAAACTTTAAAAGCCAGATAACGACACTCAGTTTTCTGAGACCTCTTTCTCATAGCCATGGTGCTGTGCTGTTTTGGTTTGGGCACAGGATAAAATCAATCAAGAAAGATCATGAATAGAAAAAAAAAAAAAAGAACAGATTCACTTAGGTTTTATCATCAAAAACTATCTGGAAAATGAGATCACATGGACACAGGAACGGGAATATCACACTCTGGGGACTGTTGTGGGGTGGAGGGAGGGGGGAGGGATGGCATCGGGAGATATACCTAATGCTAGATGACGGATTAGTGGGTGCAGTGCACCAGCATGGCACATGTATACATATGTAACTAACCTGCACAATGTGCACATGTACCCTAAAACTTAAAGTATAATTAAAAAAAAAAAAAAAGAAAAAGAAAATCTAAAAGAAACAACATCATATCTAGATAAGGCAAGATTTAATAGGACAAGTAAGTCATTGCACAAAGATGATTAATGAAACATTTGAGACAAAATCCTCTCATTGACCTAGGTCTTTCCTCTATGACACTATGACGGCAATACAAATTATCATTAAGAGACTTAATTCTCCCTGTTGAAAATATAGGAAAAGATTTTCCTTCTTAGTGCATTCGCCTCAGAAAAATTGTAACTGTAAGCACTTTCTTTTCTCTTTAAGATGTGTGCGGGGGCCTTTTATCAGCTTCATGACCAAGGGCTGTCCTTCTCAAGAACCTAGGAGCCATTTTTTGATATGTACACATAGCATCCCTATCTCTCAGTTTCTGTGGGAGGGTAGAATTCTAACTTCCTCCATGGGCATGTTGCTCCAAGTTGTAAAACTACCTCTTGTCACAGAGACATGATAAGTTTGTTTCTCCCCTGGATAAAGTCAATCAGCTAACGGAAATGTTGACCTTAATCACCATGGGAAAGTTATGACAAATTATGTGTGAGTGTTAAGTCTTCTTACTTGAAGACTAGTTATTGTTTTTATTGAAAACGTGCATGCAATGGGTTACATCTCCTTGGCTATACATATGGGGGCGAGAGTCCTTTCCGCCTTGGTACTCTCTTAGCAGATTGCTTGTGAAGTGCAACATAGTCTGGCTTAATGCTTGTCTTCTAATGCTTAGCTCTAGTACCTTTGTGGAGAGAATTTCTGGGTTAGGAGATGATTTTGGTTTTAATTGTATTTTCATAACACATATCAAGGTTGAATCCGAACTGAACCATCTGAGACTCAAGAACACATTGCAAAATAAAGAAGCTCCTGCCTGGCCAGACTCCTTTATGTCTATTCCCAACAAACTAAATAGATCACTCGGCCAGAGGTAAATTGTTCTGGTGAAGGACAAGCAGAAGGGAGAGTCAACCCTACAATCTAGACACTTTAAATCAGAATCCCTTTCTTTGGTTCTCTCTCAGTAAATGTGTGCAGCTATGTAAGGGTCCTGTCCAAGAACATGATCTCATGTTGAAGAAATAAAGGCAGATACTGGATTCCACTGTTCAAGAGCTCAGAAATGAAACAGAGGTAAAGTTACCTGGAAGCTATTGAAGTATTTCAAGGTCTCTGGCTTATATGAGCCCTTTTCAAAGTCCTAGAAGATATTTAGGTGGTTTTGTTTTTATAAAATTTGCAAAAGTAAGATCTTTCTGTATTCCTTTCGATGAAGAAGACCAGCTAAATCATAAAAGCTTTAGGCTCCTGCTATGAAACGAAAAAAAGAAATAGCAAGGGAGCAAGAAAGTGTGGAAGAGTGTCACTGAATTTATGCATGTTCTAAAGACAGGATTTTCATATGAAAGTAGACACTTTCCAAAAATAGCTACTACAATTCTTAGAATTTTCTTCAAATTCCTGCCAAGTAATAGAAAACTTCAGTTACCCAAATGACCTAAATTCTTGACATTTAACTAAAAAAACCTGTCAGAAAATAGTTCACCAGTACATCTGCTTTTCTTCCACATAATTTATTTCACACAATTAAATACTGACAGCTAAAAAGAAAATAGCATAATCATTACAATGTTAGGTACCATCTTTTGAAAACAGAATGTTTTTGAAATTGGCAAATTTTAAGAATTTAGGAGCTTAAATTATAAAATATGAAAGTACAATATGAATATTATTTTGCTCTGACATACTGAAATATTTCAGCAAACATGCATAAATCGTTATTTATATGTAACTTGTTCATTTTATTATTATAAATATGTTAGGGCATGTGGCAGAAGGAAATGACAACCCTTTGTCCAAACCTCCTTATTTCTAAAAGTTTCTAAATTAAAATAATAACATTCATTAAGTGTAACCCCAAGTGGGTTCAGGTATGGGGATATACAGAAAAAGCAGTCAGTAAAGGTTAATTTAAATGTTTTGTAATGTATGCAAACCTCTAATATGAAAGGGGATATAAAGGACATCCTCAAGCCTGCTGGAATTCTGAAGGATCCTGGGAATGATCTCTCTTACTTTGTGAAGGCGTAGAGTTTTACTGAAGCTTTTACCTTCAGTAAAGGATGGAAGCATGAGACTGGCAAGGGATAGACAGATTTGGGAGTGTGCAGATGTGCATTGGAGGCAGATGACCTGGGCTGGCTTTTTATGGGCCCCACTCCACTCCTGTTCTGGAGGAGCTAGCTTTTAAAAGATTTACTCTATGAGGCCTATGGGGTTGTTGAAGTTGGCTAGAACTTTAGCTTTTATCTTTCCTTCATCCGAATTTCCTGTGAGAGTCCCCTTGACTTTCACAAAATGAATGTGCTATAGAAGCTAAAAGAACAGTATAACAAGAATGGAGATTTCACCTACCACATTATTTTTTCGAATCCAGCGGATGAGGTGCTTTGGCCTATTCATTGTCTGCCACTTGGAATTCCACATGGACAAAGATGGTAGTTGAATCCTCTGGAGCAAGAGCAGTGTCTGGATGTGATGTGTGTAAGAGGTAGAGTGAGGCCAATTCAAGCTAGCTGACAATTCCTCTTGGGCACACAGGTGGTAAGGGAGAGCTACAGGCACCATGGGATCAAAAGACAAGCTACAGGCACCATGGGATCAAAAGACAAGACCTCAACAAACCATGCATTACACACAGATTCTTATTTTTTATGTTCTTCTGTAAATAAAATAATCTTAATGATTTAACAAATATCAGCATTTGTTGCAATAGAAGTCCTTTCCAACCAGACTCAAAGCCCCTGAAGTTGCCTCAGTTTTGTTTATTTGTTTGATGGTTTTGGCTTTTGTTTTTGGTTTTATTTGGACATTGGTTTTTGGTTCTGTCTTTATGATACAATAACATATAGTGATTCTCAAGAAGCAGTGCTGTGTTTGGTAATACCTGCTAATTCATTATTAATAAATTACTAATAATATAAAATAGTAATCATTGGATTCTTGTTCAAAAACAGAAAAGATAAAAATTCTCTTATTATTCACAATTAATTAAGTTATCTTAGCAGCTCAAATGTAAATACTACAGACTAATGAATTAGTTGCTTACATTTTATTAGTAAATAAATCAATGCAATTTTTCTTTTTAGAAATGAACACAAATAATGTTTACTTGGCGCATATATTTCCTTGATCTTTGAGGTATATGACAGAAGCCCTAAAATTTTAAATAGTAGCAGTGTTTTTTTAAAAAGGTATTTAACCATTATAATGGTTTAATTATGGAGATTATCTGTTAGATATCAATGTACTTTGATACATAATAACAGCAAGAATGCCAATAATTTCATCACATTTAAAACAGCTATTCCAAAAACTCATTTTAAAAACATAAGATTTTCTGAGGAATACACTTAATGAATTAAGTTGCCATATTCATCCAGCGTCATTTTACATAGGACGCCACTGAAGCCCATTGTTTATTTTCCCCTGAAGCACGTGGCTATTGGCTAATTATCATGAGATCTAGAAGTTGAATCACACTTCTAGGGTCCCATTTCTAGGAAGTATCTAAAAAAATTTATAATTTAGTTTTTTCATTTAATCTGACTGAATTAGAGTAGCCTATGCCTCTTAATGGAGGGTAAGAGCACTTGGAGTAAAGATGGTCACAATTTTGACCCAATGGCAAGTAGAGGCAGCCAATTGTCATAGCTCATCGGCTGTTCCTTCATTTACCGAATGAAACAATGCATCCTAAAGGGCTTTAAAAACAAAGTTTGTTTGTAAAAATAATATTAAAAAATAGCTCTTTGGTTTTCAAGGCAAATGTTGTCATGTATTTTACACAACATGACTTGTGTTGATGTGACAGATTTGAGGATTTCAAAATATCCTATTAAGTAATGTGCTTTTACCTGTAGAAATCTGAAAGTTGCCAGGTAAATCTCCCATTGGCACAAAGACTTTATTTACATAGTGTAACAGACGCTGTTATTTGGGACCTTGCTAAATTTGTCAAAAAAAAAAGTACCCCATTTATTTTTATCACTTCCAAGTATAGAAGAAAATAAAAATACATAAAGGTAAGAAAATGCCAAAAGCATGATGACTCACATAAAGCACATATTTTGAACACTATATCATGTAACCAGTGGTGACCACCTAAGCAGTAGCAACAACAGGGCACTTATATAATTTATAATAAATCCAGCCATATAGCTGAGTTTTATATTTTATAGGATCAAGACCCTCAATTTAGCTCAAGAAAACAGCGTAGGAACCTCAAGTCAAAATGATTTAGGATATGTATTTTTGTAAATAATTTTCAATTCAAGCCTTTTGCTTTTCTATACTTAATCTTGTAATATGAAAATGCAGGCAGATAATTAAAAAGAAAATAGAAAATAACAAAAATAAACTAATATAATATTCACTTATATTTTTAAGGTAGTATTTATTTTCTTGGGTTTGAATTAAGCTCCTGAAATTGTAATAGTCTAGGTGTCTTTGAAGCTTTGAGACTTTTAAGTTTAACAATGTTAATAATGATATAAACAGGTTTAAATGTGACTGCTGACATTATAATTAAAACTGCCAGATCTGGTTTACATAGAATAACTCATTCATTCATGATCTACTGTGATTACTTTGTTTGTATATTGTGGTTGATATTGTAGGGCTTTATGTATTATTCATAACCTTATTATAATTAAACAAATTTTCTGTTTTGGACGAAGTATTCTTAACAGGTTATGTCTGAGTACAACTATGTTGGAAATTGTTCTCAACTAATTTCATATTCAAAATCTATAAAATAATTATCTTCAAAAGGCCCAGAAAGTTTGAGGCATAATCTTTTGACTCTCAGGATTATTGAGTTTCCTTAAGTAGATAGAATGTTTACTTGACATAGTAATAGTTCAATAAATGATAAGCATTGATTATGACATATGGTACTCCTGACATTATATTATGCCAGGATTTCTTAGTCCCTGCCACTACTGACATTTTGATCAGATAATTCTTTGTTGTAGGGATCTGTCCTGGATATTATTAGATACTCAGAAGCACTCCCGACCTCTACTCACTAGATGTCATTAACATCTAGTTTTCAACCAAACCAAAATTTTCAACAACCAAAAATGTGTCCAGATATTGCCAATGTCCTCTGGGGTATAAAACTGCCACAAGTTGAAACCCCTGTATATTTTTTAAAATAAGTTAGGGAAACAACAGAAATGAGCTATATCTTTTACCTTTGATTGGTTTAAAACCACTTTCAATTAACACGGAGTAATCATGGCAGTTTTTCTCTCCTTCTTCCATAGCTATGAAACAGTTACAAGAGAAATGAAGAAAGGTGAGGTGTTATCAGGAGAGAAGGAGATGGAGTAATGCCAAATTGTACCATCTAAACTGTGTGGAGAACACATGCATAGGAATTGTTACTAGGTTGTTCTGTGGTCCATCAAAATCTCCATCTCTGACACATATAAATGCAGAAATTGGTAGCTTTTCAAGTAAAAAAGAATAGGCTTTGTATACTCCAAAGTGATTTTCAATGAAACAGAACATTTACATTTGTCCTTGCTATTTTCCCGGAGTGTGCCATGACAGAATCCTCACCCGGGGTGAACCTCCCACCGATGCCTCATCACACTGGCCCGCCTGTTGTCATTTTTGATGTGGCCTTGTAGAGTCCTGCTCAGAGCTGACTTAGCTCTGGGCTGCTCCTTACAGAAAATGTTAACAAGCACAGGCATTGAGGAAACAGCTCTCCTGCAGGGATTTTGACCTGAGGCCACAGATTCAGGAGTGAGTTTATAGCTTCATAGCATGTTTTTAATTTAGTCACCTCAAAGATTTGTATTTCTCAGACTTGCAAACTGCTCACCCCTCCTCCCATCCCTTGAGGGTCCCCCACCCCCATTCCCAACCCCAGAGGAAGTTTCTCTTGCAAAGAACAGAGAGTCCAGTTAGGTAACTAATGAGCTACATACACTGCTTGATAGACAGCTTTTTCCCTCTTCAAAAGGCAGCTCATAGGGGTGCTTTGTGTTTGTGCACTACCAAAGTCACCACAAATCACCCCTTATGCGGCCACCTCCACCAAATTATTTTCTATTTATGAGACTTGATCACTAAGAGTAGCTTTTAATCTGAATTTTGACAATTGAAATTTTTAGCTACCTCTGAAAACAAAAATAATCATTCATAGAATTAACTTTTTATACAGAAATTTCACATTCTGACGACTTAAAGTGGCAGGTTTTATACAATCTAAGTTTTCTCATTATTGACAGTTTTGTGTCCGGTAATTCTTTGTTGTGAGGTCTGTCCTAGGCATTGCAGGATGTTCAGCAATACCTCTGTCATTTACCCACTAGATGCCAGTAGCAGCCCCCGCCCCTCCCCCACAGTTTTGACAACCAAAAATGTCTCCAGACATTGGCAGATATCCCCTGGGGGTAAAACCACCCCTGATTGAGAACCACTGATCTAATGTGGCACAGAGTAAGTATCTGTCATTTGATTATGTGCTGGAACTTTAGGACTGTTAGACATTTACTACTAGAAACACGTACAGTTACAGATAGCCCTTTTTTCCCCAATAAGGAAAATCCTTAAGAATTTAATTTTCAAAAAACTTTTTTACCAAATATCTTGATAGATATGAAATGGAGAGAAACCCATTTATTAGGAAGCCATAGTTTTTCATTTTTTTGTGAGGGGTTTAAGTAATAAGTGTACATTTTCATAGTCAAGAGAAATATGACAATTCTCTCTGGCAGTTATATACCGGTTTCATGTGGACTTCCCAATTTCCTTGGATCAGGTCCAGAACCTCTGTATTGTAGAGTCTTCAGGGGAAAGCTGGGCCATGAGATAAGTTGAACCTGTTGTTATTCATGCATTTGTGATTGAATAATAGGGAACAAAGTGACTTAACATTTTTCACTAAGAAGATATTATCAAAGCAGCAAGTGCCAAGTTTTACCAAATAGAATTATTAAAAATTAATTTAATTAATGTAGTTTTGATATCACTAGTACATGAGGTACAGTTGTTATTAATATTTTTAATTTTAATTTTATAAAATGGATCAATATCTATGCAACTGTGTAGTTTCTGACTTATCTCAAGTAAGGAATTAAAATAGAGCATATCTATTGCACTTTACAAGCATTATCCTTGACACATAAACTTTAAATAAAGGCTATTTGCTATAATCCATAAGAAAAACTCTGGTGATGAGCAAAGAAGTATGTAACAAGTGGAATAATTACAAAAATGGAAAAATAAAGAAGCACAAAAAATAGTGGCACTGTAAAATGCAGTGACATTTTATACTTAATAGCTTTGCAGTTTAGAGGACACTTTTGCTATTACACCATAATGTATACAAATTAAATAATGAGACCTCAGTGAACAAAAGGCAAATAAATAATTTTTACTTATTCTTACTGTTACTAGAAGCAGGAATGGGATATGGAGTATAAATTTTGTCATGCAATAGGTGGAATACAGTATGATGAAGGGCTTCTCAGTAATTTTGGAGAGATCTTCCAGGTAGCTCAGAAATACATGCTGATCTCTATAAAATCTTTCCTGCTGTGTGATTTCAAAAGGAAGGCAAGCTTGCTTGCAGGCATTATGTAACTGGCAACTGCAATTGGAGAGATGTTATTGCCTGGATCTATGAGGTGCCAAACATGGATAGAAACAGCAGAACTCTAATTGTACAGTTCAAGGTTAATTAAGACATTGTACTTTAAACAACTGACCTTGCAGTGAGTGTGGAGAAGGGATTATCTCCAATTAGTGCATCAATTTTGAGGTAAATTACCATCCACGTGGATTATTTTGGCTTAGCATGGGTTATAGATCAGAGTAAGACACAAAAGATGAAAAAGGAAATGTCAAAAGAAGAGCATCATACAGGGTCAGGAACAACAACAACAAAAATCCATTAGTTGCTTCTGACTAAAAGTCTCGTTAATCATCTAGTGAGAATAAATGGAAACTAATACAAAAACATCGTTAATATTTTATGTTACTTCTAGATCATATTTATGTCTTCATACTTAGGTGTATCTGTAGAGTAAACCAGATATATTATTTCATATAGCAGTTTCTTTTTTCATCACTAGATATTTTATTAGCTTTATGTAGTCAAATGTTAAAAGAATAGCCTTCAAGTATCGTTTCAAATTGGTGAAATGGTGGATCCAACTAATATTTTTAGACAAAATTTCAATGCTTAATGTAGGAGGGTCCTATAAAATTACAGAATTGATAATAGTCTGTTAGGTATTTACATATTTATATACATTATCTCAGTATTTACATGGCTTTAATCAATATTATTTTACCTCCTTGGCTAGATGATCACATTATCCAATTGTATATGAAAGCGGCCTTTGGTAAAAGTGAGGAGCTTGTTTAAAGAGTTTCTACTATAAATCTTATAGAAACTATAATAATAATTACAATTCTATCATTTATTTTTTCATGTAACACACACACCTGCACACCTATGCATGCACACACTTACACACACGCATACATATAAATAACAGGCACTGTCCTATTTTCCTTTTGCTATATGTATGATGTTAGCAAAACAGTTACAGTCCCTTTACTCAAGTAATTCTCAGTGGGGTGTGGTCCACCCTAAGGAGTTTAGGAGTTGCACAATGGGAAGATTATCAAAAGTTTTAAGCAAGGAGTTACAAAATCTAACTTACATTTTTATTCCTTTTTTTTTGCTATTTTTCAAAAAAAAATTAATCTGACTTACATTTTTAAAAGCTCTCCTTTAAAAACTTTGCATAATATGATGCATGTACTATGGAGATCCAAGAACTGATGTAAGGATATCAGCCAGGGAGCTAGCGCATTGGTCAAAATGAAAATTAATGATGCTTGATGCTTGGAAAAAAGAATGGAAAGAAAGAGATGGAGAAAAATCAACAGGATCCAGATATAGTTTTGAGGTAAGATTGACAAGACTTGAGGCTTTGAATTTGAAGAGGGTGATGAGGGTGAGGGTGAAATTTGAAGGTGGAAAGGTTCAAAATCAGAAACCTGTTTGTAAAGAAATTAAAAGTTTCATGACAAATTCATACAGAAATCAAAAGAAAATATCAAAACTATATGGGCTTCTTGATAAACTGGATGACATAATATTTTGAATTTTGAATTAAAGTATAGTTTTGATGATGAAGCTGGGTAATGAAGTGAATTCTGGGGCTGACCTACTAAACTACTTTTTAATCATTTACCATTGAGTGGGAGGAATATGGAAGTCATAGTTGACTAAATTATCTAATGGGGGTTCCCTAACTCCTCTCTCTTTTCACAACAAATTTTTAAAAAGTCAGATACTTCCTTTTTCAACTTCCCTTATAGCTAGGGAGTGCCAGGTAGACTTGTTATTGCCAACAAGAAGTGAGTGAAAGCATGCTTCTGCTGCATGTGTTCCTAGAAAGATGTTTCTTATCTGATAAAAGAAGAGAGTCAGATATACCACCTCTTGTCTCGCTCTTTCCTCACTCTCTCCCTTATCCTGTTCTCCCTAGTCTTTCCCTTGCTCTACTGTAGATGTCGCTTCACTTTCTCCTTGTGTTCTCTGACATGTGAGCCATGAGCCACAACTTGGTTTAATAATGTGATTTGGCTGTCTCTCCTCATGCCTGAATAGTCTTGTCATCATAGTTGCTTGGACCAATAAAATGGGAATGCAAGTGAGGTGTCATTTCTGGGTAGCAGTGTTAAGAAGTCCTATAAATCACTAAATATTCACCCAGAATTCTGATAAATCAAAACTGAAATATCCTACTCCAGACATCTTGTTAAGAAGGCAATAAATATTGATGTGGTTTGGCTCTGCCCCCACCCAAATCTCATGTTGAATTGTAATTCCCAAAGTTGGGGGAAGAACCTCTTGGGAGATGATTGACTCACAGGGGCTGGATTTCCCCCATGCTGTTCTCATGATAGCAAGTGAATTCTCACAAGATCTGATGGTTTAAAAGTGTGTGGGACTTCCACTTTTGCTCACTCTCTCTCTCCTGCCACCATGTGAATAAAGTGTTTGCTTCCCCTTCACCTTCTGCCATGATTGTAAGTTTCCTGAGGCTTCCCATTCATGCTTCTTGTTAAGCCTGAAGAACTATGAGTCAATTAAACCTTTTTTCTTCATAAATTACCCAGTCTCAGGTAGTTCTTTATAGCAGTGTGAGGACACACTAATACAGAAAATTGGTAACAGAAGGGTGGGGTATTGCTATAAAGATACCTGAAAATGTGCAACTGACTTTGGAACTGGGTAATAGGCAGAAGTTAGAAAAGTTTTGAAAGCTCAGAAGATAGGAATATGTGGGAAAGTTTAGAACTTCCTAGAGACTTGTTGAATGGTTTTGACCAAAATGCCAATAGTGATATGGACAATGAAGTCCAAGCTGAGGTGTTCTCAAATGGAGATGAAGAACATACTGGGAACTGGAGTAAAGGTCACTCTTGCTATCCTTTAAGCAAACAGACTGGTGTCATTTGCCTCTGCACTAGAGATCTGTGGAACTTTGAACCTGAGAGAGATGATTTAGGGTATCTGGCGGGAGAAATTTCTAAGCAGCAAAGCATTCAAGATGTGACCTGGCTGTTTCTAAAATATATGCTCATATGCATGAACATAGATTATCTGAATCTTGAACTTATATTTAAAAGAGAAGCAGAGCATAGAAGTTTAGAAAATTTGCAGCCTGGCCATGCAGTAGAAAAGAAAAACCCATGTTTTGGGAAAAATTCAAGCCAGCTGCAGAAATTTGCATAAGTAAAGAGGAGTCAAATGTTAATAGCAAAGACAATGGGAAAAATGTCTCAGGGCATTTCAGAAACCTTCTCAGCAGCCCCTCCCATTACAGGCCCATGGCTAGGAGGAAAAAATGGTTTTGTGGGCCAGGCCCAGGGCCATTGCTTCAGAGGATGCAAGCCCCAAGTGGTGTTTGGCCTACAGTTGCGCAGAAGGCAGGAATTGAGGTTTGAGAACCTCCTCCTAAATTTCAGGGGATGTATGGAAACACCTGGGTGTCCAGGCAGAAGTCTGATGCAGTGGAGGGGCCTTCATAGAGAACCTCTACTAGGGCAGCAATGAGGGGAAATGTGGAGTTGGAGCCCACATGGAGTCCATTCTCACACAGCTGTAAAATACTACCTGAGACTGGGTAATTACAAAGAAAAGGAGCTTACACAGTTCTTCAGGCTTAACAGGAAGCATGACTGGGAAGCCTCAAGAAACTTACAATTATGGTGGAGGGTAAAAGTGAAGCAAATACCTTCTTCACATGGTGGCAGGACAGAGACAGAGTGAAGGGAGATGTTCCACACACTTTAAGCCATCAGATCTCGTGAGAACTGACTCATTATCAGAGAACAGCATGAGTGAAATCCTACCCTGTGATCCAATCACCTCCCACCAGGTCCCTCCCCCAATGTCGGGAATTACAATTCAACATGAGATTTGGGGATGGGACACAGAGCAAAACCACATCATTCCTCCCCTGGTCCCTTCCCAATCTGATGTCCTTCTCACAATTCAAAACACAATCATGCCTTCCTAACAGTCCCTGAAAGTCTAAACTAATTCCAGCATTAACTCAAAAGTCCAAGTTCAAAGTGTAATCTGAGACAAGGCAAGTCCCTTCTGCTTATGAGTCCACAAAATCAAAAACAATCTAGTTACTTCCAAGATATAATGAAGGTAGAGGCATTGGGCAAATGCTCCCATTCCAAATGTGAGAAATTGCCAAAACAAGGGGGCTACAGGCCCCATGCAAGCCTAAAACCCAGGAATGCAGTCATTAAATCTCAAAGGTCTAAAATAATCTCCTTTGACTCCATATCTCACATCCAGAGCATACTGATGCAAGGGGTAGACTCCCAAGGCCTTGAGCAGCTCCGGCCCTGTGGATCTGCAGGGTACAGCCCCCATGGTTGCTTTCATGGCCTGACGTTGAGTGCCTGTGGCTTTTTCAGGCACACAGTGCAAGTTGTCAGTTGCTCTACCATTTTGGGGTCTGGAGAACCATGGCCCTCTTCTCACAGCTCCACTAGGCAGCACCCCAGTGGGGATTCTGTGTGTGGGCTCCAACAAAAAAATTAGCTGGATGTAGTGGTAAACACCTATAGTTCCAGCTCCTTGGGAGGCTGAAGCAGGAGATTGCTTGAGCCTTGCAGGTCAAGGCTGCAGTAAGCCATGATCAGGTCACTGCATTCCAGCCTAGGTGACACAGCAAGACGCTGTTTAAAAAAAAAAAATTGTGGGTGGAGGACATGAACAGAAATATATTTCAATTGATGTCAATTTGTTTGGTACTATTCAAGGTTTCAGTATCCACTGGGAGTCTTGGAATGTATCTTCTGTAGATAAAGGGCCACTACTGTATTACAATGCCTATCAAATGTCTAGCAGAGAGAAAGGGCTCAGTAAATATTAGCCACTCCACCTCCAGAACAATAGCCATAGAAATTTTACTGTGAGAGGGTAAATAGATGTTTAGTTAACTGTTTTCAAGTACAGTTTCCAGTAGAAAAATAAGTATACAATCAAATAAAATGTCCATTGTTGCAATACCCTGAAATAATTTGAAAAATTCAGAATCTACTTAGTTTTAAGGTCTTTGAGGTCAGGAGTGAAACCTAAACATAAGGAGGCTATAAAGTACTAGACATTTTGTGTTCTTTGTAATTGACATTTGAATAAATACCAGGGGAAACAGGAAGTGAGCATGGAAAGCTTCTAGATGCACATTCTAGATACTGTAGGGAGGCTCTGCTATCTGCCTCTCTAAGTCTGTTCTGTTACAATGCAGCTAAGTCTCACCATGGGTTCTCCCATCCCTAGAGTGCTCCCTTAATCTTTGTTCCTGGCCTTGGATCATTAGACCTGCAGTTGTTACAGCCCCAGATATCGGCAGCTGTGTTTCTAACCATGGCTTGATAACCCAACCATGAACTTTGACCACCACCATCTGGTTTAACGATGTGGCTTTGTTGTTCTCTATTCAAGCCTGAATAGTTCCACCATCACGCTTGCTTGGCCCAATGAAATGTGAACGCAAGTGATGTGTGACTTCTGGGTGGCAGGGTTAAAAGCCCGGGTATGATTCACCAAGCGACCTATTCCCTGCCACATGATCCTGGGGGCAGATGGATAGCTGATCTCTGAGTGACTACAGTGAACAAAGAAAGAAAGACTCCTGCCAAACCTTGTGGACAGGTAGTACAAGCAAGAAATTAACTTTTGTTCTGTTAAGTCTCTGAGATGTTGGTTGTTGTTTTCCATTGTATAACCTACTTTTCTTGACAAAAACCCTCATTAAAGCAGAGCCTGAGCTCCTCTCCACTATTTAAAGAACTTGGGGATCTAGATCAGGACTAGCCATCCTGGAGATGTTCAGTAAAGATTCTCTAATTGAATACAAAATGTCCAATAACAAAATATGGGTTTTTTGAAGGCCCAATAGAATGGGTCATGTTTTAGTCTCATTTTATGATTTATTAAAGTCAAGGATAGCAAAGAAAGTAATATTTTTTAAGATGCTTAAAATAGAGTGTTAAAGTAGGGGAGAGGTTCTTAACCTATTCCCTTCACTCTTGTGTGAGAGAAGCTATCATTTAAAACCCTGGCTCTTTTCATACTTCAATCCTACTGATGTTTTTCTTTTCTTTGAGACGGAGTCAGGCTCGAGTGCAGTGGTGTGACCTCTTGGGTTCAAACGATTCGCCTGCCTCAGCCTACTGAGTAGCTGGGATTACAGCTGCATATCACCATCCTTGGTTAATTTTTGTGTTTTTTAGTAGAAATTAGGTTTCAACATGTTGGCCAGGGTGGTCTCAAACTTTTGACCTCAAGTGATCTGCCTACCTCAGCCTCACAAAGTGCCGGGATTACTGGCGTGAGCCACCATGCCTGGCCCCTACTGACTTTAAAAATATGAAGTTGTATGGTTGAAAAGTAACAGATTTTTCTTCCATTTTCTTCCTTTTCTCACTTTTCAGTCAGATAATTGGAATGTTCCCTTTGTAAGGTTGGGAAGAAGGACGATCAAGTGGGTAGCTAGCTCCTTGCACCTCTGTGGAAGAGCTAAACTTCCTCTGTGAAGAGCTTCACCACAGGGCCCTTGGCACTGGGGACAGAGTGGCACATTTATACCAAGCACCCACTTCCACTTTCTCTCTAACACTTGAAAACTTTCACAGTACTTTTTCACTAAGGCTACTGTCAAGTCTGAAAAATAAAGACATTGTTTCACTTAGAAGTTGTATTACCTGTGGATTATTTAAACTCCCCTAAATGACATCTAGATGATATAGTAAGAAATTTGTTGTGTAGTGTACAGTCAACTCAGATACAAAGAATGTAATGGCTTTAGTGAGCCAACTGTACTTGTAAAATTAAAACTTAACCAACATGTTGAATCAGGCACATAAAGTATTGGCTAAATTCATTTGCTTCCTTATAGACATTACTTTAGAAATTCCTCTTTAGTGTTTAAATAAATAATAATCTAAAGTAAAAAGCACAAACAGGAAAATAGGCTTTACAGTTAATTATTTTCTTTTGAAGTTTTATTCTTATTGTTTTTACTCTCAAGAAGTGGCGAAGTATCTTTAACTGGGTAAAAGTAGATTGTCTTTACCAAACTGTATATTTGGGTTTTTGTGAATTCCCAGTATCTTTTGGGGTACATACATAGTGTGCCAACATTTGAAAGTAAACAGAGAAATGAATTCTGCATATAAGTCTGGCTTTTTACGTTAGGTTATGATCAAGACAAGTTGATTTGTTCCTGGACACAAGGTGAGCCCATATGCTACTAGGTTACCCCTCACCTTGCTAGACAGATGCAGATTTATGAGGGCAAACCTTATAGGAACATCCTCTATCATTCCTCAGATGATAAGGCACTGGCTCCCATATTAAGTTTTAACAATCTAGTGAGTGAAAAATGAAAAACAGCGAGTATCTCTGGATTTAATCACAGACACATAAGAAAAGTAAAATTATCATTCAACCTCAGGGATAGTGGATGAAGGCAGAATCTTAGTCTTATAAATTTAATTTAATACATGAAATGCCTCCAAGATTTGAGGCTTTGTGGGATAATAAGAAACAATCACGGAAGACCTGCACTTTGAATAATCCAACGTCAATTTTTGCTTTTTATCTTACTCAATCTCTCAGCAACATTAGACATGGTTGACCCCTTCCTATTTCTTGAAGTATTTTCTGTGCTTGGCTCCCAGGATGCCATACTTTCCTGATTTTTTTCCCATATCATTGGCTTCTACTCCTTTGTCTTTTGTTGATTCAGTCTCAATTCTCCAGCCTCTGAAGTTTAAAATGCACCAGAACCAGTCCATGGACTTATTTAGCCTCACTCTTCCTACTGATCTCCACACAACGCCATGTGTATGCTGAGGACTCTAAAATATTCCGTCTCTTCCTTGGTGTCCAGACTTGAATAACTGCCTACCTGACATTTCAACTTGCATCTCAAACTTAACATAACTCAATTTTCCTCAATAAAACTTTCCTCTCCATTGTTATCCATGTTAGTATATGAGACCATGATTTGGGCAAAAAACTTGGAAATAAATCTTTATTCCTTTTTTTCCCTCATATCCACCCAATCCATCAAATTTTATCAGCACTTCCCTTAAGATATTCTATAATTGTATCATTTGTTACTACCCTTGTCCAAATCTACGTTTACTCTTGACCCCTTGCAATCAATTTTCTACACAGCATCCAACATGTTATTCTTTAAAATGTTAAATATTTTTCTTTGACACATACACTATTGCTGAAAATCTTACAATAGCTTCTCATCACACTTAGAATAAAACCACAGTGCTTTCTTCCTAAAAGGTTCGTATTATTTGAGCACTTGGTTCTCTCTCCAGTCTCATCCTCTCAGTCCTGTGAACTGTCTCAAGCTACAGTGACCCCCACAGTGTTTTTTGGCAAGTCAGTCATGCTCCTATTGCTCTTCTTAAATTTGCTTATCTTTCTGCCTCAAATGTTCTTCCTCAAGATAGCCTCATGGCTCACTCCCTCAATTCCTTCAGTGTATCTTCACATTAATCATTCAAAGAGGGTCTCAAGTAATGTAACCAAATCTATTCCACACTCTCCTTTATCCCCTACCCTGCTCAATTTTTCTTCATGGTCACCAAAAACAAGTAAAAAAATGAGACAATGATCTTCGATACATTGGACATCAAACAATAAAAAACAATAATTTCTGAAAGACTGGAGTCAATCAAGGTGATCTCTAATTTTCCTCAGCTTATTGATTTAAAAAAATAATCCAGACCTCAGAACAGGGAAGAGGAATGCAAGTACAGCCTAGAGAACTTCCTGAGTTGAGGAGATGAAACCAAGAGTCTGGGGAGGCCAACACAGCTGGAGTTTTCAGGATATAGTATATGAAAATAGAAAGCTGCACCAAAAAAACCCAAAAAAAAACAAAACAAAAAAAACAACTCCAGAGACCTGCAGAAGAAGGTCCTTTTTTCAGCAGAATACTGATCAACACATGCATGTGAGGAATCCATCCAAAGCCAGGGGAAAAAAAAACACTCAAAAAATTAGAGAAAGCAGTGTCTAGCATTAACACTGAGCTCTCACCAGCCAGAATGCACAACCATTTAATTCACAGGGCATTAGTAGAGTACTCAGAAGGGTCTTGCCTCAATAGTGGAAAACAATTAGCCCTAGACTAAACACTATTCTGGTCCCACATAATGAATCATAAAAGCAAAACACAAAAATATGAAATTGTTTTTAAGTAGCTGCATTCTACAACAAAGCTCAAAAAGCTGTAGGAATACAAATAACATGCAGTATTCAACAATGCAAATTCAAAGTGTCTGGCATCAAATAAAAGCTTACCAGGTACGCAAAGAAGTAGGAAAATATGACTCATAATGAGAAAAATGTCAATCAATTGAAACTGACCCAGAACATAAGCAGATAATAGAATAAAAGCATAAAAAAAGAATACTGCATTCCATATATTCAAACAAATAAGTAACAACATAAGAATGGTATAAGAAAGACCCAAATCAAATATTCAGAGATAAAAAGTACAATGTATGTGATTTAAAAAATACACCATATAAGATTATCTGATTATTAAGCTTTAGTGATTTTGAACACATAACAATTAAAACTATCCAAAACAAAACATCTAAAATAATTTTCAAAAATGTCATAAATGAACTATGGAACAACTTTAAGTAGCCTAATATGCATTTAATTGGAGTCTCTAGAAAGGGGTGGATAGAAAATACATATGAAGAAATAATGAATGAAAAATTTCCAAACCTGATTAAAACTATAAAACCACACATATACAAGTAGTTCCATGAAACCCAAGGACAAAAAAATGAAGAAAACTACAGCAAGGCACATCAAAAACAAATTGATCAAAACAAAACCAGTGCTAAAAATTAAATATCAAAACCAGTTTAAGAAAAAAAGAACTTTACATAAAGAAGAACAAAGATGAGGATGACAGCAGATTTCTTACTAGAAACAATGCAGGTAAGAAAACAGCATCTTTAAACTATTGAGAGAAAAAAGCATCATTCTATAATTCTATTCCAGTGAAAATGTGTTTCAAGAGTAAAGGTAAGCTGGGCACAGTGGCACATACTGGTAGTCCCAGGTACTTGGGAGATTGAGGCAAAATAATTACTTCAGCCCAGAAATTTGAGGCCATCCTAAGCAACATAGCAAAACAACATCTCTTAAAAAATAAAAAATAAAATAAATAAAATAGAGCCAAAGCAGTTTTTTTTTTTTTTTTTTTTTTTTTTTTTGCCAGACATGGTGGTGCATCCCTGTAATCCCAACACTTTGGGGGATAAGGCAGGAGGATCATTTGAAGCTAGGAGTTCAAGACCAGACTGGGCAACATAGAAAAACCTCCTTTCCACTAAAAATTTAAAAATTGGGCTGGAATGGGTGTGCACACCTATAGTTCCAGCTACTTAGGAGGCTGACGCATGAGAATTGTTTAAGCCCAAGAGTTCAAGGCTGCAGTGAAACATAATTACACCATTGTGCTTCAGCCTGGGTGAAAGAGCAAGACCCCATTTCAAAAAAAATAAAAAAATATTTTTTGGAAAGACAAAAGCTGAAAGAATTCATCACCATTTCAGATCTGCACTGTTTGGAAAAAAATAAAAATATATTATGAAATTTATAACATATAAAAGTAAAATGTATGACAATAATAAAAAGGGCAGGGAAGGGTAAATGGAAGTATCAATTGTAAAGTCTGGTAATGTACTGTTGCAAGGCTCTTATACAATATGTAAAGTAATGTCACTTGAAAATAGACTAAGTTAAAAATGTATACTCTAAATCCTGAACAATGAGTAATACAAAGTATGATAGCTAATAAGCCAATAAGAAAATGTAATAGAAACAAAAAGTTAATCAAAAAGAAGGCAGACAAAAGAAGGAAAGAGGTGAAAGAAAAAAATGGACAAATGGAAAACAAATGGCAAAATGATAGATTTAAATCTAACAATATTAAAAGCCATATTAAATGCAAATGGTCTAAACATACCACTTAATGGCAGATACTGTCATAATGGATATAGAAACAAGACCCAACTATATACTGTTGATAAGCAATAAACTTTAAACATACACAGTTTAAAAATAATAAAATGAAAAATAGACACCATGATGAAACCAGTGGAAAGAAAGCTACGATCAAAACAATTGATTTTAGAACAACAAATATTACCAAAGATAAAGCTGATCATTTCACAGTGCTAAAGTGGTTTGTTGTTTAAGAGAATATGACGATCTGGTTCAAGAGCTTCAAAATGCATAGAGCAAAAACTGATAGAATTACAATAAAAAAGAGAGAAATCTGCAACTATAGTTAGAGATTTTAATTTCTTTCTGTCCATGACTGATAAAAGTAGACAGAAATCATTAAGTATATAGAATACTTGGATGACACTATCAACTAAACTGACCTGGTTGACATTTATAGCACACTTTACCCATAAACAAAAATCACACTTTTTTTTCCCAAATGTATGTAGGACACTTATCAATATAAATCATAATCCAAGCCATAAAACAAGTCTCAATACTTAAAAGAAGTCAATTCTTATAAAGCATAATTTCCGAATACCATAAAACTAAACTGGAAAAAAAAATAACAGAAATATCTTTGGAAAATCCTCATTTATTTTGAAACTAAATAATACTCTTATAAAACTTATAAATCAAGGAAATCAAAAGAAAAATTAGAAATTATTTTGAAATGAAAATGGACTTATAGAAGATCTGAATGAATATTAAAACACAGCATATCAAAATTTTAGGGATACCAGTAAAGCACTATGTGGAAGTATTTGTAACACTAAATATGTATATCCAAAAATTTAAAAACATCTCAAACCAATGACTTTAACCTTTAAAAACTAGAAAGAGAACAGTAAATTAAACCCAAGATAGGTGGAGGAAGAAATTAGTAAATATCTGAACAGAAATTACTAAACTAGAAAATGGAAAAATAATAAAGAAGGTTAATGAAATCAAGAGTTAATTCCTTGAAAAAGTCAATAAAATTAATGAAGTTCTCATGGCCAGTCTGATCATGAAAAAAGAGAGAGAGATGGTACAAAATAAAAGAATAGAAATAAAAGAAATAATATCACTACAGAACACATAAATCTTTAAAGGATATTTAAGGAATTATTATTTTAAAAACTTTTAAGCCAATAAGTGTGCAACTTAGATAAAATGGACAGATTTCTTGAAAGACACAAGCAATGAAACATGTTCAAGAAAAAATAGATTTCCAGAATAGCACTATATCAATAAATAAATGAAACTTGAAGTTAAGAACCTTCTTAGAAAAGAGAGAACTCTGGGAAGATGGTGGAGAAGAAATAATCAGAAATCGGCCTTCCGTCACTCCCAAGATAATAACTGCACTGGCAGAATTTGTCTGATATAAGTATTTTGGAACTCTGGAATCTACTGAAGAATTGAAGCTTTTAGGGGGAGACTAGAATGGTAAATGGTGATTAATTTTGGTCAATTATTATTATTTTTGAGACACAGTCTCGTTCTGTCACCTAGGCTGGAGTGCAGTGGTGCAATCTCAGCTCACTGCAAGCTCTGCCTCTTGGGTTCACGCCATTCTCCTACCTCAGCCTCCCTAGTAGCTGGGACTACAGGTGCCCACCACCACGCCCGGCTAATTTTTTGTATTTTTAGTATAGACGGGCTTTCACTGTGTTAGCAAGGATGGTCTCGATCTCCTGACCTCGTGATCCACACGCCTTGGCCTCCCAAAGTCCTGGGATTACAGGCGTGAGCCACTGCGCCCAGCCTAATTTTGGTCAATTTTAACTCAGCACAGTAGCAGCTACCCATGCCTCACCTCGTCATTTAGCCACATGGCAGGGAACTTTGCATATGTTCCTGGAGCAGCTTTCGTACAACTTAAGAGGGTGAGGGTGGGCAAAAAGGATGCTGTCTTCCCAATGTTAGAGATCTGTGCTCATATTGCTGATTGTTACTCTAAACATAAAGGTGCTGATAAAGAGGTGGCGACCATTGTTGCCACATCTCCCTTAATTATTGCAAGCCCCTTCCACTCTGGCTGGGGTGACTTTGAGAAGATGTAAAGGGCTGGCACATTTTTTCCTCCCTTCAATGTTCTTTTTTCTCCTTTTGGGAACCAGTTATTGAAAACAATGAAGTTCAAAGGCAACTACATATACAGGGGAAATAAGAAAGTTACTGTATATTTACAGGGAATATACAGAAAAAGCTCAGAGAAGACCTAAGGAGACCTTAAGTTTAAACCTAAATCTGATCCTCAACACATAGACACCCTACAACATTAGAAAAATAAATGAATGAATAAATAAATAAATAAATAAATAAATAAATAAATAAACAGTAAATATGGAGGAATGGGGAGAATCTGATTTCTAGAGTTACCACATTATTAGATTTAAATGTCAAGTTTTCAATAAAAGAGGAAAGTATTGCCCATTCAAAGGAAAAAATAAATTAACAAAAACTGCCCCTGGAAAAGACCTGATGTCTGATCTACTGGACAAAGGCTTCAAAACAACTGTTTTAAAGGTGCTCAAAGAACTAAAGGAAAAAAATAGAAAGTAAACAAAGATGTATGAATAAAATAGAAATATCAATAAAGAGATAGAAAACCTAAAAAGTAGAAATAAAAAACAATTCTGGAACTGAAAAGCACAATAAATAAAATAAGAAGTTCACTAGCAAGATTCAAAGGCAAATTTGAGCAGGCAGAAGAAAGAATCTACAAACTTGAAAACAGAAAATTGGAAATTATCAAGTGTGAGAACCAGAAAAAAAAAAAAAGGTTGAAAAGGAGTGAACAAATCCTAAGAGACCTGTGCAACACCATCAAGCACACTGACATATGCATTGCAGAAGTTTCAGGGAGAATGGAGAGAAAGTGGCAGAAAACTTATTTGAAGAAATAATGGCCAAAAACTTCCCAAATTTGATGAAAGACATAAATGTAAACATCATCCAAGAAACTCATTGAACTCCAAGTGGGATGAACTCAAAGAGACCCACTCTGTGACATGTAATCAAACCCCCTAAAGACAATCTAACAGCAATAAGAAAGAAGTGACTCAGCACACACTCACAAGGGATCCTCAATGAAAGTATCAGCAGATTTCTCATCAGAAACATTGGAAGTCAAAAGGCAGTGAGCTAACATTTAAAGTGCTAAAAGAAACAAACTACCAAGAATCCTATGTTAGGCAAAACATTACTTCAAAAGTGAGAAAGAAATTAAGACCTTCCCAGATACACAAAAGTTGAGAACTGCCCCACAGGTTGAAATGAAAACATACCAAACAGTAACTCAAAGCCATATGAAAAAATAAATATCTCAGTAAAGGTAAATATACAAGCAATTGTAAAAGCAGGTATTGTTGTAACAATGGTGTGTAACTTCACTTTTTGTTTTCTGTGTGATTTAAAAGACTAATACTTTTTAAAGAAACAATTATCAAATCAAAAAGCTAACATTATTCTACCTTTGATTTCTAACTCCACTCTTTGTTTTTTACATAATTCATGAAACTAAGGAATTTAAAAATTGTAAGTTTAGATTCTGGACACATAAGGTATGAAGACGTAATTTTGTGATGTCAACAACTAAAAAGCATGGAGATGAAGCTGTTAAAGGAGAAAAGCTGTTGCATGCTATTAATGTAAAGCTGGTATAAGTTAAATGTAATAATACTGTTGTGACTTTAAGATGTTAAATGTAATACTTATGATAACCACAAAGAAAATAGCTGAAGAATATTAACAAAAGGAAGTGAGAAATAAATTTAAACACTTCACTATAAAAAATCAGCTAAACACAAAAAAAGACAATAATTTGGGAAATAAGAAACGAAAATGCCTTAGGGCACATAGAAAACAAGTAGCCAAATGAAGAAAGTAAGTCCCTCTTTATTAGTACAGTCATGCATAATGCCATTTTAGTCAATGTTGAACCACATATATGACACTGGTTCTATATGATTAAAATTGAGCTGAAAAATATCTAACACCTAGTGACGTTATAGCCATTATAACATCATAGTGTAATGCATTACCTTCTCTATGTTTATGTATGTTTAGATATACAAATACTTACCATTGTGTTACATAGCCTACAGTATTCAATACAGCGACATGCTGTACAGGTTTGTAGCCTAGGAGCAATAGGCAATACCATGTAGATTAGGTGTATAGCAGGCTATACTATATAGGTTTGCATAAGTACTCTCAACTATGTTCACAAACAACAATGAAATTGCCTTAAAATGCATTTCTCAGCATGTTTCCCCATTGTTAAGTATGCATAACTGTAATTACATTAAATGTAAATGTATTAATCTCCCCAATCAAAAGACAGAGATTGGAAGAATGGATTAAAAAGCATGATGTAACTATATGCTATCTAAAAGGGACTAATTTTAGATTCAAAGACACAAATAGGTGAAAAGTAAAAGAGTGGAAAAGATATTCCATGCAAATAGTAACCAAGAGAGAACAGGGGTGACTGTACCAATATCAGACAAAATAGACTATAAATCAAAAAATTTCACGAGACATAAATTAGGACATTATATTTTAATAAAAGCTTCAATATGGTATGAGGATATAATGATTATAAACATTATACACCTAATAACAGACTATCAAAATATATGAAGCAAAAATTAACACAGTCAAAATAGGAGTAAATAATTCTATAATAATTGTTGATTTCAACATTCCACTCTAAATAATAGATATAACAACCATACAGAAGATAAGTAATGGAACAGAGCAATTGAATAACACAATAAACCAACTAGATCTAACAGACGTATACAAAACACCCTACCCAACAGCAATGAAATACACATTCTTCTCTAGTGCACACATTTTCCAGAATAGACAATCTCTTAGGCCACAAGTTGAGTCTCAGTGAATTTTCAGTGACAATGTACAATATCTTCATCAGTCACAAATGGATGAAATTAGAAATCAATAACAGGAGAAACACTAGAAAATTCACAAATTTGTGGAAATCAAACAACACTTTTTTTTGACAAACAATGGTTAAAAGAAGAAATCATTAGGGAAATTAGCAAATACTTAGAAACAAGTGAAAATGAAAACACAACATACCAAAACATGGTGAAAGCAGTGCTAAGGGGAAAATAGTAGCTGTAAATGCTTGCATTAAAAAAAGAAAGATCTCAGATTATCAATCAACCTTTACTACTTGAGAAACTAGAAAAAAAAAAAATCCCAAAGCTAGCAGAAGGAAAGGAATAATAAAGATTAGAGCAGAGATAAGAAAGAGAATAGAAAAATAATGGAGAATCAATGAAAGCAAAATTTATTACTTGAAAATATTAAGAAAATTGCAAATCTTTAGCAAAGTAAACAATAAGATAGATAAGAAATTAATAATAAGATAAAAACAAATCAATGAAATCAAAAATGAAATTGGGAACATTACTACTGATTCTATAGAAATGAAAAGAAGGATTCTAAGAGAGTACAATAAAAAATTGTACAATGACAAATACATAGGTGAAAATGGAAAAACTTCTAGCAACACAAAACCTACAAAGACTAAACTACAAATAAATAGAAAATCTGAATGGACATATAACTACCAAGAAGATTGAATCAGTAATTTAAAATTTTTTCAACAAAGGAAAGCTCTAGAACTGATGGCTTCACTAGTGAATTCTACCAAACACTTAAAGAAAAATTAATAGCAGTCCCTCTCAAATTTTTCCAAAACATTGAAGACAAGAGAACACTCTCTAATTCATTTGATAAGGCCAGCATTAACCCAATATCAAAACCAGACAAAGATACTATAAGAAAAAAAAAATACAGACAAATATCCTTTATGAGTATTGATGCAAAAATCCTCCACAAACGCAAGCAAACCAAATTCAGCTGCACATTAAATAAAGTATACAAAGTGAGGAAATGGGATTTATTTCTGGAATGCAAAGGTAGTTCAACATATGAAAATCAATATAATATACCACATTAACAGAATGAAGGAAAACAAACCATATGATCCTCTCAATTGAGGCAGAAAAGCATTTGAAAAATTCAACATTTTTTCATGATAAAAACACTAAATAAAGTGTAAAAGAAAATTATCTCAACATAATAAAAGCCATATATGAAAATCCCACAATGAACATTTTACTCAGTGATAAAAGACTGATAGTTTTTCTCTAAGACAATGCAAGAATGACCATTTTTGCCACTTCTATTTAAGGTAGTACTGGAAGTCTTAGCCACAGTAATCAGGAAAGAAAAATAAATAAAAGGCATCTAAATTGGAAGAAATTTAGTAAATTTAAAAGAGGATTATATCATCTGGTTGCACATCATCTGCAACCAGATAATATTATCTTATAGGAAAAAAAAGTAAAAAATTTGCAAAAAATCTATTAGAACCAATAAACAAACTCAGCAAAGTAGCAAGATACAATGATATCACATAAAAATCAGTTGCTTTTCTTCAGAGATGAGGTCTTGCTCTGTAGCCCAGGCTAGAGTGCAGTGGCATGATCACAGCTCACTACAGCCTTGAATTCCTGAGCTTTAGGGATCCTCTTGCCTCAGCCTCCTGAGTAGCTAGGACCACAGGAGGGTGCCAACATGCCTAGCTATTTTTTTTAACTTTTTTTTTTTGTTTTGTAGAGACAGAGGTCTAGCTATTTTGTCCAGGCTTGTCTCTAACTCCTGACCTCATAAGATCCTCCTTTCTTAGCCTCGTAAATTGCTGAGAACATAGGTCTGAGCCACCACACCTGGCACAGTTGAACTTCTATACACTAAAAATGAACAATCTGAAAAAGAAATTCAGAAAATTTTATTTACAATAACATGAAAAATAAAATATTTAGGATTAAACTTAAACATAAAGGTGAAAGACCTGTACAATGAAAACTACAAAACATCTCAGAAAGAAATTAAAGACAAATAAATAAAAGCAAATCCCATGTTAACAGCTTGAACAACCATGTTGTTAAGATGCCGATGCTACCCAGAGTGACTACAGATTCAATGCAACCCCTATTAAAACTGCAATGACATGTTTTGCAGAAATAGAAAAATCCATCTTAAAATTCATATGGAGTTTCAAGGTATGATGAGTAGCCAAAACAATCATGAAAAATAAGAACAAAACTGAAGGATTCACACTTTCTGATTTTAAAATTTACTGCAAATCTATAGCGATCAAAATAATGTGGAACTGGCATAGTGATAGACACAAAACCCAATGGAATAGAATAGATAATCCAGAAATAAAATCTCAGATATATGGTCAAATGGTTTTTGAGGAGGTGCCAAGACCATCCAATGAGGAAATTACAGTCTTTTAAACAAATGACACTATGAAAATTGGATATCTACATGCAAAATAATAAAGTTCAGTTCTCATCTAACACCATATACAAAAATTAATTCAAAATGGATCCATTACCAAATATAAGATCTAAAATGATAAAACTCTTAGAAGGAAACATAGGGCAAAAACTTCATGACACTGGATCTGGCAATAGTTTATTTGGTGTGATTCCAACGGACAGGCAACAAAAGCAAAAATGATAAAGTATACTTTATGAAAATTTAAAATTTTTATTCATCAAAAAACACTACCAACAGAGTTAAAGGCAACAGAATGCAAGAAAATATTTGCAAAATATATATCTGATAAGGAATTAATATCCAGAATATAGAGAGAACCCCTTAAAAACTCAACAACAAAAACACAAGCAACCCAATTCAAACATGGGCAGAGGACTTGAATAGACATTTCTCCAAGGAATATATGCAAATCACTGGTAAACAAATAAAAAGATACTCAAGATCACTAATCATTAGGGAAACACAATTCAAAACTATAATGAGATACCACCTCAAGTTCATTAGGATGACCATAATGCCTTTAGATGGTAGAAAATTTTATTAAGATTTATTAAATGAGATGCACACAATTTTTTTTCTTTAAGTAAACCTGAATTTGGTGCTTTTCCAAAAAAAAAAAAATAAGCTAAGATATATTTAGGATGTACTATTTACAGACCTCTGTTTGCCAATATAGAACTGCAAGAGATTATCTTTTTTTAACTTTTATTTAAAGTTCAGGGAACAGAAATACCATTCGACCCAGCAATCTCATTACTGAGTATATACCAAAAGAAACATAAATCATTCTATTATAAAGACACATGCATGTGTATATTCATTGCAGCATTATTCACAACAGCAAAGGCAAAGAATCAACCTAAATGCCCATCAGTGAGGGACTGGGTAAGGAAAATGTGGTATATATACACAATGGAACACTATGCAGCCATAAAAAAAGTATGAGATAATGTCCTTTGCAGGTACATGGGTAGAGCTAGAGGTCATTATCCTTAGCAAACTAACACAGGAACAGAAAACCAAATACTGCATGTTTTCACTTATATGTGGGAACTAATGATGAGAACACATGGACACATAGAGGGGAACAACACACACTGGGGCCTATTGGAGGGTGGAGAATGGAAGGTGGAAGGAGGGAGAGGACTAGGAAAAATAACTAATAGGCACTAAGCTTCATACCTGGATAATGAAATAATCTGTACAACAAACCCCCACAATACAAGTTTACCTAATTAACAAGCCATGATTTCTAAAAACAGTGACAACAAAACTGGAAAATAAGTGTTGGCAAGATTGTGGAGCAACTGGAATATTTGTGAACTGTTTGTGAAAATGTTAAATAGTGTAGGCTCTGTGGAAAACAGTATGGTAGTTCTCTAAAAATTTAATAACAGAATTACCATATTACCCAGTAATTCCACTTCTTGGTATACACCCAAAAGAATTGAAGAGTCTCAAAGAGATAGCCATGTTCATGGCAGCATTATTTAAACAGCGCCTCTACCTGGCCGCTCCGTCTGGGAAGTGAGAAGCGCCTCTGCCCGGCGCCCCCATCTGGGAAGCGAGGAGCGCCCCTGCCTGGCCACCCTGTCTGGGAAGTGAGGAGCGTCTCTGCCCAGCCACCCCACCTGGTAGGTGAGGGGCGCCTCTGCCTGGCCGCCCCGTCTGGGAGGTGAGGGGCGCCTCTGCCAGGCCGCTCCGTCTGGGAGGTGGGGGGCGCCTCTGCCCGGCCGCTCCGTCTGGGAGGTGGGGAGCGCTTCCGCCCGGCCGCCCCGTCTGGGAGGTGGGGAGCACCTCTGCCAGGCCGCCCCGTCTGGTAAGTGTACCCAACAGCTCCGAAAAGACAGCGACCATCGAGAACGGGCCATGATGACGATGGCGGTTTTGTCGAAAAGAAAAGGAGGAAAAGTGGGGAAAAGAGAGAGATCAGATTGTTACTGTGTCTGTGTAGAAAGATGTAGACATAGGAGACTCCATTTTGTTCTGTACTAAGAAAAATTATTCTGCCTTGGGATGCTGTTAATCTATAAACTTACCCCCAACCCCCTGCTCTCTGAAACATGTGCTGTGTCAACTCAGGGTTAAATGGATTAAGGGCCGTGCAAGATGTGCTTTGTTAAACAGATGCTTGAAGGCAGCATGCTCCTTAAGAGTCATCACTACTCCCTAATCTCAAGTACCCAGGAACACAAACACTGCTGAAGGCCGCGGGGACCTCTGCCTAGGAAAACCAGAGACCTTTGTTCACGTGTTTATCTGCTGACCTTCTCTCCACTATTATCCTATGACCCTGCCACATCCCCCTCTCTGAGAAACACCCAATAATGATCAATAAATACTAAATAAATAAATAAATAAATAAATAAATAAAAATAAAAATAAAAAATAAAAAAATAAAAATACTGTATTATTCCACTTACATGAAGTACTTAGAGTAGTCAAGATCATAGAGACAGAAAGTAGAATGGTAGTTGCTAGGGCTGGGAGGAGAGGGAATGGGAATTTATTGTCCAACGGCATAGAGTTTTGCAAAGAGTTCTGGAGGTGAGAGGTGGTGATGGTTGCACAATAGTGTGAATGTGCATAATGCCATTGAATTGTTTACTTTAAAATGGTGAAACTACTTTGTATAACATTATAATGGTGTATATAAGTCATTATACATCTGTCCAAACCCATAGACTGTATAACACCAAGAGTGAATCTGAATATTAACTCTGGGCAAGATGGCAGATAGGAGGCAGGACTAACCTGCAGCTCCTACTCGGACGGACAGAGCAGCGTGTGGAGACTCACACCATAAATTTTTGATCCAAGAGTGACCACAGGAACACACCAGGAAAGCCAAGAGAATCCACGGACGCTTTGTAGGAAATGGATCACCCCTTCAGGCTCCCTGAGATGCCAAAAACCTGCCAGTTTACTTGCTTTCTCAATGGGGAGGCTCATGGTCTGTGTCAAGTTCTTAGCTCTGGTCACCAACTTCCTGGAAATAGACTCAGTGCTGTTGGGAGTGAGACTGGCCTTTAGGACTGCAGGCTGCATGGGAGCAGGGTGAGGTCCGTGACTGCCAGCTTTCCCCCACTTACCTAGTTACCTGCATGACTCAGCAGAGGCAGCCATAATCCCTCTGGGAATATAACTCCATTGGACTGGGAACCACACCTCCATGCCCCACAGCAGCCAAAGCAAGCATTGCCTAAGGAGAGGCTGAGCTCAAACACACCTAACCCTGCCCCCATCTGTTGGTCTTTTTCTACTCACCCTGGTAGCCAAAGACAAAGGTCATAATCTCTTGGGAGCTCTATGGCCCTATCCATGGCCTGAGAAACCTGAATACTTAACCAGGTTTCCCTAGGGCAAGTTTACATCTTCCCTATAGGTGGCCAGATGATGCACTGTTTTTTTTTTTTCTTTCTTTTTTTTTTTTTTTTTGAGACAGAGTCTTGCTCTGTCGCCCAGGCTGGAGTGCAGTGGCACAATCTCGGCTCACTGCAAGCTCCGCCTCCCGGGTTCACACCATTCTCCTGCCTCAGCCTCCCAAGTAGCGTATAGGTGCACACCACCACGCTCAGGTAGTTTTTGTATTTTTAGTAGAGACGGGGTTTCACTGTGTTAGCCAGGATGGTCTCAATCTCCTGACCTCATGATCCGCCCGCCTCGGCCTCCCAAAATGCTGGGATTACAGACGTGAGCCACCACGCCCGGCTGCTGAGGCACTCTTGAAAGTGCCACCTCCTGGCTAGAGGCCAACTAATACAAAACCAGCGCACTAAACATTTTACACAACCATGGATCCTCACAGAGTCCACTTCACTTCCCTGTTACCTCTACCAGAGCAGGTGCTGGTATCTACGGCTATAAGACCTGAAGACGGATCACATCACAAGACTATTTGTAGACACTCCCCAGTACCAGCCCAGAGCCCAGCTGCTCTGCTGGGTGGCTAGACCCAGAAGAGCAAAAACAATCACTACAGTTTGGCTCTCAGGAAGCCCCATTTCTAGGCGAAGCGGGAGAACACCACAACAAGGGAACCCTGTGAGACAAAAGAATCTAAACAGCAGCATTTGAATCCCAGACTCTAACAGTCTACCCAAATGAGAAGGGACCAGAAAAGAAATTCTGGTTATATGACAAAACAAGGTTCTTCAACATCCCCAAAAGATCATACCAGCTCACCAGCAATGGATCCAGATCAAGACAAAAATCTCCGAATTACCAGAAAAAGAATTCAGAAAGTCAAGTATTAAGCTAAACAAAGAGGCACCAGAGAAAGGTGAAGTTCAACTTAAAGAAATCAAAAACTATGTTAAACATCCAAACCTAAGAATAATTAGTGTTCCCAAGGAAGAAGAGAAATCTAAAAGTGTGGAAAACATATGTGAGGGAATAATTGAGGGAAACTTCCCCAGCCTTGCTAGAGATCTAGACATCCAAATAAAAGAAGCCCAAAGAACACCTGGGAAATTCATCACAAAAAGGTCATTGTCTAGGTACAGAGTCATCAGGTTATCTAAAGTCAAGACAAAGGAAGGAATCTTAAGAGCTGTGAGGCAGAAGCATGAGGTAACTTATAAAGGAAAACATATCAGATTAATAGCAGATTTATCAGTAGAAACCCTACAAGCTAGAAGAGATTGGGGTCCTATTTTTAGCTTCCTTAAACAAAACAATTATAAGCCAAGAATTTTGTATCCATTGAAACTAAGTTTCATAAATAAAGGAAAGATACAGTCTTTTCCAGACAAACAAATGATGAGAGAATTCACCACTACCAAGCCAGCACTGCAAGAACTGCTAAAAGGAGCTCTAAATCTTGAAACAAATTCTTGAAATACACCAAAATAGAACCGCCTTAAAGCATAAATCTCATAAGACCAATATAACAATAACACAATACAAAAAAACCCAAGGTATTCAGACAACAATGTATAGGATAGTACCTCACATTGCAATACTAGTATTGAATATAAATGGCCTAAATGCTCCACTTAAAAGATACAGAATGGCTGGGTGCGGTGGCTCACACCTGTAATCCCAGCACTTTGGGAGGCCAAGGCAGGCGGATCACCAGGTCAGGGATCGAGACCATCCTGGCCAACATGGTGAAACCCTGTCTCTACTAAAAATAAAAAAAAAAATTGGCCAGGCGTGGTGGCAGGCACCTGTAGTCCCAGCTACTTGGGAGGCTGAGGCAGGAAAATGGCATGAACCCAGGAGGTGGAGCTTGCACTGAGCCGAGATTGCCCCACTGCACTCCAGCCTGGGTGACAGAGCGAGTCTCCATCTCAAAAAAAAAATATCTATATCTATATCTATATATACACACACACACACACATATATATATACAGAATGGTAGAATGGGTAAGAATTCACCAATCGAGTTTCTGCTGTCTTCAGGAGACTCATCTAACATATAAGAACTCACATGAACTTAAAGTAAAGGGGTAGAAAAAGATATTTCATGCAAATAAACACCAAAAACAATCAGGAGTAGCTATTCTTATATCAGACAAAACAAACTTTAAAGCAACAGCAGTTAAAAAAGACAGAGAGGGGCTGGGTGCAGTGGCTCATGCCTGTAATCCCAGCACTTCGGGAGGCCAAGGCTGGCGGATCACCTGAAGTCAGGAGTTCAAGACCAGCCTGGCCAACATGGTGAAACCCTGTCTCTACTAAAAATACAAAAATTAGCTGGGCATGGTGGTGGGTGCCTGTAATCCCAGATACTCAGGAGGCTGAGGCAGGAGAATTGCTTGAACCCAGCTGGCGGAGGTTGCAGTGAGCTGAGATCACACCGCTGCACTCCAGCCTAGGGGACAGAGCAAGACTCTGTCTCAAAAAAAAAAAAAAAAAAAAAAAGCAATTTTTAACAATATTAACACTGGGCTCTGGGTGATAATGATGTGTCAATGTAGGTTTATCATTTGTAACAAATATATTGGTCTGGGAAATCTCCATACCTCCTGTACAATTTTGCTATGAATCTAAACCGGCTCTAAAAATAAAGTCTATAAAAATAATTTTTAAAAATAGAAAAAAGGTTAATATAATAAACTTTATGTTATGCATATTTTATCTGAATAAAAAAATGGGAAAAAATTATCCCCAAAAAAGAAAACTTTAGGTCCACATAGTTTTGCTGGTAAATTCTATGAAATGTTTAAGGAAAAATTCATACCAATTCTAAAAAAACTAGTCCAAATAATTGAAGAAATTATTCCTCACTTTCTATTAGATACAAAATCTGGAAAAAGACGTTAAAAAAAAAGAAAAGAACAGAGCAATATCCTTCATGAAAATAGATACAAAAATATTAAATAAAATTTAGCAAATTGAATCCAAATCAAGTTTTGTCCCAGAAATGCAAGATTTGTTTAACATTTAAAAATTGATAAATGTAATTTATCATGGTAAAAAACTAAAAAAGAAAATCTATTATGATCTTCTCGGTTGATACAGAGGGAAGCATCTGACAAAATCCAACATTTATTCCTGATAAAACTCTCAGCACACTAGGAATAGAAGGGAATTTCCTTAACCTAATAATCATCACCTATGGAAATTCTATGGCTAATATTATTTTCAGTAGTGAAAACTGAATGCTTTCCCCTTAAAAAGGGGAATGAGATAATGATGTCTACTTTTATCTCTTCCTTTCAACATTGTGCAAGATATTTTAGCTACTAAGCCAAGAGTAGTTATACAAAACACATCCTGATTGGTAAGAGAAAAGTACAATTGTCTTTATCTGATGGCAGTGTGATCACTTCTGTAAAAACTTCAATGAACAATAAGCTAATAAAAAAAGCTAAGTGAGTTAGCAAGGCTGCAGAATAAAAGATCAATATAAAAATTCAATTGTATTTCTAACTGTTCCCAATGAACGTTACAAATTGAAATTTTTAAAACTATGAAAATACCGTCAATTAATACCAACTACTTACATATGAGTCTGACAAAAGATGCTCAAGCCATGCAAACTGAAAACTGTAAAATATTACTGAGAAAAATTAAAGAAAACCTAAATAAGTACAGAACTGTTTCTGTTCATGGATGAGGAGACTCAATATTTTGTAATGCAGATATGCTGCAAATTAATATATAGATTCAATGTATTCCCAGTCAAAATTTCATCAAGCTTTTATGTACAAATTGATAAGCTGATTCTAAAATTTGCTGGAAATTTAAGGGACCTAGAAAAGCCAAAGCAATTTTATAAAAGAAAAACAAAGAGGATTAGCTCTACCTAACTTCGAGACTAAGGTTAAAGTAATAAAGACAGTGTGGTATTGGTATTAAGATAGACAAATAGGCTGGGCGCGGTGGCTCACTCCTGTAATCCCAGCATTTTGGGAGGCCGAGGCTGGCAGATCACAAGGTCAGGAGATCGAGACCATCCTGGCTAACACGGTGAAACCTGTCTCTACTAAAAAAAAAAAAAAAAAAATACAAAAAATTAGCCAGGTGTGGTGATGGGTGCCTGTAGTCCCAGCTTCTTGGGAGGCTGAGGCAGGAGAATGGTGTGAACCTGGGAGGCGGAGCTTGTAGTGAGCCGAGATCGCGCCACTGCACTCCAGCCTGGGCAACAGAGCAAGACTCCATCAAAAAAAAAAAAAAATAGACAAATAGATCAATGGACCAAACCAGAGTCCAGAAACAGGCCCATACATATAGAGACAACTGATTTTTTGGCAACAGTGAAAAGGCAATTCAGTGGAGAAAAGATAGTCTTTTGACAAATGGTGCTAGAACAATTGGATAATGGCATGCAAAATATAAACTTTGGTTCGCACCTCACATCATATACAAAAATTAGCTAAAAATTGATCCTAGACCTAAATGCAAAACCAAAAGCATTAACACTTGTAAAACACATAGAAATTTTTTGTGACTTTGCATTAAACAAAGATTTAATTGATATGAAACTGAAAGAATAATCCATTAAAAGTTAATAAATTGTATTTTATAAAAATTAAAATGTGTGACCTTTAAAAGTTACTGTTAAAAAATGCAAAGATAAATCACAGACTGGGAGAAAATATTTGCAAATAATATCTGTAATAAGGCAATTGTTACAGATATTATTTGTATTATTTGAGAGTTCTTCAGATAATATAAAGAACTCTCAAAACTTAAGAGTAAGAAAAAAATTCAATTGTTAAAATGGAAAAATTATTTGAAGAGACACATCACAAAAGAATACAAGTGTATGGCCAAGAGGCACATGAACAGATGCTCAAATGTATTAGTCATTGGGTAAATGAAAATTAAAACCGCAAGATTACAGTACATTCCTATTAGAACAGCTAAAATTAAAAATGCTGGCCATACCAAGTGTTGCCAAGGATGTGGAGCACTAGAATTCTCAGACAATGAGGATGGAAATGTAAAATGGTGCAGTCACTTTGCAAAACTGTTTGCCATCATTTAAAAGTTGTAAAAGTATATGTATTATATACCTAGCAAGTCCACTCCTAGTTATTTACCCAATAAAAATAAAAGAATATGTCCAAACAAAGACACAAAAAATTTGTAGCAGGATTGTTTTCAATAATCCCAAAATGGAAACAACCCAATATGTCCATCAACAGGTTACACCGCATGTTCTCACTCATAGGTGGGAATTGAACAACGAGAACACTTGGACAAAGGAAGGGGAACATCACACACCGGGGCCTGTTGTGGGGTGGGGGGAAGGGGGAGGGATAGCATTAGGAGATATACCTAATGTAAATGACGAGTTAGTGGGCACAGCACACCAACATGGCACATATATACATATGTAACAAACCTGCACGTTATGCACATGTACCCTAGAACTTAAAGTATTATATATATATATAAATATATATATAAAAACAGGTTAATGGATAAATTTTAGTATATCCATATAATGAAATACTACTCAGCAGTAAATAAGAACAAAGTGTTGTTACATACAGCTACATGAATAAATCTCAGAATAATTAAGCTGAGTGAATGAAGATAGATAAAAAGGCTAAACGATATGATTCCATTAATTATAAAACTCCAGAAGATGCAAATTTCCCTGTAACAGAAAGCAGATCAGTAATTGCCTCTGGGCAAATGAAATGAGGGCAAGTAAGAAGGAATGAGAAGGGTATTCAGGAAACGTTTGCAGAAAATTGATGTGTTTACTATCTTGAAAGTGTAAAGGTTTTATAGAGATACATATATGTATATATGCCAAAACTTATGAAATTGAACACTTTAAATATATGCAGTTTATATTACATCAATTTGCCTCAATAAAATCGATTCTAGAAAGAGAGTTATATGGAATTCAGGCTGTAGCTAGACAGAAAGATTTTGTAGCTACCATCCTAGTGGTGATAGCTTAGGAGTTCCTGCAAATAAATTCAAGGTGCCACAATTCTTCTAATATATGCAGAATTTGAGTGCCCTAGGTTATTTATAGTCAACTGCTGGGGATTGAATCCCAGCTATATTAAGTTGGAAAGTGTGGCTCTTTGGCAAGTTTTCTTATCCAGCTTCATGGAGTTGTTGTGAGGATTTAATAGATCAAATAGTAAGTGCTCAATAAATGTTACGAGCACATGTTATAAAATGGTTTATTATTATGTCAATATTTGAAGGAGGAGTTTCATTGCTTTGGTCAGCTACTTAAAGTCTATGACTCAGAAAGTCAGCAACTTCTCTGATAATTGAAGCTATGGAAGAGAATGAGTGACTCAAAGACAGAGTGAAAGGTAGAGGAAATAAATGAGAACAGAACCTTGGGGGAATGTCTGAGCTTAAGAGGAAAGAGATGGAAGAGGAACTAGATAAGAAAACTGAGAAGTGATACAAAGGTGGGAGGAAAGTAGGAAATGGTGGGGTCACAGAGTATAAGAGGAAATATTTTCAAGAAAAGAAAAATTCTCAAATGCTGCAGCCATGAAAAAGAAGCTCAAACATAAGAAAAGGCCATTGGATTTGGCAATAATGAATTCATGTTGTCCTTTGAGACAGCAATTTCATCAGAGGGATGGGGAAGCAAGACACATGGTATGGGGCTATGAATTAGTGGTTAGGCAGTGTAGCAATTAACGCACACCACTTTTCAAGAAACTTAGAGATGCATAGAAGAAGAACAATAAGATTATTAGCTCCAGGCAGGGCTAAGAGGGTATTTCCAGTGTTAGGGAGTACCTGAGCATGTTTTCAGGCCTAGGTGAGGGGACAGAAAAACTTAAAAAAGACTAAGTGAACTCTTTCAAAGCCAAGTTTTGAAAGAAATAAAAGAGGATAGGAAATAAAACACAGATGGAAGTCTTAGAAAATACCAAAGACCTTATGTTTTAAGAAAGCTGGAATGAAAAATATAAAAAACAAGAAAAGGAAGAGGGAGGACAAGAGAAGGAAAGTTGAGAATCCTGGTATCCTATGGCTGCAACTACACTAAAGTAAGCACCATAGTCATAATCAGAAAGAGAACTAGACTGGCACTGATGACATCAGAAGAATGAGAACCAATTTGAATTATCAAGAGTTAGATATTATCACATAAGTGACGTGCTATATGTATGTTGGTTGAAGAATTTAAAGATATAAAGTATATTGCAACCTCACATACCTGACAACATATTATCACTGACTCAAATTTATTTCATTTATAATAAATAATTATCCTAATGCCAAGAGCTACAAGCAATCAATGACCAAATGCACAACCATGAAATAAGGAATGTGACCATTAGATACATTGGTAAAAAGATAATACCTCTTGGTTCTAGTTCCAATTCTGTCACATGGCCTCGGATTTGATGCTTTGCCTCACTAAGCCCCAGCATTCATCGTACAGGTCCATTGAGGTCTAACATGGTAAAAATCAAATATACTTATAAATGTACTTTATTTGCTTGTAGATTGAATGACTGGCATGTTATTTTATCTCTAGAGATGATATTATCCTTGGCTTAATGAGGCTTGCAAAGTTGTTTTTCTTTTAATCCAAGACAAAATATGCTATTCCCATCAGTAGATGAGAATAAATGATTGAGAAAGCTCAAAGTCAACGGCCAATCCTCTATACCTTGGGAGCTCAAACTAGTAGAGTCCTGCAGTCACTCTTAATTTCCAGCATATGAAGCTGACAAAGTCATTTGACTGACTTCTTATGCCTCCTCTGTCACAGAGGCAGCCACTGCCCCTCTGATATTATGTAGGTCACTCTAAACACTATGCAGAGTTTTATTTTAGAAATAAAATTTCATGCTATGTAACTACACGATATATTCCAGGGAGCCTGACTGCACATCAAGGAAAAGGGGTGCTTTGTTTCAGAAGGACTAGAATATAGCAGATAAGTATGAAGTTTCTGGAATCAGAACACCTGAGTTTTAATTCTGACCTCACTGCCTACTAAGTACAGCATAATCCCTCTAAGCCTCCTTTTCTCATCAGTAATATAGCACTGTTAAAATTTTAGTGTGCATATGCATAGAATATGCTTATGATAACATCTGACACATAGTAAGCAGTGAATGTTAATCTTTATAGAAATATGCTGAATTTGGGGTATTTTTTTATCAGTGAAGATCTCTTCTGTTTGGATAATTATATATTATATTTACAGCCTGAATAAAAATTAGTTTTAATCTCCTTGAAAAAGCCATGCTTTCCAAACAAGGGGCAGAAGGAAATCCTCTATATTTTTCCTGGTCTTGTCTTTTTAAATCCATGAGGCTCTAGAAGGCAAAGAAGTAACTAATGATCTGTAGCAGGCAGCCCAGCCTGTGTGGCATTTTGCTATAATAATTTATTGTTCACAGCAACAATAACAACAACAACTCACCACCAAATTCTGGAGAGTAGATTAGGGCTCTTCTATCACTTGAATGTTTAAATAAGAAATAATCACAAAAAGGAAGAGGGTTAGAGGATATATATTCATCTTTGTTTATAAAATTGATGAGAAAGGTTATTTTTAAAGAGAAACTTAACTTTATTAGTCAATTTTAGATTCTGAAGAAAAAATCTTCATGATAAAATCAAAATCCTAACTGATTTTTAAAAACTGAACAAAAACATGTCAGTATCTTGAATACGGTTTACATATATGCATTCCCATTTATTGGCCAAGTGACAAAAACTTCCATCAATCAGTTCAACAAGCATTTATTGAATGTCTACTGTGTGCTAATCATTTTTCCAGAATTAATGATATAAACATATATCATTATATAATGGCTAACAACTAGAAAGAGAGCCACAACTAAAATGCTGTTAATAAATACTAAAACTAGTACAAACTGATTCTAAGGGAACACAGAGAAGAGATATCTAGCTCAGTCTGAGAATCTGAGGTCATGTCAACAGGGTTGAAACAGGGTCCTGAAAGGCTGTTAGGAGTTAGCCTGAGACGCATGGTGGGGGAGAGTGTTCCAGAGAGAGGAGCAGCATGTGCAAAATCACAGAGGTGAGAGAAGCAAAAGTGGTTTGGTATGTCTAGATAATTGGTTCTCAAGGGGGGAGGAATTAGGAGAAGCAAAAAGAGATCATGAGTTTCTTTTTTTTTTTTTTCAAACTACATGTGTCCTCCCCGTTTTCCCATTTTTATATGGTCCCACAAAGGGCCATTGTAATGAAATGAAGGTTTGTGTCTCTCTGAACTTCATATGCTGAACCCCTAACCCTCAGTGTGGTGGCATTTGTATTTGGGGCCTTTGGTTTGCATCAGGTCATGAGAGTGGGGTCCCCATGATGGGATTAGTAAGAGGAAGTAAGGCCTGAGCTCGCTCTCTTACTCTGCCATGTGAGAACATAATAAGAACGTGGCTGTCCGCCAGCCAGAAAGAAAGCCTTCACCAGACATTGAATCTGCCAGCAACTTGATCTTAGACTTCCCAGCCTCTAGAACTGTGAGAAGTAAGTGTCTGTTGTTTAAGCCACCCATTATATGGTATTTTGTTATAGCAGCCCAAGAAGACTAAGACAGCCATTTAATAGGGGACATTTGAAAAATCTTCTAAAGTTAATCTGATCAACCTTGCCCTAAACTTTTCCTCCACCTCCCTCCCACCCACCTACTCCTCTCCACCCCGTAGGGACCAATGGTCAAGGCATCGCTTGATATTGAGGTGCGTTAGTATAGAGGCTAAAGTAGGCAGAAGACTGCTTTAGAAATCAATATGCCAAGCTGAATAGCTTAGAGTTTAAGTTGAAACAATAGAATAATTAAGCCAGAATGTAAAATAATAATAATAATAAATGTGCATGTTAGAAGATGATTCTGTCATAATTATAAAGTAAGGGTTAGCAAACTTTCTGTAAATGGCCAAGTAGTATTTTAGCTTTTGCAGGGCATACCAGTCTGTGTTGCAACTGCAGCTAGAACTAGAGCTTTTGCAGGCCATACCAGTCTGTGTTAACTCTGCAGCTCGAGCACGAAAGCAGCCATAGATAGCATGTGAATTAAGGGATATAAGTGTATTCTAAGAAAACTTTACTTACAAAAGCTGTCAGTTGTAATAAGCAGAATTTGAACCTGCTATAGAGAATGAACTGGAGAAGATAAGACTAAGCTAGAGTCAGATATTCCAATAACATAGTTAGTGTAATTGACCAAGTAAGAAATGAAGAGGATTGAAGGGAGTCATTCGCAGAGGAGATAGAAAAGGGAATAGAATTTAAATATATACAAGAGGTAGAAACCATAGATCTTACGACCAATTGAATACAAAAGGAAATGATAATGGAAGTCCAAAGCATGGACATGACTTGAATGGACAGTGTACATGTGATAGACCCCAATGAATAATGGCAAACCTTGTGGACACAGAGCTGTCGCTGAAGAGAATATAGTATATGAGAAAGCTCTGCTCTCTGGCCACAAACCACAGCCTTGGCCAAAGTGGTCATCCAGGAGCAGCTACATAATTTCCAGGACCCACTGCCAAATGAACATGCAGGACCCCCCCGCCCCCTGTTGCTCAAAATGATTAAGAATTTCAAGACAATGAAAGTAAAGCATTAAACCAAGCATAGGGCATTTCTAGGTGCTGGACCTTGTGTGACTGCACAAATCACATGACCCTGAATCTGACCCTGCTCCATCTCCAGCTCATGTACTAGCTTTAGTATGTCTATAATAAGGAACCTTTTTCTTAGAGTCCAAACTTCTTAATTTACCTCCACAGCCCATTTTTTTGTAGTCTCCAAATCTGCTACATAGACACAACAGCTGTATTTCAGTAGTGATTTCAGCTTAAAGGAGGTTTTCTTTTTTTTCCTTATCCTAACTCACATTTAAGATTATAGCAGAATGGCAATATGCATTGTCCATGACTGAGAATGAATTTTGGAGGTGAGTTTTTCTCTGCATCATTTGACAAGTGCATTTTGGGAGTTTCTTTGAAAATGAATGCAAACACCGAAGTTTCAGACAGCAAACTGTGCTCCAAGGCTGGTGTTTCTTTAGAGATCTGTGGATGTCCTAGAAGATCAAACCTACCAGGAATCTTGGAGAATATCCTGCAGTCAGTGAAGAAGACTTTCTCTGACCAGAAGTCCGGAAACATATGCTGTCTGTGCAGTTCAGCCACCATTATTTTGTGCCTTTAATCAACTCAACATTTTGTAGTACATCTTCCTCACTGATGACACATGAGACCTGGATCTTCAAGATCTGAAATTTAAGGCCAGGCACAGTGGCTCACGCCTGTAATCCAAGCACTTTGGGAGGCTGAGGCTGGTGGATCACTTGAGGTCAGAAGTTCGAGACCAGCCTGGCCAACATAGTGAAACCCCATCTCTACTAAAACAAAAAAAAAGAATACAAAAATTAGTCGGGTATGGTGACATGCACCTGTAGTCCCAGCTACTCAGGAGGCTGAAGCATGAGAATCGCTTGAACCTGGGAGGCAGAGGTTGCAGTGAGCCAAGATCGCGCCACTACACTCCAACTTGGGTGACAGAGAGAGACTGTCTCAGGAAGAAAAAAAAAATCTGAAGTTCACTTTTTGTATTATGTTTGTTGCCATTACATAAAGCTTCTAAGGATCTATCGTGACTAGATGTTGGATAATTTATACGCAAAACAAAGAGCAAATGAAAATAAAACTGTCACCCTAGCCAATTTCAGTGTTTATACATATATACTCCATTTATAATCAATTACCTCCTTTTGTACCAAAATATATTATTTTCTATTCAGAGAAGGGTGAGGCTAGCTACCCACATGCTAAAAATCTGATAGAGAGGCCACATATACAGAGTTGCTGGATAAAAAACACAGAATGCTAAGTATTTGCAAATATTTCCAACATATGTATACTTTAAAATGTGTTGTTTATTTGAGATTCAAGAAGTGTATGCCCTGTATTTTTATTTGCTAAATCTAGGAAACCTATACCTATGCTGAGTGGGAAACCAAGCCATATGGCTTCTAAAGTCCCCTCTAGCCCTGAAATACTCAATTGTGATATGATTTTTACCATTTCCAGTAAACTAAACTAAGACCAAACAGTAGAATTTGAAGGAGGGAAGATAGTGACTCAATAGAAGAAATCTGTTTATCAAGCAAAGCTATCAATTGTGGACCCAAGCACAATCCATTTGATCAGAACCCCATCCACAGACCACAGTATTCGCTAATATAGAGGCTAGACCAATGGTCTACAAAGTGCGGAATGCCTTCCCACAGGAAATACTCATGGCAACCCATTGAAGTGAAGGAAGCAAAAATGAGAACATGTAATTTTTTTTAAAAAGAAGGAAGTACTTTGCTATAAATTAATAGAGAAATTGAGCCTGGTCCTCTGTCAGGAGGTAAAGATATTCGGAAGGACCTGTGACAGTTTCACAACACAAGGGTTCAACAGAGAAATGCATATATTCATTTTCTGCACTATTAAAACAGATGAATAAAAATATTTTTCATTTCTGAGCTTTGTTTTGCCACATAGGATGCAGTACCTTTAAAAAACTTTAAAGCATCATTTTCTAAACTTAAATTTTACCGTGAAATTTCTGCAGGGTGTGAACTAATTTTTAAAAATATAAAACTGTAAAATCTTCCAGTTATTATGCAGCAATACCCGATGGACATCGGAAGTGCCAGGAATTTAATGGAAACATTTAAACAAAAACTTTTGCATAGTTGGTAGATAAAATATACCATGATTTAATAAGCACAGATAATAATATATTTCTTCTTTTGGATATATATATATTAATGTAGCTTACATGTTTGAGTTATGACAATAATTAAAACTAAGTATCAGAATTGTTTTATGATATAAATTTTTAACAATAATGAAATATATTCTTAATAATTTTCTCATAAGAAAATATTCTTACATATCAATAAAAAAACATTTTTGATATTTTACTTTACATAAAAATATTTCAGGGAAATTGAAATGTTTTGAATCATTCATAAATGAAATGAAACATATTATAAATTATATTTGTTTAATATTTGCCTTATCCTTTAATCTCCAATTTTGTAAATATTTTATATTTGATTACATTTAAAATTTATATAATTTATAAACCAATAACATTCAGAAATCAGAGGTGAAGGTATGAAAATTTCTACTGATTGTTGTGTACTAAAATGCATATTCAGTGGCCTGCACAACTATCTATTGGAGGCACTGAGAACATACCTAAATCGGTTGAAGACTTATTCTAAATAAGCTCTATGACTTGTCATTGTGTTTTTGTTTGTTTTTTTTTTTTACCATCCTAAGTTTATTATTTGCAGCAATTCTACATTATTCCAGGTAAAACTACTCTTTCTTTTGGAGGAGTCGTAACTCTCCTGTTTTTGTAAATAAAGTTTAATTTGGAAACCCAGGCCAGAACTATTCTTAAATTGCTTTTTTGCTTCAAAATTTAGTGGGAGATGAGCACCACTGTTAATATCTAATTTAATAACTTCTACTATAGATTAAACCTATTTCCTCTTATTAAACATTGATAAAATACATATGACTCTGAACTTGAATATGATTGCTAGATCCTTATCTGTAAAACATAATTTTGTCATTTATAATTTGATTTTAAAAAATGTTATCTATTCTTTCTCTCCTTTTTGTTAACTTGTCTACTTTTTGTATTAGTGCATTTGTGGAGCAATCAGTTTTTTAAATAATCATTTTATTTTGTACTTTGGAAAAAGGAGTTAGCCAATACATTTAGAAAATATTAGATGTAGGAAAAAATAGAAAGTGGATAACTTAGAGTTGCTTAAAATTGCTGTGAATCCCATCAAAAAGCTTATCCACCATGACCAAGTAACTTTTTTTTTTTTTTTTTGAGTCAGACTTTTGCTCTTTCGCCCAGGCTGGAGTGAAGTGCTGTGATCTTGGCTCACTGCAAACTCCACCTGCTGGGTTCAAGCGATTCTCCTGTCTCAGCCTCCTGAGCAGCTGAGATTATGGTGCTCGCCACCATGCCCAGCTAATTTTTTTTGTGTGTGTGTATTTTTTAGTAGAGACAGGGTTTCAACATGTTGGCCAGGCTGGTCTTGAACTCCTAACCTCAGGTGATCCACCCGCCTCGACCTCCCAAAGTGCTAGGATTACAGTCATGAGCCACTGTGCCCAGCCTGATCAAGTAAGCTTTATTTGAACTAAAGACAATAGCCACATGGCTCTCTCAATAGATGCAGAAAAAGGCTTTTGATAAAATTCAACACCCCCTTCATGTTAAAAAAAAAAACAAAACTCTCAATAAACTAGGTTTCAAAGGAACATACCTCAAAATAATGCAAGCTATCTATGACAAACCCACAGCTAACGTCATACTGAATGGGCAAAAGCTGGAAGCATTTCCCTTGAAAACCAGCACAAGACAAAGATGCCTTCTCTCACCACTCCTATTCAACATAACACTGGAAGTTCCGGCCAAAGAAATCAGGCAACAGAAAGAAATAAAGGGCACCTGATATGGTTTGGCTCTGTGTCCCCACCCAAATCTCATGTCAAATTGTAATCCCCACATGTTGGAGCAGGGGCCTGGTAGGGGGTGACTGAATCATGGGGGCAGCTTCCCCCATGCTCTTCTCATGATGGTAAGTGAGTTCTCCTGAAATTTGGTTGTTTGAAAGTGTGTAGCACTTCCCCGCTCTGCTCTCTCTTTCCTGCCTCCACCTTCCATCATGGTTGTGAGTTTCCTGAGGACTCCCAGCCATGCTTCTTGTACAACCTGCGGAAATATGAGTCAATTAAACTTCTTTTCTTCATAAATTATCCAGTCTCAGGTAGTTCTTTATAGCTATGTGAGAATGGACTATACAGTATCCAAATAGGAAGAGAGGACTTCAAACTCTCTCTGTTTGCAGATGACATGATTCTATATTAGAAAACCCCATAGTCTCAGTCCAAAAGCTCCTTCAGCTGATTTGCAACTTCAGTGAAGTCTCAGGATACAAAATCAATGTTCAAAAATCACTAGCATTCTTATACCTCAACAATAGACAAGTAGAGAGCCAAATCAAGAAGGCAATCCCATTCACAACTTCCACAATCAAAATACAATATCTAGGAATACAGCTAACTAGGAAGGTAAAAGATCTCTGCAATGAAAAATACAAAATACTGCTCAAGAAAATCACGGATGACACAAACAAATGGAAAAATAATCCATGCTCATAAATAGGAAGAAAAAAATCATTAAAATGGCCATACTGACCAAAGCAATTTATAGATTCAATACTATTTCTGTCAAACTACCAATGACATTCTTCACAGAACTAGAAAAATCTACTTTAAAATTCATACGGAATCAAAAAAGAGCCTGAATAGCCAAGGCAATCCTAAGCAAAAAGAACAAAGCTGGAGGCATCACACTATCCAACTTCAATCTGTACTACAGGCCTACAGTAACCAAAACAGCATGGCACGAGTACCAAAATAGACACATTGGCCAATGGAACAGAATAGATAGCCCAGAAATAAGGCCATACACCTACAATCATCTGATCTTTAACAAAGCAGACAAAAACAAACAAAGAGGAAAAGGCTCCCTATCCAATAAATGGTGCTGGGATAACTAGACAGCCATATGCAGACGATTGAAATTGGACCCCTTCCTTACACCATATACAAAAATCAACTCAAGATGGATTAAATACTTAAATGTAAAAATGTAAACTATAAAAAGGCCGGAAGAAAACTAAGCAATACCATTCTGGACATAGGAATGGGCAAAGATTTCATGATAAAGATGGCAAAAGCATTGCAACAAAAGCAAAACTTGACAAATGGGATCTAATTAAACTAAAGAGCTTTTGCACAGCAAAAGAAATTATCAAGAGAGTAAATAAATAACCTACAGAATGGGAGAAAAATTTTGCAAACTATGCAACCAACAAAAGCCTAATATCCAGCATCTATAATGAACTTAAACAATTTACGAGAAAAAAAAAAATCCAAATACCATTAAAAAGTGGGCAAAGGACATGAACTGACACTTTTCAAAAGAAAACATACAGCTGGGCGCAGTGGCTCATGCCTGTAATCCCAGCACTTTGGGAGGCCGAGGCAGGTGGATCACCTGAGGTCAGGAGTTCGAGACGAGCCTAGCCAACCTGGTGAAACCCTGTCTCTACTAAACAAAAAATTAGCCAGTTGTGGTGGTGGACACCTGTAATTCCAGCTACTCGGGAGGCTGAGGCAGGAGAATCGCTTGAATCCAGGAGGCAGAGGTTGTGGTGGGCTGACATCACGCCATTGCACTCTAGCCTGGGAAACAACAGCGAAACTCCGTTTCAAAACGAAAAAGACATACATGCAGCCAAAAAGTGTAAGAAAAAAAGCTCAACATCATCAATCATTAGAGAAATGTAAATCAAAGCCACAATGAGATACCATCTCATACCAGTCAGAATGACTATTATTAAAAAGTCAAAAAATAAAAGAGAAAAAGGAATGCTTATACACTTTTGGTGGCAGTGTAAATTAGTTCACCCACTGTGAAAAGCAGTGTGGCGATTTATCAAAGATCTAAAAACAGAACTACCATTTGATCTAGCAATGCCATTACTGGGTATATACCTAAAAATATAAATCATTCTATTATAAAGACACATGTATGTGTATGTTCATTGCAGCACTATTCACAATAGCAAAGACATGGAATCAACCTAAATGTCTATCAGTGGTAGATTTGATAAAGAAAATGTGGTACATATACACCATGGAATACTATGCAACCATAAAAAAAGAATGAAATCATGTCCTACGCAGGAACATGGATGGAGATGGAGTTCATTATCCTTAGCAAACTAATGCAGTAACAGAAAACCAAATACTGTATGTTCTCACTTATAAGTGAGCTAAATGATGAAAACATGTGGACACAGAGGGAAACAACAGACACTGAGGCCTACTAGACCATAGAGGGTGGGAGGAGGGAGAGGATCGGGAAAAATAACTAATGGGCACTAGGCTTAATACTTGGGTGATGAAGTAATCTGTATGTGTATCCCTGAACGTAAACTAAAATTTAAAAAAAGTGCTGTGAATTCTTGAAGACCTGAAAAGAAATAAATTGGACTAGAAATCACATGAATTTAGAGGTTAGTAATATGCATAAATGTGATCATTTGAGCAGTAGCAATCCATCCCAATAATAAAAAGATAAAAGTCTTCTTTAACTTAGGAAAGACATAGATTATTATTTGTTATAACTTTGTAACAAATGAAAATGATTCTCAATATCATGACTAGGCCATATTTTATAGGCAAATTATAATAAACAAAAATGTTTTAGGAATCGAAATTGTTGGACGTCATTTTTCTAAGAAAGAGAGACACAATATAAATGATGTATAGACAGAAAAACAACATATATATTGGGCTGTTTTTAACCTGCCTAAAGTAATTGCACTTTCTAAAATAACTACCTTTATTAATGCTTATCAAGAAAACTCTCTATAAAGTGAAGAAAGGGAAAAGCTTTCAAATGGCTCACTGAATTACTCTACAGTGACAGCAGATTGTGCAGGATAAATGAGCCCTGGGCCTGAATGCTCTCAGATCTTGCAGGGGATGTTGTGGCTTCTTAGGGTTTCAGACTTGAATATGGACCTCTATTGTATTTTGCACTTGCTATATGAGGTACTGATAAATTGTCGCAAGTATTGTGGTTACCTAAACCACCTTGAGAAATATGAAGAAGTAAAGGAGGGAGAGAGCACAAAAGTAGAGGCCCAAATGAAGTATTTTAATGTCATAAATTTACTGTTTTCTGTCCTTTTTTGGGGACCATAAGCACCTCTTCCAGCATCATCAAAGCACTTTTCCTCAAGCTAATTTTATTCTATTTAAAGGAATATATGGAGATCTTGCATTCTAAATTAAGTCTTAGCTCCTAGCACTTCATTCCTATCTATCTGAAAAACTTATCCTTGAAGATCCAGCTCATATCTTACCTCTTCTGTGACAACATCCATAAGGAATATAGAATACTTTATGTAATGTTAGCACACTGATTATCTTATGTTTAAAACCTATCTTCTCAGTTGGAGTATGAGGCCTACAAGGCAAGGCACATACTTTATTCCTCTCCATATGTCCAATGCTTATAACAGATCAGTTCAACATTGATAAATGCCTGACAAATAGAAAAAGGAAGGGGAGGGGAAGGGAAGGGAGGAGAGGGGAGGGGAGGGAAGGGAAAAGGAAGGGAAGGGAAGGGAAAGGAATGGAAGTGGGAAAGAAGGAAAAGAAAGAAGGAAGGAGGAGAAAGAAAGGAAAAAAGGGAAAGAAAGAAGAAGGAAAGAGGGAAAGATTAAATGAATGGATAAATGAATGAACAAGTTATGTTTAGAGAAGGCACTGGATGTGTTGCTAGTTGTTATTAAAGTTCTGAGAAGAGTATAGCATAGTTCTCATTTAGTAATCCACGTTAAGCAAGCAGTAGACTCAGCCTTAGCCTTGTATGGAGTGAAAGCTCAAGGAATGGCCATGTATTGGAGCCGAATTTAGTAGGCAGCAATAAAAAGTTAGTACTAAATCAAAGCTAAGCAGATCATTAAAATAGAACTGTCAATCCAGAGGACCTAAGCAAAAAGTCAGAATCTAAGTAAAAAACAGAGAAATGGAAACAAGAAAAACTAGATGAAAGAAAAGGAAGAGGAGCAGAACCAAGAGAAATCCCTAAGGCAAAGGGAGTAATTACTACAGTTATTCGTGTGCTGCTAATGACCTTAGCATTCCATAGTGACTAAGACTTACATCCTGGAACAAGGTTGCCTGAATTCTAATACTGGTTCTATTGCTTACAGATTCCTTACCTTTACATGACACTTTCCTCATTTAAACCAAGGATGATAATACCTACCTCATAGGGTTATTGTGAGAATTAAATAAAATGTGGCTATTGTTGTTAGGAGGTCCTCAATCAATCTGAACAAACGAAGTAAAATGAGAAGTTAAAAAAATGACTTATTGATAGGGTATAGTATATATCAGTTTACTTAGACCAGTCATGATTTATATTTTATCCTGGTACCTTGGTGTAATATGCTGTTTTGTTATTATAAAAACTAAAAATAAAATGCCTAAGAATTCTGTTGGATGTCAAGTTATGAAATAGTATTTTGAAACATGAAATAAAATACACAAATTTTAAAGAAAAAGTACTAAATTACACTTTGTCAAAATTTAAAATTTCTGAACAAAAGATAAACACCCCAAAAGATGACCAATTGCTTCAGTAATCAAGAAAATTCACATAAAAGCACAGTGATAATTTGCTTCTATAATAGCAGATAGGTGGTTACAGAGCAAACTTCACAAGGGACCAAGTAGAGAAACTGGACAAATTGCAAAATTTATAAAGCAGGTGGAGTATGTCCTTCAATTACAGTGCAAAACTAAAAGTCAATAATCAAAAGAGAACTAGAAAATACCTAAATATTCAAGAGTTAGACAATATATTTTTAAATAATCCATAAGGTAAATAAGTAATCAAAATGGCAATGTTGGCAAGTGCAGTGGCTCAGGCCCATAATCGCAGCACTTTGGGAGGCTGAGGTGGGAAGATCTCTTGAGATCAGCAGTTTGAGACCAGCCTGAGCAACATAGCAAGACCCTATCTCAAAAAAAAAAAAAAAAAAAAAAAAAAAAAAAAAAATTAGCCATGTGTGATGATGCATGCCTGTATTCTCAGCTACTCAGAAGACTGAGGTAGGAGAATGGCTTGAGCCTGGGAGATCCAGGCTGCAGTGAGCCATGATTGTGCCACTGCACTACAGCCTGGGCTACACAGTGAGACCTTCTCTCAAAAAGAGAAAAAAATAATAATGTTGTCAATGAGAATCACAGTATGGCATATCAAAACTTTGGGAAGTAGCTAAAGCCATGCTTAGAGGAAGATGTATAGCAGGAAGGCATATGTCACAAAAGCAGAAAGAGTAAATAATTAATGAATGATTTTTATTGATCTAAGAATCCATTTTAAGAAATTTAAAAATAACAGCAAATTAAATTTAAAGAAAGTAGAAAAAAGGAAATAAATATAAAAGTGTGAAGAAATGAAAGGAAGCAAATGTACTGTAGAACAAATAAATCCAAATGTTATTTTTTAAAAGACATATAAAAAGGGATAAAACTATATTAATATATATTTTTAAGTGGCAAAAATAACTTAGATCAGGAACGAAAGAGCTTATCACTATAGATGTTTATTCCAGAAAGGAATTTATACTCAAAGGTCAATTAGAGTAATTCACCTTACTGACATAATAAAGGAAAAAATGGTTATGTGATCATTTCAATAGATACAGAAAAAGCATTTGATAAAATTCAACATCTGTGCAGTACTATTGCTTTTTTTGGGGGATGGGGTTGCAGAGTCTCACTCTGTCGTCCAGGCTGGAGTACAGTGGTGTAATCTCAGCTCACTGCAACCTCTGCCTCCCAGGTTCAAGCGATTCCCATGCCTCAGCCTCTCAAGTAGCTGGGACAGCAGGCATGCACCATCACACTTGGCTAAGTTTTGTATTTTTAGTAGAGATGGGGTTTCACCATGTTGGTCAGGCTGGTCTTGAACTCCTGATCTCAGGTCATCCGCCCACCTCGGTTTCCCCAAGTGCTGGGATTACAGCCGTGAGTCACTGTGCCCGGCCTTCTCTTTCTAAAGTAGGGCTAAAAGGGAATTTCATTAATTGGATTCTTTTAAATGACAGCGAGCATTATATTTTATGGTTAGATATTAAAAGCTTTCCTTCTTGGCTCCCAAATGAGACAAGAATATCTGATATCATTCTTCCAAATCAGAGTAGAAAACTCAGAATCATATCTGGGTTAAAAATGCATGTTGATCTTAACCATCTGAACTTCTTTTCTCTAGGGAGTGGAGGAGGCAAGGCAAGGAAAAAGAAAGAAAAAGGCAGATGATAATTACATATCACTGAACTTTTGTTCTTTTTTTTAATGCAAAAAGATATTTAAAAGACAGAAAAATGCAAGTAGAACCAGAGGCTGGTGTTAAAATATAGATGCTTTTGGTGTGAAAGAAAGAAAACATGGCAGAAAGCCAAGGAACTTGAGGTGATTTAAAGAGTCACAGGAAGAAAGGCAGACCAGAGCCTGGGAAATGAAACACTTGGAAACTGAAGGAGTAGGTTTCTGAATGTCCCTATGTTTTATGTCTTACTTCTATTTCATTTTTTATTATGGTGTAATAAATGCTCCCAAATCCTGGTACAAATTAGATTATTTGCTTTCTACTGATTCAGAAATAGTCATTGTGCCTTTGACTAGGATAAAAACATTATCAAAATAAAGAAACAAAATTGCTTTAAATGATTCTAATTTCTTTCAAAGCCCCCCAACACACAGAATAAAAAGGTAATCTCTTCCCTCCAATATCTTCCAACAACAAGAAAGTCAGTCACAGTCTGAATTCAATAGAAATATATGAACATAATAAGCTAAAATAGTAGTAAAAGCCTAATGTTAAATGACAATTTATAAATTGATATTTTCAATTATCATGAGCCATACTACAATAATCATTAGTAAGTCTACTTATTCCAACAAATTCAATAATTTAATTTCAAGTGAGATGGATATTATTCTCTAATGTAATTCTTGCAAGTTAACACAAACAAGTAATTTTTTTCCAAAAGAACTTGTATAAAAAGGCACACCACACACTTGGAGCTTGTATCTATGTTCACTCCCTGTTTGTGTTAAATTGACAGGTTCACTTAAAAACAATTAACACTATAATTCTTATACAGACAAAATAGCTAGCATGTTACATTTTTCATCTGGACATGTTGTTGTCTTATAGACACAGCCAGGAATTCTTGGCAAAAATTCAGGGCTCCTAGGTATACCATAGGTCAGTATTATATAGACTATGTAATTCTGGATTCAATCACAAATGGGCCATTAAAAGCTAACTTTATAAAATAAATAATTAAATAAATAAATAAGACCACCAAATCTGTTGGCTGAGTTTTGCCAGTGCATCTAGAACTGAACCTCACTGGCCCATTATAATCAGGACTGTAAATTGCCTGTTATTAAATTGCTTTTCCTGTGGTAAGAGAAGATACATTGAAGTCAAGCAGGTAACAGCATTGGATCATGATTCATTTTGCAGACTTTATGGAGCCAAATTGCGTGTTGCCAATCAATATGGAGCCACACAGTTGTTTTTAAATGTCTTGCCACAGGAATTGGCTTGCAGCCACCATCGTAGGAGGGTGGTGTAAGGAAGCTGATACTGGAGGAAGGGAGTAAATGCTGTTTCCTCTCTGGAGTCTGTGTATTTGTATATTTTGCTATACAATCAGTATTTTGAAAGACACCTATAAATTTAGAGCCCCTCAGGTCAGAATGCTTAGAATATGGCTTTATTCTAGAGGACAATTCTGATTTAAAAATCCTTGCTTGAACTCCTGAATCTCCCTATGTGTGTATCACAAGCTAAAAAGAGGTAGAGTCCCAGATTGGGATTTCTTAGATTTCAAACATTTGGTTTATGGATTTAAATTTTTATTGTATTCTATAATTTTGGAATTCTCTACACCTTGGCAATTTTGCAGTGTGTGCAATGTCACCAGCAGAGAGAGATCCGTGTTTTAAATATCAAAATCCAAGAAAACAAAAAATAGTTAAGCTAAAATGACTATTACAAGGAACTCAATTATATATTCCATTTCTGAATTGTATCTTTAGAGCTTTCTTTCCTGCTTCATGTATTTTATGTCCTCACAAGAATACAGTATTCTTGCTATTTTATAATTTTTTATAAATAAATCCAAATAGGTTATTTATATATTTTGGTGATAGAAGAAAGCATTAATCAAAAAGGCTATTATAAGTAGCAATAGGAAGTAGAGCACTTATTGCATTTGGAGATAATTTTATAAAGCAGAAAGCCAGATTTTTGAGAATTCTATCCACTATAAATAATCTGTCATAAATCATTGAAGATTTTCTGTTCCATTCTACTTTGTGAAATGAAAATCTCTTGGTAGTCCAATCAAAATATGCATTGGTATTTCTCATATTGCATTTTTTATCCCTCTATTATGACTCAGAACTCTGTAAGGTTGAGCAGGTGTATCTAGGAATCAAGTAACATGAAACTTTGTCTTCCCTAGTTATGTTTTTTTCATTCCAGATATATAAGCTTTTATTAATTTTTTTCTCTCTTGGGGACATTATATCTTCCAAATATTTGCAATAAATTTTATAGTTATCCACATGAGGTTCATTAGTTGTTCAGATGAGGGAAGAGTGAAGTCTGGCTATATATCTAGGAGAGTCAAGAAGAGTTTCTTTACATCTATGTTGTAAAATGTCTCAAAAACATGTCCAGATATCATACATCTCTGATAACCCTTTGAGCCAGGATATTGATCAACAATTTTGCATTGGAAGTATATGCCATTTAACTGAGTTGGTGTTTCTCATTATACTCACTGACATACAAATAGCAACATTATCAAGTCCTGCCTTTAATCCACAATGGGGAAAGACTGTGTGGTAAAGCATGTTATTTCCCAGATTGGGTTTATACAGATGTCTGGAGACATTTAACGTATGCAAGAAGTTCTGGGAAGTCATGGGATGAATAGGAGGCATCCTTTGGAGTGGCATCTTTTCTTGAAGGAGGAAAAGAGTCAAAAAATTTAATTTAATTTGTAAGTTATAAAACAGATAATATTGCAGCAAACATGTAACAGGATAATAGTACACTAATTTGTACCAAGTTAAAGATAATAGTGAGATAAATGAATTTTGGACACTTAATATAAATGTCATGCTTCAGCAGAATGTATTCAGCTACAGCAATACATAGCATCCAGGCTAGACAGTTTTTTCTGTTTTTAGGACTACTTTGATACAGAAGTATGAGACGTGTGGTAGAGTGAAAGTAACACCAAGCTTGATCTTTCCCCCTTGCTAGTGTTGTGAACTTGAAGTCCTGTTAAAAATGTGTGTGTGTATATATATATACACACACATATATATACACGCATATATACACACATATATATGCACATATATACACATATATATGCACATATATATACACACTTATATATACACACATATACACAAATATATACACACATATATATACACACATATATACACATATATATACACACATATATATATACACACACATATATAATATCCAAAATACTGTCATCAAATCAATATCGCGGGTTTTTTGAAAGAATCAAATATGATAATGTGGCTGAAATTCCTTTGCCACCTGAAGAAGAAGAAAAAAGTGGATTTTTTCCATTTATTATTTTATTTAGCAGACATTTATTGAGCACTGACTCTGTGACAAGACTTCACTAAGTATGACTCTTCTCTTCAAGGAGTCTACGTGCTGAAATAAAGGAGACTGCAGTGATTCGATCACTTCAATAGAGTGCACTGAGGCCACTGATAGGTGTTTGTGCTGAGTTGAGTGATAACATTTGAGGAAAAACCTGAATGTAGAGGAATAAGCCTCAGAAGACAGCTCAAGAAAGAGAAGTCTGGGCAGAGGGAACACTAAGAGGCCTGGAGGTAGAAGCACACTTCATTTCTTATGGGGACATTATGTTTGAGGAATAGCATTTTGAGGAGTCAGCACAGTTGCATGGTTTTCTCCAGCAATGTGGTTAACATGGAAAAGAAAGGTAGTTAGATTTTATGAAGGTTGAGGTTTATCAGGGTGATTACAAAAAGGGCTTTGAATGTATAAAGCAAAGAAGGGATTTTTATGGAAGAATCATGGACTCTAAAGAAAGACATGGAGGAAGTCACTGGGACAGAACATGGGTTGAAGGCAATGGACAGGGAGTAACATGAAGGTGGAGAATTGCCCGAGTGAGACACTAAAGTACAAAGAATATTTGAGGGTTTGGCACAGAAAGAAAACAGAGATAAAAGTCCAGGGAAAAGAACACGATATAAAGCAATAGGTGGAGTAATAGCCCAGTTTTGTAAATCTCAGTAATACTTGGAAGGATACACAACAAAATGTTAATAGTCGTTATTGCAGGATGACAGAATTATGAGCCAGTTTTATTTTATTTTCCCTGTCTTCTATATTTTCCAAATTTTCTTCATTCAATATATATTGCTTTTGTAATTGAGAGAAAATTAAAAACAGATGTGGTATCCCAGAAATACGAGAGTAAAACCAAACAGGTAATTAAAGACAATCATTCCCAGACCTGAAGAAATGGAGAGCGATATTCAGCACCACGGAAGCATCACAAACTGATTCCAAGATAGACCAAACTGCCACATCTACTGCACTTCCTTCATGTCTGCACCCTCCCCCCAGCCTCCCTTCCCTCTCCCGGAAACACACAACAAAACTCACACATACAGTGAGAAACTCACACACTAGCACACACACATTCTCACTTCTGCACTTCCTTTTTCTTAAGCTGACAGGAAGCCCTAAATACCATTAACATAGGCAACCACACCCCTTGCATCTCTGAACATTTCTGCATGACTCTGGACAGTTTTGACTGTGCCCTTTGTTTTCACATGGTCGGCTTTGGAACAGGTAAATGTATTGGGAAGGCCAATTTAAGCCAGAAAAAGTTCCTCTTGAATAATTCCAGTTTCCCTCTCCTGCCTCCATCTTCCCATCCCATCTTCACTTCCAATAAAACACATTAATAAACATAAGTTTATTTTCCATCCAGCTCTGGGGGTGTGATTTGACAAAGGGACAACTGATGATCCCCTAACCAAATTTTAGTAATGTTTCTCTGAGTAATTTACCAATGCCACTATCCAAGCTATTGGGGTTCTCTCCCAAAGACCATTGTCTTGAATCCACAGGCATTTTTGCTTATACTCCTCTAGCAATTTCTGCTATCTACAATTCCAGTTCCTTGTCCACCACAGCACAGCACATGAGATTGGCTAATTTTAAAACATCTAATTTAAATTCAGGAACAGGTACAACCAGTGTATAGATTGCTCAATCTTTTTATGAACTATTTTTTAAATCGTTTTTTTCCTTCTACTAATCCTAGCTCTTTGAGTCTTACTCCATTTTGGATGGTTTATCCTGCCTCATCCAAAGACAAAGATTTTTTCTTTAGTTATGTTGGTCCTTGGAAAGGCAAATTTGTTTTGTTTAAGCTGCAGATCTCCAATTTCAGTTTCATTTTAGCTTCAATTGGATGAGTTTCCCTAGATTTGGTACTCAAGGTTCTCTGACTTAACTTTGAATTTGCTTTCCTAAATCATTTAGCTTCAATTCTGTGGTTCCCTGCATCATTTAATCTGTAAAATGTAGTCCACATACAAAACATACTCATGATCTTGAAGGAAACTAAGATAGTGTATACAGGGAGATATATATATCTATTTTATATATATAGTATATACATATATAACATGTATACATATATAATATATAACATATATTATATATGTATACACACATTGTATATATAAAACATGTGTTATTTATACATTATATATAAAACATCATATATATGCTTGGAATATATATATCTATATCTTGGAATATCTATATCTTGGAATATATATATATTGGAATATATATATATATCTTGGCATATATATATATATCTTGGAATATATATATATCTTGGAATATATGTGTGTGTGTATATATATATATATATATATATGCTGAGAAGGTGTTAGCAGGGAAAGGAATGAACCTAACTCTGGGTCAGACAGACCTGCAATCAAATTCCTTCAGTGTCACTTTTTAAAAGGCTGTATGACCTTCAGAAAATTACCTAACTTATTTGAATGTTAATTCTTTAACCAAAAAAATGGAATTATAATCGCCTAATACAGTTGTTTTGAAGTGCTAAGGAAACAGTGAGCACATAGTTCCCAGAACAGTGACTGGCAGTGACACGTGGTCATTTACTTCTTTCCCTCTGTGCCTTCCATTTGGGAGTGACTATCTTTTCATCTGTCAGATGTCAGCCATAATATTAGCACATCTGCAGCCTAAGTTCAAATGAACAAACCTGTCTCTCAAATTGTTTAGAGAGAAATATGTACTCACTGCCTAATAATTCCGATGATTTTCTATGCATGGTCTAGCATTCCAATTGCACTAGCATTTATTAGGCCTAACTTGGGGGGCGGATTCAGATATCCAACTGGTCTTACAATCAACCAGATTTTCTTGAATAAGAAAGAAATTCCGGCTGGGGGCAGTGGCTCACACCTGTAATCCCAGCACTTTGGGAGGACGAGGTGAGCGGATCACCTGAGGTCAGGAGTTCGAGACCAGCCTGGCCAACAAGGTGAAACCCTGTCTCTAGTAAAAATACAAAAATTAACTAGGCATGGTGGTGGGCAGCTGTAATCCCAGCAACTTGGGAGGCTGAGGCAGGAGAATTGCTTGAACCCGGGAGGTGGAGGTTGCAGTGAGCCAAGATCACACTACTGCACTTGAGCCTGGGTAACAACAGCGAAACTTCCTCAAGAAAAAAAGAAGGAAGGAAGGAAGGAAGGAAGGAAGGAAGGAAGGAAGGAAGGAAGGGAGGGAGGGAGGGAAGGAGGAAAGGAAGGAGGAAAGAAAAGAGGAAAGAAAGGAGGAAGGGAGGGAGGAAAGAAAGAAGCTTCTTCAGGTTCCTTTCAATCAAAGAACAGTCAAGACTCAGGATATCTCTCACCCTAGAGCTGAATCTCATAAAAGAAAGAAAGAGAGAAAGGAAGAGAACAGAACAGAAGAGAATCCCCAGGAGGAAAGGGGAAAAAATCCCTTTTGTTGATGTTCAACCTCTGGCAATCTCGAATCCTGTATTACACATCGAATGAAATCATTAATCCATAGAGACACAAAGCTCCCTAGCAAATAATATTATTTCTGCTATTCAACTTAGACTTCATTAGTCTTTCAAAGTTACCAAACTTAAACTTTCTAATTGAGCTAGAAAATCAGAATCTGCCTTTGATCACATTTTTTAATGCAACCTCTCTCTTTTCTGCCTGTGACCATTTCTTCTTACAGCTCTTCTTTCCTTGAAATTGAGAAAGAAAAATCTCTGCAAGAAGAAAATATTCAGAGATAGCCCTCCAGATAGACTCATATGAATAAGAAATCCAGGAAAGATATGAAAAGAAATAAAGAATAGGACCATCTTGCCTTTAGGCCTGCTACTTTTTCTAACATGTTAGTTTAGAGGACTTGTTGGGTTTTTTTAGGTTCTTAGCTTTTTAACTTGGGCTTATTGAATTTTCCAGATTGAGTGATGAAGGTTATCATGTGTTTCAGTTTGCTTCCTTGTCCCTGCTGGGATCACAGTTGAAAAAAAAATTAAAAAGAAATTAAGGTCCATTCTGGTAACAGACCCAGAATTTACAAAGGAACTAAGGGTTGTGAAAGCAAAACCACTGATACATATACCACAGTCAAGAAGTCTGTTTTCATTTAGCAAATAAATATTTAGCTTCCTTTAATAAATCTAAATTCTAAGAAAAATGGCAGATTGTAGAAATGGCAAAGTTAAATTTTTATAAGAATTTCCTTGCTGAAACCAAAGCTAGGAATTTCTGGTAGAATAGTGTAGAAGCTTTTTGGAATCAGGAAGGCTTTTCAACAGTGGAAGCTCAGGGTTCACAGGGAGACTTCTAAAGCATGAACTCACATTCTCAAGTCAGGCTCAAGACCACACTGTTTTCATTAATCCCTCAGATTTCAGATAAATGGACAGAGTCACCTGCAGTCCCGACACTTTACATTAGATAGGTGTTTACTGGTCCCTAACAGCAGCCCCAGAAATTGGCCTCCTGGTAATTGGAGACAGAAGAATAAGGGCAGGTAGTTTTATCTGAAGACTCTTTATGTTACAATTATGATAAGGACCTCATTCTCTGTTACATTCTTAACACTTAGAACAGTGCCTGTTGTGTTGTAATAAATACCTGTTGAAAGAATGAATAAATGTGGTGCTTACATTGTGATAGACACTTAACTACTTTTTGTATATCACTGCATTTAAATTAAAAGTTTACAATCACTCTGTAGTTTAGATATCACACTACCCAGTTTACAGATAAGAAGATGAGCCCCGGAAAGGCTGCACAATTTGCCCATGCAAGAAATAGAATTGTTTGATTCTAAAACTCTTATAGTTATGCACTTTCATTCCACCTCATCCTCAGTCTCAAAATCAAGGGCTATTAAGGAACTGTTTGATAATGGCTCCAACGGTCATGAAATTAAACTGTCCTATGTTTATTCCTGCATTCAGGCACCACATATTTATTAAGCGCCTACTACTGTATGTCAAGGGTATTGCCAGGTTCTGGGATGATACAGAAAAATAAGACATGAGTTCCTATCCTTAAAAAGCTGGCAAGGCCCACCCATAAATTAATAATCATAACACAGAGGGCTTAGCACCCTTTTAGGTAGATGTACATGGTATTATGGACATGCAGTCAGAGGAGATCTATATCCCTCTTTCTCCAAAAATATCAAACAAATAATATGAATTAAAATGACACAAGGCTGAAAGTACTCTGATGGATTCTCACACAGAGATTCAACTGAGATTATCAAATGATAATGTCTTTACTCATGTATTATACTCATTGCCCCACTCTCATTTGTCATTTCCAATCCTGGTAAGCTGTCATTCATCCCTTTTTCAGGTTAAAAACTGTGGTTTTGTTTCAGGTTTAAAAAATTCTGTGTTGAAATCCTCTATTCTCAGACCATTCATTTTCCAATCTTTTGATCATTTTTGTTGTTCCCTGTATATCCATCACATTCACTTTAAATTATGGAATCCCAAATTAGAAGCAGTTCTGTAAAAAGCATTGGAACAACTATACATATCACATAAAAGGGGAACTCTCCCACCATTCTACTCCTGTTTATGTATCCTGGGGTTATGTGAATGAATTGCTATTTGTACAAGCAATTCTTGAATCACATACAATATTTTTGATGCCTTAGCAATCCCATAAATTACAGCAAGTATAATTTTTCTATTTCCTCTTTCTCTTTTTAATCACAGTCCTCCAGTCTCATCACAGCTTTCAGATTTTCCCTGTCTTTAGAAGTGTTCGCATGTTATAGATTTTAGGTTCACTTCTTAGAAAATCAAAAATAGTTTAGTATAAGAAACTAGAAAAGCAAACACACAAGCTGCACTGTCTAATTAAACAAATCACTAATTCTGATGTATTTCCTTCTTATTTATAGTACACAACCAACAACATTTATCTATTTATACAAAAATACTTGCCCTACCTGCATTGTGCATTTCTTGCCTTGGCAGTCAAAAAATAAAGATGCTTTATGGGAGTTCAGAATTCTAAAAGATTATGATATTGTTCTCTAAAAATATTAAATTATTATTTCAACTGTCAGCAAAACACTTCAGAAGTTTTTCATAGTTACAAGAGTTGGCTAGAAGTACAGAAACACATCTTTATTCAACTATTTTCTTAAGGTTTGTCTCTGGTTTGTAACCGTAGTTCACTGAAATGTTTTTTTCTAAATAAAGAAAGGAAGAAAAAAACCCCTGATAAGAACACTTTATCATAGCCAATATTTTTGTATGTCACTTTGATGCTACTGTAATATACAATATTTGCTACAGCTGTTAATTATATGGCTAGATGGACAGGCGGCTAGAAAGATAGATAGATAATAGCTAAATGTCTTATATTCCATATATTTTTCTAAGTGCTTTTCATATGTCAAATAATTTCATCTTCACAACTCAATTACTTTAAAGTTCAGGAATCATAGATACAGAGAAGTTAAGTCACTTCCACAAAGATGCAGGATAAATGGCAGAATCAGGCTTAAGAGCAGAACTGTCCAAGACATATACAGTACGGGCCACATATGTGATTTTAAACTTAATAGTAGTCATACTAAACAAATAAATTGAAGGGTTGAACTGATTTACAATTCATTTATTTAGCCTAACGTATCTAACATATTAGTATTTCAACATGTAACTAATTTAAAAAATTAATGAGATATTTTTACATTCTTCTATGCATGCTACATTTTAAAAATTCAGTGTCTCTTTACACCTTATAGAACATGTAATTTTGCACCAGCCAGCTGCATTTCAGGAGCTCAGTATGCAGATGTTACTAGCAGCTACTATCTTGTATAACACAGCCTTGGAGCATGAGCATTTTTGTATGTGTGTGCCTGACATTAATCAATCTCAAGCTTTAAGATGATGACTGTTGCTTATTGACATAGTGGACATTTGTTATACAAATACACATCAGGTCTGAATAAAAATGCACATATTTATGTCTATCTTGACTTCAGAAGGTGCATCATAAGCACAAGCTGATAATTAACGATTGCCTGCCTTTGACAAGACTGGGAACTAGGTTCACACAGATGAGCCCAGCCCTGCTCTGGCCGCCGACATTTCACCACATACCATCATTTCACTCTGCAACGTCAGGTTCCCTTCCTCCTCCTTCTCCCACTACTACCCATTTCCATCTGCTTGGATGTGCAGCCCCCCCTGCTCCAGGCTGTTCTTCTACCAGCCTTTTTGTTTGAGCTCCTGAAGCAGACTCTCTTGAGCTTAAAGTGGCTCTGAATGTTCTCCGTTCTCCTAGTATGCTTTTTTTCTTCTTTTTTTTAATTAGACGGAGTCTCACCCTGTCACCAGGCTGGAGTGCAGTGGCGAGATCTTGGCTCGCTGCAACCTCCACCTCCCCGGTTCAAGCGATTCTCCTGCCTCAGCCTCCCGAGTAGCTGGGACTGCAGGCACACGCCACCAAACCTAGCTAATTTTTGTATTTGTAGTAGAGATGGGGTTCACCTTGTTGGCCAGGATGGTCTCGATCTCTTGACCTCGTGATCCCCCTGGCCTCGGCCACCTAGAGTGCTGGGATTACAGGCATGAGCCACCGTGCCTGGCCCTAGTATGCTTTCTTACATCCACTGCTATGAGGTGTTCTTTGGCCATGAGGAGGTGGCATCTTTGAGGCTAAAGTCACAAAACAGAAAGAATCCCAGAACATAGAAAGAGTATATGAGGACAGGGCTTATCCCAGGGAAAGGCTGCACTAGGTCTGGCTCTTAGCACCTTCTCTTTGATACCTTATCTCCCTTTTATTGACATTTCCTGAATATTCTCCAGGGTCATCAATGGGTAGTTCAACTGAATGTTCCCTCTTTCCCTTTCCCATATACCCATAAAAAATAACTAGGTTAAGGGAGAATTTTGAGCTGTCCTAAAAGATATAAAGGCTCATAAAAGGGTAGCCTGGGGGAAGGGTGAAAGGAAAGAGGAACACTACCCCCTCCTTCCCTCCCTGAAAGAGTTTCTAGTGAGGGAGGTTATGGAAAGAAGGTCATAGTCAAGCAATCTCAGTTCTCTATAAAGACAATCTGGAAAACACCCTCTTCTCACCAGGGTGTGAGACTTAGGTCTCACTTGATGACCTAAGTCACCAAGGAGCAGCTTTTTCTCCAGTTCAAGGGCATGGTGCCCAGTGGACTGCTTCAATGATACCTTAACAATGATTCTGGCACTGGGATGTCTCAATTTCACTTTACCTATAGGAACCATCTCTGAGTTTATGCAGTTTCAGATTCTATTTCAAGCTTATGCTCTGAGTTCTTAGCTTTGAGAGAGGTAGTAAAAAAGCAGGGAGAAGATAACTCCAGTAGCTAATTATGATGGACAACCACAAAAAAATTTGGATACCATGGCTCACCTCCAACCACCCCTACCATGTAGGTAGAAACAATCCAAACTAACTGCAGAATATCCAGTATTTTTCTGAGAAAATCTATAGATCCTTTATTCTTAAACTTCTTAAGGCATTGATAGTTGTCTGAAAGCCTGAAGGGCCGAATTTGTTTCTTCAGTCTGTGTAAGTTGTTCTCAAACTTTAAAACGCATAAAATTACTGCATACAGATTTTTATAAGCAAATAGAGGTAAATCAGACTTTACAGAGCTGCTAAGGGTTTTCACTTGTATCTTCACATAGGCAAGCTATAGACTTCAGAACCTAATATGGCTTCATAGGTTGTAAGTTGACCCCAGGACTATCAGTAAGACTACCTATAGCTGCTCCTATTAGTTTCTTCACTTCCACCACTCCAAAAACTGGCATTAATAACTACCATTTATTGGGAATTTTCACTATTCCAGTTATTGCAATAGACATGTTTTATTTATTATCTTTGATACTGACAAAAAATTTAAAAAGGTAGGTATAACTATAACCAATGAAGATGAAGAAACAGGCTCAAGACAAAGTAAGCAACATTTTGGAGGTTATGTGTCTACAGTGCAATGTAGTCAAATCCTAAACCCAAAGTGAATCCAACATAAGTGCCTTTTCACCATGATGCACCACAGTAATGATTATCTCAGTAGAATCTTCAAAAAGAAACCTCTCCTGTGATAACTGGATCCAGACTTGTAGTGTTTTCTGTTTATTTGCCTGATTAAAGAGATAACTGGGCCTGAAAGCATGAGAGCCATATTTGTTAGAGGATTGTGTTTATAATTATACTGGCAATGATTAAGGCCTAACATATGGTTTATCCTGAAAAAGGTTTCATATGAACTTGAGAATACATATTTTTCTGTTGTTATGTAGAGTGTTTTGTATATATTTCATATAATCAATTGATTTATGGTGTTGTTCAAGTCTTCTATTTCCTCATTGATCTTCTGCTCGTTGTTATATCCATTATTGAAAGTGAGGTATTGAAGTACCTAGGTATGACTGTAAACTCTATTTCTCCCTTTAGTTTTGTCAATTTTGCTTCACATGTTTTGGCATCTATTATTAGATATTCATGTGTTAATAATTGTTATATATTCCTTATGGATTATATTACTTATCAATATATATAGTGTCCTTCTTTATCTCCCGTAACCTTTTTTCCTTAAAATCTCTTTGATCCAATAATATTAAGTCACTCTGGTTCTCTTTTTGTTACCACTTGCATGGAATAGCTTATTCTATCATTTTACTTTCAACCTTTTTTGGTCTATAGATCTAGAGCAAGTCTCCAGTAGACAGCATATAGCATATAGATAGATCATGTTGTTTATCTTTTCTGCAACACCTACCTTTTAATTGGAGGATTTTAATACATTTACATTTAAAGTAATTACTGAGAAGGAGGGACAGACTTCTGCTATTTATCTATATATTTTCTGTATGTTTTATGTTATTTGTTCTTCACTTCATCCATTTCAGACCTTTTTTATTTCTCATTTCTATATAATTTTTAGTTATTTTCTTAGTTGTTACCTTAGGGATTAAAATTAATATCTTAAACTTATGACAACCTAGTTTAACCAATACCAACTTAGTTTCAGTTGCAAACATCCTGCTCCCATACATCTCCATGCCTTCCCCTTTACATAGTTATTGTCACAGAATGCATCTTTACACACTGTGTGCCCTTTAACACAGATTTATCTTGACTGATTTATGCTTTTGCTGTCTTTTAATCATAGACAAAGTAAAAGCATTCTAAACCAAAAAAAAAAAAAAAAGAGGTTAAAGTTTTTGGTGGTGCCCCTCACAGCCTTCTAGCAAGAACTGATCAGATAGTTACATGGTCAATATGAAAAAATGAAGTGTTTAACAGGAAAAATCTTTACTGGCCCAGTAGGAATTTTCTTCTGTTTAACAGAATGTAACATCACAAATGATTTTAGACTATAGGTCATTGACTTAAGGGAAAAACAACTGCACAATTCAGAGGGTAATAGAAAAAAATTACTCAGGAATTGGTGCCATATAAAATACAAGAAGATTACATAATCATTTCTGGTATGATCTCAGCTTTATATAATGTCTAACAATAGCTAACATCAATTAAGCACCTACAACTTATATTTACTATATAATATATAATATTTTTCATATTTGATCCAATTTAATCTTCATAACATACCTTGACATACATACAGTTTTGTCTGTAACATTTCACAAATGAGGTTAAAGTATTATCCTCATGCATGAGATGGTCAGAGATGCCCTCTCTGAGTTAGGACACAGTGCAGGGGAGGAAACAGGCTGCGTTGATATTAGAGAAAAGCATTGCCGCCAGAGAGAAGTCCACAAGTTTTGAGGCAGTAGTGTGCCGGGTGTGTTGGAAAAAGAGCCAGGAGCCAGAGTGACTTGAGTGGAATGAACAGTGGCAACCTTTGATGCCTTGGTAAGGATCTACCTGGCTGTTACCATAAGTGGCCTGGGCAATCATGATAAGACTTGAACAGAGGAGTGACATTGTTTTGACTGTTTTAAAAAGAGTATCCTCACTGCTACAATGAAAAAAGATTAAACTAGAACAAGAATTAAAATAGAACACGGGTTAGAAAACTATGGAAAATCATCTACTCAAGAGATGATAGTAGCTTTGACCAGGGTGGTAACAAGAAGATGGTGAGAAATAAAATTCTGAATTTATTTTGAAGGAAAAGTCAACAGGATTTTCTGAAAGATTGGCTATAAGGAATAAGAAACAGAATAACTTTAAGGTTTTCACTTTGAACAAGTGTATGAATGCAGCTACTATTTCCTGAAATTGGGGAAAACCGTGAGATGAACCAATGTGTTGGTGTTCAGGAATTGAGACTGGGAAAGTTCAAGATGCCTTTCACATCTCCAGGTGGATATGAATCTGACATTCAGGGCAGAGGTACAAAATGGAGATTTAATTTGTGAATCATCAGCACGTAGGTTGCATTGGAACCCTTGAGCCAGGATGAGATTACTGAGGGAGTAAATTTAGATTAAAAATGGGAGTGATCCATAGACTACATCCTGGGCAACTTCAAAATTTGCCACACACAAGATAATTATGAAGAACCAGAAAAGTAGACTGAATAGGAGCAGCCAGAGAAGTAGAAGGAAAATAAAATATGTTGGTGTTCTGCAATGTATGTGAAAGAAGCCTTGCAAGTGAATCAACTAGAAGTGGACACATGCACACGTATGTTTATTGCGGCATTATTCACAATAGCAAAGACTTGGAACCAACCCAAATGTCCAACAATGATAGACTGGATTAAGAAAATGTGGCACATATACACCATGGAATACTATGCAGCCATAAAAAATGATGAGTTCATGTCCTTTGTAGGGACATGGATGAAACTGGAAACCATCATTCTCAGTAAACTATCGCAAGAACAAAAAACCAAACACCGCATATTCTCACTCACAGGTGGGAATTGAACAATGAGATCACATGGACACAGGAAGGGGAATATCACACTCTGGGGACTGTGGTGGGGTGGGGGGAGGGGGGAGGGATAGCATTGGGAGATATACCTAATGCTAGATGACGAGTTAATGGGTGCAGCGCACCAGCATGGCACATGTATACATATGTAACTAACCTGCACAATGTGCACATGTACCCTAAAACTTAAAGTATAATAAAAAAAAAAAAAAAGAAGTGGACACATTATATGGAATAACAGAAACTCCAGAGATGCTCATGACTACCCTTCAAAACAACATTGTATGTCTAGGATTACATATCCATTCTCTTGAATAAATACCCAGAAACCTCAGTGGAACTTTTTGTAGCAAATTTGGTAGAACAGGGAGTAGAAAAAAAAGGTATGCAATTAGACGAAAATCTCTGAACAACTTCCTTAGGATAGATCTATACAGATTTCTCATAGAATCCATATCCCAAAAAGCAATATTAGTATTCATCAGAGACGAGGAAGCCATTAATTACTATAAAAGAAACACAAAACTAGCACCTAAAGTGACAGAATTCTCTCACTTTATGAAAATAATGAGGAAATATTGTCAGTTGAAGTGGAATCTCTCTATCACTTGCACAGTCCAACGTTTCTTTTCTTTTCTTTTTACATGCTGGTAGGAGTATATATTCGTATAGCATTTTGGAAAGGCAATGTGACATTAAAACACACAATTTATATGACTTTTCAGCAATTTCTTTCCAGAATCAACCCCAAAGAAACTGAAATAGTCAAATGAAATAACCATCCATAACAGAGAATAGTTGGTGTGGTGTGTATGTGTGTGTGTGTGTAGGTATGTGTGTGTGTGTGTGCGTGTGTGTATATATATATGATGGAATACTACACAGCCACTAAAAAGGAATGAATTGGCTGCGCATGGTGGCTCACACCTGCAATCCCAGCACCCCAGGAGGCCGAGGCGGGCAGACCACCTGAAGTCAGGAGCTTGAGACAAGGCCAGCCAACACGGTAAAACCCCATCTCCACCAAAAACACAAAAATCAGCCAGGTGCAATCATGCCCGCAATCCCAGTCCAACATTTCTATTACATTTGGAATGCCTCTTGTAATCCCTATAGTGTACATTTCATTACAGTTATTTTATAACACTTCAAGTTGAAGGCAATGATGGGAAGTCTTAACCAAGTTCATAATTACTAGTTATCCAGCATATTTTAGGTATTTAAAACTTTTTGTAGAATGCATAAATGAGTGGTAGGTTTTGCAGGTACTGAGAAAAAATACACTGAATGAAGATGCAATGTGTTCTTCAAGAAAAGTATAAGAAAAATGGAAGTCTGCATAACCCAATAATGGGAACAGACAATGGTAGGATCTATCTAGAAAATAAGCTGCATAACCTCAGAATAGCTAGAAATATTTTCTTTCATCTCTAAGCAGCTACTATATTTAACTAAAATATTTTCACTGTTATTATTTTTGTACCACACTAATTGCTAAATACATCCCTGTTCTTAGACAGAAGAAGTGCCTTGCTTTTCAAAATGACAGTTTGAGATATAGCAGAATCCTCATTTAAGTTTCTCACGGCAAATGGAGTTCTTTGTTGTCCTTCAGCTGAAAGAATCAATGTAATTTTAAAAAATGATTTGTTGCCCACTATGTGCAAAGCACTGTTCCAGGGACAACCACAAGCAAAGCACAATATTTATCCTCAAAGAACTCGTAGTTTGTGAGTAAAAAGGCACAAGTGATGCTTGAGAAATGCCCTATGACAGATATACATAAAAGGTTTTGAGATGTATAAGATAAGGAATCCATCAGGTCTGAGAGGATCCAGAGAGTTTCATCCTTTAAAGTAGGCATTGGAAATGGATTTTGAATGATTTATTTTCTAGGCAAGCAAGAATCAGACAGGTGTTCCAGAGATAAGGAAGTGTCTGAATAAAGGCATAGACACAAGTTTCTGATATTAAAGAGAATAAATAGTATAGTGAATGGCTGGAGGAAAAGAGGGAGAAAATCAGAGGATGAGAGGCAAAAATAAGGAGATTTATTTCTTCATTTAAAATGGAAATGAAAGAAAATAAATGTTCAATATTTGATGTATATTTATTTTATGTATAAGAAAATTTAAAATGTTCAATATTTAATGTATATTTCTTTTATGCATTACTGCTCAGCTAAAATGAGTAAGTGAAGTGAAGAAGAATACCATGCTCAGTAGACACACCCAGACCAAGTCTTAGGGTTTTGTTTAAAGGTTGAAGTTTGTAGTTTTGAGATACCCAGAAGTTCCAGGCCTCCAGAAAACCAGTATTTAATCTACTTTTCCCTACTATTCAGACTCAAATGCTAAACCAACGTGAGCAAAAGAAGGAAGGATCATATGATGAGCTGAAATATACAGGAACAATGACAGAATAGATAATAAGAGGAAGTCTGAGCAGAAATGAAACTTAGAAACCAGAAAAGTATACACTGAACACATGCTAAATTTATAATTACAGCTATTCAAAACACTCGAGGATAAGTTGTCAAGTTAAGGACACACAAAAATAAGAGGTATATTTCACTGTGATCTTTTAACATTCAACATTCAAAATTTTTCCAAATGGCACAGATTTTGTTTCTCAAGGTTTTATCATTGTTAGTAACATTTTTACATTTTCACTGATAAAAATGAAATATGAAATAATTTAGGAAAGAGAATCAAAGAGCAGTGACCTAAATATACACTATACTGATTCTTACACTTCCTTTTTATAAAGCTACTGTGACTAACATCCATTTCTCTATCTTATCTGATAAAACAAATCCTTTGTACATTGTGAGATTTTTATAAAAATATATAACTTAATTCTCAGTTTATCACTGAAACTTAAATAATAATAAAATAACACCAATAATATACAATAAGTAATAATACTGATAAATTGTGTTTCTTATATACTAACACATAGAAACCATCAACATTGCCATTTAATTAACTTAGAAATAAAAAGTGACGTATAAGTGCTCAAATTAGAAGGAAATCTTATTTTTTTTTTACTTCTAGGTATATAAATATACAAAATAAAGTAGAATATAATAAATAGTAAGGCCAGAACAAGTAGTACCAAATAAATGGTATAGGAAAAACGCTAGGTGTTTAAAATGTTAATTCCAATCAAGGAGACTTAGATTAAGTCAAATTTCACTTTGTTTTGATATTTTTCCTATTAATTATTCAAGCACACAGCATTTAAATTGATTCATATATTTAATAATTTTACACAGAGTGAAATGTCAATTGGTATTCTTTGTTTTCTTCCATATTTTTTATTAGGAAAAGAAGAGAAACCTGGAAGAAAATTTTCCTGGAAAGAAAGAGAGCATTGTTCAGCAGCAAGAACACTGACCATGAGAACAATTCTTCTACTCAGAAGCCACCTGACCTTGGGCCTGTCACTCAGGTTTTCTGAGCCACAGTTCCCTGACCACTCGTCTTGCTTATTTTATAGGGGCTTTAGTTTCTTTACTGATAAAATTGCTGTGCTTTGTAATAATAACACCTATGTAAGAATCAAATTAGTTAAATATGGAAATATGCATAATTGTAAAGTATCATACCCAGTTTCTGGAACCTAGCTGATATTTTATTAGTGAATAGAAGGAGAAAAGCTTGTCCCATTGATGCTCAGTAATACAAAACATTTAAAGAATAAATTCAAAATCTTGGCTATAATAGAATTTTTTAAAGTGTTATTATCCTTCAATGTTTGAGTTTGTAAGTGAAAAGTCACATTAGGAATCAGCTTTGATTAAAACAAAGGAATAACTCTTATAGCAAGTAAACCATTTGTATGATAATAATCCATTGGATATATAATAAAGTTCAAATTCTCCAGCCAGGCTTTTACCTCTATCTACTGCTACACTATCTACCTCTCCTCAACTTTACTTTCTCATTTGTTTTGCAATTTAGATTGTAAAAGTGTGTTCAGTATGGTTTTATCTCTGCAGAGGCTGTGGCAGTTCAAACCCACATAAGTTTGGGACTGTGATTACTTCTTTTTTTTTTTTTTCCATCCAGAGTCCAGATTGAGATGAGAAGCTTCTTCTTTGTCATCTTTCTCTGCTTCTGGGTAGATTTTTCTATCCCTCCTTTTCACTGAGAGAGTAATTTTTTGAGGGTCAGGAGAGGATGAAATTCATTCTAAGTCTCCATTTTGGGTTATTCCCAAAGGCTTTTTCCTCTCTAGGACTTCTTCCTGTTAAGCCACCTTGTATCTTTTTGTCTGGAGGGATCATACAAGAGTTGTGCTTGTTCGAAAATCGGTTTATCCCAGTTACACCAGGTATTTAATTACGCAATACAAATTAAGTACTTTATAAGCTGATTAAATGTGACTTCAAAAAAAAAAAAAAAAGTAAAAGTGATCCTGTGGAAAAGTTTTTCCTTTTGAAAATATTTGCTGAAAATGCACACATAATGTAGGCATGCAGATATGGATGAGACAACTTGAAAAGATTAGGAGAAAATAATCATTAAAGCCTTAAAAGATTTAGTGCCCAGATTGTTTTACAATTGTCTTTAAATCCAGACACCTTATTAAAGAAAATGAACCTGGCACTTACATATGAGGCAATAGAGGTATAGTTTATGAAAGCAATAATACGTGAAACCCCAATCTGCAAATCGTATCGGGGGGAAAGCCTTATTCTAAGTCAACAGATTAGCTTTTCACTTCAAATAAAAATTTTAGATACATATAAATGATACTTTGTGGTTCTTCTCTGTGACCAATATTCTGATTTGTCCAATTGCTACTGGATCGAATCAAATCAAGTATGATGGATTTTATTGTATTATCTTAGGACAATACTCACCACAAACACTGAATAATATAAAATGCATGTTTAAATTATTTTAACTTAATCCCAAAACCTACAGTTATAGTCTATTTCTATCATGATTACTACTACTAAAATTACTAATTGTTTAGTCACCATAGTAAGATCTTCCTGGAACTTCAACCTACAGCATTACTTAAGAGCAGCACAATGCCCAAAAGAAATCTTTTTATTCCAGTCACCTGAGACCTTGGGGGAAAAAAATCCTTAGTCCACCATCTATGCACAAAGCTAGGGAATCTCTTTCCTAACAAAAGATTAACACGTTTTCTCCAAGCAGATAACTGAATCACTAGAAACAAATAAAGAAAAAGACCTGAAACAAAGTACTGCAGGTACAAAGAGCAAAGATCTTGTTACTTAAAAGAAAAACTCAGTAAACATGTCAATGTTTCTTGGAAGATTAGGGAAACCAACATTCTTAAAAGGTCTCTTATTCATTATTTATAAGTAGATGCAACACCTCATTTATACCTCCTTATCTCATACAGAAGAGCTAAGATTGGCAGAAATGGTAAGTTCTCAATTTATGCACATTGGTTTAACTTGTTTTTCTAGATTCCACCTTGGGCTTTCCTTGGGACCCAGCTATCCAGCCCAATAAAGCCAGTTTGAAACAGCTGCATTTGGAACTTGCTGTTGACACAATAATCTGAGTTATATGTTAATTTCTAAAAGAATAAATGAACCCATTACTTCCCAGATTTCACAGAAGCCACTTGCTTGGAGCAGACTACCATGACAAGCCAGTCTCAGGGGATCCACCAGCTTCTTCAGGCAGAAAAACGGGCCAAGGACAAGCTAGAGGAAGCCAAGAAGAGTAAGTCTCACCTGTGAGGGGTCTGTCACGAAATAAACAAAGCAGTGGAATGCAGGGATAAGCATAGACTTTTGGATTAGGCAGACCTTGTTTCAAACTTTGGTTTACTGTACTCCCTGTGAGACCTTCACCCATTCATTAAAATTACCCAGCCATATGTTCCTTATTTCTAGAGCAGGGATGAAGTTTCCTCATTCAGATCCTTTTGAGAGGTCATGTGTTCATGGACATTAAGATTATAGAGATGTGGGCTTAAGCCTTGGCTATGCCATGCCTGTTTTCTCAACATTGTTAGGGGGTAGAAAACCTCTGGATTGAATCTACTTATTAGTGAGTAAACCTGAGCAAATTACTTATTTTTTATAAGCATCAGTTTTCATTTCCATAAAATCAGAATAATAATGGCTCATTCTCATCCCTCTCTTGGTAGCTTTTTAACATCTAATATTTTAAAATATTTTCATTTTATTCTCATTTTCTACCTCTCTTTTTATTTTTATTAATTTATTTTTTAAGAGATGAGGGTCTCACTATGTTGCCCTGGCTGAACTCCAACTCCTGGACTCAAGAGATCCTGCTGCCTCAGCCTGCCAAGTAGCTGGGACTACAGGCACTTGCCACTGTACTCAGCTCTCTTTTCATTTGGTCATGCATTCATGTACTTACATATAGAATGTCCTCAATGAACTTCAACACCTTTTCTATTCTCTTTGATACAACAGCCAAATGAATAGGATATTAACATTATTCCCAATGTATGCAGAAATGGAGTCACTGATTTGTTCAAGGTTATATTTTAAAAATAGAAAATATTGTGCCAGGCACCATGCTCATTGCTTATCTTTATTCCTCACAACCTTTACTGAAAAAGCAAAAGTGATGCTTAGAGAAATTATACAACTTGTCTAAGGTCACACAGAGGGTAAATGGTAGAGACAAGATTTAGATGAGCTATAATTTCCAAGCCCAGATCTTAACCACTGTGCTTTACAAAATTTACACAATTTGCATAATAAAAAAATTAATATGTCTCAGATCTACAACTGGAATTCAGATTCCCAAGGCCAAGACATTTTTTTCACTATCCCATTTCATATCACCTCATTATTCAATCTACAATAATTTGTAGTGTCATTCACTCTCCTTGTGTGTCCTGCCTCTGCAATTAGATTCAGTCTGGCAAAACAGGGGCCATATTTTCAAAATGTTACTTATGTAACTCTTTGGATGAATGTAGTGATGGGATTGGAGTAGGTACTGAATTATTTAAACGTAATGAATGAAATGAAGGAATATATTACAACATAAGAAAGTCAGTCAGAAATAAGGCAGGTACACTAAAGTTTTCAACCACAGGTAAAATCATTTCCTTTTCTTAAGATAAATAGATTTCCTGAACACTCAGCAATGTGGGCATCAACAACATAAAAGGAATGACTCCAGGTGGAGATGATAGAAGAGGAAAGGAAGAAGAAAGATAGTGAAGGCAAACTTTACCTATTTCTCAATTTCTTTTTCTACAACGAAGTGTGGAAATAGTTGCAAGATGATATGAATGTAGAGTAGTTTTATAGAAAACAAAGCAGTTCAGGACCTGTGGTTGAAGCGGCATAGAGAATTTTCCCTTTTTAAAAATTTCAGGGTTTTCTTTTCTTCTTCTTCTTTTTTTTTTTTTTTGAGACAGGGTCTGCTTCTGTTCCCAGGCTGAAATGCAGATGATCTGGGCTCCTTGCCACCTCCATCTCTCAGGCTCAAGCCATACCTCAGCCTCTAGAGTAGCTGGGACCACAGACACACGCCACCACACCCGGCCAATTTTTGTATTTTTGTAGAGACGGGGTTTCGCCATGTTGTTCAGCTGGTCTCAAACTCCTGAGCTCAAGAGATCCACCTGCCTCTGCCTCCCAAATTACTGCAATTACAGGAGTGAGCTACTGTGCCAGGCCTTTTTAAAAACTTCTTTAACAATATTTAAAACTTTCAGAACAGAAGACCAGATAATTTAAAGATGTGATAGTTATGTTGCCTTTGCTTTCTCATTATGGAGGATACAAAATGAAATATTGAGTATAGATTAATCAATATTATTGTATGACTCAAATAATTTTTACCAACTATTTCTCCTTTTTTCGAGTCATTAAAGAATAAAAGAATTGCTATACATGCAAGCTGTTTTGGGGTGGGAGCCGCTAAGGGCAACCTGGCTTCAAATTTCAGAATAAAGATAAAAGTCCAATTTCTTTTGCTTTTCTCTAGTGAATATGCTGTCCTTGGGCAATCTTTCCTCAGAATTCAGTATTGAAAAGTACATACTGTCTTATTTCTATACAAAAATGTTCATTTCATTTGCCAGTAACTTAAAATACCTGCATATTTTTTTCTTAATCTACCATGTCTTTGTTCATGAATATTCAAGGGGATATTCAACCAGTAATAGTAAATACCCAGGCTTTAAAGACATTCTGGAAAATATTTTGACTTTCAACAACTAACCTCTGCACTCAGTTTTATGGAGAATGTCAGCCTGTCCTCTTTGCCTCAGAAGCCACAGGCGTTGAGGTCAGTTTTAACTGGATAGAAACTGTTTTCTTAAAGCTATCAGCAGGTATTAAAGTTTATAGTTACAACAGCTTACTCACATAAGCGATCTATGGCAAAATAGAAATATTACCTTATATACCAGTATGTTATAACTTCCCTAATGTTTCAGTGGTTTTTGTTTCATTTATTTAATTCAATAAGTGTTTATTGGGTATCTACTAATTCCAGGCCACTTTGATGTTTACACTGATAAATAAGACCTAGTTCTTCCTTAAAGAACTTCCCAGTGAGATAAATGCACAAATGACTATTTTAAAAAGGGAAAGGAGGCATGATGACAGGAGAGGTAAAGATAGTTATCATTTTAGTAAACCCATATACTTTTGCTTTATTTTTTCATACAAAGATTCATTTGAAATTCTGACATATTAAGGCAGAATGATATTCAGAATGAGGACCAAGAAGTCACAATAGTGAACACCATTGTAGAAGGTCTATGGTCATTTTCTCTTTCTTAAATCCATTTATTTGCAAGACTCTCAGAAACTTGGGCATAAAGTGCTAGAACAAGACTCTTGAGTGTATTATTTTTAAGAAAAAGAAAGACAGGAAGAAGGAAGGGCGAGAAAGAGGGAAAGAGAAAGAAAACAGCAATTCACATGTTAATCATTTCAGGAAAATACAAGATTAATATGGTTATTTTTATATTATGCTGAAAAAATATTAATATATTCCATTAAGGAGAACAGCCTCAGATCCTGGTGCAGTTGCTACATGATACAGTATATGGTCTAAGTGTTTTGCCTTTAGGGATACTGATAAGGGATTATGAACCTGATGTATCAAGAACTCTCCAGAAGGCCACGCGGTCTATAGAAATTGAATATGCAAGTCTCTGCTCTCAAGACATCCACCAGCTACTGAGAGAGATGAAATCTGACAGGGACATGGGCAGGAATGTGGACAGGCTTCGGAAGTCAGACTGGGAAGTAGTAGAGTATAAAAGCATTGGCTTGAGTTGAAAACCTACAATTCTTAATGTCATTTAACATCTCCAAGTTTCAGACTTTCTTTCTGTAAATAAAAATAGAAGTTATAATACACGCACACACACACACATATGACCAAGAGGTTGTAAGAATCAGAAAAATATGTGTAAGATAGTAAAGCAAAATACACACTAGAGTTATTTTTATTTTTAATATATGTCATGTATTTTTGTATGTTACTGTAAGTAATAATGATAGAAGAATGATATAGACTAGAATGATCTCATTCCATTTGTTTTTACCCCTGCTGTAAGTTCTGCATCTACTTTTCCTAAAACGAAGAGACTGGGACTGCTTCTGGTAAGATGACTAGAAATGTTCAGATACTTTCCTGTATTCACTGATTACAGGTTATATTTATTAGTTAAAGCTCTCACTCATTTTTATGTGCAAAACTGCCTTACTATTTTGGTTGAATTTAGATGAAATCACAGTAGTTTGCACTACTTTAAATTATCTTACCTAGATTCAATGCTCTTTACTTAATAAATTGTTCATTAATCAAAACATAAAAGTGGGTGTGTTGGTCCAAGACAAGTTACCTAAACATCAGAGATCTGCCATGGAGCTCCAGGTTTGGGGTATTGAACTGAAACTTCAATCAGAATTAGATTAGAAATTCAAAGTACCATTATCAACAGGAGGAACAGAGACTTGTGTTTCTCTGAAATATGTTGCATTTTTACTTTTAGTCATGACCTTTTTTAAGAGAAGTATTTACTTCACTTACACCCATTGCAAACTTTTAAAACCCTATAGCTCTGCATTAACATTGTTCTGAAATACTCAAATGCATGCAATTCAACATCACATAAAGAACTCATATTCCCAAATCATTTCTGAACATACATGGCATACTCTCCTAGAAATAAACACTCAATTTATTTACTTTGGAAGCTGCAGAAAGTAGCATTTGTGCTTAACTAAAAATTACAAATTGCATTACAGGATATAGATTGAAAGAAATAGCAAAAAAAAATGTAAATTTTCTAATCTGGATATGAGAAAAATGGAACAAATAGCTATATTAAAAATGTCTAAAAGCTACAGACAATTGTAATACAAGTGAAGAACACACTGCTCTAGCTTTCTCCCAAAATAGTATGGTCAGTACTCACCCCCTACAGCTGCTCTGCCTGGATGCCAGTCTAACTTCTGCTTCTTATTAGCTGTGTGACCTTGGGTGGGTTACCTCTTAACCTTGCTGTGCCTGTTTCCTCAGCCTCAAAATGGAGATACTAACAGTACCTACCTCATGGAGTTGTCATGATTAACTGAGTTAACTCTTATAAAAGACTTAAAACACCACTTGGCATATAGAAGGTGCTCAAGAAATTTTAGCTGTTAATATTATTTTAATATCCAATAAAAAGAATTTTGTTGCAAAAACAGCAAAAAAGTCCTGGAGATTTCTTAAGCATGGTCCACTATGAGGCAAAATACATACTTAAGAAAATATTTCTGCATTCTAGATAATACATCAGATAATACTGTAATTCAGATTTATTTTTGTGAGTCTATAGGATGCCAACCATCAATAATTTTTTTAAATCAGCAAATTTCCTATTTGCTTCCAAATATGCATATATTCTGAATTATTTAAACAAGCACCTCAATTTAATAAATTCTTCACTATGCAAGTGGATGTTTTTGTTCATAAAGACAAGACTTTTAATAAACTAATAAAATAAAAGTTGTTATATAAGAATTTCATGGCCCTGTCTTGCATGTTTTGTAGGCTTGTAAATACTTCCTCTTCCTTTATAGTCCACAGACTAACAGGGTATTTGTAAGTGTATTGGGCTTTCATTTCTTCAGGTGGGTAATATTAAAATAATAACCACAGAGCATTTTCATCTATTAATAGCATTTGGTTATATTCAGTCCAGGAGCTACACAAAACTATTTATTGTATTTTTAATAAGGAAAATACAAGTAGAAGAAAAGCAAAAGAAAACATTCAGGAAGCAGAGATCTGACAGGAAATAAATTTAGTGTAAGAGAAGCTCTAGCAGTGACAGTCACCAAAGGAGAGGCTGCCTCTTTGTTTTTCTGGTGACATTTCTTTCCCAATGTTTGTAGTCACTGGGAAAAATAATAGCATTCTTTGAATCAGGTTGGTTTTATCACAATATTGACAATCGCCCAAAGCCAAGAAGTTTTGTTTGGTTTGGTTTTGCTTTGTTTTCTGAGTGGTAGAATAGATCAAAAGTTGTTATTACTAACAGAAATCTTCAAACATTACCAAAGTACCCTTTGTTTATACAGCAAATAAAAATGGCTTCTGAACTGTTTATGCATATTTTTGTCAGGTGGCACATTCATTTCAATACCTACTATTTTCACCACACTAGGGTATCTGGCTTTGTCTCCAATGCTCAACTAGCATTGTTTTCTCTATGCTCCTTGCTGATTCTCTGCATTTGTTTCCTAGAGACGCTGTAACAAATTACCATATACTAGGTGGCTTTAAACAGAAATTGATTATCTCACCATTCTGGAGGCCAGAAGTCCAAACAGAAGGTGCCAGCAGGGTTGGATCCTTCTGGAAGCACCGAGGGAGAAACCCCCATGCCTCCTTCCTGGTCACTGGTGGTAGCCAGCCATCCTTGGCACTCCTTGTCTCGCAGCTGCATCATTTTAATGTATACCTCCATCAATACATGGCCTTCCTCCCTGTGTGTCTGCTCTGACTCTGTGCCTCTGTATTCAAATTTCCCTTATAAGAGAACCAGTTGTTGGATTTAGGACCTGTCTTAATCCCTTATACCTCATTTTAACCTGATTACATCTGCAAAGACCCTATTTCCAAGTAAGGTTACATCAGAGGTACCAGGAGTTAGGACTCCAACATATGTTTTCGGGGGGCACAATTAAATCCTCTAGCTGTCAAATCCACTTGACCACCTTGAGCCCTTATTTTATTTTCTTTGTTCCCCTTTGTTGGTTAAAACTTCTCAGAGAAGTTGCCTATGTTCCCTGTGTCTACAATGTTTCATTCCATTTTCTATTGAACACTTCTTCCTATAACTCCACCAATAGTTCCTCTTGCCCAGATCACCAGTCTTGCTAAACCCAATATTAATTCAATATCTCATTCATAATTAGATCCCTCTTTCCTCTTTGAAACTCTTTCTTCATTTGACTTTGGAACACTACTCTCATGGTTGGCTTCCTGTTGTCTTCTCAATCCTTAAAGTCGGACCCCAATTTGGACCTGTTCTCTTGGTTATCAGCAGATACTTCTGAGGTGCTCTCATCTGATCTCATGGCTTTACAGACCAGCTTCAAGTTGATGACTCCCAAACTTGATATTCCCAGCACTCGTTGCTTCCCTGATCTCTAAGTTCATATAAACACCAGCTGTCTCAGCATCACTATTGGATGTTGAATAGGCATATCAACGAAATTGCAGTATTGACTCCATCCCCAAAATAAAATGTTGGTGCCATCATTGACTCATATCTGTCTCTCATGCTCATGTATCAATTCCACCTCCAAAATATATCTACCCTCTTCTTGCTAACTCCACTACTACTTTACCATTTCCAGCAATTATTAAATTTGCCTGAACAATTGCAACAAATTTCAGACTGATCTTCTTGATTCTCCTTTACCCCTATAGTGTATTTTCTATTTTCACCACACCAGCCAAAGAAATTTTTTTTTTTTTTTTTTAGACAGAGTCTCACTCTGTTGCTAGGCTGGAATACAATGGCGTGATCTTGGCTCACTGAGCCTCTGCCTCCTGGGTTCAAGCGATTCTCCTGCCTCAGCCTCCCAAATAGCTGGAACTACAGGCACGCACCACCATGTCCACCTAATTTTTGTATTTTTAGTAGAGACCGGGTTTCACCATGTTGGCCAGGATAGTCTCGATCTCTTGACCTCATGATCCACCTGCCTCAGCCTCCCAAAGTGCTGCAATTACAGGCATGAGCCACCGTGCCTAGCCAAGAAATCCTTTTAAATTACAAGTAGTATTATGTCATGCCTTGGCTAAGAACCCTTCATGAATTTAGTATTCCAAAGACCAAAATTCTTACCGTGCCCTGTGAGATCAATATGACCTGGTCGTGCTACTATCTTTCTAATACCATCTCCTAACATTCATGATTGAATATCCTGTTCTCTTTGCTCCAGCCATGATGGTGTTTTTGCTCTTCCTTCAGCATGGCAAATATCCTCCCACCTCAGGGCCTCTGCACTTGCTGTTCCCTCTGCCTGGAGGACCCTTCCCCCTGCCTGGAAGACTCTCCCCCTTCAGATATCTGCATGACTAGTTGCCTTATTCCTTTAGGCCTCTGTTCACATATTGTTTCATCTGAGAGGCCTGATCTGTCTAAAGTAGAATCCACCATCTTTCTTTACCCCTTATTCTCCTTTCTTCTTCACCATCATCCCTGTCATATTATATACTTATTGTCCATTTTCTATTTTTATCTCCCCAACTACATTCAGAACACAAACTCCATGAAACAAAAAGTTTGTGGCTTTCACTGCTATATCCATAGATCTACAATAGTGTGTGGCACAGAATAGACATCTAGTTATGTTGATTAAATATCTCTTATTTCAGTTCTCTGTGTCTTTTGATACTGCTGGCCATATCCTTCTTGGAATGTTCTCTTCTGTCTTTTGGTTTCTCCAACTTCTCTGACTACTACTGGCTCCTTCCAACCTTCCTCCTTCTTTTCTTAAAGGTTGAGTGTTAATATTCCCCCAAGCTGAGACCTTAGCCTTCTTTTCTCCTCATTCTGTATACTCTCCCTTGATTTCTGTCTAAATCCCATTGCTATAACTAGCATATATACAGGCCCCAATGACTAATATGCAAATCTCTGTCTTCATTTCAGACCTTCCTCCTGCATCCCAATTTTGTCTCCCCAGCTGTCGTCTGCATACCTCCAATTAAATATCCTCAGGAAAGCTTACAGAGGCTTCTCTAGTGACAGCCTGAGGACTTCTCCTCAAACTCACGCTTTACCCCTTGCCTTTTTTTTTCTCCTTGACTTCTTTTTTAGCAAAAGGCCCCTAGGAATTGGACCCGTTTTCCTAATAATTATTTAAAATAATTAAACAACTACTTTTGTCAATCATTTTATATACATTTTTTTCTAATCCCTCCAATAACTTTTTATGGTAGATTATTAAATCTGTCTTATAGATGAGAAAACTCAATAACCTGCTCAAAGTTACAAAGCTTCTAATGTTTTATTGCCATGATGCCTAGTGCATGATTCTGATTGCCTTAGATGATAAATGAAATCCTATCTTCTCCATTGGGAAAAGAGCCTAGAACAAATTTAGCAATCCAACAGAATTAGGTTTCTCTGTACCTCAAGAACTTATCGCATCTGGGGACAGTCAGTTCACCTGGCCTGTCCTAATGAGAAGGCCAGGAAGAGTCCATCTTCAAGCATTACCCTTTGTCTCCGACACAGAGTTGTTTTAACCTGCCCAAAATTGATTTTATTAATCCTTTTCCCACAAACCACCTGAAAATCAGTCCAAATGTCTTTTCTCCCCGCTTTTGGTCACAGCAGCCATGTTTTTAATGCATACAAAGAAATAAGTATAATTTTAGAATTGCCAAATTCTTACACACAGAGAGAAGCAAGTTAGAGGTTAATATGAGTGGATTTGAAGTGTGCATTTTGTTTCACCTCTAACAGAACAGTAGGCTTTAGGCTCCAGTTTTTTCCACTGGATTAAATCAGGTGGAGCATATGCAGGCTCTTACACAGCAGCAGCTGCTGAGTCTATCAAGAAAATTGCTGTGCCAGCAACGATTTCCCTGTGGCTCTCCCATTTAATTGAATGAGAACCAGCAGGTGACTGGTGCCATGACAAGGGAATCACAGACACGCTCTGAGCCTGTCACCGTGTGATGGAGCTAATATACAGCCTCTTAGTGGAGTGCTGAATTCCACTCAAGGGTAGGGCACACAGACCCTTTCCTATGATTTTTTTTTTAATGTGCTAGAGAGGCATAACTTTAAAACCACTATTTTTAGATATTATGCAATTAAGATGGAGAGTAGTGAGGCATGTGATTTATTTTGTAAAATAATTATGTATCCTACAACCCATTATTACTAAAAAAAATCAATACATTAACATTCTGTATTTTTGTTCTGATGTAAATGACAAACAGATAGAAGAAAGTGGGTTGGAGATCAAGGAATAGTTTTTCCTACCAACATATCATCGATTTATTCTGCTCACAGAGAATCTCTGTGAATAATATATATGTAGTTGTCACAAAATGGTTACAACTATAGAGAATGAAGGAATCAGTATATACAAAATGGTAATGAGCATTAATTAATATAAAGATAAGCATTGCTATTAATGTTCCATTAAGCCTCAAGCAACAGAAGAGCAGTAGTTTTCAGCAGATCTCAGATTTTAAAGAAAGTGTAGGCAGAGCTAAATATCTGTTCTGAATGAGGACTTCCCAGTTCCATTCAAGGGTGGTAGATATTAAAAGAGACACATTTCAGTTTGTAACTCAGTGACTCTATTTTTATCCCATATACATACAGAGACTAGTGAAGCAACTCATACTTAGAAGGGAAAGAAATTGAGAAACAATCTCTGTGCAAATGCTGCAAAGGTAGATACATGCATAGGTAAATGGGAGACAGATAAAAGTTTACACTAAGATTTTCTTTCATGCTACCTGAGAACACATTATTCTTTAGTTCAAAGTCTTTACAATATAACAAATGGTTGACAGAAATTGTAAACAATACTTAAGAAACATTATCAGAGGAAAAAAACTATAAAATGGGTAAAAGAATGGAGGCATTTTACTGAAATTGAAAGACAATAGATTCATAGAAAAAAAGAATTTTAATGTAGTTCAGAATTTCTTTAAAGTTTTAATGATCATGAAGCATTAGTAGCTAAGCCCCAAGGTGGTGGGTGGAGAGAGCAAAGCACCAATTAATATTTGTCTGTAACCCCCCCCAAACTTACTCTGGTTGTCAAAAAAAGTCATGTGCTCAGCTAATGATTACCACAGCATTGTATTCGTCTAAAACTTTCGTTTATGTTGTCTGCTAGCTTAAGGCTTACACCTTTGCTCTTAATAAAAGAAAAAAGGCTACTTAACTAAATCTCCTAATCATTAAAAACAATTGGTTTTATAGCCACTTTCAAGCAAGTTCCCCTCAGAGAAAGTTACAAAAAAAAAAAATTGCTTTGATGTATTGAGGCTTAATCAGACATTGTAGAGTCAACAAATGGTAAGGAAAAATCCCAATAAAACGTTTTTAAAAATTGTAAGTTAGTTTGATAGAGTCTGAGTTGCATGTTTGTAGTGATTTTGGAGATCTGCCAGTGTTAAATAGGATCCAGTTGGTGTGGACTGAAGGATTCTGGCAGCAAATCAAGACTGAAAATCTGACCAAATAATGTCTTTTTGAGTAAGTGACAGCTAAAATCTGTTCTCTGGCATTACTGCTGTGAGTAAATGGGCAGATATTTTATTTAAACATGTAAGTGCAAAAAAAAGTTGTCATTTACGTGTCCTAAAGAATCCAATAAAAAATAATAAAATTTTCAATATCTATTTTTTTAGCAAAGTTTGCCATTCTAGAAAAAATCATCAAAAATAAGGAAGAATGTATCTATTTTAAAAAAACTAAGTTTGCAGCTCCATATGCATACGTGTGTAACATATATGTACAGTTGTTAATATATATATCCTTGTTGAGATATATATAATAAATATTTATATATTGATATATATAATTATATATATATATATATATATTTGTTAATTTTCAGGAAAAGGAAAGCGATTGAAGCAAGCCAAGGAGGAAGCAATGGTAGAAATTGACCAGTACAGAATGCAGAGAGATAAAGAGTTTCGACTAAAACAATCTAAGGTGAGTAAGAAAGTCAGCACTGTTTCTTATGCAGAATAGATAAGATCTTCATATTTATAAGGTTTAATATAGGATATTGACAGAAAAAAATATGCTGCAATTGAGCAGATATAGTTCAATCAAGCTGAACATCAAGCAAAATCTTAAACATAATAATTACTGATTTTACATTTTCACTTTCAAGGCATTTTTAATTTCTCACATAAAGGGTCCATCAGTAGTTATTATGTAATATATAGTATATATTAAAAATCATATTCACAAATATACAAGCTGAAGGGATTGCTTAAAGTCTCATTCCTACCACTGATTATTGACTACATGTTTTAGTAAAATAACTTCAGAGAACATGTTTTTATATAAATATATATGGTTAGTTACATAAATAACTAATATTTCCAAGATTTACAAATGACCAAAGTAGATATTGTTGCAAATTTCTGAAAAGCCTTCTGGTATTTCCTGATGATTTCCTTTGCAACTGGCTGACTCATTCAATAAATCTTTCATTTAGAGATAAAGAAATGCTTTTTCCTACATTGGCACATTTTTAAATATCTGCAGTTTACTGTAAATTATAAATGCATGAAACCTTTGGAGCGGACACCCTCCTTTCCATGTTGCAACATGGGCTAAAAGAAAGTGCTTAACTCCATGTATTATAACTAAATTTTATATGATATTTTATTTTGGCCTCAATAAAAATATAAGTAAAGCTCTGTGCAGAAGCCTGACACTGCCAATAAATTATTAGCAATTTGGAAATCTTTATTTACAACTTCTATTTTAATGGTAATGGATAAGGAGTTCATGTAGGATCAGATAAATTGGACCACATAATAACAAAACCTTTTTCATCAAATAAAAAAGGTCCTTTCTAGAATTAAATGGACCACTCAGCAAACATAAAAATTTTTATCAATGTTTGCAAACAAGAAATCCTAAAGTCCTAAGTTCATACAACACTCCATGATTGGCCTTTGGCTATCTCTCTCACCACATTTTCTACCACCCTAGTCTCTATTAGTTCTGTTCTAGCCATATTGGTCTTTTGCTCTTCCTCAAGCAGCTAGAACATGCCCCTACCATGAGGCCTTCACATGTACCATTCTCACGCCCTACAATTCTTTTCTTTAGATATATTCATCTTTCTTTGATCTCTATTCAATTGTTAGCACCTTTTCCTGATCACTTTATCTAAAATTGTGTCTGTCATAAACACATACCTATTGTAGTCCACTCTTTTTCCTCATAGCACTTAGCATTATCTGATATATTTTATATTGTTTTTTGCATATTGCCTATCTTTCCTTCTGGGACTTTAAACACCAAAAGAATCATTTCTTTGTTTTGTTCTCTGTTTTCCTAGACATTAGAACAGTGCCTGCCACACAGTAGACATGCAATAAATATTTGTTGAAAGAATGAATAACATTTTTTTCTTTGATTTTCTTTCTTATTGAATCCTGTCATAACCATGATCTATTAGGACCTGAGAAAACAATCATCTTTAACATTATTCAGCTTTGATTATCTTATATAGGATATTTCTGATATAATTATTTCCGTTTTTTAAGTAATAACAAAACTAATCACAATTTCAGAAAGTGCTTGTGTTAAATCTCTTCAAATATCATTTCTCCAGAAGAATCTTATCAGATATATATATCTTGTTCAGGTTATTTGTTTTCTGCTTTGGTTAATAATTAAATAATCAAAACTCCTCATCTCTCTCATAATTAGCGCTCCAAGCCAATTTTACAGTTATTTGATCAAAAGCTCACATAGAAAGGTCAGCATATTTAAGCCTCAGCTACTTCGAGCATTTTGTAAAACCATTAGCACAGATCTTCTCTCCTTGGCATGACCTCCATATGTCAGGCATATTGCTATTCCACTTAAATCTTATCCTCATTAACCCAGGGCAATTAGGAGGTCTGGGAGGAGACCCAAGAAACCAGCCTCCTGTGTGCCGTGGGTGTTGTATCTTGATGTTACTTTTTGTTGCTTTTTAGCTCTTGTTAATATATGTGATTTTTCAAGTCCCCTGACTTATCAACGGAAGCAGGTATCCCAATGTGGGCTGTACGTTAGCAAATATTGCTTCATCAAAAATCTATTTATCCCTTCCTTAGTGCTACCCTATCTAAAGAAAATATTATATTGCTAAAAAGAAATCTGGACTACAGTAGAAAAATTAAATATGTTGTTAATACAAGTAAAAGTCAGATAGATCATGAATCTAAGTAGAAAACCTGAAAATGGTTGCCTTGGGCATATTGAAGACCTTTATATCTTTAGTCTTTCTTCCTGAATTTATATCCCAAGAGCATTTTGTTTGCTGGAGGCAATCACAAATTGAGAGCATAAAACTGTTTTTCTTGCGGTGATGGGACCTGAAGCTCTGCTTTACCTTAAACTGGAACATTTAAACAACTTGTAAAAAAACATATTGAATGTTTAAAGTTCTTCCATCACCATCAGTCATTATGCTGTAAAGCTATACATCAGTTTCAACACTGACATTTTGAAAATTAACATGGAGAAGTCCTCACATGTCACCCTTAGACCAAATGTATCATGACATGTTACAGAATTATCAACTACTAACTTATACATTCTCCCAAACATTCAGGTAACAGGTTTCCATCAACATGAGCAACAGAACACAGTAATGAGTTCTCTGTAATATCCAAGATATCTAATCATTCTACTCAATACAAATGTGTATTGAGCATCTACTAAGTGCCAGACAGTGTTCAAGGCATTTATAATACATCAAGGAACATGATTCTTGTCTTTGTGCCACTTACATTCATTCACTGAAACTCCTACATGGGTTAAATCAATACTCTGTCTGCAGATATCAAGATATGGAATTCTTCCCTAGGAAAACCATTTAAAATAGTGTATGACTAGTCATTGTTATAGTACTGCATAGGAAACACTGCAGAAACTCAAATCACTGGGCATCAAATAAATTCAGAAATAATATTTTGTTTAATTATGCAGGATGAGACGTGATTATGGGGTATTACAAGGGTATTACAATGTTTCTGAAAATACAGAACATATTGGAAAAATTTGAAAAGTACAAGTAAAACAATCAGTGAAAATTATAGTAATAATCACTAACATGTACTGATTACTTGTTCAGAGTTAAACTGAGCTAAGAGTCATCTTTATAAGTCTCTCTGGAAAATGATTATGGTGTCTTGAAAAGCCACATTAAGAATTCAACTAATATTAACAGCTGCCATTTATTGCTGCACTGTCCAAAATGGTGACCACTTCACATGTGGCTACTAAGCACTTGAAGTGTAGCTAGTCCCAATCAAGATGTGCTATAAGTGTAAACTACATACCAGATTCCAAAGACTTAGTATGAAATAAAAGAATGTAATAATTTTTATATTGATTGTATGTTAAAATATGAATATTATTAGATTAAATATATTACTAAAATAACTGCACCTACTTCTTTTACACTTTTGATGTGGCTTCTAGAAAACTTATAATTACATATATATGAGTTGCCTTTGTGGCTCATATTACACTTTTGTTAGACACAACTGCTCTGCACACTTACCAATGAATCTGGTTTGCATTTTACAGTATCTTATCAAATGGATGATATTATCCCTATAAAAAAATAGAGAACCTAAGCTTGAGATTAACTTTTCCAAAGTCATTCACAACAGTTACACTAAACCAACCCAATGACAACTATTTTTAATGCTGTTCCAAAGAAAAGTAGGTAATAGTTTCACAACAGTTTGTTTTTAATTTTTTACCACTAGAAGACACTGAATTTAGAGAATTATTTTTTTAATTTGGTAGAATCACACTTAAGACACTAAATTTAGAGGAAAAATTTTGAGCTTGGTAGAGCCATTTTAATAAGTAGTTCTCTTCTATTTTAAAATTTCTTCTTAGCAAGGGAAATTCGATCCATATGTTTCTGCTTCTTGTATACTCACTTATCAAAATGTTATTCTGCAAAAGTTATTTGATGTCTTAGAAACTGTAACTTTTCAAAATTATTTTCTTTGAACTGAGAAGACCCCATTGCCTGGACTGTAAACAGAAAGAACTTGAACCCAAGCGCCTCAGTGGCATTTGATTTCAAGCCTAGGACTCAAAAAGATCATGCAGATTTTAGAATTTAGAATAGTCTAACAACCCTGAAGTAGAAGTCAATCATTACTGGAGTATCTTGGATTAAATTAAATGCATACTTTTCCTAAACACTCTCAGACGGAAAAAGCAAACAAACATAAAACAGTCTTCTTGCCTTTAAAATGCCATGTGTAGGAAAGACTAAGTTTACAAAGGAGATACGTTAGGAGTTGATTTTTTTTGCTTTAGTAAAGGCTAACTTTCAAAGTGTTTCACTGCAGAATTCCTTTAAATTGTTAACTCCTCTGGTGAAATTATATTTTGGTCAAATCATTCCTTGATAAAGAAGCTATGAGGAAAGAGGAGATAATAGAAAATACTGGGAATCACTGCCAATTAAAGAGCAATTAGAAAGATATATTAAACTGTGTCTACAATTATGATGTAACTAAATGAACAAGCACACTCAATTTTAAAGAAGTACAACTTACACTAAGTGTTCAAGATAATATCTATTACCCAAAGAAACACACTTCGGCAGCCAGGCGCTGTGACTCACACTTGTAATCCCAGCACTTTGGGAGGCTGAGGAAGGCGGATTACCAGGTCAGGAGTTCGAGACCAGCCTGGCCAACAAAGTGAAACCCGGTCTCTACTAAAAATACAAAAATTAGCAGGGTATCATGGCACACGCCTGTAGTCCCAGCTACTTGTGAGGCTGAGGTGGGAGAATCGCTTGAACCTGGGAGGCGAAGGTTGCAGTGAGCCAAGACTACGCTATTGCACTCCAGCCTGGGCGACACAGTGAGAACCCATCTAAAAAAAAAAAAAAAAAAAATTGTGCATATAAAAGTATCTTAGAGCGCACATTGTGACTGTCTTCCTGATAAAAGCAAGATACAGTTCAGATAATGTATTTTAAAAATAGAAAAACACTCTTTAAAAACCAGCAACTGTTTAAAACTTTTAAACACTCTTTAAAAAACAGCAAAAGTGAGTTTAATGGTGTCTTTCAACTCTGTTTTCCAGACTTATAATTCAGAAAATAAACAATAGGGAATATATGGGAACTAAATGGAAACTGTCATAAATACATGAAAAATGTGATGGAAAAGAACTTCTGGGCATGGTTTAATGATTATAAATGTGTATTCAATTTGTACCATGTGGAGGTTGGTTAAAAGTGAAAGTAATCTGCTATGACCAGTTTCAATATTTTATGAAAGTTCATCCTTCCCACTCATGGCATTGATGATCTTGTTGGTTCTCTGAAAAAATCTAGAAAAGGAGTACATAATTGTGCATTGTAGGACAATCATCAGTAAACAGGCTAGGACAAATTTAACTTGTAAAACAATTGTATTATGATGTGAATTCTGTCTGTTTTGTTTTGGTAGATAATGGGCTCTCAGAATAATCTCTCAGATGAAATAGAAGAACAAACACTAGGGAAGATACAAGAACTTAATGGACACTACAATAAGTATATGGAAAGTGTGATGAACCAGCTCTTGAGCATGGTCTGTGACATGAAACCAGAAATCCATGTGAACTACAGAGCCACCAACTAAATGTACATCACAGTTTTCAAGAAAAAAAAAGGTGTGTGAGTGCCACCTGGTTGCTTATGGCTTCGTATTTTTATGTTGAGAAATTTGAAATGAGAACCTTAAATTTACATTTACAGGAAATGTGACATAACTCATACATCGGCACTGAATTAAACAAAACAAAATACAACTGTTGCTATATCTTTTCTAGTAATAATTATGACCTTGTCACTTAACTTGGAGTAAGTCAAGAATGCAAAATAGTAACATGTTTTTTAACACTTGAAAGAAAAACATGGTCATGACAGCTTTTTAGTGGGCATGGGTTTTTTATTTCTTCTCCTTTTCATCGATTTAGAAAATGTGCTCTTAATTGTATTAAATGGTAATTTGCTAAAAGATAATCTTTAAGCAAGATATAATTATGACTCTTCAACAGATCTAAAAATGAACATGTCAAGGGTCTTATTTAATTCAGTAATCAATGGGAAACCAGTAAAACAGAGAGATAGAGACAAAGAATGATGGGTTATATAGCCACTTTTAAACATAGATGGGGTTTATAATCATTCTGTCTGTCTGACCTCAACTAAACAGATATTATTTTTAAAAGAAAAAAGTAAATGATAAATAAGCTAATAACATAGATTTTGGAGCTTTGAAAAAAAAAAAAAAGAAATACAAAGAAAACTCCCAGGAGATATACTAGGTTAGTGTGCCACTAGCCCAGTCTCCTAGTTACAGCTAAGCTAAACTCTTGTTAAATACTAAGTATTTTGTTAGTGCAATGTATATATCATCTCAATCCTACCTTGTAAGCAGTATTAGTGCTCTTGTTTTACAAAATGAGATGCAAAGATGAAGGAACTTATCTGGAGTTGTTTGGATAACAGTGGCAGCACTGAGCTTTGAACTGGGCAATGTGACTCCAATGTTCACACCCTTTACTTCTTACCAAACTGCTTACCTGCACAGCTCCTATATTTGCATTAGTAAGAAGCATGGGTGCTATAAAGTCTTTGATTTTCCAGTAATATATGCAGACAAATTTTAATTCCAGTCTAAACAAAAGTTAATTATTGTCACCAAACTATTCATATAATCTTCAATTATATGAATCTCTGATTATATGTATAGTTTGGTAACAATAATTAACTTTTGTTTAGACTGGAATTAAAATCATAAACTGAAATGGTTTTAATTGATCATTGTTTTAGATCAGTGGTCCCCAACCTTTTTAGCACCAGGGACCAGTTTCGTGGAAGACAATTTTTCCAAGAATGGAGGGGTAGTGGGGTAAGATAGTTTTGGGATGAAATTGTTCCACCTCAGATCATCAGGCATTAGAGTCTCATAAGGGACATGCAACCTAAATCCCTCACATGTGCAGTTCACAATAGGATTCGCGCTCCTATGATAATCTAATGCCGCTGCTGATTTGACAGGAGGCCATGCTCAGGTGGTAATGCTTGCTCAACTACCACTCACCTTCTGCTGTGTGGCCCGGTTCCTAACAAGCCACAGACAGGTACCAGTCTGTGGCCCAGGCACTGGGGACCCCTGTTTTAGATCACTAGTATCATTGTTTCTTTTTAGGAGAAAAAGTTAAAATTTTACCACATATCTTAGTACCTCGGAAATAGTCAATTTTATATGCATGTTAGGTAAATGGAGCAAAATTTGAATTCTATTTGTTTCTCCATTTTCCCAACTTTGGGGGCAAGGAAAACCAAACCAGTTGATTGGTTTTATGTGGTATATTTCCCCATTTATTAGAATGAGAACTGATTGCCAATTAAAGAAGAGAAAGATATCAAATATTCCTAGGAACACTGGCTCCCATTTTTTGAGGGGGGTGGAGGAGAAGGCATCAATTAAAGTTGTGTCTCCCTGACATTAGGACAGTGTTGGAGGATTTCTACTCAACACAGATTTGGAGAATTCAATTACTCTATTCTGCAAAGCTTAGATAAATAAAATAATGAGTAAAATTGCACATTTTGGGAGTTATCACGTGAAAAGATAATTCTGAAAAAGATAGCATTGTGATTTGCCTTATATCATAAGATGCAGTTTTCTGTCTTGTCTCATGAAAACCATCAAGACGCCAGTTTTCTGGATGTGAAAGCTTGAATATGTTATATGGAACACTCAAGTTAATAATAAATTCCTGAGCCAGCACAAGAGAAAGGATATCTTTTAGGCCCTAAATACTATAGAAACACATTAAAGTCAGTAGAGGATTTTTCTCAGAAGTAAAGAGGAGCCAGGTCTAGAAGAAAGAGATGAGACTTAGGCATCAGCACACTGTACATCCAGTCCTGCCAGCGCCACAAGCTTTCTATGTCCTATTGGCAACTCACTCAACCTCTCTGGGCCTACGATTCTTTTTTAGTGCTGTAATCTGAAAATGGTGTTGAAATAAATGATCTCTGTAGGCCCTTTAACACTTATTTTTACATACTAAGTCAGACCAATTTTTCAAAAGCAGTATTTATTACTTTTAGTTTTTTCATTCACTACTGTAGTATTTGTCAATTTCTCAACAATCTCACGTTTATTCTAAACACTGTATTGTTAAGAGTATGTGCTGTTGCTGCCCCCAATATCCTAGATTCTGTGTAGTTTGCATATTTTTACATTCAAATATGGTTTCACATCTTTGCCTAACTGAATGAGTCATTTTCTAAGAACTCTCACACCTTCACAGATGGTAGAGCTGCCAGGTTTTACTTTATTTACATATGAAAAGGTTTTATGTATTTCAGAGCTAGCTCACTTATCTGTGAGAGCTTTCTCAGTCACAGAAAAAAAGTTGACTTTTTTGTACGTATACTTATACTAAAAGGCTTTTTCTGTTCCGATAGATCTTCACACAGAAATAGAATAGTGTTAGCATGTTTTTAATTGGTCTTTACCCTTGTTTTGATCCTTTGCACAATCAGAAACTACAAAATGAAAAATTATTCCATTGAGTTCTTACTCATTTCCATTGCACTTAAAAACAAAACCATGCAATTTACAGGCTTGCAAAGGAATGCAAGGATTTCGGTTTTTATTCTCGATGTTAGCACACAAATACACACAAAGTCAGGAATTGTCATCAATGCATCACAGCCATTACTTTCTAGATGGATAGAGCTAGTAGAAGAGAGTTGGCCAGAGTGTGCAGAAAGCTGCCACCTTTGAAATATCCCAGCTGAGGCCATTCTAGGTCTAGCCAACCCCCAACATGTCAGAGTCCAGCCTAAATCAGCACAGCCACATTACCTGCCACCGACCATGAATGCAGGCATGAGCAAAGAGGACATCGTATGAGCCACCCGGAAAACTCATAGACTCATGAGCAATAATAAACATTTTAAGCCACTGAGTTTTAGGGTGATGCGTTATGAAGCAATAGCTAACTGCTATACCGATTGAATATTGCCTTAAAAAGGAGAGGGTGACCAACTGTCTTGAATGCTGCTTAGTGTTCAAGTAAAATAGGACAGAGATGTGACTGTTAGATTTACATATGTGGAGGAGGAGTTTGAGGAGAGAAAGTGTGGTGAGAAAGCTAGAGATAGCAGTTATAGATAACTACAAAACTATAAAAATGATCAGAGAAATGGGGCTGCAGCTTGAGACAGATGTGTGTCAAGCACGTGTTTCTTGTCTGGACTAGGAAATGTTATCGCATATTCATATGCTGATTGAAATTCCTCTAGAGGAGAAAGAATCTCTATGACGAATAGAGAGGGGAACTATTGCAGAAGCAAAGTCCTTGAGAAGGCAGGAAGCCTAGAATTCAGATCCGAAGTAGAAGAATTGGCCTTCAACAGGAAGATGACCATGGGCATGGATTGACAAACATAGTAGGTAAGTAGATCTAGTGGTAGGAAGATGAGAAAGTTCCTATTTACCACTAATTTCAAACTAAATTCGAGGACAATGATCAGCTGAGAATGAGGAGTAATTTTAGGGGACTTATCAAACACGAGAAAGGGTAAAATGGTCATTTTAGAAAGTAAGAAGATTACTATGCTAGGAAAGTGTAATAGGATTATCAAGCAGCACTGTATGTCTAAATGAGGCTTATTGTCATAGTTTTAAAATGAGATTAAGTCAGTTGTGTGTTTTCCTCTGGTCATGGTGAGTTGCTCAACTGCAGGAAGAGAGTAGGCAGGTAGTCTGATTTCACCTCTAAATTCATCATCAAAGACTTGAGATTAGCTCCCTTGTCCTGTGTCTTTTAACTCTAAAGTTGAACTGAAATAATTCTTCTTGAAAGACTACTGTGTCCCTAAACTTAAAGAAAAGAAAATTATTGGAAATAAACCACTTAAAAGAAAGATAGAAATCTAAGCATAGAGCTCATTACAAAAATAATGATTCCATTTTATCAACTTGAAGAAATATAACTGTGATAACTGCATGCTTCTCCTATTTCCTGTTCTTCCATCTCAGCTCTCTTGGGACTGCCTAATATTGGCAATGCAAGGAGTTACTAGTGTAGTGAGTTTGCTTACTTCCAAGAGTCACCTGAAAAAGCTACTTATCAATGACATAAATGACTGGAGGACCTTATGTCCCGTGCAATGTTAACTATTCATTTACTCACTCACTTATTCAGCCATAATTATTGAATTATGTGATAACATACATTTGAGATTGGTAGTAGAAATACAGACATGGCTATTACCAAAAGTGACAAGTCCTGTATTCTTACTCCTACCACTTCCAGTGACCCAGCTCCTCAAGTCCAGTTTAAGATAAGGTACATTTTGAGTGAACTGGGGTTCTCTGTGCCATCTAATAAACTAAACTCCTGCAATAGGTATTGTGAACATAAAGAATATTTAATACTGTGTAGTTTAACACAGTAATTAAGATCACCATCCCTCAGACTAGACTATTTGGATTCATATATAAGTAGCAAATATAAGTGTCTATAATAATGGTAATTATTATTATAGTTGAAAAAAACTAAACCAAATAGGCTGACATAAAGACAAAATGAGTGTGGAAGGAGGTTACGAGGGAGAGAATGCCAGAAAAATCACTGTAACTTCTTTTGCAGACAGTTTAAATAGACCATTATGAAATTCCCTTATTTTTAAACTAGAGTAACTAAACTGTTTCTTCATGTTCAGTTAAGTAGAATCCAATGGAACAGAAGTTTCACTGAGCCTGTTTTATCATGCTAGCACTTCCACTGAAAAAGTATCTGTAACTGTTAACTTGTTATCATTTTTATTAATGTGTAATCAATTAATAAGAACATATGTGTTCCACAGACAAATCCCAAAGATATTTAAATAGAGATAACAGTGAATATGAGAGCCTTGCCAATATTCTGAAGACCTGTTTCCTAGTGGAATTCACAGTTTGTAGTCACAGTTCAGAAAGATGCTTTCCTAAGCAAAAATGTAAATATATCCAAACACTCCAAATAAAACCACAAGCACTGAATGTTATATACATTTACATCTACAAAGGAAGCAAGAAGCTTTTCATGGTGACAAACTAGAATCAGCAAGGTTTAATAGAGCTGTGATTTTGCTGATTGAAACTTGTATAGACCACTGCTCATGAAAAGACTTTCAAAATTGTGTGTGACCACACAGAAAGTAAAGAGGGACCAGCAGGCAGTGAATATAAACCAACACAACACCAGCCATGAAATGAGTAAATGTGTCTAGTAAAAATGAACAAACACCACTCCCATTAAGTCAAGTGAAGGGCTTGCTAATAATGGTGAGAAAGTTGAAACAACAGTGTTAGCAGCAGCATTCAAAAATAAAATAATAATATTAAGGCTGATTTTTACAATATGCTAATTCCCTTTGCCTGAAGTTTCCTTTCTTCCTTCTCTGCCTGACAAACCCTACTAGTTTTTTAAGGCAGGTGTGATGGTTAACTTGAGTGTCAACTTGACTGGATTGAGGAATCCAAGTATTGATCCTGGGTGTGTCTGTGAGGGTGTTGCCAAAAGAGATTAACATTTGAGTCAGTGGGCTGGGGAAGGCAGACCCACCCTTAATCTGGTGGGCACCATCTAATCAGCTGCCAGAAAATATGAAGCAGGCAGAAAAAACGTGAAAAGGACAGACGGGCCTATCCTGCCAGCCTACATCTTTCTCCCGTGCTGGATACTTCTTGCCCTGGAACATCGGACTCCACATTCTTCAGTTTTGGGACTCAAATTGGCTCTCCTTGCTCCTCAGCTTGCCGACAGCCTATTGTGGGAACTTGTGATCATGTAAGTTAATACTTAATAAACTCTCTCTATATATATATATAATGAGTATATATATACTATTAGTGTATATATCTATACTATGAGTATATATATACTATTAGTGTATATATCTATACTATGAGTATATATATACTATTAGTGTGTATATATATATATACTATCAGTGTATGTAAATATACTAATAGCTCTTGTGATCATGTAAGTTAATACTTAATAAACTCCCATATATATACAATATACTATTAGTATATATACATATATGAATAGTACTTGTGATCGTGTAAGTTAATAAACTTGTGATCGTGTAAGTTAATATTTAAACTCCAATATGTGTGTGTGTGTGTGTGTGTGTGTGTGTGTATACACACACAACTAGTTCTGTCCCTCTAAAAGAACCCTAACTAATATAGTGGGGTATAAGGGCTTGTCTAAGGGGTATAAGTGCTTGTGAAGTCATATCCAACTCCCTAGGAAACCTGGCCATTTCCTCCTGCGTGATTTTAGAGCCCTGTTGTAGCCCCTATCATGTTGCGTGGCTTTTAGTCATATTCATCACCCCTTTCTACTGTGATTTCCACAAAGGCAGAAGCTATCTCTTGCTCATCTTTTTCTCCAAGGCCTAACTCAATGCTGAGCACACTGTATTGGTTAATGATTAATTAACAAACTTAATGTTAACAGTAATCAATAGTTATTATAATATAAGACTAGCTTCCCATAAACATGCCAATAGAATCTCACAGAGTTAGAACTTAACACATTTCTTAGAATCTCCTGTTGGTTTGCCAAAAAGGCAAAAGAACCCAAAATATGAGGCTAGGGGTTCTCCTGTTGAATGATGGAGAAGGGGGTGTGTTTACAACCAGCCAGGAGAACATGCACAAAGGCTGAGAGGTGGAGAGAATATGATGCAGATGTGGGAAGTTAGAGGATTGCATTTAGGGAGAAGACTAAAATTGCTGTTGGAGAGGTTAGAAGAGTGACTTATGAAAAGCCCTTTATGTCATGCTAAGAAGTTTGTTACTTAATTGAAATGAGTGGGAAGCCATTGATCGACTTTACGCAGCAAATTGACATTAAGACAATTGTGCATGCAATGATCAGACACCATCCAGTGGAGAGAAAGAAGGACTAGACTGGAGAGAAGGGAATCTGTTAGGACCTATTTTAGTAACCCAAGTGGGCAATGAGTAGGTCTTTATCTACAGAAGGAATGGAGATAAGAGAGTAGAAGGAGGTAATAAAGTGGTGGAACTGACCTGACTGAGAACTGGCTGGATGTAAAAAGAAAAGAGAACCTCATAGAAGGCTGAAGAATATAAAATATGAATGAAAAATAGGAAAAAAAAGACTGTGGGCACTCTGAAGAAAGAGTCCTAGAGGACAAAGAGAGAACCAGAAGTCAGCTGTCTTGCAGAAGCAGGCTGAGCTTACATCTTGGTCTGCTCACACCAGCAGCCAGTCCAGTTTGTATCCGTTTCTTTGGTCCAACTATTATTAGTTCCATCTTTCATTTTACAGTTGTTATCCTCTGCAGAAACCAAAACTAAATTGACATGTCTTTAATTTAACATGAATGAAATCTTACCGAATTCAATCTTGTCTCTGCTTCTACCTGACACAATAAACACCTCTTCTTCCCACCAGAATTTTGACCATAGCTCCCAATTTCTGTTCAGTTGTCTCCATCTCAATCCTTTTATACCTTCTAGTCCAGGCCATTATCTCCTTCTCCTCATTCCCCACCCTTAAAATACAAAACAATACAGATAGCTTGGAGATCTGGAAGGGTTGGTAGGTGTATGAAATATTCTCATAGCTTCTATATATTGATCATCCCCCAGGATGTACAGCTGCCAACTCGCATACGTAGGTGGACTCTGTTTTGACCTGTAACAACCTGGAAGGAATCTTACACCATCATCAGCTTTCTCAAAAGAGCTTACCTCTTCAAGTGAATTATGGGCTTTATACTTTTTCTGAATATTGATGGGGTCAAAGCAATTATTCATACTGTAACATGCAGCATTTCACTTGAAAGTACCCTTTTGCAACAGCCTCTCCCCAGTCCCCCGAATCTCTTCGGCTGTTCCATCAAGCAGTCATTCTTTGCTACCCTCAATAACACAGAGACCGGCCACCTACTCTCTTTCCTCTTGGAGAATTATCTTCCTTTCCCTCTTTCCCTGCCTACTTCACACCCCAATATATGCCCTGTATCAGAAGGATAATTAAATGTAGCACCAGCTTCTATCTCCAAAACTAACATTTCCATATCCATCATTTTTCTCAGCAAACAAAGAATTATCCAGCTACCAGAATTCAACTTTTAATAAGGCAGTGGGGGATTTTAAATAACCAACTCCTAACTTTAAACTACTTAATACTACACAAGTTCTCAGGATAATCTACAAAACTCCCCTTCTGCTGAAGCTATTCTTAAATTCTAGGAAGGAATGGAAACACTGGGTTTTATATTTATCTTCTTAAAAATGTAGATTTAGGAACAACATCCATAGAGATTTTAACTGAGTAGATCTGGGGTGAGGCCTATGAACCTGCTTCCTTAATAAGCACCCTTGGTGATTCTGATGCAGGAATCCATGCTTTGAGAAATGATTGTTAAGACTCAATAATATAACATCATTTAAGTGAAGAATTTGAATTCCAACTCGAGATGCTAGAAACAGTCTCAACAAATCCAGCCCTACAGATATGGCAATAAGTTCTTCCCTTTCCCTGTATCAGGCCAGAACAATGGCAGCAGGATTTCTGTGCATCAGAGGTAGGAGGAAGAGAAGTGAATAGGCTAGAAACATTTCTAACTTAAGTAAAGAAGGTTCAGGTTTAAGAACATAGAACACTACAGAGGACCAGTAGAAAGGAAATAAATACCTTCAGTCTAAAAGTGGAAGGGGAAGTCAATCTCATATGGAAGATTTCTCTATATCGAGCAATTTTAGTTCATGGAAAATGTATACCAGGATTAATTTTTTACATCATAACACTAAGAGTTGTCATCTTAAAAAGAAGAATAAATTAAAGGAAAATTAGACAGCATATGATATCCGAGTAAATAATTAAAAAATCATAGATCAGATACAAATTTTTGTGAAAGTGGACTGAAAACAAAGACACGTTTTGTTGATTTTGTTTAAACTGAACAAGGATAATTCTCCTTAATATCTAGATACATGAGATCTAAATAAAGTGAGTAATGCTGGGAATGTACACTCTGGAGCTGGACTTTGCATTCAATTCTCAGATCCAACACCTAAAACAATCAGAACATAATCCTTTGGGTCTTTTATTTATAAAATAGGGCTAATGATGTGCTTTGTAAGACTGTTATGATGAGTTATTGCATTTAAGGTACTTAGATAGTGCCTGAACCATAAAATGCCCTTTAATTTGATAAATGATAGCTATTAATATTAAAAAGATGAGCATGTTTTGAATATCTTTATTTGACTAATGTAAGGAAAGGAGTGTAGCAAAATAAAAAGTAAGTTAAATGGGTAGAGATTACGGAATTAGAGGGAAAACCATAAATAATCTGAGCACCTACAGAATGTGGTAATAGCTATGGTAAGAAGCTTTTGGAAAAATTTTACTGTCTCCTTGGATACCACAAGGGCTCATTTCCCAAGGGCTTCTCAAGTCAGAAGTCCAATAGTTTCTCTGCTTAGCAGAAGTATGGAAAAGTGAGGCTGGGTGCGGTGGCTTACACCTGCAATCCCATCACTTTGGGAGGCCGAGGCGGGCAGATCATCTGAGGTCAGGAGTTCTAAACCAGCCTGGCCAACATGGGGAAATCCCATCTCTACTAAAATACAAAAATTAGCTGGGTATGGTTGTAGGTGCCTGTAATCCCAGCTACTCGGGAGGCTGAGACACGAGAATCACTTGAACCCAGGAGGCAGAGGTTGTGGCGAAACAAGATTGCATCACTGCACTCCAGCCTGGGCAACGGAGTGAGACTCCATCTCAAAAAACAAAAAAAAAAGTATGAAAATGTGTTGTTTATTTAATTTTTACATGAGCTGTGCATGCTAGTTGAATAAAGGGCTCCTTCAACAAGGATGGGACAAGAATGGTTTACAATTTGGAAAATTAGGAAGATGGGCTTTCCCTTAACTTTTCATTTTAATTAAATGTCATAGAAATTTTCAACAAAATGACAAGATGGAAAGGAAAGAGGAAAAAATGATGATAAAAACTGGAGATGTATAAAATCTGTGTTTGCCTATTCTTGTTCACCTCCTAGTGGGCCACCTCATTTTATACCAATTTGAATAGTTTTTATATGTACTGTCATATACATTATCTTTCTCTTTCCTGATCCTAGTCTTCAACAATCTTTTTTCTTATTTGTCAGTTTTTTATTTAATAAACTATAAGCTCCATGAGGACATGAACCATGTCAGGCTTCGTGAAATGTGAAGCAATATAATATAGCTTTGGTTATACTTGAAGCAGGATGACATAGAATTTGAAGGGTATCAGTTATAATGCTTTGGTTTGGTGGCATTAAATCCCATTCAAACTGGTTCAAATGATAAAAGGGACTTGTTGGCCCAATATAACTAAAATTTCCAGCAGTTGAACTCAGTTTAGATGAAGCTTGATCCAGTGATGACATCAAGACCTGGTTTCCAGTTACCAAGACCAGATTTACCATTTTTCTATTTCCATACAATCTCTAACTCTCTTTCTCCTTATAAAAATGGGGAAAATAGTATTTACTTTACAGATTTTTTGTGAAAGATAATTATACATGTAATACACTCAGCAAAGTGTCATACATTGTATGCAGCAAATAAAAATTAGCCCTTATGATTAGGTACCTAGTACCCCTCAGAACAGAGCCTAACATAGTATTTATTGTAAATATAGAAAATATTTATTGAATGAACAAATGACTAAGTTAATGAACAAATGCTTGTGCACACACATAATTTCACTTGCTTCACCAAATAGGTAGGAGAGAGAAAAGCCCAAAAGCAGTGAAACTAAATAAATATTTGGATAGGCTGCTTTTTATATACTTAGCCAGTGCACATAAGCACAGTTTCTAAACATTTTCCAGGTCACTGATTTCCCACAAAGACATGAGGGTCTAAATTAAGCTATAAAACTACCTTTCAGATATTTTAACGTAAAAAACATAGATGCATAAGGAGGTAGAGCAAGATGATCAAATAGAAGCCTCTGACCATCACCTCCCCTGCAGGAACACCAGACTGAATAACTATCCACACGAGAAAGCATCTTCATAATAACCAAAACTAAAATAAGCAATTACACTACCTGGTTTTAACATCATATCAAGTTAAGAGGCACTAAAGATGGTTGAAAACAGTCTTAAATTGCTGACACCAACCCCCTCACCATCCCTCCGGAGGGGCCACACAGTGCAGAGAGAGAATTTGTGTGCTTGGGGGAGAGAGAGCACAGTTATTGTGAAGCATTGCATTGGAACTCAGTGCTGCTCTGTCACAGCAGAAACCAATATGGGGCAGAATTCAGCCAGTGCTCATGGAGGGAGCATTTAAACCAACCCTAGCTGCAGGTGCATCACCCACCTCAGGGGTCAGAACCCAAGTTCTGACTAGCCCCAGCAATGCAGGCTAACACGCTCTTGAAACGTATCAAGGCCACAAGGACTGCAATTCCTGGGCAAGTCCTGGTGCTATGCTGGGCTCAGAGACAGTGGACTTGGAGTACACATGACCTAGTGAGACACCAGGTGGGGTGGCCAAGCAAGTGCTTGCATCACTCCTCCCCCAACCCCAGGCAGCACAGACCACAGCTCTGGGAGGCATTTCTTTCCTCTGCTTGAGGAGAGAAGGAAGTATAAAGAGGACTTTGCCTTATAACTTGGTACCATTTCAGCTACAGTAGAATAGAGCACCAGGCAGAGTCCTAAGGCTCCTCTTCCAGGCTCTAGCTCCTCACTGACATTTCTAGACATACCCTGGGTCAGAAGGGAACCCACTGCCTTGAAAAGAAGGACCAAGTCCTGGCAGGATTCATCACCTGCTGACTAAAGAGCCCTTGGACCATGAGTAAATATCAGTGGTACCCAGGCAGTTATCACCACAGGCCTTGGGTGAGACTCAGGATAATGCTGGATTCAGGTATGATCCAGTGCATCATTATCAGCTATGATAGCCAAAGGGAGAGATGCATTCTGTTTGAGGAAAGGAGAGGGAAGAGTAAAGGGGACTTTGCTCTGCAGCTTGGGCACCAGCACAGCCACGGGGTATAGAGCACCAGCCAGGCTCCTGGGATTCCCAATTCCAGGCTTGGGTCCTGGATGGCATTTCTGGACCTACCCTGGGCCAGATGGGAGTCCACTTCCCTGAAGGGGGAGACTCAGGCCTGGCAGCATTCACCAGAATGTCTGAAGAGCCCTTAGGCCTTAAGTGGACATCAGTGGTAGTCGAGTAGTAAGTGCCATAAACCTGTAGCAGTAGTGGCCATGGAGTGAGACTCTTTCTGCATGAGGAAAGGAGAGGGAAGAAGAGTGGGTAGGACTTGTCTTGCAGTTAGGGTGCCAGCTCAGCTGCAGTAGAACAGAGCACCAAGTAGATTCCTAATGTTCCCAACTCTAGGCACTGGATCCTGGACAACATTCCAGGACCTGCTCTGGGCCAGTCAGAGTTCATCATGCTGAAGGATAGGACACAAGCCTGGCAGGATTTATTACCTGCTGAATGAAGAGTGCTTGAGCCTTGAGTGAACCAAGGTGGTGCCCAACAAGGGGTCATTACAGGCCTTGGCCAAGACCCACTGCAGTGCTGGCTTTGGATATCACCTCATGCAATCCCAGTGTTGGTGGCCAATGGGGGTGTTTGTGTCACCTTTCCACTAGTTCCAGGCAGCTCAGCAGAGAGAGAATCTGTTTCATTGGCAGAAACTAAGGGAAGAGAACAAGGGTTTCTTCCTGGTAATCTAGGGACTTCTCCCAGATCTTAGCCAAGACAACCAAGGAAATACCTCTATGAGTTGACAAATATCACAGTGTTGCTGGGTATGGGATGCCCCAAATGTAGATATGGCTGCAATGACCAAAGATTTAGATCACAACATTCAATTCCCTTTGAATAATTAGAAATTTTTCCCAGGAAGAATGGATATAAAAAGCCCAGACTGCAAAGACAATAATGAATACCTAACTCTTCAATGCCCAGACATTAACAAATGTCCACAAGAATTAAGACCATCCAGTAACACATTACCTCATCAAACAAACCAAATAAGGTACCAGTGCCCAATCCTAGAGTGACAGATGTGTGACCTTTCATAAAAAGAATTCAAAATAGCTGCTTTGAGGAAGCTCAGCAAAATTCAAGATATCACAGAGAAGAAATTCAGAATCCCATCAGATAAATTTAACAGAGATTGAAATAATTTTTTAATAGTCATTATTATTCACCAAGCCTGGCATGGTTCATGTCCTCACAGAGCTTATAGTTTATTAAAAATAAAAACTGACAATTAAGAAAAAAGAAATTTTGCTAAAGACTAGGATCAGGAAAAAGCCGTATAATATATACGACAGCATATATAAAAATATTCAAATAATAACAGAGAACTTCCCAAACCTAGAGAAAGATATCAATATTCAAGTACAGGAGGTTTATAAAACACCAAGCAGATTTAATTCAAATAAGACTACCTCAAAGTAGTTAATAAGCAAACTCCCAAAGGTCAAGGACAAAGGAAGGATCTAAAAGCAGCAAGAGAAAATAAACAAGTAACATACAAAGGAGCTGAAATACATCTGGCAGCAGACTTCTCAGTGGAAACCTTCCAGGCCAGGAGAGAGTGGAATGACATATTTAAAATGCTAAAAGAAAAAAAAAAAAAAAAACTTTTATCCTAGGATAGTATATCCAGCAAAACTATCCCTCAAACATGAAGAAGAAATAAAGATTTCTCCAGAAAAACAAAAACTGAGGTATTTCATTAACACCAGACCTGTCCTACAAGAAATACTAAAGAGAGTTCTTCAGTCTGAAAGAAAAGGATGTTAACAAGCAATAAGAAATCATCTGAGGTACAAAAATCATAGGTACTAGTAAATATGCAGACAAACATAGAATATTATAACACTGTAACTAGAGTACAATCTACTCACACATTGAGTAGAAAGACTAAAAATGAGCATATCAAAAATAATAACTACAACAATTTGAAAACATAGACAGTATAACAAGATATAAACAGAAACAACAAAAAGTTAAAAAGTGGGGGAGAGGAAATTAAAGTGTAGAGATTTTATTAATTTTATTTTTGTTTGTTCATTAGTGTGTTTTTGCAATCAGTTTTGTCATTAATTTAAAATAATGCACTGTAAGATGTTACTTACCTCAAATGATCTGTCCACCTTGGCTTCCCAAAGTGCTGAAATTACAGGCGTGAGCCACCATGCCCGGCCTGACCAACATGGTGAAACCACACCTCTACTAAAAATAAAAAATTAGCCAGGCGTGGTGGTACTTACCTGAAATGCCAGCACTTTGGGAGGCTGAAGCGGGTGCATCATTTGAGGTAAGTAACATCTTATAACCCATTATTTTAAATTAATGACAAAACTATATATCTAGATAGATAGATAGATAGATAATCATTAACACCAGATCTGTCCTACAAGAAATTCTAAGGAGAGTTCTTCAGTCTGAAAGAAAAGGATGTTAACAAGCAATAAGAAATCATTTGAGGTAGAAAACTCATAGGTATTAGTAAATACACACACATACACACACACACATATATCATTATATAATATATAATGGGATATATATATCATTATATGATATATAACGGGATATATATATCATTATATGATATATAACGGGATATATATATATCATTATATGATATATAACGGGATATATATATCATTATATGATATATAACGGGATATATATATATCATTATATGATATATAACGGGATATATATATATATCATTATATGATATATAACGGGATATATATATATCTATATATATATATATATATATATATTTATATATATATATATATCTCCTATCAGTTCTGTCCCTCTTGGGAGCCCTGACTAATACAATGATGATACTGCAAAAAGCAATCTACAGATTCAATGCAATTCTCATCAAAATGCCATCATCATTTCTCACAAAACTAGAAAAAACAATCCCAAAATTCATATGGAACCAAAAAAGAGCCCACATAGCTAAAGCAAGACTAAGCAAAAAGAACAAACCTGGATATATCACATTACCTCACTTCAAGCTATATTACAAGGCTATAGTTAACAAAACATCATGGTGCTAGCATAAAAATAAACACATAGACCAAATGGAACAGGATAGAGAAACCAGAAATAAAGCCAAATACTTATAGCCAACTGATCTTCAACAAAGCAAACAAAAACACAAAGTGGGGAAAGACACCCTAATCAACAAATGGTGCTGGGATAACTGGCAAGCCACATGTAGGAGAATGAAACTGGATCTTCATCTCTCACCTTATACAAAAATCAACTGAAGATGGATCAAAGACTTAAATTTAAGACCTGAAACTGTAAAAATTCCAGAAGATAACATAAGAATAACTATTCTAGACATTGGCTTAAGCAAGGAGTTTATGAACAAGAACCAAAAGCAAATGTGACAAATACAAAAATAAATAAATGGGATGTAATTAACCTAAAAGCTTCTGCACAATAGAAGAAATTATCAGCAGAGTAAACAGACAACCCACAAAGTGGGAGAAAATATCTGCAAAGTATGCATCTAACAAAGGACTAATATCCAGAATCCACAAGGAATTCAAACAAATCAGCAAGAAAAAAAAAAATCCCATCAAAAAGTGGGCAAAGGACGTAAATAAAAAATTCTCAAAAGAAGATATATAAATGGCCAACAAACATATGCACAAATGATCAATGTCACTAATTATTAGGAAAATGCAAATCAAAACCACAATGAGATACCACATTACTCCATAATTTAAAAATTTAAAAAAAAGATATTGGAGTGGATGCAGTGGAAAGGGAGCCATTTTACACTGCTGATAGAAATGGAAACTACTACAATCACTACAGAAAACTGTATGGATGTTTCTTAAAGAACTAAAATTAGAACTACCATTCAATCCAGCAATCTCACTACTGGGTATCTACCCAAAGGAAAATAAGTCATTAAATGAAAAAGACAAGACACTTGTACTTCATGTTTATAACAGCATAATTCACAACTGTAAAAATACAGAACCAGCCTAAATGTGCATCAACCAAGTCGATAAAGAAAATGTGGTATATATACTCCATGGAATGCTACTCAGCCATAAAAAGGAAGGAAATAATGGCATTCATAGCAACCTAGATGGAGTTGGAGACTATTATTCTAAGTGAGGTAACTCAGGAATGAAAAACCAAACATTGTATGTTCTCACTTATAAGTGGGAGCTAAGCTATGGGGATTGTTATGTTTTCTGGAAGCCCCATGGTAATCACAAAGAAAATACCTATAGAAGATTTACAAAATAATACAAGAGATGAATCAAAGCATGTCACTACAAAAAATTAACAAAATATAAAGGAAGATGGCAAGAAAGAAAAAGAGGAACAAAAAAGTACAAGACAGAGAGAAAACAATTAACAAAATAGCAATATAAGTCCTTCTTTATCAGCAGTTCTTTTAGATGACAATAGGTTCAACTAGCCAATTAAAAGACAATGACTAAATAGATAATAAAATAAAATAAACAAGATGAAACTACAGGTTGAGTATCCTGTATCCAAAATGCTCAAGACCAGAAGTGTTTTCAATTTCAGATTATTTTGGATTTTGGAATATTTACATTATACTTACCAGGTAAGCATCTAAAATTTGAAAATACAAAGTCTTTAATGCTCCAATTAGCATCTTCTTGCAACATCATATCAGCCCTAAAATAGTTGAGTATTTTGGAGCATTTCAAATTTTGAATTTTTGAATTGGAGATGCTTTTACTGTAAATGTTGTCTACAAAAATCTCACTTTAAATTTAAGGACATATAGGCTGAAAGTGAAAGGATGGAACAAGATTCTATGCAAATAATAACCAAAAGAGGGAAGGAGTGGCCATGCTTATATCCAACAAAATAGACTTTAAGTCAAAAACTGTACAAGAGGCAGAGGAAGGAATTATATAATGATAAAAGGGTAAACTCACCAGGAATATAAAACAACTATAAATATATATGCCCTCAATATCAGAACACTCAAATATATGAAGCAAACATTCACAGAATTGATAGGAAAAATAGATAACAACACAATAACAGTAGGAGATTCCAATACCCCTCTTTTAATAATGAATAGAACATCAAGGGTAGAGATCATTAAGGAAACACAGGACTTAGCAGTATACCAAATGGATCTAATGAATATATACAGAGCAAACCATCCAACAGCAGCAGAATACACATTATTCTGAAGTGCACATGTAACATTCTTCAAGAAATATCACGTGTTAGCTCACAAAACACATCTTAATAAACTTAAGAAGGTAGAAATCATACCAAATTTCTTTTCCAACCGTAATGAACTAAAACTAAAAATCAAGAGCAAAAGGAAAACTTAAAAAAAATCACAAATATATGAAAATTAAACAACACACTCTGGAGTAAGCAACCAGTCAAAGAAGAAATCAAAAGGGAAATTGGAAAATAGCTAAGATAAAAATGAAAACACAACATATCAAAACATATAGGAAGCACCAAAAACAATACTAAAAGGCAAATTTATAGCAGTAATGCCTACGGTAAAAAGGAAGAAAGAGTTCAAATAAGCAACCTAATTTTATATCTCAAGGAACTAGAAAGAAGAAGACAATAAGCCCAAAGTAGCAGAAGGGAGAAAATGAAAAAGATTAGGAATATGTGAAACAAACAAAAGAAAAGAAAAGCAACAGAAAAATTCATAACTAAGACTTGATTCTTTCCAAAAGATCACCAGATTGTCAAAGTTTAGCTGGACTGAAAGTAAAACAGAAGACTCAAATAAATATAATCAGAAATTTAAAAAGAAGACATTGCAACTGATACCATAGAGATAAAGAGGGTTATTAGAGATGACTGTAAATAATATACCAATATATTGGATAACCTAGAAGAAATAAACTCCTGGAAACATACAAACCACCATGACAGAATGATGAAGAAATAGAAAATCTGAACAGACCTATGACTAGTAAGATTGAATAAGTTTTCCAAAAGCTCTCAAAAAACTAAAGCCCAGGAGCAGATAGCTTCACTGAGAATTCTGTTGAACATTTAAATAAAAATTAATGAAAATCCTTCTCAAACTTTTCCAAAAAAATTAAAGAGGAGGGAATATTTTCAAATGTGTTTTATGAAGCCAGCATTACCCTGATACCAAACTAAGACAAAGACACTACAAGAAAAGAAAATTACAGGCCAATATCCCTGATGAATATAGATGCAAATGATCATCAACAAAGTATTATTAATAGCAAATGAAATCCAAAAGTATATTGAAAGTATCATGCACCATGACCAAGTGGGATTTATTCCTGGAATGCAGGGATAATTCAGCATACAAAAACCAATCGATGTTATATACCATCTTAACAGAACGAAGGATAAAAATTACATGATCACCTCAATTGATGCAGAGAAAACATTGGACAAAATTTCACACACTTTTATGATAAAATACTCACTAAACTATGAATAGAAGTAAATTATCTCAGTGTAATTAAAAACCATATATAAAAATCTCATAGCTAACACTATACTCAGTGGTGAAAAACTGAAAGCTTTTCCTCTAAGATTAGAAACAAGGTAAGCATGCCCATCTTACCATTTGTATTCAACATAGTACTAGTAGTCTTAACTAGAGCAATTAGGCAACAAAAATAAATAAAATGCATTCAAATTCAAAATAAAGAAGTAAAATTACCTTTGTTTGCAGATGACATGGTCTTATACGTAGAAAATGCTAAAAATCACACCAAAAACCTGTTAGAAATAATAAAAAAATTCATCAAAGTTGCAGAATACAAAATCAGCATACAAAAATCAATTGCATTTCTATACACTAACACTGAGCAGTTCAAAAAGGAAATGAAAACAATCTTATTCACAATAGCATTAAAAAGACTAAAATACTTAAGAATAAACTCAGTCAATGAGGAAAAAGACTTGTATACTGAGAACTACACAACACTGCTGAAAAATTAAAGACACAAATAAATGGAAAGATATCCCATGTTCTTGGATTGGAAGACTAAATATTGTTAAAATATCAATACTATTCAAACTGATCTACACAGTAATGCTGTCTTATTCAAAATTCCAGTGTTTTTTTTCGTAGAAAACCCCATCTTAAAATTCATATGGAATCACAAAAGACCCCTGAATAGTCAAAACAATCTTGAGAAAGAAGAATGAAGCTGGCAGACTAATACTTCCTGACTCAAAACACATTACAAAGCTACAGTAATCAAAGCAGTATGACACCAGCAAAAATGCAGACATTAGATTAATGGAACTGAATACAAGCCCAAAAACAAACTCACACATATACAATCAAAAGATATTTTTGCAAGGAAGCCAAGATTACACAATGGAGAAAGGGCAGTCTCTTCAACAAATGGTGTTGGAGAAACTGGATATTCATATGCAAAACAATACATTTGGACTCATACCACACACACACAAAAAAAACTCAAAAAAGGATTAAAGACTTAAATGTAAGAGCTGCAACTATAAATCTCCTAAAAGAAAACATAGGAGAAAACTTCATAACATTGTTCTTGGTAAGAATTTCTTAGATATGTCACTAGAAGTACAGACAACAACAAGAAGAAATAAACAAGTGGGACTATATCAAACTAAAGAGCGTCTACACAAGGAAAACCATCAACAGAGAGAAAAGGCAACCTATGGAATGAGGGGAAACATTTGCAAACCATATGTATTAGTCATGGTTCTCCAGAGAAACAGAATCAATAGGAAATCTATAGATAGATATTTGAAAAGGGATTTGTTACAGGAATTAGCTCACGTAATTAAGGAGGCTGTGAAGTCCCACAGTATTCTGGCCTGAAAGCTGGAGAGTCACGGAAGCCAGTAGCATGGCTCCATTCAAGTCCAAATGCCTGAGAACAAGAGGAGCCAATGGTATAACTCTCAGTCTGAGACCAAAGCCCTGAGAAACTGGGGTCTCCAGTGCAAGCTCCAGAAACCTAAGGTTAGAGAACCTTAACTTCTAGTATCTAGGGCTGAAGAAGATGGGTGTTCAGTTTCAGAAGAGAGAGAGCATGAACTTGCCTTCCTCTGCTTCTTTGTTTATCTAGGTGGCCTCAGCCTAAATTGGATGGTGCCTGCCAATGCTGGGCGAGTTCAGATCTTCTTTATTCAATTCATTAATTGGCATACTAATCTCTTCTAAAAACACCCTCATAGACATACCCAGAAATAATGCTTTACTAACTACTTGGGTATTCCTTAATTCAGTCAAGTTGGCATCTAAAATTAAACATCACATCATATATCTGATAAGGGGTTAATATCCAAAATATATAAGGAATGCCTACAACTCAATAGCAGGAAAAAAAGCCAATTTAAAAATGCACAAAGGATTTAAATAGACATTTTTCTGAGACTACATACAAATGATTACCAGGTATATGGAAAGAATTCCAACATCATAAAGTATTAAGAAACTGCAAACAAAACCACAATCAGATATCACACCACACTTGTTAGAATGAAACAAAAAAAAAACTGAAAATAAAAAGTGTTGATGAGGATTGTTAGTGGGAATGTAAAATGGTGTGGCCACCATAGAAAACTGTATGGAGGTTACTCGAAAAATTTTTAAAAGAACCAAAATATGATCCAGCACTCTCACTTCTTGGTATTTATCCAAAAAATTGAAAACAGGATCTTGAAGCAATATTTGTACTTTCATATTCATTGCAGTATCCTTCACAATAGCCAAGATGTATAAACAACCTAAATGTCCATTGGTGGATAAAGGGATAAACAACATGTATTATGTACCACCAATGGAATACTAATTAGCCTTAGAAAAGAAGGTAATGCTGTCATATGCTACACCATGGCTGAACCTTCAGGGCATTATGCACAGTGAAATAAGCCAGTCACAGAAGGGCAAATACTGCGTGGTTCCACTTATATGAAGTAATCAAAGAGGTCAAACTCATAGAAATGAAAAGTAGAATGGTAGTTGCCAGGGTCTGGGGAAGGGGGAAATGGGCATTTGCTATTCAAATGGCATAGAGTTTCAGTCATGCAAGATGAAAAAGTTCTAGAAATCTGCTGTACAACAATGTGCACATAGATAACAATTCTGTACTTAACAATGTTTAAAGAGAGTAAATTTCATGATATGTATTTATTTTTTTTGAGATGGAGTCTCATTCTGTCACCCAGGCTGGAGTGCAGTGACACAATCTCGGCTCACTGCAACCTCCACCTCCTGGGTTCAAGGAATTCTCCTGCCTCAGCCTCCCAAGTAACTGGGACTACAGGAGCATGCTCTCTGCTCGGCTATTTTTTGTATTTTAGTAGAGACGGGGTTTCACCCTGTTGCCCAGGATGGTCTTGAACTCCTGAGCTCAGGCAATCCGCCCGCCTCAGCCTCCCAAAGTGCTAGGATTACACGTGTGAGTCACCATGCCCAGCCCAGTGATATGTATTTTTAACCACAATCATAACATAAAAAGTTTAAGACACTTTGGTGAAGGTGGATATTTTTGTGCTTTTTGAGACAGAAAAAAAAGTACAGGAGATCATGTCAGATGTGAGTATGTCCTGTATGGGACACTGAAAGGAGAAAATTGCATAAGAATGAAATTGAGATGACACTATACATGTAGATTCTACTGAATTATTAATTATAAAATAAGTAGCACAACTTTTATATTTTAAAGCTTAAAATTTCCTACTATTAAAAATATTACTACTAAGATTTATTATAAACTATTCTTACATATGTTTCCTTTCTGACTGTATCAATCCATTTTCATGCTGCTGATAAAGACATACCTGAGACTGGATAATTTGTAAAGAAAGAGAGGTTTAATGGACTCACAGTTACACATGGCTGGGGAGGCCTCACAATCATGGCAGAAGGCAAAAGGCATGTCTTACATGGTGGCAGACAAGAACAAATGGGAGCCAAGTGAAAGGGGAAACCTTTTATAAAACCATTAGATCTTGTGAGACTTATTCACTACCATGAGAACAGTAATATGGGGTATTCGCTCCCATGATTCAATTATCTCCCACTGGATCCCTCCCACAACATGTGGGCATTCTGGGAACTAAAATTCAAGATGAGATTTGGGTGGAGACACAGCCAAACCATATCACTGACCAAATAAAACCAATAAAATTTTCACAGGCAAGGCCTACTAGTTGATTCCTCTTCTTCTACAGTATATTTTTATCCTTTGGTCAGTTATTCATGTGTGTGTGTGTGTGTGTGTCTTTATTTTTGACCATATCTCTACTCTTAATATTCTCAGTATTTGCCATTTTTCTTCCTCTTCACAGATCCTTTACAGTATCTCTTTACTATATATTTGCAAACAGTTTTTCTTTTCATCCTTGGTGGTTCCAGAGGCCTTTCTCATAGTCTATTAAAAGGCCAGGGTAGAGGACTGGGAAGCAAAGTAGATGTTTAAGTCAGACATCTCTTAGTTGAAATCCAGGCTCTGTCACATCACACAAGCTAGCCCTCTGCAAGTCACCATACTTCTCCAAAATTGAACTGACTCATTTTAAAAAACAGAATAAATAATGCCTAACTCACAATTTTTCTATAAATATAAAGCAAAAACTAAATAAAGAGCCTAGTATGATCTCCATTGAGGAAGCAACTTTTCTTCTACTTTAGAGCTCTGCTGGTTTACATAAGAGCAATTTACATAAGATATTCCACAAGACAGTTCTGTTTTCTCCAAGTTCTATTTCTGGGAACCTTTCAAGTATCTTGAAATTCTCAAGTCCTACATACAGAGTTCCTTGATAATTGTATATGGGTCTCCAGGTTTTCCTTTTTAAGTTGTTGACTTTCATCTTCCACTCTGCCATCTTCATTACCGTGTCCTTTTCTTGGGTTGCCAAGTATTCTTTTCTTTTTTATAATATCATTTTTGTTTCAATGGAATACTGTATTTCCACTGATCATATAACATAGGAAATAAAATACAAAATTCAACCTTGGTTTGCTGGGATCCTCTCCTTTCTTCAAGAACCACATTATAACATAAGGCAATTGTAGATTAGTCCTGCTCATCATTTCTTCCAGATTTGTATTCCATTTTCTCACTCAGACATTCCTGTGGCTATGTAGGATTACCAACATATTCCCATCCCTACATCAGATGTAACAATAGTAGGAGCCAGCCACAAAAAAATTTACAGGAAAATCTCCCCCTTCATCGCACAAAAAAGAGCAATTGTTTTTTTATTTTCTATTTTTTAGTTTCATCTTGTTATTTTTTTCCTTTTTTAAAACTGTATTCATCTTATATTGGTTTTAAATCCCTGGAGCTTTCTCCTGATTATAGAAGTAATATATACTTGCTTTATTTTAATTTCCTAATTTCCTTTTGCATCTTATTTCCCCCTAATTCAAATGGTCATAAGTCTCACTAAATGCCTCCACAGATACCTTTATTAGGATAATTCCATTTCTCCCCATTTTCATGCCTTTAATAATACAATATATAACTTTAACAGTCAAGTATAATTTTAATAACTTTTTTATTTTCCACCATTTATTTGGTTTTATATATTTACTAGATTTTCTTTATTTCCTCTTAACAGCTTTACATGTTTGCACCTCATCTTCTATTTTTGTTAAAGAAACGTAATCTTCTACTTACAAAGTTATTATTTTCACTATTTTACAGAACAAAAAATTGAGGCCTCAAAAGGTTAGAAAAAACTTTCCCAAGATTACATAGCTAAATTTGTGGAGCTGGAATTTAAGCTCATGCCTGTGGATTTCATAACCCAGTATCTACTACACTAAACAGCCTCAGACAGGCAACTCCACCTAAAGCAAGCCTGGGGCACAGGTAAAGAGGAATGCTGTTCCCAGAAGGGTTTCTAAAGCATCTACATGAAAATGAAGAATGTGCAACACCTTATCTTAGAGATTATTCATTTACTGAGTTCAGGTCAGGGCTGATAGCCAGGCATAGCAGCTTCTTGAAACTTTTGAGAAAGAGCTAGAGTCATTTTAAATGGAAGAAGTAAGCACCATAAAAAAACAGAAAATAGAAACTATGGCTCTAGTCAACCTACTGTGAACCTTAGAATATTCATGATTCTGGGCACATAAAATCTGGCTTCCAGAAACATATCAGAAAAGATTCACACCTCTTTTTGACTTAGATAAAATTAAATTTATTTCTTGCAATTTTCCTTTTTCTGTAACTTTTTGTTTGGAAATGCAGCCACAGGCATAAATTTTCATATCCCAACAGGCTCCACAAACTGAAGACAATCTAAGTTTAGCAGTCATATTCATATTCAAATCTATTCCTTTACTAATTCCACAGATATTGCCAGGTATTTGATCATAGTTACTTGAGATACAACAGTGGAAAACAGTCCCAGATCCCTCACCTCATTGAGTTTATATTCTAGCAGGAAGACAAGACAAGGTTTTAAAAAATGTAAAAAACTAAGTTATATTTTCAAGTTAGAAGGTGATGAATGTTATGAGAATTCCTAGAAGTTGTAGAGCAGGATGTATTATTCAGTATGGTTGGCCTCATTGTGTAGGTGACATTCATGCAAAACTTGAAGAAGAGGAGGTCAAGGCGATTTTTGGCATATGATAGATTGCAATTTTGTCTAAAACATATCATGCCTCTCTTTTTGAGATTATAAATTCCTGACCAATTGACATAAATTCCTGCCCACAACTTTTTTAGCTAAAGAAATGTGATTGGGATGATGTATCCATTTCCAAGAAGCTTTAAGAGCCACATTCTTTCATGTTTTCCCACATTTCCTTTTTATCTGCCACTAGATTTTTAATGTCCAGATAAGGGCTCATCCTTTGGCCTGGGTACAATCCTAGCACAATTTGGAAAGCTATTGGTGGTGAAACTTTGGCAAAATATAAATCTTTGTTTTTATGTGCCATGAAGATTTGGGATTCTTCTAAGCTCCCTCATGCCTACACAAGAGCTTTCAGGAAGAGGAAACAACTTAAGCAAAGGCCCTGAGGCGGGAGCATGCCTAGTGTGATTGAGGAACAGAAACAGGTCAGAAAAGTAGAAGTAGAGTGAGAAGTGGGAGATTAGCAGGAGAGACATTCAAAAATAAAACTACAGCATGTAGCCCATGGTAGGAAATTTGGCTTTCACACTGAATAAACTGATGAGTCATCCGATCTAAGTAGAAGAGTGAAATGGTCTGATTTCAGTGTTCAAAGGATCACTTTGCTCTATTGAAAATAAACTAAAGCATGATAAGGACAGTTATTGGTAGAAATCTTGGGAGGCTATCGGCAAGAGATGATGGTGGCAGCAAGGATGAGGGTACCAGCAGTAGCAGAGGTCATGATGAGAAGTTAGATTCTGAAAATCTAATCTGCTCAGTGGAGGGTGGCAGCTGGAGATTCTGGGCACTAGCTGTCATGCTCCCAGGGCTCTGTCTGTGAGGACTGAATAAAGCAGTAACTCATTTGTGTATGTGTATGTGTATGTGTATGTGTATGTGTATGTGTATGTGTATGTATGCATGTGTATGTATGTGGACACAGTGAAGAGGCAACAAAGACAAAGCAGACAGTCTAGGGCTCAGAGCAAACACAAGGCAGACAGTCCAGGGCTTAGAGTAATTTTGGGACAAATAAAAAACAAAATTGTAACCAGAAACCAGAATAAGTGTCGAGGAATTGAACTGTCACATATTTTGAGAACTAAAGAAAAGCCATACTCAGAGGCATATAGTTGCCCCAGGACGTACTTTATACCCAAAGATTCACCTACGCCCACTAGGAGTTAACAACCCCTATCAGGACTCATGTATTCCACAGATGCTAAGATGCCATAGTTACAAAAGCTCCAGATTCTACCTTGGCTGCTCTGGATCACGGAAAATTCCTGTGCCTATGCCAGCAGCTGGGGTTGTCAAAGCTGACTTGGACTCTGGGCATGGTGGCTCATGCTTGTAATCCCAGCAGTTTGGGAGGCCAAGGCAGGGAGATTGCTTGAGTACAGGAGTCCAAGATCAGCCTGGGCAACATGGTGAGATGCCATCCCTGCAAAAAATAAAAAATAAGCTGGGCTCAGTGGCCTACACCTGTAGTACTAGGGAGGCTTAGGTGGAAGGATCACTTGAACCCAGGAGGTCAAACCTGCACTGCAGCCTGAGCAAGAGCAAGACCATGGCTTAAAAAAAAAAAAAAAAATTAAAACATAAAAAAAAGCTGATTTGGTATGACTCATCCTTAGTTGTCTAACCGCAAATAAAATAAATATCTCTTAAGCATTCTTCTTCACAAAGCTCATGATTTCTCTTACAATTATTCATTCAGTTAACAAGTATTAAACACCAACGATAATTAGAACCCAGTCTAGGAGCTGGAATTAAAAACATAAACAAGAAAATACAACATGTCTACCTATCTTGAAAAATTCTTCATCAAATGTGAAACCAGCATGGGAATGGAAAATGGTACCACAATATGATGGAAGTATAGGAACGCTGTGGATGCAGTGCTGCAGCAGTGGAGAGGTGGAGACACGGCAGCAAGAGGGGAAAGGCATCTCCAGGAAGGTAGCAATTGAGCAGACCTCAAAGGTTAAGGAGGAATTTGCTAATAAAAGGGATGGGAGGTATGTAAAACCAGAAAACAGAATAAATGTCTAGGTTAGGCCATGTCATTTTGTTAGCTCTTTTTGGTAAAAATTTTATAAACAAGATCCAATTGAAAACTGAAAACTAATATTTTGTCATGTCATCGACATCCAATTTTAAATTCTCTATATCATCTTTTATAAGTACTATAGTCTTTATCAATTGGATGAATTATTTCACCTTTCCCTATTTACTTGTCACTGAAACAAGAAACCAAAATTTTCCGCATAGGTGCTTAAAAGTGCATAGAATCTAAAGTGAGAACTTTGGACCAGAGAACATTCCCACTCCATCAATCCCACCATGGTCCTTACTTCCAGACCAGTCTGCTGTTAATGCATTGGCTTCTCCAGGCTTTCATGTGGCATTAACCCACATTCTTTCCTCTCTCTGAGCACCTTTTCTCTCTCTGGAGCAACGTTCTAAAGACATTATTCACAACTTCTCTTTCCTAATCTGTCAGCTTTAATCCTATAAACCGACCACCACAAATACTTAAGGATGTCTGAAAGCTGTGCTTTTATCCTTGTTCAAATTTTTTATCTCCATATGTCACCTTAACCTTGTCTTACAAAAGCTTATCTCATTTTACTATTTTTAATACAATTTATACATTGAGTGTTTTAAATCCATCCACACTATCAATCATTTCAGCAGCTATTCATATTTATTTTGTTCTTTATGGTCAACTTTCCTCCTTTTTAGAATGTTTTCTATCTTCATATTTTACAGCATCGCATTCTCTATCACTATTCTCTGGTATCATGAAAAAATGAGCAAGACTTCTGATTTCTGGGTTATGTATTTCTAATACCATCCTTTTTTTATCAGTAATTTGCTCATCTTCTATAGATTTCTGCCAAGTTTCTAAGTTTTTAAGACATTAATGTTAGAGAAGAAGAAATCTTTCACTTTGTTTACCATCTCTCTTCCTTTGGTTCACTACCCTTATCCATTAAATGGGCCCCTTTTTCCCATTGGTAAAAAGAATAAATCTTAGCCTTTCACTGTGAACCTCATTGTTAGCATTTCTACAGGAACCAAATCATAGGAAGTTTTCTTTTACCAGTACATCTTTATGGCAGCGGCGGGCCATTCAAAGTGGCCACTGCCATCACACCGACTGCAGTGGGGAGGCGTAGGCCGTGGCAGCAGGACCAGGTGTGAGAGCAGCAGTGGCAGCACTGGAACCCCTGTGCCCTCTGTCCCTGAGGCATCCACCTGCGCCATCCCAACCCTCGTGTGGCCAGGGGGACCCTCTCCCAGAACCGGAGCCTCTGCCTCTTTGGACCCTGGCCCCATGACACCACTCTTGCCTGCCACTGCTGTGGGGAGGGTGCAGGGAGGAGGTAGACAGTCACCGGAGGTCACCCCTGAGATCCTGCTGCCCTGAGAGCTGCCATGTTGGGGCTGGGCCGAGCCACCCACCGGCGGGACAGCAGCTTGGTCTGGCACAGAGGAACAGGCAGAGAAGGGACCAGCGAGGACATGGAGCCCCTGCCCCAGGCAGCAAGGAGGCACGGCTGGGGCTGCAGGCTCCATGGAGCCGGTAGCTCTGCCGCTTCCAAGTTCGCAGGGCGGGAGCTCCCCAGCGCAGCTACAGCCGCCATGCTGGCTCCAGACCCAGGCATCTCTGTGCACTTGGGAACCAGGAAGTCTCCCACCCCTAACCCTGTAGAGGCTCAAAAGTGCCTGCTCCTGCTGCCTGGCTTCCTCAGCTGTTGAGGCTGGCTTCAATCTCAGAGCAAAGCAAACTCGGGGGTAGCGCAGGCACTGTTGCTGCCTGATTGGGTATGCACATGCTAGGGGCTACACTGATATGCCAGCTCATTGCCACCTCAACCCGCTCCAGACTTTGGCCGACAACAAGCACAGGAAGGAGGCCAAGGGGGTGTTGAGAACAGCATGTTGCTGGCCTGCAGGCACCCCTTGGCATGAACAGCCTGGGCGCCATAAACAGGAGCAGGAGGCAGATAGGCTCCTGGGCAGAAGGGGGTTGGTCCCCAGTGAAGCCCCACCTTCAAACCAGGGAGGGCCTGAAGCCTGGGGTCCAGGGCACCAGTCTTCAGAGACCAGGAGGGGAACTTGTGGTCCTTTTCCCTGGGTCTGCCCATGGCTGCCCATGGGCATGTACTTCCTCCCCTCTGAGGTCCACAAATCCCCAGACTCAGCCAGGCTCAAGCAGAGGATGGAGAGTCAATAGGGAGACAATGGGGAGACAATTGGCTGACCAGCTGCAAAGAGAAACTAACCTCTCTGCTGAGAGCTGGACTCTTGTTGGATGACCTGCCTAGTAGAGAGGAGCAACCCTCTCTGCTGAGAGCCAAACACTTGTCAGGACACCCTGGCTATGGAGAGGAGCTGCCCACTGTGGGTCTCCTCTGAGCTGTTCTATTGATCAATAAAGTTCCTCTTCATCTTGCTCACCCACCACTTGTCTGCTGTACCTCACTCTTCCTGGGTACAGGACAAGAACTTGGGACCTGCCGAATGGCAGGGTAAAAGAGCTATAACACAAACAGGGCTGAAACACGCCCCTTGCTCACCACATCTGTGGGCAACAAGAAGGAGAGAAGTGCTGCGGCCCTTCAGGGGCCTAGACCTGGGAGCTCCCCAAGCCAGGGCTGTGACTCCCCCTTTGGGGCTCTGTGGTTCCTGGAGTCTCCAAGCATCCAGGCATCACCACATTCCACAGTGCCAGCCATGGATGCTGCTTGCGGTGCGCCTGGTCCTGCTGTAGCCTTGCAATGAGCCAGCACCTATGGTGGCACCTAGAGCTGCCCGCCTCACTGCAGCAGCCGTGTCTGACTGTGCGCAGTGGCCGGACCCCATGCTCACTCGCTCGGATACCCTTGCTGCTCTGCTCTAGCCTCTTCAGAGGCATGGGATCCAGGACAGTAGTGTGAGCCAAGCACAGCCTGCCAAAACAAGTAAGCCCAGTGGGCCCAAGCAAAATTTGGGTGAAGGTGCCACCATCCACAGAGGTTTCTGACCAGAAAAGCAATACCCCCAAGGATCCCATAACAATTTCACTTTGAAACACAATGTCTTTTTCAAAAGCTTGAAATATTGAGTTTCTTTGGTGTGTGTGCAATAGCTCAGCTTAAGCATTTCCTTAAAACCTCTAGTAAATTCCAAAGAAACTAGTAACTTGGATGTTTCTGTGCACATCTAATGAATCACAAACTTGGCTTTGAGTTTTCAACTGTGATTTATATGATCTGGGATACCAGGGATGTTGGTGGTTGTCTTGTCTTTTATGTCTCACTACAGACGTAACTAAAAAGATGAATTAGGGATGCTTAGATTAGGAATTTAAAAGCAAGTTTTGAGAATGTTTGTCCAGAAGGTTGAGAAGAATCAAAAGAATGATGGGTGCTACAAGTATTCTGAGTGTTAAAATAAAATGGATATTATTAAATTTCTTATAAGTAGAGGTCTATGCAATGTAAATATAGAATATATTATGTAAATATAGAATATACAATGTAAATATAGCCTATATTTACATTGTAATAAATATACAATGTAAATATAGGCTATATTTACATTGTAATAAATATACAATGTAAATATAGGCTATATTTACATTGTAATAAATATACAATGTAAATATAGAAAACCTATATTTACATTGTAATAACTGCTCACATTTTAAATAGTAATTGTCTTCCAATTGTTTTGTTATTAAAAATTTGGCAACCTGGGCAAAATTTCATTGTCTGTTTGTAACACTCATGATGCATTTTGCATAAGTTCCCCACCACTCCCCACAACATACACCTTTTGGCTTGTCTTAATAAACACAAACACGAAATCGGTTGAGTAATTTGTAATGATTATAGAATTGTACTTTTAACATACATATGTAAATAAGTAGTGATCAATCCTATTTCATACATTTGGAAATATTTAAATCCACAGATCACATTTTGGTTATTTTTAGGACTATTCCTATCATCTTTTCCTGTGTCTCAGTTGAAACACCTTCTCGTATCTTTTATAAAACTATTTCCTACATTTTCTTTCTGATCTTCTTTCATCTTTTTATCATAACCATAAGCATGTTTTCAATCTGTGTCTCATATTGAGCTGCAGAGTTTGGTTGAAAGAACCTGGAGTAGGAATCTGAAGTTCCAGGTCCTAGTCTGACTCCACATTTTCAACAATATTTATAAAGCAACAATAGTATAATCCTACACTTTAGTAAGTTCTTTATACACATTTTTCAATCTTCATAGCAATCATATAGAAAAGTACCATTCTTCCCATTTTTGAGGTGACAAAGCTAAAGTCCAGAGAGATTAGATAATTCGTTCAATGTCACAGAACTAGCAACTTTAAAACAGGGACTCAAACATAAGTGTGCATAATTCCAAAGAACATCGCCTAAATTGCCTCATTTGTTATGTGACCTTGTGATTTCCTTTTTCTTGTTTGGAAAACTGGCAACCACCGGAGGAGCTTCCTGCCTGCTTCCTACAGTTGGTAAGATTCAGTGTTTGACATATGCTAGAAGTTAGAATACCCATTCTGTTATCCTTTAAATGCCTTACATATGCACAGTTTGAAAATCTTTATTCTGATGATAATCTTGTCCAGAAGGCATCTTTTATTTTTGGCCACTTATAAATCCTAAATCCAGGACCTGGGTCTAAAATAAATTTTACTCCTTATATTCAGCCTTTTGATTCATATTAAATGAAGACCATGTTTTTCTGCTTTCCGAGTTTCATATGCTGCATCTCTAGTGGCTATATAGTAAAGTATCAAAATATATTTCTACTTTAAGCTGTACTGGCTCCAATTTTGTAAAATTTTATGTTGAATTCTTCGAAGGCTCGTTTCCTTTCTTACTTCTTAGGTGTGAAGCTTTAGCCTTGGCTCTGGCTAGATGGCCCTCCCTCTGTCTGTCCTGGGCCTAGGTCCCGTCTACAGAAGGCCTATTGTTCTCATTTTCCTTTGCTTTTCCCTCCATTCAGTTCTATGATGCTTTTCCTCCTCTTGGCTTTTCATCCTGGGATTCAGACAAAGCTCCCTCTCATGAAGTGCTCTCTATCTTCATGAGCCATCTTCTTCCTGCTGCTCTCTTGGTACAACCTCTTATTTACCCTCAGCTATTGTATCTGTTTTCCTTTGTTTTCCTACTGCAACCAGAATTCTATATTCTTTATTTTTCTCCCGCACTTCAAAAAGCCTCCTCTTTCCGCGTTCTCTCCCCTCCCGGCCTCAGCCCCAGGAGCCTCCCTGCATTCAGGTGGGCTGATCAGACTTGCTCCAGTGCTTTCTAGCAGACCCTTTCATTCCAGGGCCTAGGAGGGCACAGCTGCTTCTGAATCCCTTTTATTATAACAAGCTATGGGGAAATTTGTCCTTTTTCACCATAGAGGTTACAAAGTATCACTCTGAATGAGGACCTCTACTATGTCCTTACTCTCCAAACCCAAATCACTTCTCCACAGCACAGCAAGTAAAATGATAATAGCCTCACTCACATGTATAGGAGATTTTTGGCTCTACCCTATAAAAGGCAGAACTCTTCTATTTTCTTACCAGAAAAGTTACTTGTGATTAGTTATTAAATGTTTGGCTTAATTCCTCTCCCTTTGCTAATGCTTCTTTTTCCTCTCTTTCTTAAGAACTCTCCCCACTTGATGTTTTCTCTCCCTGGTCCCCAACAAACCCAGTACCTTAGTCCATGAAAATTTCTCTACATTCTCAGACTTGTACTCCTACTGCAGAATTTCCCTCTACATTCCTGGGTTACAGATGATAATAGCTGTGTATAAGTTGGATTTAATCAATCTTGAGGGCTTTTGAAATCTAAAAGAGGAACTGGTTGGCCAAATTGTCTCTACGATCCAGAATAAGAACTGAACAATTGTCTTGCCATGTTTTTGGGACTGGTATATACTCATGGGGTCTCCTGCCTGCCAAGCAGTGGAGCTGCACTGTCTACAGCCTCTTCTTTTCATTTGGCATCTACCCATATCTCTCAGGACTTGGCTAGTATAAAAAATAAGGAAGATTTGAACCAAGAATTGTGACTGATCAAATAAGAGTCTCTAGTGTAGTTCTAGTGCAGGACAAGGGCAGGGAAGGAGAAGAGGAGGACAGATAGCAGCACAGAAGTTGAAAGACAGAGTTTAGTTTTTTTCAGTTAACAGGGCTCTTTATTGTTTCTGAGAAACAACATTTCTGATGAGCTCATTTTAGAGTAAAAATTCATAGGTTTTATATTTCACTCCAAAATGTTTCTTGACAGTATGGTGGCTTGCAAAGATGCAAATTTCACCCCAAAATACAACATTATTCTGTAATAATATAGTAGGATAATATTTTAAAGAGACTATATATTAGAAAACAGAAATTCAACAAGAAGAGTATTCTTGTTTATAATTTAATAATACTTTCTTCTTGTTGTTGTTGTTATTGTTTTTGATGGAGTCTCACCCTGTCACCCAGGCTGGAGTGCAGTAGTGTAATCTCAGCTCACTGCAACCCCTGCTTCCTGGGTTCAAGCGATTCTCCTGCCTCAGCCTCCCGAGTAGCTGGGATTACAGGCACCTGCCACCATGTCCAGCTAATTTTTGTTATTTGTAGTAGAGAGAGGGTTTCGTCATGTTAGCCAGATTGGTCTCGGACTCCTGACCTCGGGTGATCCACCCACCTTGGCCTCTCAAAATGTTGGGATTATAGGCATGAGCCACCATGCCATGCCCAGCCTAATAATACTTTCTTTGAACATGGCAACAACTATTAAAGCTTATAGAAAATACCAGCACAGGAATTTGAAAATACTAAAATTGGTAAAATTAAAACATTAAAATGTAAACTATGTTTTCTAACTTGTACTATAATTTTGATAATTATTTTTACTTGTATTTCTGTGATACCTTTTTAAAATAAAAAGTATTAAATCTTTAAGATAGAATTCTGGCAGATTATCATTTTGGAAAAGTTTTGAGCACAAGATTGCTTCTTAATACATGTCAGGTTACAGTTAATAAAAGCTTACAAATCATCATAATTTAATACGCAATGTGTCAATGAAGTGATCTGAAAGCAGTTAATTGGCTTAACAAATGGATGTTTAGGTATAGTCAGTCTCATTCTGAAACACCTGTTGAAGGAAATGTTCTGAAAATATATTAGATACTTCTTTGATATATCAAACATTTCAGTCATTTAAGCTTTCCTTTAGTAATGTAACTGAAACATTTTGGTTGTATTTCATGGCTGGAAGTACGGATTAACTGATGGCATTAACCAATTTTGCAGGAATCAGGTCATTCAAACAGCTAGTATCAAAGAATTTCTATAAGCATAGGCACCTCATGTCTCCCTAACATCCCCTCTCCCTCCCTGCAAACCCCTTCTTTTTGTAAGAAATTTATGTGGTTGAGAGAAGTCCTTACAGACCCAACTTCAGGTATGAAGAAACGTACCCAAGACAGCCAACCAGTGCCTTCAATCCTTGGCCACAGATACTGGTATAAGATAGTCATGTGGCCTAATCCTCTCCCATCAGAGTGAATCTTGGGATTTTTTGAACAGTGTATGTTGAGCGGACATAATCCCTAAAATCACTGCAAGCACTTTGCTACTGTGAGGCAAGAGCGCCTGAGAATAAAGCACAGAAAAGAGAGTAAAACCTAGAGATCCTCAGAGAAACAGGCCAAAGCCACTTTGAGCCTTGCCCTACCACTAGATTTCCATTTATTTGAGCCACAATGCCCCTTTTAAAAAAAACTGGCTTGAGTTTGGTTTCTCTTATTTACAGCTTAAATATTTCTTTGAGACATCTCTGATGTCCTTAGAATTCATCTAGGGAGACCATAAGGACTACATGGTGCCCACTCTCAGGAAGTATGCATTATTATTATTATTATTATTATTATTATTATTATTATTATTATCATTATTTGGAGACAGTCTTACTCTGTTGCCCAGGCTGGAGTGCAGTGGCGTGATCTCTGGTCCCTGTAACCTCCACCTCCTGGGTTCAAGCGATTCTCCTGCCTCAGCCTCCCAAGTAAGTGGAATTACAGGCATGTGCCACCTTGCCTGGCTAATTTTTGTATTTTTAGTAGAGACAGGGTTTTGCCATGTTGGACAGGCTGGTCTCAAACTCTTGGCCTCAAGTGATCTGCCCACCTTGGCCTCCCAAAGTGCTGGGATTACAGGTGTGAGCCACTGCACTGAGCCACATTATTCTTAAAGTGTTATGATTTGCAAAATGGTAGTTTATGGCATTGAGGCAGGATAGAATTCAGAGCTAAGTTATTTAATACTGAAGAAGACACAAAGATGTTTAATGGAAAAGAGAGAACAAATACAGCTGTCTCACTATGAACGGACATGGTATCTTGGACAGAGTATCTCTGGGCCTTAAGAGATGGGTGGAATTTGGATGCAAGGTAGACCACATTGAACGGAACACGATGAATGCACAAGGCCAGGAATGGCCATAGGGTACCTATGGGTCAGTGCAGCTATGACTAAAGCACAGAGATTTGTGCTTGGATAGAGTGGGAAATAAGGTCAGCTGGGCTAGATTGCAGGTCTTGAAGAATAGCCAAGGAGACACAAATTTTATTACAGAGCATGAGGAGCCACTACATATATATTTTAAACATAGAACATTTACTGTATCTAATTTTAAAAGATTTACCTACCCATTGAAGAAAAATCAGAAGAAAATAACATATAAAAGGAAAATAAAATTACTTCCAATATCACCACTTAAATATGATTGCTGTTTTCATATGAACACATTTCATCAGCTTTAGTGTGAGTACTTGTATTTAACAAAATTGATGTCATATTTTCTACAGTTTTATATCCTGTTTTCTTATTTAGCACATCAACACATTGTTAATCACTATGAGTATTTCACTATATGACTACTGGATCAATTATTTTGTAATTTCCTATTGTTAGATTAAATAAGTAGAACTGTAATTTTTAGTAGGAAAATATACATTTTGAACAATATTTAAGAAAGTTTATCTTTAGAAGCTTGAATTCTAAATAAAGGGTGTTGAAAAAATCTTGCATCCAGCTAAATATTTATCTCAGTAATCTCAGTCTGAAACATCATAAATCAAAACAAGGCTGAGTATTGAGCAATAAAAAGACATTAAGAAATGTTGAATAATAGTACATGGCATTAATAGGTTATTAGTTATGACAGATAGAAATAAGTTAAAGATGACTAAGACTTGGAGTCTGATTAAAAAAGAAAATTATCATAGAAGGAGGGGTCTAAAAAAGAGCTTTTGAAGAATAGAAACAGTTTTCTTTTAATCATGCTGAAGTGAAATCACCTGAAAACAATCAAGTAGCAATAATACAATAAGCAATGAGGAAATGTAGCCTGAAAATTAGCTGGAGATTAAGACTGGAGATAATATGAGTAGTTATTATTTTATAGCTCCTAGTATGTGTCGATGAATAAGTATTTGGTATAACTTAAGAGGAAAAAAGGCTATCGTACACTCTACCACACGGAACAAAGGCCAAGAAATGGGACACATCTGAGTCTGATGGCAGGAGAAAATGTAGAATCACTTTAGTACTTCTAGATGAATTGGTACCAATCATTTTGTATGCATGTGTGTCATTTAAGTTTTAAAAAATCATTAGTTTGCCCAAAGGTAAATCAATGTGATATTATAGAAGTTGGATGAAACAATACCAGGCACAAAACCAACAGACATCACTACAAAAGACAATCATTCCAGTACCAATAACAGCTAAACTTTATTGAGTGCTTACTCAATGCCAGGCATCGTACCAATTGATTTACATCCTCACAACAGATTTCTAATGTGAATACTTGTAATCGGTTTCCTATGGCTGCTGTAACAAATTCCCATAGATTGGGTTTATTTTCTCACAGTTCTGGAGACCAGTAGTCAGAAATCAGGATTCCAGCAGGGCTGGAGGCTCTATGGCAGAACCCTCCTTGCCTTTTCCAGCTTCCGGCAGTTGTTGGGATTCCATGGTGTCCTGGGTTTGTGGCCACGTGACTCCTACCTCTGCCTCTTGACTTCACATCAACTCCCCTCTCCTGTCCACATATTCTTCTCTTCCGCTTCTTATAAAGACATTTGTCATTGAATTTGGTATCCACCTAGAGAATCTGGGAGGATTTTACCTCGAGATCCTCAATTTAATTACATTACAAAGACCCTGTAACCAAATAAGATCACATTCATAGGTTCCAGAAATTACAACAAGGGAATACTCTTTGGAGGTTACCATTCAGCTCACTATAGTACTATAGTCATCTACATCATACAGAAAATAAACGGAAGCCTGGAGAGGCTTAGCAACTTACCTATGGTCACACAACTATAAAGTGAGGGTAGAGCCATAGTCAAGGGTAGGATGTGTAACTCTACTGTCCATGGTCTAAAACATTACGTTGTGGTATGATACACAGAGCACAGAAAGTGCAATACTGCAGAATAATAATCAGAATCACAGATCTAAAAGAAAGTGATTTAATAATGTGGAGAAAATGTCCCTTGACCAGAGCTAGCTAAGAGTTTCAGCAGTTTTTAAGTGAAGAGATACTGTCAACATAAGGATCACATAGCATGCATTTATTGTTTTTTTGTATATGTTAGTTGTTTGGTAAACTGCACAAATTTAATTTCACAATGTGGGATTCTAAACTAATCTTTTTTTGATGGTTATAAAAAGGATTTTTAACTTATTATATAAACATGTCCTTATTTTTTCTTTTATTTTCAGTTAACATCTAATAATGGTGCATATTTATGGGATACAGAGTGGTATTTCAATATGTGTGTGCAATGTGCAATGATCAAATCAGAGTAAGCATATCAATCACTTCAAACATGTATCATTTCTTTGTGTTGTAAACATTCAAAATCCTCTCTTCTAGCCTTTTGAAAATATACATTAACTCATCATTGATCATATTCTTTCACCCTACAGTCCTGCAGAATACTGGAGCTCATTCCTCCTATCTAACTATAATTTTGTATCTGTTAATCAACTTTTCCTCATCCTCCCCTTTCTCTCTCCTTCACATCCACTATTACCCACAATTCTACTGTTTCCATAAGCTCAATTTGTTTTTAGTTCCTACATGTGAGTGAGAATATATAGTGTTTATCTGTCTGTGCCTGACATATTTTGCTTAACATAATGTCCTCCAGATGTATTCATGTTGCCGTGAATGACAAGATTTCATTCTTTTTATGGTTGAAAAGTATTCCATTGTGTATAACATTTTATTTATTCACTCATCTGTTGATGGACTTTTAGGTTGATTTCATATCTTAGCTATTGTGAGTAGTGCTGCAATAAACACAGGGATGCAGGTATCCCTTTAATATACTGACTTCCTTTCCTTTGGAAAAATACCCAGTGGTGGAATGTCTGGATTATATGGTAGTTCTATTTTTAGTTTGAGAAACCCATACACTATTTTCCGTAAATGCTCTACTAATCTACATTCTCACCAACAGTGCATAAATGTTCTCTTTTCTCTACATCTTTTCCAGCATTTGTTATTTGTTTTGTTATTTTTGTAATAGCCATCCTAACTGGGGTAAGATAGTATCTCACTGTGGTTTTGATTTGCACTCTCTGATGATTAGTGATGTTGAGCATTTTTCCATATATTTGTTGGTTATTTGTATGTCTTCTTTTGAGAAATGTGTATTCAGATGCTTTGTCCACATTTTAATCATTTGGTTATTTGGTTTTCTGCTGTTGAGTTATTTGAGTTCCTTGTATATTCTAGATATTAATACCTTGATGGATGGATAGTTTGCAAATATTTTTCCCATTAAACAAGTTGTCTCTTCACTCTGTTGATTGTTTCCTTTGCTGTGCAGAAGATTTTTAGTTTAATATAGTCTCTTTTGTCTATTTTTGTTGCATATGTTTTGGAAGTCTTAGCTGTAGAATCTTTATCTAGACTAATATCTTGGAGTGTTTTTCAGCATTTTTTCCAGTACTTTTATCATTTCAGTACTTACATTTATGTCATTAATCGATTTTGAGTCGATTTTTGTAGATGGTGAAAGATAGGGATCTAGTTTCATTGTTGTGCATACTGATATCCAATCTTCCCAGCTCCATTTGATTGTCTTTACATTCATCACTCCATTAAAAGATCAGTCCCTGAAATATGTGGGCCTCATCATGTATTTTACAACTCATGTATAATTTTAGTCAAGAATCTAGTCCACAGAATAGGAAAATCTGCAAAGGAATACTTTTTAAAGAATGGTGCCTTGACAATATGAATCCATGTCTAAATAAATCAAGTGGGATAACTATACATTTGCTGGAGTTTTGCTGGTGCCTTATTACATTATACAGTATTACATCACAAGGTGGGTGTGTGTGGGTGTGTGTGTGTGTGTGTGTGTGTTCTGTCCTCCAATTAGGTAGTAAGATGAAAGCCAACTTCAATATCTGGTATGTATCATAGTGCCTTGCCTATAAAATGGGGCAAATAAACATTTTGTGGGAGACTGATTTCTTGGCCTATTAGACATGTGCTTAATATGGGGCACATGGATTTTAAATGAAATAAGAGGTAGGATCTCTGTCTACCTACAGTTTATAGTGTAGTTGACCTCTCCTTTTTTTTTTGTGCTTTTCAAAATCCATATTCTTTCAAGTGCAATGTTCCAGGAGCTGAACTGCCCACAGACAAACTGCAGTAAACTTTTCCACGTCCTAATTTAATTTTTCAAGAAATTTTGTAGTGTGTCTTATAATTAAATTTCATACCATTACTAGAAAGTAATGAATCCAATTAAATTTTAAAGTTCTAATGATCTAATTTATAGTTGATTAATCTTGTAAGATTAATCTGTATTAATATCTTTTCACTTTGTAGGTACAATTCACCTTACATTTCCTAAATCGTGAGTTTTCTCTTATCTTCTTGGTGAAACTATTAGGTAGTAGACTTTGGCTTTTTATGTTTCAGTACCAGTTCAGTAATTCTTATTTACACAAAGTCAAGCAACTTCCTTTTACACAAGATGACAGTCATATTATTTAGTTAGTATTACAGTTGCTTTTGCTTTATGACTTTTATTGTCCTTCATTTTACAGTAGTAAAGATAATTCAAGTCATATGGATTTCCTTAAGAAATGCTAACATTGGCTGTGATTACAAGACCCAAACTTCATTACTGCAAAATTCCAGTAAATATGACATTGAAATATTAATGATAATTAGTATAACACTTATAGGACACTGTCACATGCAGAATTCTATGCCAACTTGTTAGTTTATATTTGGGGAAATTCCATTCTTCCTTGTCAATGGTGTCCAAGATTCACTTATAGAAATCTATGCTGACTTTTTCTCATGGTAAATGTACTATCATCTGTGGCTCTATTTTTATATCATCTACATGCTGATTTATCTCCTATTTTCCCTCATTGTTAAATCATACGGGCTATTCTTTTCCAGAATCAACATGCCAGGGAGATCTTTTTTGACCACCCCATCTAATGTATCTCCTATCCCTAACCACCATCTTTTTAAATATTATTTCATTATGTAAAATTATCTCAGTCACATCTCTGCTTATTTGCACTGCCTGATTTCATCTCCACTATTACTGTTATTCTCAAAGTATAAAACAGTGCCAGGCACATAGTAGGTTCTCAAAAAATACTTGTTGGATAAATTAATGGATGATTGAATCTAAGCTTTCATGTGCAATGAAAGACTTGTGTTGAATTCAGGCTAATAGTAGAAAGAATCTGCTCTTTGTCAAATATGGAAAAGATATATAAGGGTCAGGGAGGGCTTTAAGGAAATCTCAAATTACACTATAGGCTTGATTTTTGTTTCTGGCAGAATTTTTTCTATATGTCAAATCTTTCACTAGAAATATTTAGATCCTTTTAATATTTCAAAAGGTAGTAATGTCAATTTTAATATTCAAAGAGAATAATTTTCCAATAAGAATACATAGAAGTGACACAGTTAGTTGTAAGAGGCATCACATTATGACTTCAAATTCCTAATGAGAATTTTGATGCTTATGGCTAGTCAAAATCAATTTAGAAATAAATGTATCATCTAGCCTGACACAAACTGCTGGAATCAAATAAAGGCCCTTCTCATCCACTTACAGCTCCTTTGCCAATCTATTTGTTGTTATCTGACAGTTGGACATGAACAATAGCTCTATCCATATTGTTGTTAATGGTGTAACTACTAAAAATATTTAGCCTGTGTTTACCCATGTGCTTTATTTACCCTATAAGTGCAGGAACCATGCCCATCTTCTTTACAGTTTTATTCTCTGCAACTACCACAATCTCTAATACATAAAAGTTCCTCTTTCTATTGCGCAAAGGAATGGTCAAGAAACAATTGCCCTTTATCTGCTTTGTACAGGGCCCATGTTTGATTCTAGGAAAGCAAAGTATATAAGAAAGAGAGCTTAGTGTCTAGGGTGGATCCAGCAGTAAAAGCAATCACTAAGTAGTACATATAGAAAGTATAGCCCTAGAGATATTCCCAGTGTGACAGAACAGATAAGGAGCATTTAAACTATCCTGGTCAGGAGGTAGGTGGGAGACAAGTGTCTATGTCCACTATTTAAAAATACGTGCTAGTAGACTTTAGATGTCACTTACACTTACCCAAAATACAGCTAAGATGTAGCTACATGAACTGGTGAAAAAATGCAGCTTTCTTATCCTTTAAAATCCCATGAATATAGCTTTCTTGCCTTCTGAAATTTCCTGAGAAGGACAGTATAATATTTATCTGTAATATAAGTAGTGTTTTGTGGAAGGATGATGGACACAGAATGTCTATCATTTTTCATCTTCCCTTTTCATTTATCCTTTTAATAAATATTTTTGAGCTTATATGCCAGGTAAGCATGTGAAGAACTGAGCCAGGTGCTGCTCGGGGCACTGGTGATAACTTCATCCCTGAGCTCCTGAAGCTTATGTTCTAGTTGAGGGAAGCTGAACAAATGTATGTAATTTCAGCTAGTGATAAGAACTACGAAGGCTAGGAAATAGAAAAGTATAGGTAAGAGGTTGGAAGGTGCTACTTTAGCTAGAGCAATAAGGAAAGAAGCCTCCAAAGAGGGGAGTCTGGATCTACAGCCTAAGTGGTGGAATGATTCAGCAGGTGAAAACCTGGGTAAGAGGAAGTGCAAAGTTCCTCAGTCAGGAACAAGAGTGCTATGATTAAGTGATAGAAATAGGATGTGTATGGCTGTAACAGAGAGAGACAGGGACAGCGGTGGGTAGGTAGGGGGTGGGAGAGAGAATGGTGAAAAAGTGGGCAAAGACTAGATCTATTTTTTAATCCCAAATTCAGCAATGTATTACAACCATCTTATATGTCAGCACTCTGATCCCGAGCATCTGGGCTAGTATTTAATAAATATTTGATGAATGATGTCTAGATAAATAAATCAATGAATAGATGAGTGAGTAAGCAGGTGAATGGGTGAATAAATGAAAGACATATACTGAGTAGCCATGTACTTGCTTCATTCCACAGCTGAAACTTATCTGGCCATATGCCCAGCCAGCTTCCTTAGGGTACCCACTTACTACCTATCCAAAAATTGTTTCTGTCACTAAGGAGGACAGAAGCCAAGTGAAACATGGCAAGGCACTTAGACAAACAAGCATCTCTTTACCTTGCTCCTACCAAAGTGCTCTCCCTGTTTGCTTTACAACACCAAGGTTTTGTCACAAAAAGAAGGAATGTGAACATTATGTAAAAATAAAAATTTGCAATAATTTAATCCCTTCTATTTGTATAATTATTTATAATTTACCAAGTATTTTACTTATATGTCTTTAGATGACACAGATAACCCTGATATATAGTAATTTTTATGCTATCTTACAGGTGGAGAAACACTTCCTTACAGAGATCACATGCAAAGAAGCTTAACTACAGCCCAGTTGTCTGGATTCCACTTTTGGTATTCTTCTTAGTATGGGGCATTCCACGGGACAGGTGCCACTTTGCTTAGGGAGGTACTTATGAGCACCTTCCATCAGGGGGAATAATTGCTTCACTACAAGAGCTACTCTTTCTACAAGAGTCCAAGTTAATCAAAGTAGTGGCAATAAAACTCAACATTCCTACCTTGGAATAGTTTTTCTTGCTTTTAACCTCCCTCCTTCAGAGAAGAGATGGTTATTGGCTAATATACTTTGTATGCACCCATTTCAGCAGGTTACTGTCTTAAATGCAATGAATACAATGAAAGGAAAAGAAAATTGGCTGCTGGGAACACATTGAGGCTGTTGTCTTAATTTGCATGTATGTTTATAAAAAGTATTGAACTGTATTATGAAAAAAACTACACATGATAGTGAGTTAAGATGTTGGAAAAGCTTCAGAGACCAAAAAAGAAAAGCTAAAGGTATTTAATTTGGTCATATCAACATGACTGTGTCATTTATATCAGGCACTTACCCATAGGCCCTATAGAAACAAGCATGAGTATTATTAAAAGCATTCATAGACCTCCAGTAAACTTTATTTGGTTTTAACTCTAAACCCTAAGTATGTTTTTTTCATAGTTGATTCTTCTTCTAATAACATTCATTAACCAGAATTTATGGTATTTATTTTGGCTAATATTTACTGAGCTCTTGCCATATGACAGGCACTGTGTAAACACTTTAATTGATATCTAATTTAATCTTCACCACGATCTTTGAAGTAGAAATCATTGATATTCTTATTTTGTAGATTAGGGAATCAAGGCACAAAAAGGTTAATCAACTCACCCAGGTTACACTACATGAAACAGGGATAGCGAGGACCAGTACTCAAGCAATCGCCAGATCACAACTTTAAATCTTTCATGATCACTCTAACTTCAGCCCTGAATGTGCAGAGATAAGAACAGTTAGCGAGTGAACTTACAGATTATACTTATAAAATGATTATTTTTAGGTTCATGGTCCTTCCATACAGGTTATACTGTAGTATGGAATACTATGCTGCCATAAAAAAGAATAAGATCATGTCTTTTGCAGGGACATGAATGGAGCTGGAGGCCATTATTCTTAGCAAACTAATGTCAGAACAGAAAGCCAAATACTGCATGTTCTCACTTATAGGTGGGAGCTAAATGATAAGAATACATAGGCACATAGAGGGGAACAACACACACTGGAGCCTATCCGAGAGTGGAGGGTGGGAGAAGGAAAAGAATCAAGAAAAATAACTAATGGGAACTAGGCTTAATACCTGAGTGATTAAATAATCTGGACAACAACCCCACATGACACAAGTTTACCTATGTAACAAACCTGTACATGTACCCCCAAAGTTAAAATAAAAGTTATCAAAAAAGTGACCTAATGATATCTTATTTTCAAAATACCCACTCTCTGTTCTACATTCAATTCACAAGGTATTTTAGAGACTAGACTATTGTCCTCTTACATAGAGCTAATAATTCACTAAAGTTTCCTTGAATCTGTTTACTTGGCTTGAGTTCTTTTTTAAAATTTAATTTTGTAAAAAATTTCTGTGCATACATAGTAGTCATACATATTTAAGGGGTAACTGACATATTTTGATACAGGAATACAATGCATAATAATCACATCAGGGTAAATGGAGTATCCATCATCTCAAGCATTTATCCTTTCTCTTTGTTACAAACATTCCAATTATGCTCTATATTTTAAAATGCACGTTGGTTTACTGTTGACTGTAGTCACCCTGTTGTGTTATCAAATACTAAAGTTTATTCATCCTATTTAACTATATTTTTGTACCTGTTAATCACCCCCACTTCCCACCCCCAACCACTACCCTTCCCAGCCTCTGATCACCTTCTTTCTACTCTCTATATGCATGAGTTCAATTATTTTAAAATTTACTCCCATAAATGACTGAGAACATGCAAAATTTGTCTTTCTGTGCCTAGCTTATTTCACTTAACATAATGTCCTCCAGTTCCAACCATGTTGTTGCAAATGACAGGATCTCATTCTTTTTATGGCTGAATAAGTACTCCCTTGTGTATATGTACCACATTTTCTTTATCCACTTTATCCACGTTTCTGTCAATGAACATGTAGGTTGCTTCCAAATCTTGGCTAGTGCGAATGGTGCTGCAATAAACATGGGAGTGCAGATATCTCTTCCACATACTGATTTATTTCCTTTGGATAAATATCCAGTAGTGGAATTGCTAGAACATGTAATAGTTCTATCTTCAGATTTTTGAAGAAACTCCATACAGTTCTCCATAGTGGTTGTACTAATTTACATTCCACCAACAATGTATGAGGGTTCCCTTTTCTCCACGTCAGCCCCATTATTCATTATTGCTTATCCTTTTGATAAAAGCCATTTTTACTGGGATGAAATGATATCTCATTGTACTTTTGATTTTCATTTCTCTGATGATCAGTAATGTTGAGCTCTTTTCCATATGCCTGTTTTCTGTTTGAATGTTTTCTTTTGAGATGTGTTTATTATGATTTTTTGCCCATTATTTAATAAGATTATTTGATTTTTTTCCTGTAGACTTGTTTGAGCTCCTTGTATATTCCAGGTAAGAATCCCTTGTCAGGATGGAGGAATATTTACCAAGCAAATGGAAAGCAAAAAAAAGCAAGAGTTGCAATCCTAATCTCTGAAAAAACAAACTTTAAACTAACAAAGATCAAAAGAGACAAAGAAGGGCATTACATAATGGTAAAGGGATCAATGCAACAAGAAGAGCTAACTATCCTAAATAAATATGCACCCAACACAGGAGCACCCAGATTCATAAAGCAAGTTCTTAGAAACCTACAAAGAGACTTAGACTCCCATACAATAATAGTGGGAGACTTTAACACCCCATTGTCAATATTAGACAGATCAATCAGACAGAAAATTAACAAGGATATTCAGGACGTGAACTCAGTTCTGGACCAAGCAGACCTAATAGACATCTACAGAATTCTCCACCCCAAATGAACAGAATATACATTCTTCTCAGCACCAAATCACACTTATTCTAAAATTGACCACATAATTGAAGGTAAAACACTCCTCAGAAAATGCAAAAAAAAATAAAAATAAAAAAAAAAACAAAAAAAAACACAGAAATTATAACAAACAGTCTCTCAGACCACAGTGTAATCAAACTAGAACTCAGGATTAAGAAACTCACTCAAAACTGCACAACTACATGGAAACTGAACAACCTGCTCCTGAATGACCACTGGGTAAATAATGAAATGAAGGCAGAAATAAAGATGTTCTTTGAAACTAATGAGAACAAAGACACAACATACCAGAATCTCTGGGACACATTTAAAGCAGGTGTGTAGATGGAAATTTATAGCACTGAATGCCCACAAGAGAAAGCAGGGAAGATCTGAAATTGACACCCTAACATCACAATTAAAAGAACTAGAGAAGCAACGGCAAACAAATTCAAAAGCCAGCAGAAGACAAGAAATAAATAAGAACAGAGCAGAACTAAAGGAGACAAAGACACTTAAAACCCTTCAAAAAAAATCAATGAATCCAGGAACTGGCTTTTTGAAAAGATCAACAAAATAGACCTCTAGCCAGACTAATAAAGAAGAAAAGAGAGAAGAATCAAATAGATGCAACAAAAAATGCTAAAGGGGTTATCACCACCGATCTCGCAGAAATACAAACTACCATCAGAGAATACTATAAACACCTAAATCTACAATAAATGGATAAATTCCTGGACATATACACCCTCCCAAGACTAAACTAGAAAGAAGTCAAATCCCTGAATAGACCAATAACAAGTTCTGAATTGGCAGCAATTAATAGCTTACCAACCAAAAAAATCCAGGACCAGATGGATTCACAGCCAAATTCTACCAGAGGTACAAAGAGGAGCTGGTACCATTCCTTCTGAAACTATTCCAATCAAAAGAAAAGGAGGGAATCCTCCCTAACTCATTTCATGAGGCCAGCATCATCCTAATACCAAAACCTGGCAGGACACAACAAAAAAAGAAAATTTCAGGCCAATATCCCTGAAGAACACTGATGCAAAAATCCTTAATAAAATACAGGCAAATTGAATCCCAGCAGCACATCAAAAAGCTTATCCACCACGATCAAGTCAGCTTCATCCCTGGCATGCAAGGCTGCTTCAACAAACACAAACCAATAAACGTAAACATTATATAAACAAAACCAATGACAAAAACCACATAATTATCTCAAGAGAGGCAGAAAACCTTTCAACAAAATTCAACAACCCTTCATGCTAAAAACTCTCAATAAACTAGGTATCAATGGAACATATCTCAAAATAATAAGAGCTATTTATGACAAACCCACAGTCAATATCATACTGAATGGGCAAAAACCGGAAGCATTCCCTTTATAAACCAGCACAAGACAAGAATGCCCTCTCTCACCACTCCTGTTCAATATAGTATTGGAAGTTCTGTCCAGGACAATCAGGCAAAAGGAAGAAATGAAGGGTATTCAAATAGGGAGAGAGGAAGGCAAATTGTCTCTGTTTGCAGATGACATGATTGTATCTTTAGAAAACCCCATCATCTCAGCCCAACATCTCCTTAAGCTGATAACCAACTTCAGCAAAGTCTCAGGATATAAAATCAGTGTGCAAAAATCACAAGCATTCCTATACACCAATAACAGACAAACAGAGAGCCAAATCATGAGTGAACTCCCATTCACAATTGCTACTAAGAGAATAAAATACCTAGGAATACAACTTACAAGGGATGTGAAGGAACTCTTCAAGGAGAACTACAAACCACTGCTCAAGGAAATAAGATAGGATACAAACAAATAGAAAAACAACCCATGTTCATGGATAGGAAGAATCAATATTGTGAAAATGGCCATACTGCCCAAAGTAATTTATAGATTCAATGCTATCCCCATCAAGCTACCATTGACTTTCTTCACAGAATTGGAAAAAACTACTTTAAACTTTGTATGTAACCAAAAAAGAGCCCACATAGTCAAGACAATCCTAAGCAAAAAGAACAAAGCTGGTGGCATCACACTACCTGACTTCAAACTATACTACAAGGCTACAGTAACCAAAACAGCATGGTACTGGTAACAAAACAGAGATACAGACCAATGGAACAGAATAGAGGCCTCAGAAATAACACCACACATCTACAACCATCTGATCTTTGACAAACCTGACACAAGCAGGCAATGGGGAAAACATTCCCTATTTAATAAATAGTGTTAGGAAAACTGGCTAGCCATATGCAGAAAACTGAAACTGGACCCCTTCCTTACACCTTATACAAAAAATCAACTTAAGATGGATTAAAGACTTAAACCTAAGACCTAAAACCATAAAAATCCTAGAAGAAAAACCTAGGCAGTACCATTCAGGACATAGGCATGGGCGAAGACTTCATGTCTAAAACACCAAAAGCAATGGCAACAAAAGCCAAAATTGACAAATGGGATCTAATTAAACTAAAGAGCTTCTGCACAGCAAAAGAAACTACCATCAGAGTGAACAGACAACCTACAGAATGGGAGAAAATTTTTGCAATCTATCCATCTGACAAAGGGCTAATATCCAGAGTCTACAAAGAACTTAAACAAATTTACAAGAAAAAAACAACCCCATCAAAAAGTGGGCAAAGGTTATGAACAGACACTTCTCAAAAGAAGACATTTATGCAGCCAACAGACACATGAACAAATGCTCATCATCACTTGTCATTAGAGAAATGCAAATCAAAACCACAGTGATATACCATCTCACACCAGTTAGAATGCCGATCATTAAAAAGTCAGGAAACAATGACTTTTTTCCTGGAGAGGATGTGGAGAAATAGGAACACTTTTACACTGTTGGTGGGAGTGTAAATTAGTTCAACCATTGTGGAAGACAGTGTGGTGATTCCTCAATTATCTAGAGGTAGAAATACCACTTGACACAGCAATCCCATTACTGGGTATATACCCAAAGGATTATGAATCATTCTAGTATGAAGACACATGCACACTGCACACGTATGTTTATTGCGGCACTATTCACAATAGCAAAGACTTAAAACCAACACAAATGTCCACCAATAATAGACTGGAAGAAAATGTGGCACATATACACCATGGAATACTACACAGCCATAAGAAAGGATGAGTTCTTGTCCTTTGCAGGGACATGGATAAAGCTGGAAACCATCATTCTCAGCAAACTATCACAAGAACAGAAAACCAAACACCGCATGTTCTCATTCATAAATGGGAGTTGAACAATGAGAACACATGGACACAGGAGGGGAACATCACACACTGGGGCCTGTCAGGAGGTGGGGGGCCAGGGGAGGAATAGCATTAGGAGAAAAACCTAATGTAGGTAACGGGTTGATGGGTGTAGCAAACCACCATGGCACGTGTATACCTATGTAACAAAACTGCACATTCTGCACATGTACCCCAGAACTTAAAGTGTAATAGTAAGTAAAAGAATTCCTTGTCAGATGGATAGACTGTAAATATTTTCTCCCATTCTGTGGGTTGTTTCTTCACTTAGTTGATCGTTTCCTTCGCAGTGCAAAAGCTTTTTAACTTGATGTGATCCCATTTGTGAATTCTGGCTTTGATAACCTATTCTTGTGGAGTATTACTCAAGAAACCTTTGCCCAGACCAGTATCCTGGAGAGATTCCTCAATGTTTTCTAAAATTTAAATATTGTGGAGGTCTTAGATTTACTCTTAGTTTGAGGTCTTAGTTTAAGGTCTTAGATTTAAGTCTTTATTTCCTTTTGATTTTATTTTGTTGGCACTCCATTGTATGTTATTTGTTTCTTTTCTATTGCTACTGTTGGGATACTTTCTTTATCCTTGACGTTTGGGAGTTTGATTATTAAATGTCTTGAGGTACAGTCTTATTTAGGTTAAATATGTTTGATGTTCTATAAACCTTGTATTTGAATATTGATATATTTCTCTAGGTTTGGGAAGTTCTCTGTTATTATCCTTTCGAATAAACTTTCTACCCCAATCTATCTCTCCACTTCCTCTTTATGGCCAATAACTGTTAGATTTGCCCTTTTGAGGCTATTTTCTACATCTTGTAGGCAGCCTTCATTCTTTTTTATTCCTTTTTCTTTTTGTCACTTCTGACTGTGCATTTTCAAATAGCCTACCTTCAAGCTCACTAATTCTTTCTTTTTCTTGGCCAATTCTGCTGTTAAGCAATTCTGATGTGTTATTCAGTATGTCAGTTGCATTTTTCAACTTCAGAATTTCTGCCTGATTCTTTTTAATTAGTTCAATTTCTTTGTTAAATTTCTCTGGTAAGATTCTGAATTCTTTGTCTGTTATCTTAAGATTCATTGAATTTCCTCAAAACAACTATTTTAAATTATCTGTCTGAAAGGTCACATATCCTTGTCTCTCCAGGATTGGTCAATGGTGCCTTATTTAGTTCATTTGGTGAGGTCATGTTTTCCTGGATAGTCTTGATATTTGTGGGTGTTTGTCAATGTCTGGGCATTGAAGGGTTAGGTATTTATTTTTGTCTTTGCAATCTGGGCTCGTTTGTACCCATCTTTTTTGGGAAGACTTTCTAGGTATTAGAAGGGACTCGAGTGTTGTGATCTAAGTTTTTGGTCTCTGCAGCCATATCTGCATTAGGGGGCATCCCAAACCCAGAAACACTGTGGCTCTTGAAGACTTGTTGAAGTACTGCCTTGGTTGTCTTGGCTAAGATCTGGGAGAATTACCTGGAATACCAGGCAGAGACTCTTGTTCTCTTCCCTTACTTTCTCCCACCAAACATCAGTTCCCTCTGTGTGCTGAGCTGCCTGGAGCTGGGGGATGGCTCACCAAGCACCCCTGTGGCCATCGCCACTGAAACTGCACTGGGCAGGCCAGAAGTCAGCAAAGTACTGGATCTCATCCAAGGTCCATAGCAACTACTGACTGGCTACTGCTCACATTTGCTTAAAGCCCTAGGGCTCTACAATCAGCAGGCAGTGAAGCCAGCCAGGCTTGTGTTCTTCCCTTTAGGGTGACAAGTTCCTCCTGGTTCCAGGCAGGTCCATAGATGCTGTACAGCAGCCAGGGTCTGGAGTCAGAAACTTTAGAAATCTACCTGGTGCTCTATTCTACTGAGGCTGAGTTGGCACCGAAGCCACAGGAAAAAGTCGGTTGCAACCTTCTTTTCCCTTTTCACAAGCAGAGGTATCTCTTTCTGTGGCCACCCCTGCCCCAAGCCCATGGTGAGTACTGCCTGGAAACCATCGATGTTCATTCAAGGTCCAAGGGTTCTTCAGTCAGCTTGTTGTGAATGCTGCCAGACATGGGACTCACTTTTCCGAGCAGTGGTTCTCCTCTGGCCCAGGACAGGTCCAGAAATGCCATCCAAGAGCCAAGGCCTAGAATCAGGGACCTGAAGAGCCTGCCATGCACTCTACCCCACTGTAGCCAAGCTAGTACCTGAGTTGATTCTTGGTTCTTATGAAGGTGCTTTTTTGTGTGGATAGTTGTTCAGCTTGGTAGTCCTGTGGGGAAGACAATTGGTGCAGGCTTCTAGTCAGCCATCTTGCACTGCCTCCTCCTGTTTATATCACTTAATTCAGCTGTTTTAAAAACAGTGGCTCTTTCTGCAGCTGCTTTCAGGTGGGCTAAAAACAATCGAATTTTATTTTTTTAATTGACAAGTAATAATTGTAGATAGTCCTAAGATATTTTGTGATGTTTTGAACTATATGATGTATAATAATCAGATTAAGGTAATTAGCACATTTCAGCTCTTATTTTACCCATGATAAATTCTTCATTTACAAGGATGAATATTCCACAAATTCTCTTATCAGAGAGTTGGCCTACAACATAAGGTTATTTTTGTTTTTGTAAGAAAGAATGACCACCATCATAATTGACAAACCATACTCTTGTTTATTTTCTCCTCTCTCACCAATAATTGAGTTTCAGTAATAAATAATAAATGTGATTTATATAACTAATTTGTACAGAGCATCAACAAAATATCTTAAAGATCAGGCACATTTATAAAAGAAACTAGCACTTACTTGGAACTTTTTCTCTACCTGTCACCAGTCTAAGAACTTTACATAACGCACTTTCCAATTTCATTTTGAAACTAGCCTGTCAGGTAGATATTATTATTCCCATTCTGCAGAAAAGAAAACTGGAATGTTCTCACAGTAAGAAAAAAAAATATCATTCAAACTCATGTCTTTCTAACACTGAAACTTATATTCATTCCTCTTCACTGGAAGGCTAAACATCTGTAGAAGAAATAATGAGAAGATGACTCTGAATGATATTTGTATGATGAAGGAAAGAAGTGTTTCCACAATAAGTAAAAATACTGGATATTATGAGGGAATGTGAGAGAATAAAGTATAAAATTGATGTCAGAAGAGTACTGGAGATCATCCAAATTATAGTAATTTTCATTATTTTGTAACAAATGGAAGATGAAGAGAACCTGAGGCAAGGCAGTGCAAATATAGGGAAGAGAGAAGGAGAAAGAGTCAGGAGATGTGCATGGCATAGATCAATGTAGAGACAACTGCGTTAAAAAGTGCCACATACGGAGCAACCAATAAGCACTGGTTAACTTGCTTTCCCACTCGGAGTGCAACAGTTTTTACTGAAATTATCGGTTGGATCCTGATATTGAGTTCAGGGCACTTTCTAAAAAGTGTACCTGGGCATTAGTTTTTGTTGTTTGCTAAATTTGGAAATTTTAAAGCAGTTTTGTATAGAGCAACTTAATTCACACAACAGAATGCTTATTAACGGTAAGCCTAAATATATGTTCATATGCTATCGGTTCATATGCAGCAGTCAGTTTGGTCTTCTATAACAAATTATCATAGACTGGTTGGCTTAAACAGCAAACATTTATTTCTCACAGTTTTGGAGGCTAGAAAATCCAAGATCAAGGTACCTGCAAACCAAGTGTGTGGTGAGGGCTCTTCCTGGCTCACAAATGGCCACCTTCTTGTTGTATTCTTACATGGCAGAGAGAGAGAGAGAGATCTATGCCTCTTTTTTTTTTGTTTGTTTCATCTAATTTTTTTATCATTTTCAAATTGACACATGATAATTGTATATGGGATACAATGTTATCTTTTGATCCATGTATACATTGTAGAAAGATTAAATCAAGCCAGTTTATCCCTTACATTGTGGTGAGAATGTTTAAAATCTATTTATAATCAATTAAAAAATATACAATACCTTATTATTAAGTATAGTCACTATATAGTACAATAGATCACAAAAATGTATTCCTTCATTCTAACTGAACTGAAACTTTGTAGTCTTTAACCAATATGTCCTTTTTTCCCATCCCACTCTTCTCTGCTCTCCCCACTTAATTAGCCTCTAGCAACCAACTTTCTACTCTGTTTCTGAGACTGATTTTTTTAGATTCCACGTATAAGTGAGATCATGCAGTATTTGTCTTTTTTGTGCCTGGCTTATCTCACTTAGCATAATGTCGTTGAGAGCATTAACCTCATCATGACGGTCCCACCCTCATGGCCTAATCCAACTCTAAGCCCTCACCTCCAAACACCATCACATTGGTAGACAGGATTTCAACATATGAACTCTGGGGAGACACAAACATTAAGTCCATAACACATGCCAACCAAATAATAGTTGTATTTTAACTGTCTAGGTATAAACTGTATTGTAGTACTATTCTTAGATGTCAGTTCTTACTCAATGACATGAAAACCTTAGCCAGATACATCTAAAAAAATGTTTTGGTCTTGGTTGTCTAGCTCCTCTTTTGTAGCTTATTTGTTTGTGTGTGTGCACATGTGCGTGTATCCATACATGAGTTCTGCTATGTATTTTATGCTAGACAACGTCCTGTGGTGGTTGTTCTCAACTGGGTATCTATGCCTACCTGAACTGAATGTGTTAATTACAGAGTGCTGTCAATTCTTCAGTCTGCAATTATCAACGTTCTTCAACTATGATATTTCCATAGCTTTAGCAACATAGATCTGTGCAAATATGGTACCTGAGAAGATGGAACATCCTTCCAAACATGCACTGGGAATCACCTCATCACACATGACTATTTTGAGCAGGATTTTATATGCTGCCATGAATTTTGATAGGAGAAAAACTTCTGTTCTCTTAAATCTCTATTTAAAAAAGAGAGAGGGAGGCAAGAAGAAAAAAAAGCAAGCCTGCAATTATCTACTTTTTTATACAATCAAATGTTTCCTACACTTACAGCAGCTATAGTTAAAGAAGTCCATGTACTAATTAATTTGAATTTGCTGTTTCATCATTGCATGCCAATTTATAGACAATACAAGCACACACAAAATTAAGTTCCTTGAACATAGTTAGACTTAAACCAATGTTAATTTTTATTTCCTTTCAAAGTCATTATCTGCTTTTAGATTGGACTTTCATTTTGTAACAAAGAGAATAATTTTTTAAAATTATATTTTTTAAAAATAGAGAAAGTTGGCTGTTTTTGATGGCCCACAGAAAAACTAAAATATAATTAAGGGAGAACAGATACATAGGTATGAAACTTGGTTGGGTACTTTCACTGATACTTGCACAAATTACATATTTACCTATGTTATGCCACTTCTAGAAGATGCTTGTTTAATATATAACATTATCTTTTACTGTTTTCACCTTAATTTAATTTCAAAAAATCTTTTTATAAATGGCTAGTATGTTTTGTAAATTCATGCATTCAACAAATGACCATCCACAGATACTGCATGCAAGGCTCTGTGCTGTCCTCTAGATGATGCAGAGATGGTTGATTTCTGGAATCTACCCACAGATGCCAGATTTACAAGAGGATAATAAAGTTTAAACATGTTCAATACCAAAGATGGTTTTTGGTAATACCCTGCAAAAGTTTAGACAAGACAGAAGGCTGATATTTTCAGGAAAGCAAAAAATAAATAAATAAATAAAATAAAATAAAATTTAAAATAATTCATGCTTTTGTTCCAGAAACATCAAAAAACAGATTTCTTTATTAGCTCATTCTGAGTTGCAAATTTTTTCTGGATGATTTTTTTGTGGTTGCAGCTCACTTGGCATCAGCTCCCTTTTTCTGCCAGCACAGCCAAGGTATTCCACGCGTTCACTGTAAATGGAAGTTTATACTGTGCTGGTGGACTGAGATTCCAGGAAGGAGGGCCTCCATGACATGGACAGACCTAGCTTTGTGGCACAAAGCACAACAGCTAAGTCAAATGAAAGCTTACAGTGGATGATAAAAAATAAATTCAGTCAAACAAATATGTTCTCCTAACTGCTGTAGCAAACTTCTTTCTTTCTCCTGGCTGCCAGCTCTTTTCAAAGATGATTCCCAAAGGCTTTTTTCCTTTGTTTAGGTTTCGTATGGGGTAAATTAATTCATGATTTGTTGTTAAAAAACAGTAAAAACAAAGTAAAACACACACACACACACACAAACACACAAACACCTCTTTCCCTAGTCTTCCTCAAAATACCCACAGGAACCCACCCAATAGAATGGCCTGAAACAAAATACTTTTGTTCAAAGCCAGCAAGTCTGGCAAAGCTGCAAGCTCTGCCCATAGCTACCTGTATCATGGGTAGCTGCAGAGAAATATGCAAACTGGCAAACTGGGTACCTTTTACTGTTTTACAACAATATGTTTTATTGTTCTCTCGCTAAGTTCTTTGCCAAGGGCAAAGAGTACTGAAGTAGCTAGCAACAGCCCAGACACAGCTGTCAGCATGAGCCTTACCACTTCTGGCATTGCTTTTTTAGCCAAGAGGCACTGCAATTGCTTACCAATAAGTTGTGATGAGTTGATAATGCAAGTAGACTAGATCATAAATATTTTAGTATTTAAGCATGCTTTTTCATTTACGGTGACTTAGTGCTGCAATGGCAAAGGACTTTCCCCTAGGATAGGCAATTAGGGATAGGTGGAAATGCATATTAGAACATTTATGATAATGAGAAAACTACTTTTAATTGAGTACATTAAGGCTGATCTACAATGATTAAAGCAAAACTCTATTCAAAATGAAGCTTTATTATCACATTTTAAAACCTATACTATGAAACAATTTTTAACTGAAAAATATTTATAAAATACAACTTTGCATCTCTAGTAACATCAAAACCAAAGTGAATTATCTGAAATGAACAAGAATGGGTAGGAAAAAGAAATTGATTACATATGACTAGCAGCAATTGATATAAAGCTACTCAATACGTTAATGGATCTCTGTACTGAATTTTCATCCACTCTTTAGGAATTCTCATTTAGTGTTTGATACTTCTGAATATTGTATTTAAGGATATTTCATTAAGGCTGGATTGTTTACAACAGTCGTAATTATTGTCCCATTCTCTAGATAACTCTGACACCATGGGTGATGACGCTCTGTATGAAACTTTGCATAAGGCTTTCCCTGCTTGCCTCTCTTGCAGGCAGTGTGAGTGACCCTCTCTCCCTATGTATGCATTTAATTCTTCCTCCCCTTACACTCACTTCCTAACCCTACTCCTCTTCTTACTGTTTCAGATCTAAGCTCTCAAAAACCCCTAAGGAAAAAAAAAGGCAAAGGCACATGTAGCTTTGTCAGTGCATTGGAGGGTATGAGACAGGGTTTGAATGCTAATTCGGCTACCCACTCTAAAATGAGGCTAATGATACTGCACAGTGTGGTTGGGAGATGAAATAACACATGCAAGGGCTTTTAAAATTTTAATGTGCAGAGAAATAGAAAACATTATTCTATTTCAATTCTGAAGAAAAATATGTAAATATGTCACATTTTGTCCCTTGATCAGCAATGGTTCCAAATCAAGAGTGTCTTAACTATGCCTGTTTCCCTCATAAATTTTACATAAAGTTCTGAAAATATTGCCACCATTTTATAAAGGAATGGACGGCAATCAAGGCAGAAACTGTTTGGAAAATAGAGGTTTGTTTGTTTACTTGAGGTGGAAACAATTCTCTCATCTATGTGTTGTTTATTCTCTTCAGTGAACATTTTCCTCTTTGTATCTCGGTTCTAAAGCCTCTCTGAGAACGTATATTTCAAAAGCACATGAAATAAAATCACATCGATCCTCTGTTTTACTTCATCTTGTTTGGGTGGGAGGAGATTTAATTTATATATGGTTGTGATTTTCATCATCTATCTTATGAAGCACCGTTTGGTTTTATTTGTGGGTTAGTTTCATCCTTAATACTCTTAAAAATAAAAGGGATATATGTTTTTGGTTATGTTTTGGGGGTTCTTTTCAAGCTATACTTTAATCAATGACTTCTCACATCAGTAAATGTGATAAAACTTCAATACCCAATCAACTTGTAATAATCCAAAAAAGAAAATGCTAGCCTGGATCAGCTAGGTGACTCTTTTAAACATAGAATTGAAGATAATGTGTTAAAGCCAATGCCTGATTTAAGGTATCTCCACAGTTGCTCCGATAATTCTGTTTTGAAGCACTAGATGGCACTATGAATTCACTTAATTTGGAACCAAACTAGCCCATCCATAATTTCAAAGAGAAAAAAAGATGAGACTTTTCCTTAACTGATTTGATAGTCTGACACATATGCTTAAGGAAATGAATTTATATGATGTAACAGTTATTTCATTAAGTCTCAGTGAAAAAAAGCATTCTCTTTTGGCAAGGAAAATGTGACTGTTTCTACAAACACAAACCAGTCAAATCAGCACTCAAAATCTAGTCAGAGAAAAAAAGAAAGTCAGACATGCTTGTTGGGCAACTTGACTGCTTTTTGACTGACTTAAATATTTTCTTGACTACTTGACAGTCAAAACAGTCAAGCCAGTTTGTGTGTGTCAATACAGACTGTACTTTATATGTTACAAAGTGAATGTCTATGTTTGTTAGATTTCTTTCCTGCCATCTTTGTAGTCTGGCTGGTTAGCTCAGCTGGTTAAGGCAGTCTACTAATGAGGCCAAGGTCACTCTGGTTTCCATTCCTGCCTTGGGGGATATGTTCTCCTCACAGAGGGAAAGGCTGCTCTTTGGCTAGGAACTGCATTCTTCACTCTGGACAGCCATCTCACAAATGCCTGATCTTAAAAGATTACTGCATATGGAAGTCTACATGATCAGAATAAACACATCATTATAAGAAGATAAAAACAACTCAAATTGTATATTGTATTAACAGCAGAACCACGATGTCATTTTTCTAAAGAAAGGACTCAAGAGAGTCCTTCTAAAATCAGCTTCATTAACTAGCGAAATTCTATTTCTTGTCCATCCATTCAAATATTGTATATTGTCAAGAACTTGCTTAGGCAGAGAGCTAGCTACTGGAGAATAGAGTAAGGAATAGCCTGTATCACAATGACTTCACAATATAGTGAGGAAGATAAACAAGCAAACAAATATTAGATAATGTGATAAATACTACTATAAAGGTATATACATAAACTTCCAAGGAAGGGAAAATAAAGTCTAATTTCCAGGCAGTTATATGAGCTAGATCTCAAAGAACTGACATGAATTCAACTACAGTATATGGAAAAGGGAATTCCAGGTGAAGAAATAGTGTGTGAAGACAGAGAGATGTCTGAGTGGCATGTCTGCAAACAGAGAAGTGTTTCCTGTGCCTAGAATTTTGAGTATGTGGTAAGAAGTGGCAAGAGCTGAGCTGGTAAGATAAGAGATCTAAATAAAATCAAGGGAGTTTTCCATAACCTAAAAACTTTATGAAATCCAAAGTCTAAAATAAATATTCAGGAGTTCCTGCTAATAAAAACAATTGATTAAATAAGAAAATGGGGGGAGATTAGACACATCTTTTGTCCAAAGAATCCCAAATTATGCAGAAAAGTCACCCCACCCAAGAAGGTGGAGCATAACTCCTCACTCCATGTAAGTCATACGGTGACTTCCTTCTAAACGGCACAATTCAGAAAAAGTGGGGAGGAATAACTTTACCATAGACAAACTTGACAAACACACCTCAGCCAGGTGATCAAGGTTAACATTAATAGTGATAAGTCATTTTGATTGTACTTTATGGCTATGGTCTTCCTCCCCAAAACTCATAAACCCAACCTAACCATGATATCAGGCAAATCCCAACTGAGGTACATTGGACAAGATACCAGTACTCCTTAGCTAGGCATGATGGCACATGCCTTTGGTCCTAGCTACTCAGAAGGGTGAGGCAGGAGGATTGCTTAAGCTCAGGAGTTTGAGGCCAGTCTAAGGCAGTACATCAAGACCCCATTACTATGTAAAAAAAAAAAACAGATTTAAATATACTTATTTTTTTAAATGCAACTACATCTCAAAATTTTCATAGTCATCAAAAATTGTCACAGTCAAGTGGAACCTAAGAAAACATGACAGTTAACCTATATATGACAATCTGGATAGGATCCCAGAAAAGAAAAAAAGCAGTAAGTTAAAAACCAAGGAAATCTGAATAAAACAAGGACTTTACTTAATAATGTAGCAATATTCATTCATTAATTGTGACAAATGTACCATACCAATATATGATGTTGATAATAGGAGACACAGAGTATGAGATATATGAGACCTTCCTGTACTATCTTTACATTTTTTCTGCAAATATAAAGCTGTTCTAAAAAAATCTGAGTCAAAAATTGTCATTTTGAATAAAATTAACATACTATTTTTCAAAAAATACATCCAGACAATGGAATATTACTCTGCACTAAAAAGAAGTGAGCTATCAAGCCATAAAAAGACATAGAAGAAACTGAAATACATTACTAAGTGATAGGAGCCTATCTGAAAAGGCTATGTATGATTCCTACTATATGACATTCTGTAGAAAAAGCAAACTATGGACGACAAAAAGATCAGTAGTTGTCAGGGATTGGGGCAGGGAGGGAATGAATAGGCAGAGCACAGAGGATTTTAGGGCAGTGAAACTATTGTGTATGATACTACAACGGTGGATACCTGTCATTATGTATTTGTCCAAACTCATAGAATAGTCAACACCAAGATAAACTCTTACACATATTATGGACTTTTCGTGATAAAGGTGTGTCAATGTAGTTCATAAATTATAACAAATGTGTCACTCTGATGGGAGATAATGCTGAAGGCTATGCTTGTGTGTGGGTAACAGGCACATGGGAAATCTCTGCACATTTCTCTCAATTTTGCTATGAACCTAAAACTGCACCAGAGACAGGGAAGAAACATAATGAAAAGGAGAATTGTAAAGCTTCCAAGAGTGATTACTCTTTCTTCATGAGCCAACATGGCCCATTATACTTAATGAATATGAACAAGACAAACTCAGTTCACATATTTCCAGATGATGAAATGAAGGTTCAGAACCATTGCTTCCACAGTTGTGGCAGTGGCAGAGGAACAGTGGCCTCAGGGCCTGTACTGCAAAATGTATTCCCTGTACATTGTGTTCTATGCGAATGGTGTCCCTTGGAGTTGTACCATCTGGTAGAATTGCAGAGGTCATACCAAATCCAGATCTTTTGAATTCTAATTCTGTTTACTTGTTCCTCATTAGGGACAACTGGATAAGAACTAAAAATATGTGGGAGTGTTCTGACACCCATGCATTCAGTGACATATTTTATTATTGCAAAAAAGCATTTTTTTTCTAGATTCTTTTTTGCTCACTCTGCAACTTACACTGGAAGTAAGAATACCATCAGTGCACCACCCAAGGGCAAAATCATGATGCATTTCTGAGTCAGCAATTGGGGGGAAATGCATTCATTTCTAGCAATACCTACTGAGCAATGCTCAGTGACAGTTCCTTAATACTGAGAAAAATGTTGAACTACTATTTATTATTGCTTTCAGTACATTTATGTTATTCAATTTGTCTACCTACTTGGTATTTATTTCTTTATCTGTTGGAAAGTTTCTTTCATCTTAGATATCATATTGAAAATTTTGATTAGCCTTTGAGTCAGTAGTTTTCAATTATTTTGGCAGTGAGCACTAAGAAATATTTTACATAGTGATCCAGTAGATAGATTCAAAGAAGCATAGCACACATTTAACTAAAATAAATATTTCACAGAACATGTAAATACAAATGATTCCTTTGTGCAATTACTCATATTCTCTTTGATTCTATTGTCATTCATTATTAAGTGCTGACTTAGACTCACAATGATCATGTCGTGACTTAGTTTAAAGAATATCTCCTTGAATATTAATTCACAAAATATACCCCCCATGCCACTACCAGGCTAAAATGCTATATTTTTAAAAAAATATTTTATATATTAGGTTTTATACTAACAATACTAAATAATGCTAGGTATATATTTAAGTTTGTAAAGCATTTTATTGAATAAAATAAATGAATGAACTTTCTAAGTTAAATGATTGAACACTTTGATAGCCAACTAAATAATTTTAACATGCCTTAGATACAGAGTTTGTATTATCTAAAAATGATGCTAAATATGTCATTAGCAAAATTTTATAAATCTAAACAGGTTTTTTTTTGTTTGTTTTTTGTGTTTGTGTGTTTGTTTTTTGAGATGGAGTCTTGCTCTGTCACTCAGACTGGAGTACAGTGGTACAATCTCTGCTCACTATAACCTAGGCCTCCCAGGTTCAAGCAACTGTCCTGCCTCAGCCTCCCAAGTAGCTGGGATTACAGGTGCCCACCACCACGCCTGGCTAATTTTTGTATTTTTAGTAGACACGGGGTTTCACCATGTTGGCTAGGCTGGTCTCAAACTCCTGACCTTAGGCAATCCACCCGCCACAGCCTCCCAAAGTGCTGGGATTACAGGTGTGAGCCACCACGCCCAGCCCTAAAAAAGTTTCAAACAATTGCCTTAACTTTGGAAATAGTATTTTACAGAATGCCTCAAAATGCTAGTATACTAAATATTCTAAAATGTAATTTAATAACCATTAGTTAATATAATACATGTCAATTCATTTTGATTTTATAAAAATTGCTAAATGACATGGATCCTAATTGTGTAATATACTTTGTTCAGAAATATATTGTAAAATGACTGGAAGGACTATCAATACTAATAAATACATGTAAGTTACAACAAACTATAGATTAAATCTATGTGATTCTTGTCTTCGACACAAACTTGAGTCTTGATTTGCTTTCAGATGAAAATTCCAAAAACTAATGCTTCAGAGTTTCAAGATAAGAATTTCTAAACTTCTCTCTTCCTTTTCTGCTTTCAACCTCTCTTCTCTTCTATTCTGTCTTTTTACTATTCCTTCCATTCTCTATCTTCCTCCTTTCCTTCCCAAATATTTTAATTCAAAAGCCAAGGGGCCCAGGAAGGTAGGCATCTGCCCGAGGTGAGGGATAGGTCTGCAGGGGCCACAGCAGCCCAGGGTGAGATACTGGAGCTGGAGTAAGAAGAGGAAAACAGCCATATTCAAGGTGGGGATGATGATGTACACAGAAGCACTCTTTAACAAGATGCTTTAGTTCTGAGCGGAATGAGAAAGGTATCTGTGCAAGGATGAGGGCTAGCAATAAGAGTCTGGTTATATATAAGAACTTGAAATGAAAAAATGCATTAGGAATAATGAGGGTAACGTTGGAGAAGGAATTACAAATAAGGAAAGGGAGAATAGAATGGACAATTTGGTAGTGAATTGGAATTGAAAATATTGGTGTGTGAATTCAGTTTTTTAGTGTAAGTAGCAAGATATAGAAAATAAATACAGATATAAATGTGTATATGTGCTCTGGGGACTGTGGTGGGGTGGGGGGAGGGGGGAGGGATAGCATTGGGAGATATACCTCATGCTAGATGATGAGTTAGTGGGTGCAGCGCACCAGCATGGCACATATAAACATATGTAACTAACCTGCACAATGTGCACATGTACCCTAAAACTTAAAGTATAATTAAAAAATAAATAAATAAAAAATAAATGTGTATATGTGTATGAATGCATGTATGTATACACCTACACCTATTTTCTTGATCTGTTAACTGAGATGGCAAAACGAACAACAGTGTCCTTGTAGCAAAGAACATATCTAGCAGTCAGACTGGTTTCTAAATACCATGTTCTGGGCCGGGCATGGTGGCTCACGCCTGAAATCCCAGCACTTTGGGAGGCCGAGGCAGGCGGATCATGAGGTCAGGAGTTTGAGACGAACATGGCCAACCTGGTAAAACCCTGTCTCTACTAAAAATACAGAAAAATTTTGCTGGGCATGGTGGCTGACACCTGTAATCCAGCTACTCAGGAGGCTGACGCAGGAGAATTGCTTGAACCCAGGAGGTGGAGGTTGCAGTGAGCCAAGATCATGCTACTACAGTCCAGCCTGGGCAACAGAGCAAGACTCCATCTCCAAAAAAAAAAAATAATAATAATAATAATTAAATAAGTAAATACCATGTTCCTCCATGGTTACCTGCAGAATGGTTGATTCTAGGCTTGGCACAACAGAAGTAGTAGGTAAGTCAGAACATTTGGTTTTGCCAGAAAGTAAGGAAGTGCTCAAAGAATGATGATGACATGTCATGTCATAAGAACACAGAAATCGGCATGAAAGGGTTTCCAATGGCAAAATCCAAGATAATATAAATATGAAAACATGACAGTAGTAGATAATAATGCATTGAATAAAATGGGAATTTATGAATCCATACTGACATTAATCAATTAAGTAAATTAATTTGATTACATTAAATTGATTAATAAGGATATTTTGTGGGGCCATATTTTGAAACTCTGTAAATATCTTGTTCCTGATGAATCTTTCAAAGAGGAGAATATAACTTTCCTGTGGAGAAGACCCAAAGTTCCACTTTAATCAAAGAAATTCAAATTAACATTAATGAGACCAGTTGATACTGTGAGCCCCTGATAGCAGGCAATGGGAAGAATTCTGTCATTTCTGTTTCATTTCTGCCAAAGGTGCAAAAGTTGAATCTAATCATTAGAAAGACCCAATATATTTACTTATTCGCTCAATCTCTCTGTATATACCCAATCTCCCAAGTATCATGGCCACTTGATTGGCCCCAGCTCTGCCATTATATTCTCAGTTTCAGAGTCCCATTGGTCCTCAGCCCTACTGCTTCCTCCAGGGAAAAAGATGCTCTACCTCCTATCCCAAGTTACATTAACTTCAGCAATTTTTATTTTAATTTTAGTTTCATCAAATGTTTCTGCTAACAGATGAAAACAAATGTATACTGGAGAGACTGTAATACATGGAAAGTACCATCCAAAATTGTTGCATTTTAGTTATGATAAATACCTATAATTTTCTGTGTTATTCCTAATGGGTAGAAAGATGTTATGAATGGGATCATAGTGCCCATATCTTGCATTATTAAATAATATAATCAGTTTCTCTAAATATTTCCTAAATTTTTATACCAATAAACATCCTTTTGTTGGTATCATTTTAATGTCTGCATATTATATTTCATGTTAATTTATTTAACTGATCTGAAATTTTTGGACATTGAAGATGTAGCCAATGTTATCCTATCATACACGAAATGTATACTTTACATAAAGTATGTTTATGTATGTAAACATACATAATGTGTGTTTATGCATGTAAATACACATAATGCATGTTTATGTATGTTTATGATGATTTCTTAGGATGTGGAATTTTTGGAACAGAAAACATTTATAAGATCACAATATTTATCACCAACATGTTCTCTAGATGTATTGTAGTCATTTTTACTCCCACAAAAAGAGTTTGGTAGAGCCACTTTCTCCACAACTCTTTTGTATAGGCTACTACAATTTTAAAAAATATTTTCAATTTGTGTTCTTACTTGTTACAATAATCTTTGATTTGTGTGAGATCAAGCATTTTAAACATGTTTATTGGCTTTTATTTTTTTCGTGAATTGTTTGTAACCTTTCTAAGCTTTCTTTAGAAAGCTGTCTCTTGAACATTTATATCCTTTTTCTGAGTTCACTATTAATCCTAATCAAATCTTGTATTTCTCTATTTCAAAACATCAAAGTAATAGTCTGGGGATTATCATTCTGTCCTTGAGAAGCCTGTAGTGCAGTGGGAGATGCAGACATGCAACAAGAAGCATGATACAAAATGAAGAGTATGTTATCAAACGCTTGTAAAGTTTGGTATGGGAATATACTCACAGAAGTTGCTAATTCTCCCTAGAGGGTCAGAAAAGACTTCAGAAAAGAGACTACATTTGAGTTGGACTTTAAGGAGAAATGGGAGCTTTCCACGTAGACAGGCAAAGAAAACATCTAGGGCAGAGAGAGAACCATGATCAGACACCTGAAACTATGGAAGTTAATGACATGTTTATAAAATTACAAAGATTCTGCTATGGCTAGAATTTGAGCCACCTGGTGTAACACATACACAAACACACACTCACCTATCTGTCTGTCTACCTATCTATCATCTATCTTTCTATTTTATGTATCCCAAATTTTCCTTTCTAGCCATATATAGAGATGTAAGACTTTCACACCCTATTTCATTTATCAAATACTGTATTAAAAGAATAAATGTGGAAGAGATATTCTCTTTTCTAATAGCTACTGATGAAAACACTTTCGACTGAGTTGTACTTTTTAACTTATCAGCCCAGGCCTTATAATTAGAGATCCTTTATTCAAGATGATTTTTAATAATGATCTATTCATCTCTTCATTTATGTTTAGTGTTTTTAGAGAACCCACTACTATGGATTGAATATCTGTCCCCTCCAAAATGCATGTTGAAATTTAATCCCCAATGTAGCAGTATTGAAAGGTGGTGCCTTCAAGAGATAACTAGGTCATGAAGCCTCTGCTCCTATTAATGAATTAATCCATTTGTGGATTAATAAATTAATAAACTTTTATGGGAGTAGGACTAGTGGTTTTATAAGAAGAGGAAGAGAGACCTGAGCTAGCACACTCAGCCCGCTCACCATGTGATGCCCTGAGCCACCTCAGGACTCTCCAGAATCCCCACCAGCAAGAAGGCCCTCCCCAGAAGTGACACCCTAGCCTTGAACTTCTAGCCTCCATAGCTCATAACTATAAGAAATAAGTTCCTTTTTAAAATAAATTATCCAGTTTCAAGTATTCTAAGCAATAGAAACAGACTAAGACACTTAATGTGTGTTAGCAAGCTATTTTAAAATTCAGAGACTCGCTTTACATTAATTGCTTTTAACAAATGTGTGAGATTCTTATGGATATGTCACAACTCTATTGATAAGAAGATGTACTTATCCAAATGGAACAATAAGTAGTCTTTACACTTCCTACCAAAGGTTTCTCATAAAAACAAAAGTAACGCTGTAAATGACACTCAATTTTGATGGCCCAAACCCTTTTCTTATGTTTCTATTCTTTAAACATATTATATTACCCTGTTTCCTAAATATCTATTAATACACTTACATAGAATTTCAGTTTTAATTTAAAACACAGTTCTTTTCCGAGTACATAAATATCTCGGGCTTCTTATCCTGTGTGTGCTCCTTGTCTATCTAATTTTGAACAAGTGTGCCGCATGCTAGTTTTAGCCACACACTATATCTGAAACTTTACAAATATATTTTAATTAATTTCAATTCTTAAGCCTACAGAAATACATCAAATCATAAATTTATAAAATACTTAGCTGAACTCCTACTCTGTGAAGGCTCTTGGAAGGTGCTGCAGGAAATACAATTTTAAGGCAAAGTCTAACAACTAGAGCAATTTTCAATACAAAGTCAATACCAATTATGAAAAATTAAATAAAAACACAGAAGTCAAATAACAATCAAGAAAATTATTCAAGAGTTGTCACAAAGCAAAATATGATTAATTTCCAAGCATGCTGCATACCCTAGATGTATAACATTTCAGACAAAAAGAATTCCTAATGGAACGACAATGACTTTGAAAGGCATCTTCTTCATTTTCAGAAAATAAAGCCAATGGTACTTATCAACATCAATTAAATATTTTTCCTATTTTGCAGAAGATCTTTTATTTATTTACTTTCTTTCTGCCATTTCTTCCCATTGCCATATCTATGCAAAAACGTGGCAGCTTCAGTGATGGTGGAGCCCACAACTTCCTTTGAAACATAAATTTCCGTCGAGTGTCTCAACTTTTCCTGACCACACAACTGATTCCACCATTTTGGTTGAGTTAACAGTTCCCTGTCAATTAAATGACTGAATTACTTCCTTGTGTCACTACATAGATTTATACTAGGTGAGATTCTCAGAATTTCTCCAGAGAAGCCCACCTATTGGCCATAACACCAGCATACACTCAACAGCTGGCTCCATGACACAAATACTGCGAGTGTTAGGAGACTAAAGTGAGTTCTGGGTTTCCAATTTGCCTACTGCCAGTGTTGGATGTTTCCTCCAAATTCAGTCCCTCCCAGTGTGAACCCAGTCAAAACATTTCCACTTCTAGATTAATTCTGTACAAGGGAAAAGATAGTAGTAACATGGCAATTTGAAGAATGAAGAATCTTAAAAAATTGTGAATTTTAAGTTCAAATGTTATCATTTTTTATAACATACGTTCAATCTAGAAATAAAATTTATTTTTCCTTTGAAAACCATTATTACTTATTATATGCCATATAATGATTAACTTTTGGGAATGTATTTTCATATATTTGTACATATTTATTTACGAATAAATGAATATATGTCTGTGTATGTATTTTTCCCCATGTAGGTGAGTAAAAATGATCATAATCCAGAATTAAATATAGCCTTAATAATATTGTGTTGGATGCTGGCATGAAAATCATAGGCAATATTTTGAAATTGGGGAGCTGTTTCAAATTTCTAAGTAGCAGAAGTTAATGGACATTATTCAATGAGATAAAGATGCCAGAGAAATTCTTATAGGCAAGAATTTTATTACCTAAGCAGGTTTTTCCTTCTCACACCATATAACATAATGCATTCAGCTAGGCCAGGTTTGCAACATAATATAATTATGGACAATTTTCCTACAGACCCACATGGAAGGTTTTTAAAAAAGTAATCAACAAGGATGGAAGATTCTGAGGATGTGCATTTATAAATTTAATGACTGCTCTGTGGAAAGCTGAAGTAAACACCAGACCACTTGTCTCCTATCCCTGCTTTTAGCTGGAATGCAGTTCTACGTGAATAGCATAGGCTCTACCTCAGCTTCTTAGTGCTTGATTTGTAAAATGAGTGACTGCCACATGGAACAGTGTCATTTTTATGGAGGCAGCCTAGCCTAACAAGGATAGAACTCCTAGTGGTTGTTCAAGACAACTGTGATTTGGTTTTTGTTTTATTGACTCTAATGAGAAACTATAAGAAAAAAAATCAGACTTTGGGGTATCAATTTGTTTATCTACATTCAATGGAAATAATCTCTGCTGTTCCCTATGGCAGTATCTCAGATGACACTGAATTTTTACTATGTCATCAGCTAATGGGATAATAATACACCTTATTTATTTTTTTATTATTATACTTTAAGTTTTAGGGTACATGTGCACAATGTGCATGTTTGTTACATTTGTATACATGTGCCATGTTGGTGTGCTGCACCCATTATCTTGTCATTTAACATTAGGTATATCTCCTAATGCTATCCCTCCCCCCTCCCCCACCCCACAACAGGCCCCGGTGTGTGAGGTTCCCCTTCCTGTGTCCATGTGTTCTCATTGTTCAATTCCCACCTATGAGTGAGAACATGCGGTGTTTGGTTTTTTGTCCCTGCGATAGTTTGCTGAGAATGATGGTTTTCAACTTCATCCATGTCCCTACAAACGACATGAACTCATCATTTTTTATGGCTGCATAGTAATCCATGGTGTATATGTGCCACATTTTCTTAATCCAGTCTATCATTGTTGGACATATGGCTTGGTTCCAAGTCTTTCCTATTGTGAATAGTGCTGCAATAAACATATGTGTGCATGTTTCTTTATAGCAGCATGATTTATAATCCTTTGGGTATATACCCAGTAATGGGATGGCTGGGTCAAATGGTATGTCTAGTTCTAGATCCCTGAGGGATCGCCACACTGACTTCCACAATGGTTGAACTAGTTTACAGTCCCACCAACAGTGTAAAAGTGTTCCTATTTCTCCACATCCTCTCCAGCACCTGTTGTTTCCTGACTTTTTAATGATGTTCATTCTAACTGGTGTGAGATGGTATTTCATCGTGGTTTTGATTTGCATTTCTCTGTTGGCCAGTGATGATGAGCATTTTTTCATGTGTTTTTTGGCTGCATAAATGTCTTCTTTTGAGAAGTGTCTGTTCATATCCTTCGCCCACTTTTTGATGGGGTTGTTTGTTTTTTTCTTGTAAATTTGTTTGAGTTCATTGTAGATTCTGGATATTGGCCCTTTGTCAGATGAGTAGATTGCAAAAATGTTCTCCCATTCTTTAGGTTGCCGGTTCACTCTGATGGTAGTTTCTTTTGCTGTGCAGAAGCTCTTCAGTTTAATTAGATACCATTTGTCAATTTTGGCTTTTATTGCCATTGCTTTTGGATAATACACCTTATTTCTAAGGCAGTTCTCTCTAGTTTTTTTCTTTTTGGATTTTTTTTCTTTAGAGAGATATTTGTAAACTATTTTTGAGGTTTATTTTTGTCTTATTTTTGTTTTTGTTGTATTTGAAAATCTACCAGAGGCCATGTACAAGTTTAAAAGAAATCTATTATTATCTAGGGTATACCATTGGCTTCATTAGAGAGAGAATGTGGAAGGGGTAGAACAGTGTATCCACCTCAATACACCAGGACAACATATTTTCCCCAGAACATCAACAGAATGAGAATAAATGCAGATCCAAAATCCTATAAGGAACGTTCAGATTCATTGTTCTGAAACTGTCAAATACTACATGATCTTAAAATAAATGTGTCATGGATAGAGACTAAATATTTTACATTCTAAGTGTTATAAAGTAATGAAATATTTTTAATAATTAAATATGTTCTGCTTTCAATTTCATAAGATTCTTCTTTGGTGAAGCTCAATTACTGTCATACTTATCATCTCAACTCCATAACATTCCTTTGCACTTGATCCTAAAATTTCTCAAATGACTTTTAAATGAAAAAGTGTTAGAATCCAGTCCACAAATAAATGTGAATTTGTAAGAAATGCTTGAGAGAGGCAAAAATGTGATACATTAATACCATTTGATTGCATTTTAAACAATTTGTTGTTGATGGACGTTCCTCATACAACTACAAATTGTCAAAAAAATCTTTTTCATCTAATATTTTTCAGAATAATTTATAAGTGCCAAAACATTCTATAAAGTGAAGATTCCTCTTGCTGTCTTTCTCCAACTGTTTTTTTTCTAAACATTTTAATCCTGCAAATAAATTTTATTTTAAACATTGACTTAACTACATTATTTCAACTTCCAGAGATAAGATTTCATTTCCAAGTGCTCCAAATATGGATTTAACTCCTGGTCATTTATATGTTGGTCCAAGTAGAGGACAAGATGAAACCAGTTGCATTTTTTTTCCTTTTAGATGCTTGCAGCCACTCAATGACATCACATAGCTGTCTGAGGCTCTAGAAGGTGCTCTGCTGCTAAAAGGAGCATTATAAAGAGTGTTTGAATACCTCCATGGGAACAGAAAAGCAATGTGTGTGGAAGGATATTCAACAATGTGTTGTTGGAAGACCAAGTGCATTTTGCTGAAAACCTCCATAACAAGAACAGAGACTTGGAAGAAGAGATTCAAAGAGGATAAATATATATTAAATAGATTCAACTGCTTATTTGGGAAGATCTTTACTATACTAGATACTGTTTTACTTTGTCTTAACATATGTATTACACTGATTCAACTTCTTATCATAAATGGAATATGGTTGTTTTTTCTGTCAATAAATAGATCCATGCTTCATATTAAGGGAATGAACTTTGAAGTCAGACAAACCTGGGTTTATATCCTTGTACTACCAATTATTAATTCTGTTATTTGGGACAATGTGCTTAAACATTCTAAATCTCAGTTTCCTTTTCAAATCAATAATAGTAACTACTTCATAGAGTTACACTAAAGATTCAACAAGATAATCTATAGAAAGTACTTAGCACATATTTGAACCATGATAAGTACTACATAAATGATAGCTACTATCGGAGACCTATAGCAATCCCTTTTGAAAGAGTTCTTTCACACAATAATTCCATTTGAAGCCTTTTGATTAACATATAACAATGCTCGGCTTACGTTTCTGCAGTTTATTGTTAAATGATCACCACATTTCTTATTCACTATGATTTTCTGGTCAACATATGAGGATTCCAATTAGCAGTTACAACGAACCTGTAAGTTCCCAGAATTACTGAAAATGTTTTATTCGTAAGCAAAATGTTTGCAGTGAGCCTTTTAGTTTTGTGTTACCAGCTTTAGCACTAAATACTTTGCAAGCAACGCATGTAAAGGCTGTGAGCAACCAACTAAGAAATCACACAAGTTGCTATAGGATCATCCCAGTGCATGTAACCAGCTCCTATCATATTTGTCTCATATATTTACAAAGCTGTTTCTTCCCCTTAGTAGTTCCTAGGCATGCCTCGATTAATCACTAAAGGAGTCATTAGGTAACATCTGCCATAAAAATGCTCCCCAGATGATCAAATAGCAAAACTATAAAATGCCATAGAGCAGACACTGGGCCTTCAAAAACCTAAGATTCAAGGCTTTAACTCTCAAGAAACTTCTAATATCTTTGACATGACGCAACCTGTGATTTTTCTACAGCACAGATTTGCTCACTCTGATACTCTTTGAGTATGATATGTAGGAATGAGTGGCTTAACTAGCAAGGTGAGCCTCACAGTAATGTCAGCATCCTTTAGTGTTCTCTCTCCATCTTCATGCATATATATTGTTTTTATGTAGATGTCCATTTACTGACAATTGTGTAATATACAATGTATACTCGCCTATAAGTATAGCTGAGACATTTCTTGCTCATCTCAATAGAAATGCACCTCTCATATGTAACAAAATCAGTATAGCTCAAGCTAGGACTACTTACACAAATAGGTAGGACTGAATGTAACATGTTATAGGGTTTTTTTTAAAAAAAACCTTTTAGACATAATTTTGAAAATCAATTTGTCCAGATATTATACTGTCAATGAGATATTCTAATATAATATCTAATATAATGTGTCAATGAGATATTCTAATATAATATATGAGTCTGAGTTACTTTGTGGCTCTATTCTGCAATGTCATAAGAAATGCTGACCCTTTTCTATCATGATGCTTTGCTAGTCCTAGGCAGTTGACTTCATTTGAATGGTCCAGTAGACTCACCACTAGATCCCCATCCCTGCCAACAGGGAGGGGGTAAGGAAGAAGAAGACAACATGCCTCATCTCCTTAGACCTAGAAATTGCACACATTTTTATATCTCTTTACGTCTCACTCACCAGAACTTAGTTACATGGTCACTCAGCCCGCAGGGGAGGCTGGAAACATCATCTTAACTATTACAATGAAAAATGTGAAGATATCAAGGGACAACCACAGTGTCTGCTACTCAGCATGACTGTAATTTTAAATGTGAAGAGATAAATGTCACTCAAAATAAATGCATTTTAAAGGTATTTCGATAAGTATTCACTTTCTTTTAGTGTGAAACATAATGAAAATGGAATACATGAAGATAATAAGTGGTTATACTAAATATTCTTGATTTCAAAAACCAGAAATGTTGTTGTATTTCTCTCAATGGCACTGAACTAATGTTTTGGTGTTACTTGTGCTTCTCAGCCCCCCATTCATAGGAGTATCCCTTACTTTATTGGGTCCTAATTTCTAATAGTGAAGATCAGAGAAACAGTCCAATATGAAAGGATAATAGACTATTCAACATGTAAATAAATAACAAATGATGGAATGATCCACTGGGTATACATCTTGAATACAGAACAACCTGTTGCTCATACCTAGCCCCGTGCTCTGTACACACTCAACCCTGGAGAAATGACATGAACTCCATGAATGCATATGACCTAGCTGTGGGTCTCAACATGTGAGTCATAAAAATAGAGAAAACACACATGCCAATGTAATATTTATTCATGTACTTGTCTACTATTTAACTTTCTTCCTGCATCCCCATGCTTCACCCCAAATAAATGTCTAGAAAATACTTGAAGAGGCTTGAAAACAGGTTAAAGAAATAATATATATAAAGAATACTTATCAAACAAAATATCAAAAAAGAAAAATGAATATAGTAGAAAGTAAACACTAAAGTTTTAAAAGTGAGAAAAAGGAAATTACAATCAGTTAGATAAGAGAGATGAATGTGAGCAATGGTTATACAATTCTCTGGCAAAACACCAAGAGTAAAACTTCTAGTGCTGAAGAGGACGTTCTTAATAAGTAAGCTCAGCAAAAGGTCTTTCACTAATTTTAGGACAAACTTAAAATTCTGATATTATTGGTTGTTATTCAAAATTATATGTGTTGGTGCTCACGTTCAATAAAGCAGTTAAAAATTTCTACCCACTGTGTCTAATAAAAATAATAAAAACCACTATTAGAAGGCAAGAAAACTTTTATGCACACAGATACACACTCACATTGTAAACAGGATGTCAAAAATCAGAGTATCTTTATAATAATTGTCTTTATATCTTTAATCCTGTGGTCAGTTTCTTCTTACTGAAAGTCAAGTTTCATTTTTATTTTTACTCTAGGATGAAAGAAAAAGAGTTAAGGGTGTGGAAAAGGGTTGGTCTCCTTGAAGCATTCCATTCTCATGAACTATGCAGATTTGACAAGATGTGACTTCTTACCTATGTGGTGGAAAAAGGTGTGGTAAACAGCCCACTTGACATGCTGTTATTTCTTGCTTTTCTTTTCTTTTTATTATAGCCTTTCCAAATGACCTTGAGAGGAAATTTCACAACCATTTAGCTTTTTTTCTCTGAATATATGGTGCTTCTTCTATGGTACAGTGATATACTTTATCATTAGCTATAATGACTGCTTTGTTTGTTTTTGTTTAAAATTGTATTCTTACTTTAGGCTAGGTTATATCATTTTTTAAACTGTCTCAGTGAAGTATTTATTGAGTAACCACAAATAAAACAGTCTAAATCTTTATCCTTCATTCATTATAAAACTGTGTTTTAAGAGTTTTCTATGCAAAAAGCACTATCTTAACATGTCCCTCATAAAATTGTTCCTTCCTCAGTTATCCTTGGGTAAATAGCACTGTCTCATTGGACCCTTCTCAGGACAAAAGCACCACAGACAACCTTAAGTCCTCTCTTTCCTTCACATCCACCTCCCATTATCCACCTCCCATCATCCAAAAATCAGGCTGGCATAACCCCTGATATGTATCCCAAAGCTGATGATTTCTCACCCTCTGCACTGCTGAAACCCTGCTCTCTTATCTGAAACTCCTAGGCCTTCCCAGCAGGCCCCTTCCACTCTTGCTCCCAATAATTTATTATGCTCTTGATAATCTTTCTAAAGCATAAATGGTATCATGGCACATCTGTGCTAAAAATCCTGCAGTCCTTTCCTGCTACAATTGGAATAAAATGCTAATTTTTTTACTTTGTTTACAAGATTCTGCAAAAACTGACTGACCCCTGTCTTTCCAACCTCATCTTTTGTACCCCTCCCTCATCCCATTCAGTTTATTCTAAGTATTCAGACAAAGCTTATTTCTTTCATGGGGACTTTGCACCTTTATTTCCTCTGCCTGACTTATTCCCCCTCAAGATGGTGACCTGGCTGGCCTCATTTCCTCCTTTGGGTCTCAGCTCTAAGGTCACCATCTCTGAGAAGTCTTCTCTGAACACCCCAGCCAAAATAGGATGGACAAGAGTTGGAATAATCACACTCTAAAGATAAGGCTGCCCACTATATAATACCAATTATCATAGCTCTGTGAGAACTGTAAAGAAAATTGATTTTCAGTTGTGTGGACTGCATGTTGAAGAGACTAGGCAATTATAGTTTGAAGTCATAATAAAGCACAGTATTGTGAAAAAGCATGGATTTGGAGAAAAACTATTTGGGTTTAAATCCTAGCTCTTTCATTTACTACTTTTATTACCTTGAGAAAATTACTTAACACGTTCTGAAACTTGGTTTCCTATCTATAAAATATATACATAGTATCAAAAGTATGGGTTTGCTGCAAGAATCACATAAAATAATATGTGTGCCTAGAATACAGTAGTTACCTAATGGAACTGGTTTTTTGGTTTCATCTGTTTCTTTTATTCTCATATTAGGCTTTCAATGTCTGTTGGTTAAGTATGCTGTATTTACTTCTCTGAAGGAAGAAGTAAGTAGTCTACAACACATCTAAGTAAGTTAGGATAACAGTGATTTCCAGTTATTCCAGTAATACACATGTCAAAGTCACCACATTCAATTTAACTTCTAGACGGATTCACACCAACATGAACAAGAAGGAATAAATGAGGGAAGGATGGTAGGAAGGAAGGAGGGAGGGAAGGAGGAAGAGAAGGAAGAGAAAGGGAGGGAGGGAGGGAGGAAGGAAGGGAGGGAGAGAGGGAGGAAAGAAGAGAGGGAGGGAGGGAGGAGAGAGAGGAAAGGAAAGAAGGGAAGGGAAAGGGAAAGGGAAAGGAAAGGGGGAGGGAGGGAAGGAGGAAGGTAGGAAGGAGGGAGGGAGGAAGGTAGGAAGGAGGGAGGGAACAAAGGCAAGGAGTGCAGAATTATCTTATTGGGTGGTCCAGCCTTTTAAATATCTGAAAGTAATTTTTAAAATTCAACTTATATAAGAATGTGTCTGTTCATAAAGAGATGTGAGGCATTAGACACTCTGAGGTGCTACGAATACTATATTATAACAAAGGCTAAGATAAAAATCTCTGATGTTATGGATTTTGCACCACGTCACCTTAGAATCAAATCACATTTCGTCCTCCTACTCTTTACCCCACATGGTAAACATGGGGTCAGAGGTCTTGGATTCTGTTCTGACCTCTACCTATCATTTATTATGTGGTTTGGGGCTAGTGACAGCTTCTCTAAATGTTAATTTCCAAGGCATTGTACATGGTTATTGCTGTTAAATTAAACTATATTTGGCCTGAGGATGCCTCCGTACTTAATAGGCCCAATATAATGTACTACAACCAAGTAACTTACTTAAAGCCTAATATAGGAATATACTTTTGTAACAAGTAACTGAGTCTCAGCCAATCACATCAGCCAATCTTCAGTCAATCACAGGCTGTCAAGTGATCAGGCCATATTCAAACAAGGCAAATATCAAGCTGTTTCTGTATCTCACTCTCATTTTCTGTCCATAAACGTTGCCTGCCCACAATGCTAATTAGAGCTCCCTGAACTCTTCTGTCTCTAAGAGCTTCCCAATTAGCAAATCATTTCTTGTTCAAACAAACTGTTAAATTTGTCTAATTTCTTTTAACACATCTAAGGTCCCTATAGTTATAGAATACTATGATTTCATGATTATATGGAACATCCTACTGTCTTATTATGTCAAGTATATCATCATTTTACAATTTTACAATTATTTATTTCCCACATTAATATTTAGAACTAAGTTGAAAAATGAAATATTTTTTGGAACACAATTATCTTAGTTTTCTTTCTTTTACTATAAGTGATGGTCTGAGATTTTCTCCACTAGATGTTATATTCTCCTTTAAATTTCTAAATGCCAATGTACATGTTTGAGAGGCATTGCAATATCCAGAACTTTCTCTCTTGCCCACCAAAAAATAACCAAGAAACATTCCTGTGTGGTCAGTTGTCTGTGCCCAAATACCATCGTCATTTAAATAAAGACTGACTACTCTTCCCAAAATATACATCTATTATCATCATTATGATTATCCGCACTGATGTCCCAATATGTCCATTTGTTTCAATATTCATTTTTATACAGTTCAAATGCTGTAGTCACCATAGAGATCATTGTCAAGCAGGTGCTATGGCTCATTCTCTTATGGCTAAAGAAAACATTTTTTTAAAATATCCACATGGTATCCAGGTTACATCTTGATAATCACTTTAAAACTGAGCAAAAAAAAGGCAGATGGAATGTTGTTTTTCTTTTTTCTCCTCGTCTTCCTTTATTCCCTCACATTGTCAGGATGGCTCCATCCATTCAGATGGCAGGACTGTTCTGAATGAAGGCAGACCTGCACCTTCGGCAGTCATCTCTCCAGTTCAATTATGGTGCTTTAACAGGGCTAATTAGCATTCCTCAGAGCTGGAGTTCTTTGAGTGACAGGTAACCATGGAGAGTCACACTCCTGTAGGTGATCAGCAAGAATCTATCTTTTCTTTTTAATTAAAAATTAGAAAAGCCTTAAAGAAAAAGCATAGCATTTACTAACGTATGCTGTTAGCCCAAGGTTGCCATGCTGGAAAGAATAACAATAGTGTCAGAAGAAAACTAATGCCATTTCCAAAGGAATAGAGAAAAATATCATGGTAGTCAGATACAAGAAATATGTTTATCATCATCCCTGATAACAGATACCCAAAAGGAAAACACAAAATAGCAAAAGATCATCTGTTCCTGAGAGTTTATTTAGATAATAATTTTCTTCCCTTCAAAATTTGAGAAATACTATTGTATTTATTAACAATAGTTGTGTTCTTTCCTATCATTTAGAAAGTATTAGAACTAGAAATTTAGAATTGCATATGCAGTTATTACCGAATAAAACATTCAGTAAATGTCAATTGCTGATGATAAGAGATATCATAACAAAATTAAAAAGTATTAATAACCTATTCGATCCTAGGAAAGATTAGAAAAATTCCATAATGCACCAGTATTAAACCTGATCTTAAGAACTGATGTCAGCAGACAATATGTATCTGTCCAACAAAGTGTGTTTTCTAAGTAAGGCAGACAAGTGAATTAAATATTGTCACCTTAGCTTGGTAGCTCAGTTTCAGGAAAAAAATAGACAGAAATTTTATAACATTTTAACAGCATATCAAGACACTTTTTCTATTCAAAAACAAATAAGTAAATAATCTGAATAATCAGAGTCCATTTTAACTTTCCCAAAACTGAAAAGGATACTGTTCTATTTTCTTTTGGTTCTGTTCATCTTATAAAAAATGTAATTTAACATGCCTCTCCCTTCCTGTTTTTACCCCAAAGTAGGATTATTATAAAAACACTCTATGCTGTTACTTCTGGAAGGCATAAAGCCAGGAAGCTCTTACAGTGTTATGGGAATGCCTAATCTCATGAGCTTGCCAGCCTTATTTAAACTATGAGGGTGGGAAAGGATGCAAATCACGTCACAGCAAATTCTTCAACTGTTAGTTCAGAACAATTTCCATTATGAAGAATTCACTAATAACACAAAATGATAAAATCAGTTGTATTATTCTGTAGGTTAAATGAAGAAACAGATTTTAATTCCAAAAGACTGTCCCCCATAATTTGGGTCATTGTCCATCAAGTCATTTGTTTAATTCTGTTTATTTGAATTTGGTTTCTTAATAATTCCTCAAATTTTCAATTTTCTACAAGAATTTTATAGAAAATAGATTTCCCTCTCAACGTTTATAAACTTAGCTTCAATAAATTTAACTTGCTAATTACTATTCACTTTAATTTGAAAATACAAAGGATGATTATATCCCAAGAATCTCAAAACTTTATTTTTTCCTGAAATTTTTTCCATAGCCAATAGAATTCAGATATAAGAATAAGAATGTCTCATGTTTAATAATATGAAAAAGTTATATTCTGAAGCATTTTATTTTGTAGCATACTATTTTTGAATCATAATAGAGAGAGGTAGCTGTTGGTTCTATATGTTACTTCCTTTGATAGCTACTACTTCCATGCATAATGTATATCAATTTTATTACTAATAATGAAACCAAATTAGTGGAAATGCTGAAGTGAATGGAAAATGCTATGCATTTAAAACAAACCCATTAAGAATCAATGCCCCATTTTGTTTTAGAAATAACTGACAATTTCCAATTATTTTTAAAACAGCAAATTGAATTATTGGATCTTTAGAACTGTTTTTATTCACTTTCAATACTAATTATTTATAGGCTAATCATTCTTAGCTCTCTGTCTACATTTTTCTGCAGATGCTATAAGAAAAATTTTTCAAGTTGAACCATGTTATGATAGATTATACTTATTTAGTAAAAAGGAGACAGGAATGGTTGAGTGCTCTGAACTGTTGACATGGCTGATCGCTAATCACTTTACATCTTACATGAAGTACTGCTTCTTCCCTACTATGACAGACAGAAGAAATATGCTTGTAACAATGGTTACTAACATTTTTTCAGAAAATGTTGATAACCCAAAGCTAGCTGCTGTCCCATCATAGAATATTTTGTCTTGTTTTCCTCCTGGATGTAGTCCTTCAGATTTTCCACAGTGATTCCCTACATCCATAAAAGGTCAAAAGCATGAAACCGCCTACTGATGTAGTTTAATATTCACATTTTATAGGTGAAGAAACTGGGGCACAGAGAAGTTAACTTACACTCAGGTAATTAGTTTCAGGGCTAGAACTGGAACCAAAACTCAAGATTCAGAGTTCCTGCATCAACAACTTCTCCAAGGATAATTCCATTCTATTCTGCACTCTCACTAGATTCCGTATCAACTTGTCATGAGTTGACTCAGAGAATTGACTCATAGCGTCAACAATAGCACAAAAGCCATACCTTGCAACATCCTGCCATACAACACCCTCTTGCCAGATCCAAGAACTTGCTTACTTCAGTGTCATTAACTTATGAAGATATCGATTCCCTAACTTGAGCTGACAGGGCATCATTGTTCTTTACCTTTGTGACTCACATTACTTTTCTCACATTGCTTTTATAAATACTCTGCTTTTGCCATATTTTATCATAAAACATTAGTCTTCTGGTTGGAGGGGGTTGGAAAGAAAGCACTTTCTTGACTCCCTAAGATACTACAATTTTGGACATATCATGATTAAAGAAAAAATTGAAAAATTTAAGTGGTAAAATTAAAACATTAAACAAATAAGATGTTGCCTAAGAAAAATACACAATTTTATTATAAAGACAGTACAAAACAATAGTGTATTTGAAAACTAATAAATATCCTTCAATGCATGCTTTTTGACCTGTTAATTAGAAGAGTATATGCCGGGTTATTTTTCTGTAGTTAAGACAGGTAGGAAAACCCACGACACAAAAATAAAGATCATGTCATTTCTGTCCTGTGTGGAAAATAATATATTATGTTTTTTTCTATTAAAATCCTTTTTTCTTCCATTTTTAGTGACTGTAATAATTTTCTCTATATATCTATGAAGTTCTATATGCTAAACTAAGGGTTGTATACTAAACAATGTCTAATCTGTGCATATCAACATACATGTGGACACCTGTACACATACACACAACTAAATCACCATTCAATAAATTCGTCATTTTGGTTCTATTTGGCTGCCACACTCAAATACCTTTCAAAAGGATAGAGCCATGAGCAGAGAAAATGAAAAGACAGAAGTGAGGCCTAAAAGTAATTATTATTTGAGAAAAAAAATTAGCTGTAAACATTTGCATTTTTAAGAGGAGACTCATAGAGGACATAATGTTATTTTAAAATAATAATTATTACTGCTATTAAATTAATACATGAATGAGTATATTTTAAATCCAGTATGAGTCTTAACTTCTAGAATTATCTCCCTTATCCCCTAGTCCCACTTCACAAAAGTTGTCATTTTTAAACAGTTTTAGTGCACCCTTCCAGGACATTTTATGATGGCATATTAAAAACATCTGAAGTGTTTTCTTATTTTTAAAAAACGCCTCTTCTGGCTGGGTGCTGTGGCTCACGCCTGTAATCCCAGCATTTTGGGAGGCCGAGGTAGGTGGATCACAAGTTCAGGAGATCGAGACCATTCTGGCTAACATGGTGAAACCCCATCTCTATTAAAAAAGACAAAAAAATTAGCCGGGCGTGGTGGTGGGCACCTGTAGTCCCAGCTACTCGGGAGGCTGAGGCAGGAGAATGGCGTGAACCCGGGAGGCAGAGCCTGCAGTGAGCCAAGATCGCACCACTGCACTCCAGCCTGGGTGACAGAGCAAGACTCTGTCACAAAAATAAATAAATAAATAAATAAATAATGCCTCTTCTAAATGGCTGCAGGAAGAAAAGCAGGAAAAATAGGATTCATAGACAGGAGACAAATACACATAGTACCCCAATATAAGAAAGGAAGGTCCTTCTTGTGGAGGGTAGTAGATTTCCAACAAATGAGTTATTAGGTTTATCAACTGGTGGTAGAAAAGAAGCAAATCTTGTATCAAAGGATTCAAACATTGAATGAAATCTTTTATGTCCTCTCCAACCTCAAGAAACTAAAGAAATTAAAATATTCAGATTACATATATTTTAAATAATGTTTGAAAGCAAATTCTTTGTTTCCATAATTTTTATTGGGATTCAGTCAGAAGTTTCTTCTGACTTAAATTATTAAATCTATGAAGAATATTATCAGATTTTCTTAAATATAAAGAAAGAAGGGAGGAAACAAAAAAGGAATAGTTGAAGGAAACACAGAAAGGGAAGAAGAGGGATAAAATTGAAATGTCAAAAAAATCCTTTGCTTTTCAAAATTTCCAACAGAACTCATATAAGTAGTATTTAACTGTTACTGACTCAGGTCAGAGTAGGAAGAGGAGGAGAGGAAAATGAGTTAAATCAGACGAGTAGAAGAATAAAATAAGGAAAGGACAGAAAATTAGAAAGCGGAAAGGGAATGAAGACCAAGGAAAGGAGGAAGCTGTTGCAGTTGAGAAAACTGTCATAGCAACTGACATCAAATCAGGCAGTAGGACCAGCGACATTTCTTAAAGATAATATAGAACTTTGATAATGTGTCCCCAACAGTTGTCCAAAAATATTTATTTTCAAAAATCAAAGTAAATAGTTTTTAAAGTAATAGTAAATGCTTTGCTCTCTTTCATATTTTAATCCATGGAATTCATAAAATTGTTTTGTTTTGTGGATGAAAGTATCTGATCAGGTTGAATGTTTATCTTCTGATAAACTTTTCCAACTGTTCAGAGAATATGGTTATGATTATACAGCACTGTTGAAAATTAAAGTGCCTAAATTACCATACATGGTTAAAAACAGACCAGACTTTTAACATATGCAATGCTTTTTACCAGAAGTCGAATAACGTCAGCGTCTATGAAACTACTGAGTTCAACTTATTAATCTCTGTGCTGCTGAACAGCCCACTAAATCTCTCTTTTAAACTCACACATGCCCCCTGTGTCTGCTGCGTCCTAGCATATCCGAGAATGGATTTTCCATTGAACGTTACTGCCAAAGCACTTTTTCTTCTGGCACCAGCAGAGAAATTGAAATATACCTTATAGGCTTAAAAGATAAAATATATTATGGCTTAAGAGATAAAATATATTATGAACTTCAGCAACCCAAGAAAATGTGGGCAATGTGTAATAAAATTTGAGATGCATAGACACTTGGCTTGATCAAATTTTACTAATTCATTCAGAAACAACCATGTTGGATTCATCAAGCTTTTCAAAGTTGAGGTAACAGTTATTGAAAGCCATTAGTTCTATCATATACTTTTTCCCACCCCATTTGACCAAATAAATTCTTACCCAAGTGAGACCTTTCTTTAGAGCAAACTCTGAAGGGTTTGCAATTCAAAAAATGGTTTACAAAGGTCCATTGTTTTGTTCTGGCCACTGCTCAAAAGTAACTTCAAAATTGCCTTACTAATTGATCTATTTCACATCATTCTGAAAAATCTGAACTGGCTCTTTCAGGTTGGTGATCTCCCTGAAAAATCTGCTTGTAAGGCATATCTGTCTATACTCTCTCATGATGACACAGCGTCCCCTGCCTCTGTCAACTACAGCTAAGTACAAAGCACTGTGCTAAATGCTACTAAAAGAAGAATTAAGAAAATGTGTGGACAATCCCTGTTGTCTAGAATCTGAAAATTTAGTAACGGGATTTAAATATATACACACATATGTACAGGCCCACACAAATATATATTATGCATTATGGATGTTTATGTACATATATCGTGTATTATGGATGTGCATGTGTGTGTATATATATATATATATATATGTATATATACACACATGCACATATTCATAATTCAAGAAAGAAAATGAAAAATGCCGTGAGAAAGATAGAAAAAAGAAAGTGGTTTAGAAGCACAACTGAGAGGGAACATGTTTTCCCTGTGAGGCAAGATGAAGATGTAGTCAAAATTAGCAAAACCTTTATGGAGAAGGTGACATTTGTCTTTAGAACTGGGTATGGACCTATGGGCAGAAATGGGGAGGAAAATATTCTAGGCAGAGGGCACAGAAAAATAAAAATCCAGTATTGTTGGAGAAACAGTAAGTTGAGGAGCATGCTGTCCCTGAGGGAACATAATGGGGAACAGAAAGAATTCACTTTGATCTCAGGGTTTAGACTTTATTTTGTCCAAAGAAAAAAGCACCATTAAATGCCTTTAGAAGAAGTCTGACAGGATATGATCACATAATTCAGAGATTTATAGTCAACATCTCTCTCTCCTTATTCATCTCTCTAAGAAAATAAAATGGGTTAAAACATGGCCTACCAGTCTGTGTTGCTACAAAGGAATACGTGAGGCTGGGTTACTTATAAAGAAGAGGTTTATTTGTCTCACAGTTCTGCAGGTTGTTCAAGAAGTATGGCCCCACCATCTACATCAGGTGAGGACCTCGGGCTGCTGTCACTCTTGGCAGAGGGTGAAGAGGAGCTGGTGTGTGCAGATCACATAGTGAGAGAGGAAGCAAGAGAGAGGGAGGGGAAGTAACAGACCCTTTAACAACCAGTTCTGTCAGGAACAAAGAGTGAAAACTCACTCACCACATTTCCTTCAGGGAGGATATTAATCTATTCACGAGAGATCCACCACCATGACCCAAATATTTCCCATTGGGCCCCACGTCCAACATTGGAATCAAATTTTATTAATAACATGAAGTTTTGGAGAACAAATATCCAAACTTTAGCAAAGGCTTTCTCTGTGTCTTGTCCCTGCCTGCCTCATTTTAACTTCAGCACTATCTTCAATTGCTCCTCCAGTGTTGACTACTCTACTCTCCAGCACTAGAGCCTTTCCATTCTAAGGGTTCTTAAGGAATCTCAAGCTATTCAGTGGCTCAATTCCTCTATCTTGGGCATTTCTTCTTTCTGGCACACCTCTGCCCTTCCCCTTCTTCCCTACCTTCTTGTCCAGCTAGCTTATCCCAATTTATTCTTCAAGCACCTCCTTGACTAGATCCTCTCCCTTTCTTATTCTACATTTTGATCATACCTTGAATGTAACCCTATTGTAACACTCAATCAAACTCTTATAAGAGTATATTATCTCAACAAATATGTTTTAATTATATCCAGTGCCACAATTAAATTGGAGATTCTTTTTAAAATCCTAAATTTTAGAATTTAATTTTTGATAAAAACTTTTTTGATACAAACTATAATTTTGATAATATGCTTTGCAAGCAGAGCAGATTGAACCTCTTTGTAAAATATCTAGGCATACCTGAAAAGAAATAAGAAATATTACTTATCTCATTAAAATATTAGCTATACCTAAGATATTTACCACATAAATTATTATTCAATATAAAGCCTGTGAATGCAGTCATTACAAATTGCAAAAGTACAGTTTATGCAGAATAACTACAATTGTTATTTTGCATGAAGGGAGGAATATGACACTTTCAATGTTTTTTTTTTTTTTACCTTAGTTTGTTATTTCTGCATCTCTTTGTGACCATAATCCACAGGTTCATATAAATGGCAAAGGGCCAAATAGAGCAAATCTTAATTGTTTTCAGAGAAGACATGAGATCCAAGTTAAGTGATTCAAAACTATTACTGACTTCAAATCCAAGCGTATTTTCAGTAGTCATTAAAATAAGCACTATCTTATGTTCACGAGAATGAAAAGACATCAAGGCAGGCTAACGAATATCAGAGTGTGAGTTTAATAAAAACCAGGTGGCAGCTCAAAAGTCTATTTAAAATTCCCTACCTCTCCTTCCTATTTCCTTTTTTATTAGGTGTTTGTGGAGAAATACTGTCTACACAAAATTCTCAAGGATTTGAAAGTGGGGGAAAAAACACTCTATGATTAGGTGTTCAAAGTTTCTCAGAAAACATTCTGTTTTATCCTTGACCAAATCAACCAACACCACTATTTCCCTTAGCCAATAAAAACTCTAACCAATTTGAATAGTCTTTTCTCTCTTTTTCTCTTATCTTTCTACTTGATTGGAAATTGAACTTTTGTAAACAAAATTGATGAGCATTTGGTTGGAGCACTTATGCTAAGCAATTGTGAAGTTTCCACAACTATTTAGAGAGTGAGATCAATGAATCAAGCATTTTGGACATATATAAGAGTGCACAGATATAAAACTAACAATTCTATTGTTGCCTACAGATGAGTTCCATAATATGCAACTTGCACACTGCCTAACCTCTCCTTTTAAATAATTGCATCCGGATTTGGAATCAGGTAACTTCTATCTGCCATTCTTGGACTGTTTGATTCAGGGAGGATTTGAACCCAGTCCTCTGGCTCCAGAAATTGACCCACAACCCAGGCCTAGTTAATGAGAACATTTTATCTCCTGGCCACAGAGGCTGGCTCATGAATAAGCATGTGGCTGCACTCCTATGAGTCAGAAATAATCTTAAAATTCTGTTAACTATTTGGAAAAGCACTGGAAATTTCCAATCAGATTGCCAACCTTAAGATAGTATAAGCCTAGCATTATTAAACTTCTTGCAACTACCATACAGAGGGAACCATGAACGAAGCCAAAGAGAAGATACAAAAGAGAGAGGGGCAGTGCTTAAAGGGGGTGGAAGGAGAAAGAAAAATAATTGATTATGTAGTTTGAGGTCCAGGGCTGAGCCATATCTGAATCTATCTTTGTATTCTTCAGTTGAAGGAGTTGATAAATTACCATTTCTGCTAACAAGTATCTGAATTCGTTTTTACTATTATTTGCAACTGAATAAGCCCTTTCAAAACAAGTACCAGACAGAAACTGAAGAAAAAAAAATCCTGATAATTAAGTCAATGGACAGTATCAACTTATTCTGGCAGATGCTTATAGCTTCTGGATCTAACCATTTGGATAATTTGGCAGATTGATGAGAACATTAATCAGTAATAACGTATAAGCCACATAAAGCTTTTGTGTATTATTTGGGTTTCTCTTTAAAAATGTGCAAAACTTCTCTACACTTATATTTATTTAATTATATCAGTTTTGAGCTAGAAAGCTCTTAAAAATATAGACTCAGTCAAAGGAAAGCAGACAAGCATTGATGCAACTATTTGGCAGTCCAGGTGAAGGCATGTCATATTTACATTTTGTTTGTGAGAAACAAAATTATGGCATTTTCTCTATATTTACATTATGTTAATTTAATCTTTGTCTGAATGTCCTACTATGCATATTAAAATGTAACACAGATAAGGTAAAATTAAAAGGGGTTGGTGGGAAAAAGGAACGGAAAATTAACAAATGGAAGTAGAATAACAATGAATCAATTTTCACTCCCAGACTTTTCTTCTACCAACAATCTTAAATGTTTTTATCCTGTTCTTTGACAGGTACTTACATAAATTTTTTGTTGCAGATTTTAAAGTTAATGTGAAAGTGCTGGGATTTTAACATTTTAAGATCTGTGCTTGTTTTCACTATGGAAACAATGACATTTCCCTAGTTACACATTATTTTGTTCCTTGGCAGTTTTCAGCCTAAGAAATATAATTTTCAAACAAGAAACTGTGGTGTTATATGACACCAGTTTCCTTTTAAACAGAAAGTCTTTCAACAGACAAAAAAAACCTATGGCTATATATATATATATATATAAAATTGTAATTATATTTATATTATACAATCAGTGGTTTTAAATTGAGAAGAGTAAAATATATGCAGAACATAAGAATGGGCTCATAAAGAAATGTTTTTGTACATTTCCTCAGGCATTTTTGGCTACTCTTCCATCCAATGTGGAAATCTTGGAAGTAAGAAAAAAAATGTAATTAAAAGAATAAATTAGAGACTTTGTTCTCCTAAAAAGTGTCAATTTCAAATTTACTTGGGCAAAGGACTTACCCCAGGAGAGACTGTGAGAAATAGGAATAGTGCACATAAATATCAAAGATCATAAAAATAGACACATAGACATGAAGCAGAATAGAGAATCAGAAAATAAGCCAATACATTTAGGCCAACTGATCTTCAACAAAGCCAGCAAGAGTGTTCATTGGGGAAAAAACCCCATCTTCAATAAATGGTTCTAGGAAAATTGGATAGCCATATGCAGAAGAATGAAACAGGTCCCCTATCCCTTACCATATACAAAAATCAACGCAAAATGGATTGAAGACTTAAACATAAGAGCCAAAAGTATTAAAATGCTAGAACAAAAGCTAGGTAAACTCTCCAGGACTATGGTCTAGGCAAAGAATTTATTACTAAGACCTCAATAGCACAGGCAACAAAAACAAAAATAGACAAATGAGATTATATTAAACTAGAAAGCTCTGTATGGCAAAGGAAACAACACAGTGAGGAGTCAATCTACTGAATAGAAGAAAATGTCTGCAAACCATCTGACAAGGGACTATCAAGAATATACAAGGAATTCAAACTATTCAACAGGAAAAATACTTAAAATCCCATTAAAAAGTGGGCAAAAGATATGAGTAAACATTTCTCAAAAAAAAGACATACAAATGGCCAACATGTATATGAAAAAATGCTCAACACCACTAATCATTAGAGAAATGCAAATCAAATCCACAATGAGATATCATCTTACTCCAGTTAGAAAGCTGTTATTGAAAAGACAAAAAAACCATACACACACACACACACACAAAAAAAAAGCACACACACACATTTTGGCAAAGATGCAAAAAATACACACACACATTTTGGCAAGGATGCAAAAAATACACACACACATTTTGGCAAGGATGCAGAGGAAAGGGAACTATTATACAAAGTTGATGAAAATGTAAACTAGTACAGCCACTATGAAAAACAGTATGGAGAATTCTCAAAAGAAGCTAAAATTACCATTTGATTCAACAATCCCCTATTGTGTATCTACTCAAAGGAAAAAACTTCAATATACTAAAGGGATACCTGCACTCACATGTCTATTGCAGCACTATTCACAATAGCAAAGATATAGAATCATTTTAAGTGTTCATCAACAGATTAATGAAGAAAATGTATTATATATGCACAATAGAATACATTAAAGAGAATGAAATCTTATCATTTTCAGCAACATGGATTGATCAAGAGGTCATTGTCTTAAGTGAATTAAGCCAGGCACAAAAAGACAAATATAGGATGTTCTCACTTATGTGGGAGCTAAAAAATTTGATCACATGGCAGTAGAGAGTGGAAAGATAGATAACAGAGACTGAGAAGGATGAGTAGGGGGGAAGAAGGAGATGAAGCCAAGTGGGTTAAAGTACACTAAGACAGAAGGTATATATTCAGTGTTTGATAGCAGAGTAGGGTGACTATACTTAACAAAAATATATTGTACTCAGGTGATGAACCCCCTAAATACCCTGACTTGATCAGTATGCATTAAATACATATAATAAAATGTTTTCATGTACCTATAAATTTGTACAAATAAAAAATACATTTTAAAAAAAAGAGCATTTTTGAGTTTGGCCATGGCTTGATATCCAGGGACATCATCCGAAAAAAAAATCTCATAGATTTTGCCTACCTTTGTAAAGTGTCTTGTGAGTCAGCTAAAATTGAAGGTGGTGGTCAAAAAATGGGATGCTTGAAAAGACAAAGAGGAATATTATATAATGATAAAAGGATTAGTGCAATAGAAAAATATTGCTATACTAAATATATATGCACCTAACACTGGAGCTGCCGAATTTATAAAACAATTACTACTAGACATAAGAAATGAGATAGACAGCAACACAGTGATAGTGGGGGACTTCAATACTCCACGGACAACACTAGACAGGTCATCAAGACAGAAAGTCAGCAAAGAAACAATGGACTTAAACTATACCCTAGAATAAATTGACTTAATAGATATTTATAGAACATTCTATCCAACGACTGCAGAATATGCATTCTTCTTTTTTTTTTTTTTTTTTTGTTACCCAGGCTGGAATGCAGTGTTGTGATCTCGGCTCACTGCAACCTCCGCCTCCCAGGTTCAAGTGATCCTCCCACCTCAGCCTCCCTAGTAGCTAGGATTACAAGTGTGCGCCACCATGCTCTGCTAATTCTTTTTTGTATTTAGTAGAAACAGGGTTTCATCATGTTAGCCAGGCTGGTCTCGAACTCCTGAGCTCAAGTTATCCTCCCCCCTTGGCCTCCCAAAGTGCTGGGATTATGGGTGTGAGTCACTCTTCCTGGCCAGAATATACATTCTTTTCATCAGCACATGGAACATTCTCCAAGACAGACCATACGATAAGTCACAAAGCAAGTCTCAATACATTTAAGAAAAATGAAATTATATCAAGTATCTTCTTAGACCACAGTAGAATAAAACTGGAAATTAACTACAAAAGGAATGCTCAAAAGTATACAAATACATGGAAGTTTGACGATCTGCTCTTGAATGATCTTTGGGTCAACAATGAAATCAAGAAGGAAATTTAAAAATTCTTTGAGCTGAACAATAAGAGTAACACAACTTACCAAAACCTCTGGGATATAGTAAAAGCAGTGCTAAGAGGAAAGTTAATTGCATTAAATGCCTACATCAAAAAATCTGAAAGAGTGCAAAAAGAAAAATCTAAAGTCACACCTCAGGGAAGTAGAGAAAGAACAAACCAAACCCAAACCCAGCAGAAGAAAAGAAATAACAAAGATCAGAGTATAACCTAATGAAATTGAAACAAACAAACAAATTCAAGATAAATGAAACAAAGTAGGTTCTTTGAAAAGATAAATAAAATTGATAGACCATTAGTGAGATTAACCAAGAAGACAGAAGATCTAAATAAGCTCAATTAGAAATAAAATGGGAAATATTACACCTGATACCACAGAAATACAAAAGACTATTCCTTTATGTGCAGAAACTAGAATTTAGAGAAGATGGATAAATTCCTGGAAATATACAACCTTCATAGATTAAATCAGGAAGAAATATAAACCCTGAACATACTAATAACAAGTAGCAAGATCGAAACAGTAATAAAAAAAAAAACAACCCAGGACCAGGACCAGGCTGAATTCCATCAGATATTCAAAGAAGAGTAGTTACCAATCTTACTGAAACTATTTCAAAAGAAAAAGAGCAAGTCCTCCCTAAATCATCCTATGAAATCAGTATCACCCTAATACCAAAACCAGGAAAGGATATAACAATAAAACTATAGACCAATATCCCTGATGACCCAATGCAAAAATCCTCAGCAAAATACTAGCTAACCAAATCCAACAGCATATCAAAAAGAAAATCGACCATGATCAAATGGGTTTTATACCAGGGATGTGGGAATGGTTTAACATACACAAGTCGTTAAATGTGATAGATCACATAAACAGAATTAAAAACAAAAATCATATGATTATCTCAGTAGATACAGAATGTGCTTTAACAAAATCCAGCATTCCTTTATCATTAAAACTCTCGGCAAAATTGGCATAGAAGGGACATACCTCAAGGTAATAAAAGACATCTATGACAAACCCACAGCCAACATTGTACTGAACAAGGAAAAGTTGAAAGCATTCCCCTTGAGAACTGAAAAAGACATAAAAGAATGCCCACTTTCACCACTTCTATTCAACATTGTACTGGAAATCCCAGCCAGAAAAATCAGACAACAGAAAGAATAAAGGGCATGCAAATCGGTAAACAGGAAGTTAAATTGTTGCTGTTTGCTGATGGTATGACCATATACCTAGAAAATCCTAAAGACTCATCCAAAAAGCTCCTAGATCTGATAAATGAATTCAGTAAAGTTTCAGGATACAGAATCAATGTACACAAATCAGTAACACTGCTATACACCAACAATGACCAAACAGGGAAACAAATCCAGAACTCAGTCCCTTTTACAATAGCTGCAAAAAAAAAAAAAAAAAAAAAAAAAAATACTAAGGAATATACCTAACCAAGGAGGTGAAAGATCTCTACAAGGAAAACTACAAAACATTGCTAAAACAAATTATCAATGACACAAACAAATGGAAACACATCTCATGTTCATCTATGGGTGGAATCAATATTGTAAAAATGGCCATACTGCCAAAAGCAATCTACAAATTCAATGCAATTCCCATCAAAGTAGCATCATCATTTTTCACAGAACTAGCAAAAATCATTCTAAAATTCATATGGAACCAAAAAAGAGCCCACATAGCCAAAGTAAGACTAAGCAAGAAGAACAAATTTGAAGGCATCACGTTACCCAACTTCGAACTATACTACAAGGCTATAGTTATCAAAACAGCATGGTAATGGTGTAAAAAGAGGCATGTAGACCAATGGAACAGAATAGAGAACCCAGAAATAAAACCAAATACTTACAGTCAACTGATCTTAGACAAAGCAAATGAAAACATAAAGTGGTGAAAGGACACCCCAGTCAACAAATGGTACTCAGATAATTGGCAAGCCACATGTGGAAGAATAAAGCTGGATCCTCATCTCTCAGCACATATAAAAATTAACTCAAGATGGACCAAAGACTTAAATCTAACACTGGAAAGCCTAAAAATTCTAGAAGATAATATTGGAAAAATCCTTCTAGACATTGGCTTAGGCAAAGAGTTCATGACCAAGAACCCAAAAGTAAATGTAACAACAACAAAAATAAATAAATAAATAAAGGAGATCTAATTAAATTAAAAAGCTTCTGCAAAACGAAAGAAATTATCAGCAGAGTAAACAGAAAACCCAAAGAATGGGAGAAAATATTCATGAGATGTGCATTTGACAAAGAACTAATACCCGGAATTCACAAGGAACTCAAAAAAGTCAGCAAGAACAAAACAAATAATGGAATCAAAAGTGGACTAAGGAGATAAATAGACAAGTCTGAAAAGAAGATATACAAATGGCCAACAAACATGAAAAAAACTCAACATCACTAATAATCAGGGAAATGCAAATCAAATACCACAATGAAATACCACCTTACTCCTGCAAGAATAGTCATAATTTAAAAATCAAAAAATTATAGATGTTGGCTTGGATGTGGTGAAAAAGGAATCATTTTACAAAACTGCTGGTGGGGATGTAAACTCATACAACCACTATGGAAAATAGTATGGAGATTCGTTAAAGGACTCAAAGTAGAACTACCATTTGATCTAACAATCCCACCATTGGGTATATACCCAGAGTAAAAGAAGTCATTATGTGAGAAAAAAAACACTTGCACGTGCATGTTTTCAGCAGCACAATTCTCAATTGCAAAAATATGAAGCCTGCCTAAATGCCCATCAACCATGAGTGGATAAAGAAAATGTGGTATATGGCCGGGCACGGTGGCTCACACCTGTAATCCCAGCACCTTGTGAGGCCAGGTGGATCACGAGGTCAGGAGATCGAGACCATCCTGGCTAACACAGTGAAACCCCGTCTCTACTAAAAAAATACAAAAAATTAGCTGGGCGTGGTGGTGGGCGCCTGTAGCCCCAGCTACTCGGGAGGCTGAGGCAGAAGAATAGCGTGAACCCGGGAGGCGGAGCTTGCAGTGAGCTGAGATTGCGCCACTGCACTCCATCCTGGGCGACAGAGCAAGACTCTGTCCGGAAAAAAAAAAAGAAAAAGAAAAAGAAAGAAAGAAAATGTGGTATATATACACCAGGAATACTACTGAGCCATAAAGATGAACAAAATAATGGCTTTCACAGCAACTTGGATGGAGTTGGAGACCATTATTCTAAGTGAAGTAAGTCAGGAATGGAAAACCAAATATCGTATGTTCTCACCTATAAGGAGAAGCTAAGCTATGAGGAAGCAAAAGCATAAGAATGATACAAAGGACTCTGGGGCTTCGGAGGGGAAGAGTGGGAGGGGGTGACAGATAAAAATCTACATATTGGACACAGTGTACTCTGCTCGGGTGATGAGGGTGCCAAAATCTTAGAAATTACCACTGAAGAATTTATCTATGTAACCAAAAACAACTTTTTCCCCAAAACTATTGAAATAAAAAAAATTAAATTAAAAAAAAAAACAATGTGATGCTTGAAATCAAAAGTTTTGGAGGGGGAGCAGTGACTACTAATGACAAGGCCCATAGTTTGGTCATGGAAGCTAGAAACCAAAGTGAGAGTGAGAAAAAGAATTTTGAAGGTGATGTAAAAGAATAGAAGAATCAGTTAACTTGATCACTTATGTAGAGGTTGAAATTCCTGAAAATGCAAGCAGCAGAACTAAAAAATAAGATATTGAATGAGAAACAAAGTCTTCATGATTGTTTGTAGATGAAAGCCGTAATAATAAATGGTAAAGAAGAATACCATCAGCTATGAAAAAGCTAGGGTTTGGAAAAGTAAGAAAAGATAGTCATGCAACAGCAGTTGGAAATGAAAGTCCATATTTATCCCATCTCCTGACCTTGAAATAATGAGATATGAAAGGAAATGTAGTCTCTCTTTAACAGATTTTCCAGGGAAAAGGATGATGGGGGGACACTGCCAAATTTTACAGTAATTTAGTGAAGGGACTATTCAGAGAAGAGACTGATGGTTTAGAAGGGGGTTACCAACCAAGGGGTTAGAGTTCCAGAGGGTTTGGGGAGGAAGGAGGACAAGTGGGGATTTTAGACAGTAGTCTGAACCCAAAGTAAATTTAAAAAAATAAATCGACTCAGATCTCACAGCTCCCACCCTCCACATGCGCACACTTACCACTGTTACTCTGTTACCTCAAAGCTGAGTGACAAAGTTTTATTCTCAGTTGGGTCCATGATTTGTGGTGTCCTCCCTGGTTCATCTGTAAAATGAAAACAACATCTGTGATGTAAAATAAAATCGTAGGGGTTAATTTTCTTTAGCATATTTGAAATTAGTTACGGAAGGGAGGCCTTAGGACGAATAAGGTAGTATTATTCTTGAAATATAATTATTTTGTTATAATAAATCTTCTAGACAGGATTTGTATGATATGAAACTTTGGAAAATTTTAACCAACTTTTAGAGCTTTTTTTAATCTCACTGCACTGCATTTTTCTTGAGTACCTGACCAAAAAACTGAGGAGTTTCTTTTGTTACTAGTTATTTTACACTCTTCAGATATAATAAAAAATAATAACAGAAATGAAAGGTTTGAAGTCAGTAGGCTTTTCTCAAAAGAAGGCAAGATTTTTGTCTTCCCAGTGCTTAGGCTGTTTTGTCCTTTTGCTGCAAATCTAAGAAGCCCACTAAATGAGGTCCATTTTAAATGAAAATGTTTTAATATTATAATGTATGGTCTAGGGTTAATTTTTATTTATGGTGATATCTACCTTTGCTATAACTAAAATTTCCTTAATCTGATGAGTTACTGATCTCAAGGCACTCTATATCAATAATCTCATTTGATTCATAAAGCAATGTCCCAGTTTGGCATGGATTTGGTATAATTTCCCTTTTATAGATGAGAAAACTGACTTTTTAATGGTTAAAACATTTACCCATTTCAAAAAGTTAAAACTGGAACTCAGATCATCTGATTTCAAACCTGGGACTCTATATAAAATCATAAGACTTTCTCATGATAATGTCTAAGTCTTCACTGTTTTTTTAATTCAGTAAATATGATATTAAATACTAGTATGTATTCATTGTATCTTTTATTCTTAAAAAAAACCTAAAGCTCAGATGAATACTATATTACTTTCCTGGGTCTGCAGTAACAAATTACCACAAACCTGGTGACTTAAAATCACATAAACGTATTCTTTCACCGTTCTGGATGCCAGAAGTTCGAAATCAAGGTGTCAGTAGGCCATGCTCCCTGTGAAGGCTCTAGGGGAAAATCCTTCTTTGCTTATTTCAGCTTCTGGTGGCTGACTTCATCTTTGTGTCTGCATACTCCAATCTACTCCCTACTTCACATGGCCTTCCTTTCTGTGTGTCATATCCCTTTCTCTTTTCTTACAAGGACACGTCATTGGATTTAGGATCTACCCTAATCCAGGATGATATCCTCATCTCCAGATCCTTAATGTAATTATATCTGCAAAGACCCCTTTTCCAAATAAAGTCGCATTCAGTTTCCAGGACACAGACTTATCTTTTGGGGACACCACTATTAACCCACTATAGATGCTCTTTCCTAAAATATACCAAATCAAGACAGAAAGTGTAGTGTCCCTACATAACACCTGACATCTATAGTTGGAAAATGTTAGATAAGTAACATTTTATAGCTCCAATTTTGAAAGTCAGTTGGAATCTGAATAAGTAGAAGATATAAACCATCCATATGTGTTATACTAAAACCTTTTAAATACTTTCAAAAGTTAGCAGGTATTCAAAGTTTGCCAGTTAGAATTGTAATGGTGATTTTTTAAAATAGAAGTAAAGTGTTTACAGTAGTAGGGCTCGGGAACTATTACCTAAATTGATGTTCCCATTCAATAGGTCACAGTCAGGATATTTGGTAGATGTGAGCTCTGTTCACTGATAACCAAGTCTCCTTTCCTTCTGGACAAATAAGAAGAATATACATCCCTTCCTCCTGGAAGTTAAGCATGGCAAAACTGATAGGTATCACTCCCAGGAAAAAAATTTCAATTGTTGGCACTTAACTCTGTACCCCACTTTTTCTCTGCCATGAGTATTGGAAAATTGCATCGCTAAGGAAGGACAATACTGAGCCATCACATAGAAGACAGCTCAGCTGCCTGGAGAGTTCTCGAGGCTCATAGTAGACTTTGTATGAAACAGAAATCTTCATACGATAAGCTATTGAAATATGAGTTCTTGGCTTTTACAGCCTAACCTAATCCATGCTGACTAAAACAGTTATTTATGCTAGGATTGGATGCTGCTATGAAAAAAAAAAAAATCTCTAAAACATGTGGCATACACTTAGCGGTTGACCCTATAGGGCATGGGGATTGTGAATGGCCACCCCCCGTGGAGGCTATAAAGTGGCAATTAGTCATATGCAATGGCAAAGCATTTGGTAATATTATTACCTATGAAAATTTATAAGACAGATCTTATGCAAAATAAACTATTGCACTAAGAGAAAAACTAAAAAACAAAATCAGAGTGTCTGGGCATTGATGTTGTCTGCAATTGGCAAGGTATAATAAAATAGAAAAAGAGACAGTCTCAGAAAATAATAGATGAGTTTGCCATCAGGAATAAAAAGAAGTAGAGGTGTACAAAAATTTGAGGACTAGTGGGATTAGAAAAAGAAAAAACTCAGCTACAAAAGAACAAACGATAAAACTGAGAATGACTTTTGCGAAACAAAAAGAAGAAGTCTAAGCCTCAAGGCAAGGATCTAACCAAGGGTATTGGTACCACACCAAGTTAAAACTTGGGAATGGATTAACATGTCTCAGAATAAAGATATAATTTAAAGTAGAGGCCCCATCCAGCCTTTCAACTGGACAAAAATAGTTAAGGAAAAGAGACTAGGTGTATGACTCTGACACTGAACTTCAATAGATTTACTGGACAAGCAACTGCAAACACAAAAAGAGAGGAAGAGAGAGCATGAGAGCAAATATTCTAGGAATTAAACATTGAGAAAACTTGTGGGCATGGAATTGGTACATGGAGCTGTGCAGAATCAAATAGCTGAGAAGCCTATAAAACCTTTGAAAGAAATTCACTGCTAAAGAAAAGCCCTTGACTGGACTCAAAGAGATTGTGGCTATGTGAGACATAAAATCACCTTGGTACTTAACACTCCTCAGGCAGGCAATGAACTAAGAAAACTGCTTATTCCTCAAGAGAGACTTTTCCCCAGTGCCTATTACAGATGTGACGAAGTAGCATAAAAGATGAATTGATCCTTCTACAGTGTAGAACCAGGAGTCACCAAGAACAACAGACTGGGATTCTCTCCTCCCAGGAAACAGAAATGAGGCTTAAACAAGGAACATTTCCCACTCCCAGTAAAGACATTCCTCACAATGATTGTCGCCCCCAGCAGCTTGACTAAATTACCACACTTGAGTAACTGTGAGTTTCTGAATTGTCCTTATTCCTTTATATTCTACTGATTATGAAGGGAGAAAATAACTTTTGTCTCCATATCAAAGGTGTCCCATTCTTACCTGACTTCCAGGTACTACACAGACATCTTGGACTTCATGCTGTATGAAGAGCTTGCATAAGACTTTTAGAGGGTTGCTCTTATGGAGGGATTGAATGTAGGATTGGGAAACAAAAGAGGAAAGAATATTTGGTTATCAGAAGAGTAGTCTATGGCTGACTTTACAACTGTTTATCAATACCAATTCCTTCTCCTTTCAGGTATACAAGATAATCTTATTCACTTCCAGAAGTAAGATGTGACCTCTCGACTTGCCTTGGCTAATTAAATTTGAGCAGAAATGATGTGTGTCAGTCCTGAATAGAAGCATTTAATTGTAGGCACTTGATTTTCTAATGTCTTTTGCCTGCCCTGACAATTTTAGAGGCACATATTGGTAGAGATGCCATGCTAAGCAATCAAATGGCAGAACACTGCTCTGTAGAGTCTCCTAGACCCATGGAAGAGTGAAATAAGTGAGACTTCTTTTCTGTCTTAAGCCACTGAAATTTCTTTCTTTGTTATTGTGGCATAATTTAGCCAATCTCAATTAAATCAAGATGAATACCAAAATCTGAATAAATGTGTTTCCCAGTTTTCTAGCTTCTTGTTGTTATTGAACTCATTTTCTAAAGAACTGTTATACTTTTAAATAAATTATCTAATAGGTAATGTAACACATTGTAGTTTTAACCTGATAGTTTGCAATATGGTACATTATTTTATATCTGGTTAATATTTCTTTAAAAATAAGAGTAATTTCAACCATACTAAGAGCAAATTGTTTGATTAAAAATGAACAATTGCATTCTAAATCATTCTGATAAGTAGTGTTCTCCCTCATTAAAAAGAAAAAATTGTAGCTACTTGGGAGACTGAGGCAGGAGGATCACTTGAGTCCAGGAATTTGAGGTTGCAGTGAGTGATGACCGTGCCACTGCACTCCAGACTGGTCCACACAGGGAGACTCTGTCTCAAAAATAAATAAATAAACAAATAGGGAAGAATAATACTTTCAAGTGATTTAAAAAAAATATGCTTGGAACTTCAGTGTCATTAGCATATCGGCATTTCCTTTTAGCATAAACGCATCTATCTTAAAACCCAGGCATTTTACTTGATCTGGGGAGTGAAAAAGTTCTGTAGACCAAGAAAATTACTTAGCTATGAAATATGTGATAAATGCTTCGACAGTTCTGTATTTGCCCCCAGCTATAAAATATATTTCTTCTCCTCCCCAACTCTGCTGTCACTTTGAAAACCATCCAATAAATTGGTCATACCTATCATAGTTACTTCTAGGCAAGCGAGAGAGAGAGAGTGAGAGAGAGAAAGACATAATTTCTTGAATTTAGATCAGAGTACCTTTGCCTGGAACCAATTAATTCTTTAAAGCCACATTAACCCTCTCCAAGGCCAAATAGGAAATGCAAAATACCTTCTTACTGGTGTAAGTATTTGAAACAAACCTCCTGCAAAGTCATTGTTGTCAGAATGTCCTACTATCAGAAAGGGTAGATTCTGCAGTATCTTGCCAACAAAGAAAATTCTCCATAATATTGTTTACTACAGAAAGCTTAGCTGCCACTGTTTAGCTGAAGCCAAGAACTTTGTCAATTACTCTTTAGCTTATCCATGAGTCTGTGGGCATAATCAATAGTACACATTCTAGTTATAGTTATATTTTTAGGCAAATTACCTATGGGACCTACCAGTAGCTACCTACTAGTACAGGTTTCCAACATCCCCCAGTGGTAAACCAAGAGAGCTCCCAGAAGAAGGGTATTTACACCTTTAAGGACAGACTTATCTTGAAGGCTCACATATGGATCACAAATTGCCAGGCGTACATGCGTACACTGGGTCTACTGTGGGCCATACAGAATCACGTCCCAGTCCTTTGATTATGTACTGTCTTGTCCCTGTCTGGATGACTTTTCAGAAGCTGACAGAGCTTTTACAATTTAATTGGTGTTGACACCTTTTGAAGCCATGCCTTGAGGCACTAAGGGTCATTGTCTGCTTTCTCTGTTTCTCTCCAATGCCTCCACTTGGCTACCTTGCAGCCTGTGGTGCCTGGCTGGCCCCTGCACTTTTTATTCATGTTCATACTTGTTCTGGGTCCTGTTACAAGAGCCCTTGTTAAATGCCCAGCAGGCAGCAGTGAATGGAGATTTTGACTATGTGGGATTTGAGGCCTCTGGCAATAATGGAGAATAAACTATAAATACAAATGTATCCCTGTTGTGGACTGTGTTGTTATCACCAAAGATTTATTCCAGAGGACCTCAGACCTAAGTTACTTTCTGTGCATGCTCGAGGCTGTAGGCCTTACAATTAGGTTTCTGCTTTCCATTCTCAGGATTCTCTAACTATGACTTTTCCTCTATCATTATTTCCAATTTGGTATCTTCTTCCTTCTTTTAGAAACAATCTCTTATAGCAGTTGTAGGAATATCGTTATGATTCTGACTTGCCTTCCAACTTTGTTATCTCAAAGTTTAAGAACAAAACAAAGGGTGAATTCTACATTGTTTTTCAGATTCAGTTCTGCAAAAGAGTGTTTTCCCCCCAAGAGTCATGTTTAACAGGCAACTTAGTGACAGGCTGAATAACTGTCATCTTTTATAGAGGTTTACTTAATTTGCTATGTGAAAAAAAAAAAATCAAAATTTCCAGTCAGTGTTATCAACTACCTATAAAATTGCAGATGATCAAAAAATTACTTATTCACAAGTTCTACTAAAAACCTTCTTTCTATGAAAGTATTAAGATCTCTAGAAAGGCTTTTGTTTCCTCTTACCTGATTGTCAAATTTATATGGTCTATAGTAAATATAATAAACCAGATGCTTATATTTTTTAAAAGTAGATAAAGAAGGTATATCAACTTTTATAGTGATTGCTGTTTTAGAAGATAAAATATATTAGAGAGAAAAGTGTATTCTGAAAATATTTGCATAGATGATTTTATAAAATAACATAAATTAAATAAAGCACTAACTTCAATGTTCATATTTTTACATAATCCAAATCTACTGACTTTTCAGGTCATTAGAAGAATCAAGTCATAAACAAAAATATTAATGATTTTAGTAATAATTTTCCAGTGAACTTTATAACTAATTTCCTCCAAATATAAACATATTATGAGAAAATTCACAAGAGGCATGATTTCTGTTTGATTATATTGCCAACACAAGATTAAGGCTGAGATCCTTTGTTTTGACAAGAAATAATTAAATTCCCACAAAACTAAAGAGACAGCAAAATAAAAATGAGCCCAAACCATGAGAAAGGATAACTTACCTGGACAAAGAGACATTTGAAGGACAAGTTCATCTTTCCACCTGTGAAAACTCTTACAAATGAAAGACAACCTGCTTTTCTTCCAGTACACCAAGGCCAGGGAAAGATGAAACTATTTCTAGTTATACTTAGTAACAAAAGCAACATTAAAAAAAATATGAATTTACTAATAGTGAGGAATAAATGGTAATAGAGTTCATGCAGCTGAAAGTGGAGATGTGACTCTGGTATTTAACTTTCTGCAGTATGTCAGCTATGGAGGAGACAGAGAAGAATCGTTGTTAGTCTGTGTCAAGGGCGAGGTTTCTCATTGCCATTTTTGTTAAGTTCTGTGATTTGAGGAAATTACTGAACTCTGCAGTTCAGTCTGTTCATCTGGGAAACAGAAGTTGACTTGCCTAGGTCGTTGTAATGTGTCAGTAGATAATAGATATGCCAGAACCTACGATAGAGCAATGAAACTAATGGCTTGTTATGATTTCATTGGATTTTTGTTCTTTTGGTTTTATTTTTGTGGTCTTTGTCTGTTTGCTGCTGTTTTGAGATGTGACACAATAATTTAGCTTTTGTACCACTGAAGGCTTCATATGTTTTGGGATTAAAACTCACTCATAGGTGGGAATTGAACAATGAGAACACATGGACACAGGAAGGGGAACATCACACACTGGAGCCTGTTGTGGGGTGGTGGGCGGGGAGGGATAGTATTAGGAGATATACCTAATGTTAAATGACGAGTTAATGGGTGCAGCACACCAACATGGCACATGTATACATATGTAACTAACCTGCACGTTGTGCACATGTACCCTAAAACTTAAAGCATTAAAAAAAAAGATCCTTTACTATAGCTTCCAAACAAAACAAAAACAAACAAACAAAAAAGTCTAAAACATTTTCTATAGCTGGTATGTCCTTCTGGAAGATCTGAAGAAAATCACTGGGACACCCATCAGAAAACCATAATTCTGGGTTGGACTTTACCAGTATATATTGTGGGGGAAGTAATTTTAGGCATTACTTCAGAGGTATAACTATAAACCCTTGTTATGAAAAAGCCTACATGAAAAGGAAAGGAATCTCCAGAGAAGAAAAAAACTTTAAAAATGCCAGGTATGCAATTATGAATAATGAAATACTTATAGCTTGATATTGAAAGAAATATACCATATCTGGAAAAACAGAATTACATATAAATAAATCAAACCAATAGGACTCTCTGATGTAGTCTCAACTCCAGGATAAATAACAATGTGGTGCCATTTATATAGCCATTCATCATATTCCTTTCACTGCCTATTTCCAGGTCTTGTGGCTGGGGATGTTTAAAGGAATAAAATATATTTTATGTCCTTAAGCTTATGCCCTAGTAAGGACCTCCCTCCTATTCACCTAAACTGAATCCCATATAGGAATCTACCAAAATAACTATAGCACTTCATTGACTTTATTTGCTTATCGATGAGCCTCCTCACTAGATTGTCACATCCATGAAGAGCAGAGGATGTGTTTTATCCATTTCACCTCTCAAGCATTTTCACAGATCCTAGTATATAGCGAGAATTCAATAAATGCATATCAAATGAATATTAATGAATTAATTGGTGAATGATAAATTAATGGAGAATTAAAGATGACCCCACAGTTACTACTTTGAAGTACTCACAGAATGGAACTACATCATTATTTTTCAGATGTCATTCCCTGATAACACCAAAATGACCTTCCCTGGTTATATACCACAATGTAAATACTTTATTTTTTTTTTTTACATATACTTGATTGCTCCTTGTCTATAGGTTACAGGAGACTTGTCACTCCTGTTCTCCACCCTATCTCCAGTATCTTGCCAAGTGCCAATCATGTAGAAAGAACTAAAGCAATGTGTTTTAAATCAATTAATGGACTGACTGTTACAGAAAACAAAAATTTGAGAGCGTGCTTCAGAAGAAGAATAAGAAGGAACTGGATTGTGGGTGTGTATAATTTGAGACAAAAGCATCCAAACTAAGTGAAGATACCCCGCAAGTTGCTGTGAGATTTGTTCTCAAACCAAAAAGGGGTCAGGGTTGGAGTCGTGGGTGTATAGAACTGGGTGTCATCTCTTCACTTAGGTTCAGGGCCTAATACACAGTAGACATTAAATAAGTGTTTGTTGAAAAGTTGCTGAAGGCAGAAATTCTTGAGAGAAAGGGATCAAGAGAGCACAAGAAGGAAATGATTTATCCCACACTGTCACATTTTCTTTTATTACTGTAAAAAACAAGAGTCCACATTAGTAAGAATACAGAAAAAACTAAATATACAGGAAAGTTGAAAGTTTGCCTTCCATAATAATTGAATTAAGCTACATTTGTATATATAGTACATGTAACCAATCTTTGTTTAAAAAATATGGTCAAGCTACTAGTTATATTTTAAGTAATCGTTGATTATAAGAAAAGCCTTGGTTAAATTTATTAAAACAAACATTTAGTTGTGATTGTTTAACCCTGTATTAATACAGAGACCATCAGAATTCAAAGCATTGGAACTGGCTTATGTTATTCTTTCAGAGAAAGACCTTCACTCTTCTCTGATGCCTTTACAAATGGTTAAAATGAGAAATGTCTTTTCATTTCACTTTTGTAATATTACACTTGAAGATGATTCAATCATAGAAAAAGAAGGAAAGTAAGATATTGCCTTATCTAATGTCTTTATTTTACAGAAGAGACATTTAAGCCAGGAGGAAAATGATCATTTTTACTATTTTTTCAGTGTACTTTCTTTCTGTTGTTGAAAAATGAAAATCAAATGGTTCAATAGATTTTCCCTTTTGCTTTAGTTGCTAAAAAACCTTAGAGCAAAGTCCACATATGGTTCTTAAAAACCTCTGAGCATAGTACTTTCTTGATGAACTCTCTCCTATTTTTTTTTTTTTTTGGTAAAAATTTGTATCCCAAGTTGTTATTTAATCAATAAGCCACTTCAATCCATTTCAAAAGAAGACCAGATACTTAAAGAGAATTCTAAAGTAGCAATTACTTGTAAAATAACTGCAGTTAGCTCTTGATTTTTAGAACAGGTTTTTCTTTTTCTTTGGGAATCGATCCAGCAAGATATTAAACATCACAATGTCTTTTAGTGATTGATATAAATAATAAGCATAATTTTTTTTTTTTGAGACGGAGTCTCGCTCTGTCGCCCAGGCTGGAGTGCAGTGGCGCCATCTCGGCTCACCGCTGCCTCTGCCTCACGGGTTCACGCCTTTCTCCTGCCTCAGCCTCCCAAGTAGCTGGGACCACAGGCACCCGCCACCACGCCCAGCTAATTTTTTGTATTTTTAGTAGAGACAAGATTTCACCATGTTAGCTAGGATGGTCTCGATCTCCTGACCTCGTGATCCACCCGTCTCGGCCTCCCAACGTGCTGGGATTACAGGCGTGAGCCACCGCGCCTGGCCAAGCATAAAAATTTTACTCCAGAATAAGTTACTATAATGTGTTCATCTAATGGAGGCCATGCTCTGAAAAAAAAAAAAAAACAAAAAAAAAAACTCTCCAAAATAACCAAGAACTATTCCAAAACGTGTGTGTGTGTGTGTGTGTTTGTGTGCATGTTTTAGAAAAAAAGCAACAATGACAGTACTACCTAAACAAAGTCAGAACATCAGCTGGGGAACATCCAAGTTATTCTTAGTGTCATAAATGAACAGAGTTTGGCCTCGAAGTAACTAAATAGTGTATGGTTGTCCATTAGAAGAGGAGACACAGGAACATTGTTTCCTGACAAATCGGCATCATTCAATGTACCTCAAACATCCTGGAAATCTATCAACAACATAGATGAAGGTGCAATGTCCAGCTTCGTCTTTTACAACCCTTTTGCCAAACTTCTCTCACCCAGTTTCCTTAACTATATAATGGAAATAATAATAGTATCTACTTCATAGAATTTCATGAAGTGTTAATAAATGACAGTCTCAATATGGTAGTTACTAATTATCATTATTATTCTTTACTAAGCATCAATTACGTGTGAGGTACTGAAGTTACTGAAATTTAATAGCCAGAATAGTATAAGTCATGGTCTTTGACTTAAAAAAATAATAATGAACACCTCAAAAAATCCCATTTGGTATATACAGGAAGTGAGACTTCTGATTTTAAAAAAATAATAAATTTAATGTAATGTCACTTATGAAAATACAGCTTTAGAAATACAGATTTAGAGAAGTTAATGCCTCACACTGGGCTACAGTAGTACAGTGGTCTTCTAAGGAAAGTGGAACTTAATCTGAATATTATTAATAATATCCAGCTATTGTTTCATGAATATTCATTATTTGCTGGCTGTCATTTTTTTTAATTTTCAAGAAGGCACTTTATTCAAACTGAAGTTCTATTAGTACTATGATAAATAAATCTTTTTTTCATTTCGTAGACATAGAATAAAAGGTATTTTATTCTTCTACACACATTTAAATTTTTTAAGTTTCATGATTGAAAACAAGATACTACTCTACATTCCCAACTTTTAATTCTAATGATATGCTTGTTTAAATAGCCAACATTTCTGAGGGTAAATTATATTTTGTCCATAAAAAGATCACATTGTGTAATTATCATGCTTCCCATGATGATGTTCAGACAACCTACGGCACTAGAGCAGGATGCGGAACTTGACATACCTATAGGAACTATCTCCAGACAAGTAGGTGTCCACAGTGTGTTGCTAAAATTTCAGTCACAATTCATTCATATAACAAATGGCTGTTGAATAACTAATGTTCTACAACACAGATATAAATAAAACTAAATCTGATCTCATGGGGTTACATTTCAGTAAGAAATAACATCAAATAAACGTGTGTGTGTGTGTGTGTGTGTGTGTGTGTGTGTGTGTGTAATGTCAGCTGGAGATAACTCCTAGAAAGAAGAATAAAGCAGAGAAATGAAGCAGAGAACCACAGGTGAGAGGGGAACAGGTGCTAATTTAGATGGGATGTTCAGGGAAGACCTCTACAATGAGGTGATCGTTGAAGAGAAAACTGGAGGAAGAGAGGAATAAACCATGTGACTATTGGGGGCAGAGGAATCCTAGGCAGAACAAGAACGAAGACCCTGAGGTGGGAGAGCTTTGTATGTATAAGGACTAGGAGGTCAGTGGAGCAGAAGGAGAGTGGCCAGTTGGAGATAGAGTAGAGGACCAGATCCAACAGGGTTCTATAAACCATAGAAAGAACATGGGATTTTTACTCTGAATAAGATGGGAGCCATTGAGGATCTTAGAGATGAATAATGACAGTATCTGACTTCTATTTTAGAAGGAGTAATGCTTGCTGCTGTGAAGAGAACAGACCACATGGCAGCAAGAGTAGAAGCCATGAGATCAGCTAAGAGGTTATTGCAATGCTGTTGCAATCATTCAGTGAGTAACAATGGTGGCTTGCATTGGGGTGGTGGCAGGGGAGGTAGTAAGAAGTGATTGGATTTGAGTTGTGTATTAAAACAGAGTATTTGCCAATGCATTGGATGTGGAAAATGGAGCAGGCTTTTACTGAAACAGGAAAGACTGGGAGAGAAGCAAACTTGGTGGGGAATCAATAATTCAGTTTTGACTGAATAATTTTGAAGTAACTCAGAAGTGCAAGTGAAGGGAAGTCATTTAAATATATGAGTCTGGGATTGAAGACAGAGGTTTGGGCTAATCTGTATATTTGGGAGTCATCAGTATACATGTGTCATTTAAGGTACTCAGGACCAAAGATGGTCATCTAGGGAGAGAATGTGGATGGAGAAGAGATGAGATCCAAGAACTGACCTCTGAGGTTCTCTGTCATTAAGAAGCCAGGAAGATGAGGAGGAATAAGGAAAGTAAACCAAGAACAGCCAGTGTGGGTGCAAAGGAACTTTTATGTGCTCAGCTTTGCAATGTGTTGCTGATTGGATGCATAAGATGGGGACTGAGAAATAACTTTTGGATTTGCGATGTAATGGGTGACATTGTCTAGAGTAATTTCAGTATTAATAGCCGTAATAATGACAACAAATGCTGTGCCAAGTTATTTCCCTGTTTTTCTCTCAGCTGCATTCTTATACTTGTGTGCTTTGCTCAGCTTTGTATGGGCAAGGATTTGCCAAATTACATTTCCCACATTCTTTTGCCAGCTGACTCTCTGTTAGGTTCTGCCAATAGGACAGCACTGGCGGGAGATGAGGAGGCTGGACTGGAGATAAGAACCCTGCTTCTGATTCAGATAGTTGTTGCACTTGCTGACAGTTGCTGGAGGTGCTCTAGTGGCACTGAGGGTAGGATGAAAAGGTAAAACCTTGTTAGGGTTTTCAGACCTCATGGAGGCTGCTTGTCTACTGAGGAAGCAGAACTGACAGTAACAGCCCCTCCAGCAGCAAAGCAATAGGTATAAACACCTGGGCTCCAGCTCTGGGGAGTTGCCAACTTCTGGTCTCTTTATTTCTTCTTATTAAAAACTTTAGACCCCTCCTTCCCCTTTTTGTTTTTTCAGCCCTTCTAGCCACCTTCATTAACCAATTCCCTAAATAAAATTCCCTCTGCTTGACATACTTGAGTAGTTTCTGATTTTCTGTCTGGATCTTGACATCTTTTTTTAGTCCTTCCTATAAAACAGACAGTGTGGTAGGTGCTTTCCAAAACATTTCATTAAATTCTTACAACAACCCTGTGAAGTGGGGACAGTATTTATTCCCATATTGTAGATGAAAAAAAACTGAATCTTAGAGAAGTGAATTAATTTACCCAAAGCCACTATCAAGTGAAGGAATCAAAACTTCTACCACAGTTTGCCCGATTCCAGAGCCTTTGTACTAATCAACATTCAATATTTTGCCTAAAGGGAATTTCAGTTGATTTATTCCTTTGAGTGGATTGAAACTTTCAGTAACTTAGAAGAAAAGGGTTGTAAAAACTCTAAATCATTAACATTGATCAATTGTGAATTATACAATTCTACCTGCCCTCCAGTTCAATAAGCTTCTCTATAATCTCTGTTCGTCTTTTTTTTATACTGAATACTTACAAAATTAGGGAATTAATTGTCTCATCTTTAAGTTGATTTTACTTTGTAGCAGTTTAAATGATTAGAAAATTCATTATGTAAACATCGGCTTTGGTATAACATTTTATCCACTGATTCTATTTGAACTGCTTGATTATACCAGACTGACATTTTCTATGTCTATTTGCCCTGCTGAGAAAATTTTAAAAACAGACTTTTAGGTCAGAATGGCACCTTGTACCTTGTGATTTTTAAACTCACCACAAGCAACTAAACCAAAGATTGTTGCCTCAGGCAAATAGCACCCACAAAATGGGGTGGCCAGAAAACTAGATAATTAGATAGGAGAACTCCATCCAACGAAGATAATTGGATGGAGTTATTATGTTTGCTGAATATTAACTGAAGCAATTAAAAAAACTTTTCCTTCCCAAAATTTAAATGTGTGCTAGAAACATACAGATAATATGGTGGGTACAAGCCTATAGATACATGATAGAAAGCAGTAGGTAGAATATAACATATTATAAACTAAGAATAAGCAAAATTTATGAGGTAGGTAGTGGATGCAATAACTAAACAATGATAGGAGAGGAAAGATTCAGAGGGTGGATAGCAATAGTAGAAGAAGAGATTAAGATTTGCTAAATCATAATAATAGGATCAATCAATCCATCAATTGATTCTAGGGGTAGCCAGATTAGGTTATGACATGATTGTATATCCAGAGCAAACTTCCACTGGTGATTGTAATCAGAATGCAATTCTACTATCTATGAAGTTTAAACTCTGCAGTTATTAAGACTTCTTCCTAGTCCCCTGTATTTTCTCATGAGTCATTTCCATTACTTGAGTATATCTCTGTTCCTTGAAATTTGAAGAACCTTAAAAACTGAACTTCAAATACAGGCAAAATTGTCTTACATGAAATCCCTATAAATAATTGAATACAGCTAGCATGTCCTTTCTAATTCTTCTCTTTTCCACATTAAACATCCATATACCCCTAATTTGTTCCTTGTAAAATCAAATTTCCACACTCTTCACCATTTGGTTGAACTCTAATTTATTAATGTCATTCTTGAACTATGAAACACGGTGGGAATACTTTAAAAAATAATTATTGAGTGCTTCCTTCTTATAACTCTTTTTCTTTAGCTTCTGTAATAGCTGCCTTCAAGATGATTTTCATGCCACATTGGATCAGGGTTGTTTATGTGATAAATAGCATATGGCCAAAGTAAGGATCAATCATAAAAGACTCCTGGTTCAGCTTTGGGCTCGTGCTCTCTTGAGCTCTCTCTTTCTTTCTTTCTTTCTTTCTTTCTTTCTTTCTTTCTTTCTTTCTTTCTTTCTTTCTTTCTTTTTCTTTCTTTCTTTATCACTCACTCTTGAAGAATCCAACTGCTAGATTGTGAGGATCTTTCAATTGCCCATGGAAAGGTGCACCTTGTGATAAGGAACATAGACATCCAGGCAACAGCCAGTGAGGAACTAACGTTTGCTCCTGCAGATGATTTCAGCCCTGGCCAACACCTTGACTGCTACCTTATGAGAGACTCTGGACCAGAACCACCCAGTAAAGCAGCACCTGGATTCCTGACTCTCAGAAACACTGTTAAGTAAGGTTTGTTTTAAACTACTAAAGTTTGAGATGATTTTATGCACCAATAGATAACTAATACAGCTTCCATGACATATCATTTTTACATTCTCTACTTAGTTCACTAAATTCCATCCCAACTCTTCCTACAGCTATTATTTAAATGTTGACATTCAATAGAAATAATGTTTCTTACAAATAAATTAAAATGTATCCTGTGTTCATGGATTGGAAGAATTAGTATTGTTAACACTTCCATACCACTCAGAGTAATCTACAGATTCAACCCAATCACTATCAAAATACCAAAGACATTATTCGCAGAAATAGAAAAAAAATCCTAAAATTCATATAGAGCCACAAAGACCGCAAGTAGCCAAAGCAATTTTGTTGTTGTTGTTGTTGTTGTTGTTGAGACGGAGTCTCGCTCTGTCGCCCAGGCTGGAGTGCAGCGGCGCGAACTCGGCTCACTACAAGCTCCGCCTCCTGGGTTCACGCCATTCTCCTGCCTCAGCCTCCCCAGTAGCTGGGACTACAGGCACCCGTCACCATGCCCAGCTAATTTTTTGTATTTTTAGTAGAGGCGGGGTTTCACTGTGTTGGCCAGGATGGTCTCCATCTCCTGACTTCGTGATCCACCTGCCTCGGCCTCCCAAAGTGCTGGGATTACAGGCGTGAGCCACCGCCCCTGGCCGCCAAAGAAATCTTGAGCAAAAAGAACAAAACTGGAGGTATGGCACTACCTGACTTCAAAATATACACCACAATGTTACAGTAACAAAAACAGCATGGTATTAGCATAAAAACAGACACATAGGCCAATGGAACAGAGTAGAGAGCCCATAAACCAATCCATGTACTTACAGCTACCTGATTTTCAACAAAGTTGTCAAAAACACACAATAGAGAAGAGACAAGCTCTTCAACAAATAGTGTTGGGAAAACTGAGTATCTACATGCAGAAGAAAGAAATTAGACCTTTATCTCACACTGTGTATAAAAATCAACTCAAAGTACATTAAAGACTTAAATGTTAGACTTGAAGGTATAAAATTACTAGAAGAAAACATAGGGGACGGCTCTATGACATTGGTCTGGGCAATGATTTTTCAGCTATGACCCCAAAAGCACAGGAAAAAAAAGCAAAAATAGACAAATGGTATGCATCAAGCTAAATGCTTCTGTACGGCAAATGAAACAACAGAATGAAGAGACAACATGCAGAATGGGAGAAAATAGTTTCAAACTACATATCTAATAAGGGTTTAATATCTAAAATTTGTAAAGAACTCAAACAGCTAAATAACAAGGAAACAAATAACCTGATTTTAAAATGGGCAAAGGACTTGAATAGACATTTCTCAAAAGAACACATACAAATGTTAACCACGTATATGAAAAAAGGTTCAACGTCGCTAATCCTCAGGGAAATGCAAATTAAAACCACAATGAGTTATCATCTCATACCTGTTAGAATGGCTAAAATAAAAAAGACAAAAGATAAGTGTTGCCAAGGATGTGTAGGAAAGGGAATGCTTGCACACTGTTGGTTAAAATGTAAATTAATATAACATTATGAAAAATAGTATGGAGGTTCCTCAAAAGTTTAAACATAGAAATACCTTATAATCTGGTAATACTGCTACTGGTTATGCGGTTGACCCAGGAGCAACATGGGTTTGAACCACATAGGTCCACTTATCCATGGATTTTCTTCCACCTCTGCCACTCCTGAGATGGCAAAACCAACCCCTCTTTCTCCTCCTCCTCACCTACTCAATGTGAAGATGATGACGATGGAGAACTTCATAATGATCTACTTCCACTTAATGACAATAAATATATTTTATCTTCCTTATAATTCTCTTAATCATTTTCTTTTCTCTAGCTTACTTCATTATAAAAATAAGTATACAAGACATACAGCATACAAAGTATATATTAATTAACCATTTATGTTATCTGAAAGGCTTCCATTCAACAGTAGTTGAATTTTGGGGAAGTCAAAATTTAGACACAATTTTTTGACTCCATGGGGAGTTGGAACACCTAACCACTGTGCTTGTTGTTCAAGGACCAACTGTATAGCCAAAGGAAACGAAATCAGTATGTAAAAGAGATATATACACTCCCATGTTAATTGCAGCACTATTCACAATAGTCAAGATATAGAATCAATCTAAGTGTCTATTAACAGATGAATGAATAAAGAAAATGTGGTATAAATACACAATCAAATACTATTCAGTCATAAAAAAGAAGGAATTGTCATTTGCAATAACACAGATAACCTAGAAGACATTATAGTAAGTGAAATAACCTAGGCATAGAAAGAAATACCACATGATTTCACTCATGTGTGAAAGCCGAAAAAGTTTATCTCATCAAAGTAAGGAGTAAAATGGTGGTTACCATGGGCTGGGGCACTGGTGGGGGAGGAGGTTGGGGAAAGATTGATCAAAGGTAACAAAAGCTCAGTTAGCCAGGAGGAATAAGTTCAAGAGATCTATTGTACAACATGGTGACTATAGTCAATAAAAATATATTATATTCTTGAAAAATGCTGACAGTAGGTTTTAAATGTGCTCACTACAAAAATGACAACTTTGTGAAGTCATGCATATCTTGGTTGGCTTAGTCTGACCATTTTAGAAAACTGTCTTGTGCATAGTAAATATATACAATTTTATATGCCAATTTATAAAATTAAAGAAAAAATAAAAAGAAGAGGAAGGATTAAATATTGTCTCAGACTTCATTATATTTTTTTACTACTTCTGAAAGTCATTATTTATATCTAAGATTTTGAGTCACTAACTCACTGGATTTCCAAATTCATGTCTCTGGTGCCTATCTATTTTCTGCCAACTGCCAACTGACTATCTCCTCTTGGATGTCCCAAAGGCACATAACACACAATAAACCCCAAAACTAAACTTAATTGTTCTCTTCATACCATTTTTTCCCTTAAATTGGATTTTAGCATCACAATTTATGTAGCAGTGCAATGTGGACAATTTTCTCTTGCTCACCATCCACATTCAATTGCTTTCAAAGTCACATAATTTTCATCTATCATTTCTCTCAATTCTATCTCTTCCTTTCCATCCTTACTACCTTTGTTCAGAGGTTCTCTCTTTCACCTCTCTATTTTTTTCTTCACCCTACAGTTTGAATGATCTTTACAAACACAAGTCAGAGAAATCACTTGTAGAATAAAGAATTTGTCTTTCAGTGAAAAACAATGAATTTACTGGAAAACATCCCCCTCGAGATTATCTGATTCTTGTCTTTCACTATCTTTGAGTTACTTTTAAATGCTCTAAGTTGTAGGTAACAGATAAAATGTGATTTCTGGCCTGCCTAGTAGAGGGTCAAATAATTTCCCTTCCCCAGCTGTTGAGAAGCCAGTTTTGTCTCCATTGCATATTCATATCAACATTGCTTGACTCCATATAAATTTGTACTTCCTGACTTCTTCTATGAATCAGTTTTAACATCTGTCTAGGTCCCTCATGGGTTAAATAAACCCTTAACATGTGTTCATTTTTATATCTGTGTAAGAGTCATGATTTTACCCTTTTTAAAAAATTATCTTTTAACTTCTCTGCTGAAAATCATTTAAGGTCTCCCCAGTGTATATGGGATCAAGTCCAAACTCTTTACCATGACAACCATGGTCACTGACAATGCTGCTTTCCATCAAAACCCCAGTTTTCTCTGCTGCTGCTGCTACATACAGCCTATGCTCCAGCTAAACTACCTGCTGGCCTTGAGCATATTATGCTGTTTCAATGCTATGACTTTTCCATAATCTTCCTCTGCTTCTGGGTCTGGTAAATGCTATTGCTATGTCAAGCCCTCCCCATTAGAGATTAATACGTAAGGGCTTCCTCTTCCATGCCGTTTGCATTCATTCTTCTTTTTCACATTATATGGCATTGCTGTTTACAAATCCCTCTGTCCCAATAAAATGCTTATACCCAGAAGGATCATGCTGGGTTTACCACTATAACCTTAGTGTCTATCACAGTTTCAGTCTATCAAAGACTATTTATTGAACACCTGCAATATGCTATGCCTGTACAATATATGATTATGCTACAATATATGGGACAGAGCCCTTGTCCTTAAAGGGCTCAGAGTTCATTGGAAGAAAGGACCCAAATCTCATATTTTTTGTTAAATGATTATCAGTGAATGACTATCAAACACAAAAATGTGTCATATATTGTTTTTTCTTCCATTTACACTTCCTAGTATCAGCACCTTACCTTTCTATCCTGTACCAAGTAGCCATTTTAAGTTATTTTCTCTGCCAAAAAGACATCCTTTTGGCCTGAAGTAGAACATATAGTCTCCAAGACAATTATGTCCAAGTTAGGTTTAACTGCACACACCTTTTAGCCCACAGTAGATTGAGATTACTTGTTTCAAGGTTGAAGGGGCCTGAACTAACTTAGCTTCTCCCTTTCCTCACATGCAGTTCCAGAGAACTATAAGTTCCTAGGACCCACAATTTGTTCAAAAAAATTCACGGACTTAATTAATTATTAGACAAATAAGGATGAATGAATTAACATGGGTCAGACTTGGTGTTGGGTCCTGGGCTATTACTTTACATACTCTATAATACATCATCAGCCCAACCCAAGATAAATTAGTCTCCATAAAGCCACCACACATTATTGACTTTCTGAGTTACAGTCAAATGAAACACAAGGATTTTAGTTGAGTTCTCCCCTCCCCAATCCCAACAAATTAATTAGTATTGAATCAGACCACCTTCATTCTATAGTAGTATATCTTACTTAACTTTTCATTTGACTGGTTAAATTTTACCTTATATCTTTCATTTAAACTTAAGCATGTTTTGGTTTTGTTTGTTTGTTTTCATATGTTCATTCTCTCATTTAATATATCATGAGAAGTTGAGCTCGAGAATCAAAACCAGACTTCAACATCTCAGTAAAAGTCTCAATTTTTACTGTGCCCTCTCTGAGGCACCCCTAATGCTCTTCTGTCAAGAGAGTGCTCCATTTTCCTGAGGTAAGAGTAAACTCCGGTTTGTATTACACAAATTATTTGGTAATATTTTGTGGAGTCAGCATTTGACACCTCAGTCAAGCATATAGTCTCTAGAGGCACATGTGAACTAAGGGGAGAGCAAATGATCAGTTGAGCTGCATTATCTCTAATTGTCCAGAAAGAAAGAAATGCTGCTGCCAAGTCTCCCTGTCTTCTACAGACCATTAGTGCCTACTCCTGGGTGTTCATCTTCTTTACATTTGATAATTTCTAAAGGATGCTCTAGTAGTTAAAAGCACCTACAAAAAGAATGTAATATCTAACTGTTAGGATCGAATGTGAATTAAATAAGTTAATAGATGCCAAGTGCTGAGAACAATGCCAACACATAACACTCCTTAATATATTATAAAAAGAATTCTATCTTCATTCGAATCATTAATAAAAATATTAATCCAAACTAAATGAGTACAGACTTTCAGTAATTAGGAAAGAACCAATTTGGTATAAATCTTTTATTCAACAAGCTTTCCAGTACTGTGTTGTGAATGTAAATGACTACACTATCATTGGTATCACTGTATTTCCCCATTTCATCTACCAAAACATTATGAGAAACATAATGGTTAAAGTATTTTTCTATTAAATGCAATAATCCTGTGGGAAGAAAAGGAAGGGAAACATGGTTTGTGTGGCAGAATTTGTTCATATTGACTTGTTTTTACATTAGCCTTCACACTGGAAAAATTCCAAGAAGACAGTGTGTACGTTTGTCAAGGGGAAAATGTAGGTGGCAGGTGAAAGAGTGGAATAGGAAGTCAGGGACACTTGGGCACAAGGATGGCGAAGAGTCTCCATTTGGTATTGGGGTTTGGGCGAATCTTTGAGTAAATGTCAAGAGTCACAAAGCCAAATTTTACCTATTTAGCTTCTTTGCCAACACTGGAGATAGGAGTTAGTATGTTATTTTTCCTTTATCAAAGTGAGGAGTTGGGAGAGACACTAGATCAGCATTCCTCATAGCTCTCATGTTTCTAAATTCGTCTGAAGGCCCAAAGGCAAGAGATCACCAGCCTGACCTATGGATTTATGAGACTCAGCACCTTGTGGCTGGGATTTTAGAATGGACTTGCTTTCTTGCTTTACTCCTGGCTCTAAGTGACTTTCACACAATCAATCTCTGAAGTTTGCTCCCTTCAGGCTTAGTTTCCTAAAAGGATGCTGAAAACAAAAATGTAGGGAAAAAAATGCAAAAAGTCCCAGGAAGTTCACAGTGCCTGCAGGAGGCGGGTGAATTCCACATGCAAACCTGCAGTCTTTGTTGTGTATCTCAACCAACTGTGGTGACATTTCTAGTGGGATGTCACTACAGTGATGACCTGCTTATTTCCATTTCATTATTCAGGCCTCAGCTGGAGCATAATCCAAGGTTTAGTGCTGTTTCTAGGCCTTAAGAAAAAGAAACTATTTTCTTTGTACAGAAAAACTCTCTCTAGAGTAGCTGAAAGAATATTGTGTTGTCTTTTCATAATGCTTTTTAAACACCCTCTAAATATGAGCACAACACATTCAACCCATGAGAATCCTACAACCCCCAAGTAGGGAAATATTTTTAAAGAATATTATGGGTGTAAGAAATAGTTGTTTTTACCCAATTCTATAGCCCTTCAAAATTAGGGAAATTAGTCCTTTAGTGTGGAAACTATCCACAGCCTTACATTTAAAACACAATATGAGGTTATGGGATTTATTTTTTATTCACCCAAGGCAGAATGAAATTCTCCTGTCTGAAACATGAAGAAAACTTGTTTTTCCTCTGTTTCTTGAGGTTGCTTAATGAACAGAATAACTTTTCTCCCTTGTGAACTGCTTCTTGCTACAACAGTGGGAAGTGTAAGATAAAAAAGAAGAGCAAGAAGAGAAAGTGAAATAGAGAAAAAAGAAAGATATCCAAAATATAACTACTGTATAATAAAAGACTTTGAGTACAGCAATGATATCATATTCAAATCACAATGCAAAACAAATAAAGTTACCTGTTTATGTCACTGTAGGTGGAGGATGGTGAGAATTCTCTTAACAGTGCTACAGAGCAGAGCCAACATTTCTTATTGCAATTTAGGAAATGAATGCAATATAGCTTTCTCTTGTCTGGCTCACCTTTTAAAAAATTCTAATAAAAGAATAATTGAATCTGAGTAATAAGAATATCAGGCAAAAATTATATAGAATATTGGATTTATATAAACAGGCCCTCCAACCTGACATTTCTTAATACAAGGAAATTATCCTTTAAATGTTTAAATTGCTTCTAATTGTGAATTACAAAATGTTTGAAAAGAAATAAAATTTATTTATTTTAAAATATATGTTAAAAATTTGTATAAATATATGGGGTACAAGTACAATTTTGTTACATGTCTGTATAGTGGCAAAGTCTGGGCTTTTAGTGTATCCATCACCCACGTCATGCACATTGTACTTATTAAGTAATTTCTCATCAAACAACCCCCCTCCCCCCTCCACCCTCTGAGAATCTTCAATGTCTATGATTCCACACTCCATGTCTATGTGTACACGTTATTTAGCTCCCTCTTATAAGTGAGAACATGTGGAATTTTCAAATATACTTATTCTAACGAAGAAAGAAGAATGAATGAAACTCCAGTATCCAGTATCAAATTCTAAGTGTATTTGATATTAACATTTTAACTTTTGAAATGGAAATTGCTTGTTTAGGCTTATTTGCCTTTGAAACTAAATAAACATTGTAATCTTACTTAGACCATGGATTATTTTGTTAAACCTATATATACAGAGGAAAAGTATATTTGAGCCTGCTGTATGTGACACCTTGCAGATTTTACATTAACGAACTCTGTTTTGATAATCTGCTATGCTTATCCTACATGTGACCATATGGAGCCAGCAAAATGAATACTGAATGAAAGAATGTACTAATACAAGTTCACACAGAGGGAGAGAATGAACATTTTTTAGGGCTTATTTTTCTCAACTGCTTTCCAGAAACTTTTGCTTGTTTAAAATTAAATTTACATTTTTACTAGCAATATGAGAGTGCCATCTTGCAACATACTCACCAGCATTGAGTATTATTTTGAATTAACCTTTACCAGTTTAAAGGCCCCCAATAATGCCATTGTTATGTTAGTCTATAGTTGTTACATATAGATATATAGATATTTAACACCATTTTTGCTTATTTTTAGACTTTTATTATGGCAAATTTAAAACATACAGAAAAATAGAAAGCACAATATATTGAACTTCCATATACCCATTATCAACCATTATCAGGATTTTACAACTGTTAACATTTAGTCACATTTTATCTATTTTTTTATATGTAACAGACAAAGTCTTTTTTCTATAATGTCATTTTTGATAATGGCATTGTTCTAAAATAATAATATCAACATTAATGATTACAGGACCTCTGATTACAATCTAGATTTTTCTTGTTTTCTTGGGTTTAGGTTTATACAGTCAAAATACTATATTTTAAAATAAATTGAGATAATTTTTCCCTGTGTAGCTATTATGTCAACTTGAGATACAGTTGTGTCTGGAATTTATTCCTTCTTGTGGGTTCTTGGTCTTGCTGACTTCAAGAATGAAGCCGCGGACCCTCGCGGTGAGTGTTACAGCTCTTAAAGATGATGTTTCCAGAGTTTGTTCCTTCAGATTGCATGTGTGTCTGGAGTTTCTTCCTTCCAGTGGGTTCGTGGTCTCGCTGACTTCAGGAGTGAAGCTGCAGATGCAGACTCTGGCAGTGAGTGTTACAGCTCATAAAGGTGGCATGTCCAGAGTTGTTTGTTCCTCCCAGTGGGTTCATGGTCTCACTGACTTCAGGAATGAAGCTGCAGACGCAGACCCTCGTGGTGAGTGTTACAGCTCATAAAGGTAGGGCAAACACAAAGAGTAAGCAGCAGCAAGATTTATTGTGAAGAGCGAAAGAACAAAGCTTCCACAGCCTGCAGGGGGACCCCAGCCAGTTGCCACTGCTAGCTGGGGTGGCCAGCTTTTATTCCCTTATTTGGCCCTGCCCACGTCCTGCTGATTGGTCCATTTTACAGAGCGCTGATTGGTCCATTTTACGGAGTGCTGATTGGTGCATTTACAGTCCTTTAGCTAGACACAGAGTGCTGATTGGTGCGTTTACAATTCTTTAGCTAGACACAGAGCGTTGATTGGTGCATTTTTACAGAGTGCTGATTGGTGCGTTTACAATCCTTTAGCTAGACAGAAAAGTTCTCCAAGCTCCCACTGGACCCAGGAAGTCCAGCTGGCTTCACCTCTCACAGTTAGGTTCGTTTGTTTCCATTCATTTTTTATTTGAGAAATATTATTTGGTTTTGATTTGATTTGATTTGATTTTAACTCTGTAAAATATTAAATGGCTCCACATTCAAAGCTATAAAACAAAGTACAGAGAGCTCTAGCTTCCCACTTTCTCTCTCTACATTTGTAGATAACCAGTTTTATTGATGTCTGGTTTAACATGTAGTTGTTCCTTTTGAAATAAACAAATACAGATAAGTGTTCCTATTTGCCCCCTTTTCTAACATAAAATATAGCATTCTATATAGACTCTTCTGTTTCTTATAAATCTATGTTTATAGTTGTTTTATTGAGTCAGAACTCAAGCAGTCTATTCATTGCATATGGTGATAAGTAGTTTTAAGGATGCAGTTTGCTGTTTTATCATGTGTCTATAGTATTCATCTTTCTAACAAGATTCTAAACACCTTCAGTGCAAAAATTATGTCTATACTTTTACCATACTTTCCACACGACAAGATTCAGTGCCAAATACATAGTATGTATTTAAATTAATCATATTGATGTATTAATTACGAAAACATTTTAATATACTGTGATAATATGGTAGAACTTACCCACCCCTCTTTATAAGTCTACCCTTCCCTAAACAGACTTGTATCACAGTTTTGGTAACATTACATTTCATTTGCTAATCTACCTATCTCTTTCTGCCTTCTACAAAGTAAACTCTTTAAAGTTACAGGCTAAGCACCATTGACCATTCATCTTTGGTCCCTCAGTGTCCACTAGGGTGCCTGATATGTAGCAGACATTTAATAGATATCAGCTAAATTAAACTGAATCTACTGTAAGCAAGTGCCATTACCATTAAGAGTTGTAACCTAATTTGGGCTTAAGTTTTTATTTTAAGTTCTTACATGTTTCATGTTTATTTCTCAGTTCCCCGTATTATATATCTGCACAGTGTGGAAGGGAAATATGCTTTTCTCAAGTGGAAATGAAAACCCAAACCAAAATGAAATCCTAGAAAATGATTTGGAGAAAAGAATGTCTGAATTCTCTAAAAGGGGCTTGCAATAAGAAGATTATTGACTCTTCTTTGCCATCTGAAATTCTCCTCACTTATGAAACTATTTGTTCCTTCAAAATACATCTCAAGCTCTACCTACATTCAACCCAATATTTTGTTACATATTATCTGACAAAGTTCCTTAACTCTTTCAAAGTCCTTGTTATTAGTTTGTGGAGCTGGCACTTAGAATGAATCTAGTAAGTGTTTGCTAAATTGAATTGCTGTACTTTGAAAATTATGATATACTTTCAGATTTTGTAAATCATATAAGATTTCATAAAAATTAGCTTGAGGTAAATTGTAAGAATTCATAGTATACAAAAGGATTTTTAAATTGAGAACATTTGGTGAAAAAAATGTGTAAGACACAACAAGATAACATCAATAGAAGTTTGAGGTTAAGGAAAGGATAATATTAAGCTATGTTGCATACACAAAATAGCTGTGTAAGATTCACTACATTTCCAAATGATGGGTTGCAATTTGGCTCAAGTTGTCAACAGCAACAAATGATTACATGATTCAATGTCCATTTTAAAAAATTGAACCATTTGCTCAAGAACATATCTATTTTTAGAAAGGAAACAGAAAATTTTCTTTTATGGCTCTTCATAAAGGAGGCACTATGTGATATAGTAGACAATGGCTTCAATAACCTTACAAAAAGTACAATTATGGACCTACTAGAATGGCTAAAATTTAAAAGACTGACACTCCCAAGTATCCCTAAACATGTGGAGCAACTGGAACTCTCACAAACTGCTGATGAGAATGTAAAATGATGCATCCACTTCAGAAAAAGAGTTCAGCAGTTTCATGTAAAGTTAAACATGCACTTACCGTGTAATTCAGCAATTTCCCTTCTAAGTACCTACCCTCAAAATTGGGAATATATAGCCACACAAAGATTCCTATGCAAATGTTCTAATCAGTGTCATTTATAATTGTCAAAAGCTATGAACAACCCAATCCTCCATCAATTAGTGAATCGATAAACTAATTGTGACCTATCCATACAATAGAATACTACTCAACAATGAAAAGGATCAACTATTGGTACATGTAATAATATTAATGAATCTAAAAAATATGTGCTACATAAAAAAACTAGCCAGACACCAAAAAAATGCATAGTGTATGATTCCATTTATATGATATTACAAAAAAGGTAAAACTCACCCATATTATCGGAAAGAAGACCAGGACTCAGGACAGAAGAAAATGACTGCAAAGGGACATTTGGGGGCAATGTAAATGTTTTATATTTTGACTACATTGGTAGTTACAAAAGTTTATATATTTGTCAAAACTCCTCAAACTGTATAGTTAGAATGAGTACATTTTATTATATGTAAATTATATACCAACAAAGTTAGCTTGTAAAAAACAATAATTATCTTCATTGTGTTATTTGTAATATCCCAAAATATAGGCTGAAGTAAAACATCTAAGCATATTTTAATTTTATAAGGATACATCCGAGATAGCTGAAGAATGAAGGTTTCTAATCTGGCTAAATATATGGGATAACTTTATTTGGAATATTTAATGAATTTTTTACAGGTAATTCCCTTAAATGTTATTCTATACAATTGCCTTTTGAGCTTTTTACTAAGAGCTGTGTGTCAGAGAATTCAAAGTTAAACTCTCTGATAAGGGCATGGAGTACACATATCTTAGGTTGTTGATTAAGTGCAAACCCATATTCTTTAGTATTTAGCAGAGGTGAAGATAAAATGAATATCATTTATGAGAAAGTATTAATAAAATGTACTGATTTCTTCTTCATATATTGCTCTTTTAAGTGTATTTTATAGTCTCCTGGATCTTCTTTATGAAAAGAGAGGTAAAAGAAACACTTACTGAACATCCATTATGTCAGACACTTGGTTAAACATTGTAATGTTGTGTATTCTCACAAGAACCCCATACATTACGTAATGCCATCTTCATTGTACATAAATACAGCAGGACTACACTAAACTTTAATTTTGAAATGCCTAATAGTTCATTTTTATCATAATGCATAATGTCCATTCCTATATAATCAACTTTAATAAGATTGTTGAATAAGAGACAGATCTAAAAGAAACCAAAAAACTCAGCACAAGAACTCTTTAATGCATTGAACACATATTTATATTGTGTACCTACTAGAGTGGTAGAATAATGCTGTGGTTAACAGTGTCAATTCACATCCAAATCCTGGCTCCACTACTAACTGGTTGTATGGTCTTGGGCAAATGATTTAACCTTCCCATGTCTCAGTTTTCACATCTATAAAATGGGGATGATTTAGTTAGAAAGATACCCAGCTCAGAAGGCTTTTGTGATAAATAAGTGAGTTAATAAATGGAGTCCTTTTCTTGTAAAGGTGATGGATAACAAGAAAGGAACCCTTCTGTCCATGTGCCTATACGTCAGCTATATCTTTCCCACTTCTTAACTGAACTCAATGTAGTAGATAATAGCATTTTATTACAAATAAATGAAGAACACTTGATTATCTGACCAGATTATAGATGTAGGGACAGGGAAAACCCATATGCAAGTGTAATTATTCAAATGATCTGGTCCTAGAACTCTGTAAAGTTCCTTCTCAATAAGTCACTAGCATTTGTGTATACTGAATATGATTATCTCCCAAAGTCTACCACAGAATCACAGTTGTTCTCCTAAGTCTCCAATCCATGGTCCTAAGCATATAAAGATGGCAATCCTACTAATAATCCTACTAGCAACACTAGCAATTGTTACTAATATGGCTAAAAATCTAAAGCAAGTCTGTAAGTCATCCATTCAACAGACACCACCCCCCCTCCAGGAAAACTGCCCTTAAGATTATGCCAAGAGCTACTTTTTAAAATCGTAGTGTTAATTATGACAACTAAGAACTCGCTCAAATCAAAGCTGTGTAATCAACAGTTTTCTCTTTTGACATCATCCTCTTTCGATGACTTTTCTTTCTACTAAGGAATCATTCCCCATTCATTTCAGTGCCATTTTTCTGCCCCATCCATGTGCTGAGTCTGCTGAGCTGTCTCCTGGCTTCAAGCACATCTTGTTTCTCTCTCCCAATATCAAAACTTATAAACTACAATTTATATTCTACTACAATCCAGAAATGAATTTTCTGACCTGTAGAAAGAAGTTTTACCAATTATTTTATTCAATGACTGATAATATTTAATTTGCTACCCCTTAGGAGTAGCTGCAATTATACAGGCAACTCTGGATGCTGAAAATGCGATGTCTTAAGCAAATAGTTATTACCGACCTTTAGTGACAACTTATCTTGTGCTGACAGCTAAAAGATATGCATGTACTTTCTCCACTGCTGAAAGATTTAGAAAAAAGGATTTGCTTGTAGGACCGAGAGTTTGAGGACAAAGCGTACTCAGATTGGGACTAAAATGTTCTGGCATCAGAGCAACCTGGCATGATGTCACTTATAGGAAGTCTACTCAAACTCTTCAGGTCTCTATGCCATCTTTTCAAGAAGGGCTTCCATGACCACCCTGCTTTAAAATTGTAACCCTCAAAAAGCTAGTCTCCTTTCTTACTTTATTTTTCTCCATAGCTTACTAATATTAATTCCAAAAGTGTGAAGGATTTGAGATGTTACCATATGCACAGTTACATAGAACCTATATATAACACCTATAGTAGCACATAACTGTGTGTGTGTGCAATATACATACAATTTTATAAACACACACACACTAACAGAATACTGAAACTCTGGCTTAGAGACAGACTTTCAATCACCCACTATATTTGTTGCTTGTGGCTGCTGTAGCAATTTGCCATAAACTTGTTAGCACAACACAACAGAATTTTATTCTCTCAGTTTTAAAAGAAATTAGTCCAAAATCAAAGTATTGGCAGGACCACACTCCCTGGAGGGCTGTAGGGAGATTCTGTTCATTGCTTCTTTCAGCTTCTGGTGGCTCCAAGTGTTCCTTATCTCATGGCTGCCCCACTCCAATCTCAGCTTCTGTGGCCACATTGTCCCTCCTCCTCTTCTCCTCTGTGTGTCCGTCTCTAAACTCTACTTGCCTCTCTCTTCTAAGGATACATGTGATTGCATTTCTGGCTCATTCAGAAAGTCAAGGATTAAACACCTGCTCTCAAGATGCTTGTTTATTGTCCAATGGCAGAGAGCATCATTCATACATATTTGAGGAATGTGGTTTGCTCTGGAGTGGTGTGATTAATTATCTGGCCTGTGATTAATCACATCTTTTTTTTCATATAAGGTCGGATTCACTTTTTTGCCATATAAGACAATAATCATAGGTCATAGGAATAAAATATTATTTTTTAGGGACCACCATTCAGCCCAATATACATACAGATACTGTTCTTGTTCCCCATGGGGTGACATGATGAGAACCTGTCATCTCCTCATGTATACAGAGATCATGAAAATAGGAGCTAATATAAGATGGTGGGCACATTTGTCTCTGGAGAAACAGTAATGTTTGCTCTGGAGTGTAAAAAAGTCTTCTCTGGAGAGCAGAAGGGATGATCTCTAGGTATTTATTACCCTGGAGTATAAGCAAATGGCTCACGGTTGGTTTTGTTGTCCATACAATGTAAATAATGGCTCCAGGAAAGAGAAAAGAAATAGCTCTATCTTTCCAGAAGTCTCTTTTTTTTTTTTTTTTTGAGATGGAGTCTTGCTCTGTTGCCCAGGCTGGAGTGCAGTGGCACAATCTTGGCTCACTGCAACCTCCGCCTCCAAGGTTCAAGCAATTCTTCTGCTTCAGCATCCCAAGTAGCAGGGATTACAGGCACACACCACCATGCCCAGCTAATTTTTGTATTTTTAATAGAGACAAGGTTTCACCATGTTGGCCAGGCTGGTCTTGAACTCCTGACCTCAAGCGATCCACCCGCCTCTACCTCCCAAAGTGCTGGGATTACAGGCATGAGCCATAGCGCCTGGCTAGGGTTGTAATTCCATCATCCTTTAACCCGGTTGCCACTAACTTTTGCTCAGAAAGCCCTGACCATACAGAAACATGAAAATATTTATGGAGTGCTATTTCTCGGTATATAACATTTAAAATATTATATATGTTTCACTTCTCTTGTTTATGGTCTAACTAGAATATAAGTTATATGAAGGCAAGGGTTTTTGTCTTTTTTTTTTCACTGCTGTGTCCCCAAATTCTAGAACTTTGCTTGGCACATAGGAGATGCTCATACTAATTTGTTGAATAACTTAAGAATTTCTTGCAAAGGGGTTGCTTACCAATGTCCAGGAGATTAGCCTGGGACTGAGTCACATGTCAGCAGGTCCAGTGGGGTCTCCACCTGTCCACATTGAGCCTATAGGGGACCAACCTAATCATCACCAGGTGAAGTGTATTCATGTAAGGACGCAACATAAAGAGGGTAGTGTTCACCATAGCTGTCATATTAGAAAATCTTTTCTTCTAGCCTTCCTCTCTGAACTTGAATATTAAAGAATGATTATTATACTTCCTAAAGTCACTAACAACCTTTTAGGGTTGTGTCTACTTAACCAGAAATAAAGAAGAGTTGAGACTAGCAAAATAAATCAGGTTTGCTAAACCCTTATTTTGTCACAATTTAGGATTATTTTTAATCTCTACAATTCGTATCTATTCTTTATTTCTGATTATTACATTTTTCAGATCATCGTTACCTTCCCAATTCAATTCGTATCTATTCTTTATTTCTGATTATTACATTTTTCAGATCATCCTTACCTTCCCAATTACATCTTAGAAAGGCATGATCTCCAGAAATAAGCTAAAAAAAGTTTCAAAATAGATTGGATTAGGGAACAAATGTGAGCCAGAGAGCAAGTCCAGGTTTATTAAGTACTTGTATAGAACCATGTTCTCCTTATCACTAACCATGACAATGGTTTTATATTTATTTGTGTATTCCTAAATGTGTGTCCCCAACTGAAATGGAAGCCCCATGAGGGCAAGGACTGTCTACTTTGCTCACTATTATAGAACAAATACCTACTATGTACCTGGTAAATAAAAGATATTCAGAAAATATGTGTTGGAAGAAGGGAAGGAAAGAAGGAAAGGGAGGAAGGAAGGGAGGGAGGGAAGGATGGAAGGAGGAAAGGAAGGAGGGAGAGAAGGAAGGTAGGAAGCAAGGGAGGGAGGGAGGAAGAGTGGGAGGATCTTTTATGCCCCCGTTGTCTTCTTGTCAGAGACCACTATAGCTAATTTTCTTGAAGTTTCAGAGATGATCTCCATGGGATTCTTTCCCTGAGTAACAGCCTCATCACTATGGTAGAGTTTGGGTTCGAAAGTTAAATGTCTGCCTAAAATGTTAACAGGCTCTCATAATCCTTCTCCCAATCCTATTGCATTGAACATCTTTTAAATCCAGGTATCCCAGTCCACACAGCAAAGAAGAAAAAGACCATCTGCTTTATAAATTAAAAGTTCACATCTTTTAACACTCATGATTGACATAAATGCTGCTGTGAATAGACTGAGGAATGTGGAAGCATGGTTCAATTTCTTTTGCTACTCAGCAGCCAGGTCTTTCTATATTGCTATATTGCTCTTCCAGAAGTGTTCTTTGACTAATAGTACCCAGGTGATACTGGGGAGGCAATGGTAGCCAGGGATGGGGAGGCAGTAGCCTGCCTCTCTCACTGGGTGATAGATCTGTGAAGCCTGAATGAGAGGGACCCAGGGTGGTAACTGCAGCCATCTTTCTCTTTTATGATTTCTCTTTCTTTTTATTAGGTTTGACATTGAGATTGAGCTTTGTAACTAACTATTAGCCCAAGGCAAGGACTGGGGAAATGAGAATTTGCTGAAAAAGTGACCCCCATCCCCAAACACAAAGTGTGAACAACTGTACTTATGGTCTGCCATGAAAGGAACTGAAGCTGGGATTTATGTTCAGATATTGCAGTTGATTTGATAAAGTAAAATGAAACCAGCACCTTCTGCACCTGCAGGCAGGCCCAGGGACTTTCACAAAGAAATATTTCTATTATTTTTATCTTTTTGTGTTATGGTATTTGAAATGAAAGTCTGTGTCTACTCAATGCCCACAAAAGAATATCTTCTGCCATCAGTGATGAGCTTGGAATGTTGGATCGTAATAAACAAGACAAGGAGAGGAAACACAGCAAACCAAAGATGCTTTGTGATGAGGCAGGGCCATGCAGCCCACACTGTGCTCAGGGCACTTTTCAGCCATTTATCAAAGGTAGGCATGTACCAAAACAGCCTTCCTTTGGGGACACATGTCAAGAAAGCAACTCATACACCATTGAGAATTTGTTTGTCCAGTTGGAATCCTCCTATATTGCTATTATGCTTTGAGATTTTAGGGAATAAAATGACACTGCTGCAGAATTTTAGCTTCAACTCAAAAGCTTCTCTCTCCAAATGATAGTGACTGTTAGGTACAGGGCTAACTCCAACATATGAAAAGCACCACCTTCTCTCAAAAACATCCCTGGTAAAAATTATTACTAGGACATTTTTAGCTATTACTTTCAGAATAGGAACATTTTTCTTCTACTTAAACCTTGTAAAATAATAGAATTTCTCCAAACAAAATGTTGTTTCCTCCTGCCCAGAAAAAGACCAAAGAGACTGCTGCCAAGCCAGCAAATCTCAGGGAAATAGCTCAAAATAAGGATTCCCAGCGACAAGGGCTCAGGGTCCCTGAAAGAAAAAGAATGCAGTTTTTCTTATTAAAATAAATTAATCAGTCTCGTAAATGAAGGGGACAGAATGAGAAAGAGAATTATCCCTGTTAAGTGCATCTATTCAGGTCCTGCGGAAACAGGGAGTCTATGGAATTCTTAAGCAAATAAAAACACATGTGCACCAACAACGTGCTGTGTGGTTTCCTTTTTCCTCCAAAGGACCAGAAGCCTCCAGAATTCCATATACAACATTAACCTATGGAGAAGCTATTTGAATAAATCATTTATTTCTCCATTGCAGTGTCTCATTTGTTGTTGTTTTTTTTTTTTTAAAAAAAGCAGTAATATATCCTTGTCAAGAATATGCCCATATACTTTAAATAGCCCCTTCTCTCTCTACAGTACATAATTTTGTGGGTTTTTTTTTTTTTTTTTTTGGTGTAATAAATGACAAGCAGAAACAAAACTCTCAGACCAGATCTTTGAACACTGCTAAGGACAAGTGGGTATTGAGACTAAGATTTGAGTATACTTAAAAGTATTATTAGTTCAATATGTTAACATCTTGGAAGCTTGGGGTACTAGAGGACTAAATAAGGTGGTTGAAATGCTTGCTCTCAGTTTCTCATCAGTAACCGATGAGATCCTTTTTCAATGAAAAAAATTATTAAAGACTTCCAGTAATCAATGATCAATAGTAATATTTAATGAATATCTACAATATTCAAACTTCTAATTAGGCTTTAAAAAGTACAGAAAGAGGCCGGGCGCAGTGGCTCATGCCTGTAATCCTAGCACTTTGGGAGGCCGAGGCAGGCGGATCACGAGGTCAGCAGATCGAGACCATCCTGGCTAACACGGTGAAACCCCGTCTCTACTAAAAATACAAAAAATTAGCTGGGCGTGGTGGCAGGTGCCTGTGGTCCCAGCTACTTGGGAGGCTGAGGCAGGAGAATGGCGTGAACCTGGGAGGCGGAGCTTGCAGTGAGTGGAGATGGCGCCACTGCACTCCAGCCTGGGCGACAGAGCGAGACTCCGTCTCAAAAAAAAAAAAAAAAAAAAAAAAAAAAGAAGTACAGAAAGAGGAAAAACAAATAGGCCTTCCCTTTAACAAGTATATAACCTAGTTAGTGGTTTAAAACTTAAACACATTAGAAAGGCAACTAACCTTTGTAGAACATAATGTCAGACAAGGCATGCTAACAGTAAGTGTGATACATTTCAAGTGCATTTCAAGAGAGCAAGATTTTCCTCCTCCTGGACTCAGCAAGGGAATGTTTTATATAGGAAAAATAATCGGAGTTAGGTTTTAAAAACAGAGCAGGCATAAGTTAGGCATCGCTTCAGTTGTCTCTTTTCTTTTAAAAACTACCCCATAATTTAGCAAATTAAAATAATAATTATTTTTAAAATAACAACCCATAATTCTGTGGGTTGAGCAAGTTCATTTAGTAAGTTCTTCTGCTCCACTTAGTGTTAGCTGGAGTCACTGAGATGCATTCCACTGGTCAATGGACTGGGTTGGAAAGTCCAAGAATTCTTCCTTCCCATGGATGATGCCTCAGTGCTTCCTCATGTGGCCTCTCCACGGGACTTGCATGCACTCCCTCATAGTACAGTGGTCTCAGAGAGAGGCTTTGCAGTATGTACATGAATGGCTTCTAAAAGTAAGGAGGGGAAAACTGCCAGTCTACTTTAAGGCTAGTCCCAGAAATGGCACAGCTTTACTTTTGCCACATTCTGTGGTCAAAACAAGCCACAAAGCTATACTGGATTCAAGGTGAGAGGAAGTAGATTCTACTTATTCATTCATTGAAATTAACAAAAGGAAATAAATTGATAGTGGCCATTTTTTTTCTGAAAATACCATGAAGCAAAGAGAAAAAGAGGAGGTAGACTATAGCTCCTCTCATATATTGACCTCTGAACACAAAACCAATTTTCATTTCTAAGAGGTTTCCTATGTGCCAAGCAGTATGCTAACCATAGGAAAAAAAGAAATCTGTTGCTTAGCACCAGCATTCAAAGAGCTTTCACTCATTTTGTTATTGTTGTGGCCCTGGAGTGTTTTTCACATTGGTTCTTATTTCCAAATAAAATACGTATGTAAATAACCAGAAAATAAGCCTTTGCTACTCAAGTAGTTTCAAGAATAGAACATAAACCATGTCTGACACATGAAGATTATAGACAAGTAGAAAAACAATGGCATTTAGAATGCTATACAGAGGACTATAGATAGATTCAGTTTTAAAGTTTCTATTTTTTAATTTTTATTATAAATTCTGGTATATATGTGCAGAACATGCAGTCTTGTTACATAGGTATGCATGTGCCATGGTGGTTTGCTGCACCCATTAACCTGTCATCTACATTAAGTATTTCTCCTAATGCTATCCCTCTCCTAGCCTCCCACCCCCTCGACAAGCCCCGGTGTGAGGACTTTACTTAGAAGTTCAGTTGCTCTCCTTGGGAGGTCTGTTTACCATAATTTCAGTATCATTTAAATCTAGGAGTATGTGTCTACCAGCTGTCAGGAACACACTTCTATGGTGGCAACCCTAGATTATCAACTACATGGGCAAAATTATGTCCCATATATTCTGCCCGGCACCTCACCAATTCTCTTAAATTGTCATAATTTAAAAAGATGCAGTTGGGTTTTAAGGAGAAACAAAAAATACTACTACTATTTGCCCCCTCTTGAATTCTAATCAGCTCAATGGTAGACAAAAAGTAATAACCAAAGAAATAAAAATACAAGCTTTATAATACATAGAGATGAAGTCAGAATGCATAGCACAGTTTGTAGCAATCATGGGCTTCCTAATATAGAATTAACCTGCCCAGTTTTGGGCCTCCCTCGGGTGCATGGCCTGCAAAACTTTCTGCATGGAGACCAGACCAGATAGCAGCTTTCTGAGAAGGACAGGATCCTGGAAGGAGAGAAGAAGGCAGGACTGAGTAATGTATACCTTCCTCCTCCCAAGTATTATACCAGTAAATTTACTATTTCTTCTCCAGGGGTAAGTGAATGGGAAGGTAGATCAAGAAGCCAAGAATATTTGGAGAAACTCCCTTCTAACAGAAATCTGATTAATGAGATTAATATATACAGACACACACACACATACACACACATACAGATAGATAGATAGATAGATAGATAGATAGATAGATAGATAGATAGATAGATAGATGGCTGTCTGGCTGACATACATGCATACATATGTATGTATGCATGGATGTCTGGCTGACATACATGCATACGTATGTATGTATGCATGGATGTCAGCCAGAATTGAATAGATGCCTACTGGGACAACTACTTTCCATTATTTACTTTCTTCCATCACTTTTCTAAGTCAAGAAAAATCTACAGAAGTTTTAAAATTGAGAGATAGAGCCAAACAAGCACACATGTGAAAATTAAAAGAAAAAGCTATAAATTAAGAACATCTTCACAGTGTTCAGCACACTTAAAAAGCCAAGGGAAAATGCTAATAACTGCATCTACACCTCATTGGAGTTTGCAGCATTGAGAGGAAGTTGCCTGCACTTTTCAAAAAGTAGGACTGGTTTGAACAACAACAAAAAAATAGCTTTTCCCTCACATCCTATGATAGCAAAGATGGCTCCAAAAACTAACAACATATTCCAAAGTTTTTAACCTTTGTGAAGATTACAATTAATGTCCTTCAAAATCTGATTATTGTGATTATTGATTTTTAGAAACCAATTTACCAGATCCTTTAAAAAAAATCATGATTATTCAGCCCCCTGGGTGTCACAAAGTAGAGTTTGCAGAATTGAAGCCCTCCATCAGTTGAGCCCATTGACACAATCCCAAATTTACACCTATTCTGTTGTGGGATTTGAGCTGGTGGTTTTTCTTCTTTTCTTCTCAGGCTTAATGCTTATGTTCCTGCTCTCGGAGTTAACCTCTTCGTGCCCAAGAATATACCACGTTGTGGTCTGCTCCTGCATTTTATAGTCTGACAGATATTCATCTCCAGCTCACAGCTTGCAGGTGGGAGCCTCAGCTGAGGAGCCTTGGTGTCAGGAAATCAGCAGCTGCTCGTATATCACACTGGTCATTAGTGGAGGATCATTCTGGACCTTTGCTCACAGCTCCTTGCTATGGCAGGAGAAGGGCTATAAAACCCTAGGCCCTGTCAGCCGTTGTCACTTAGGTGAGAATTTATCAGGTCTCCAAGTGCCCTCTGACTGGATTATTATGAATAATGAATGAAGCTTTATGCTACACCAAAGCATTAATAAGATGGGAATGACTGGGAGAAATTCTGTGCACCACAATCGAAGTCGCTCTCTGGGTTAGCAAATCCGCAGCTGGTGGGCCTGCCCAATTGAGCCTCTGCTGAATCTGTGATTGAAGTGAGGTTCTCCTTTAATTATAGAGCCAAGCTTTACAGTCTGAGTTTTAGCCTGTGGGTGGTAATAAAGAACCAGGAATGAAGCCGTGTATGTCTACAGCAGGAAAAGTGGACGAAACAGATTTTAGATTCCCTTTATTAAAAAAAAAAAGTTTAATGTCAATCATCTATTTTACTGTCACCCTAAAACAAGAGTCTAGTGTCAAAACATTAGCCAGTAAGAAATTTCTAGTATATAAATATGAGTGTCTTTTATGACTAAGATATTTGGGGTTTGGAGGGATGAATTCTACCACTTTTCTCAGTGTAGCTGCTCTTGTGTGAGCCTCAGAATTTATGTGAGCTGAAACAAAGGAAGGTGGCTTAAAGACAACAGAGGAGCAAAGGGTATCCCTGATCTGACAGAGGGAACAATGGGACTCAGACACATCCTAACCTAGTGGAAATCATTTTCTAAAACTGTGAGTTAGCCCAGTCCTTCTAGCAGAGCCAGCTTCAGAGCTGATGCTCTGGTTCCAGGTTATCTTGGCAACCATTTCAGTACATTCTGGTTACCAGCTTCCGGGATGCCCAAGTTGTATTGGAAAAGGAAGGTCATCTGACTGACTGTCTCTGGAAAACATTGCTTAATTGAATGAAGTAGAAAAGTAACCTATGCTTCTTTCATTTTTTATTTGAATCTCTTCCCAGGTTTCAAGGGCCAAAGACTAGATAATGTGTTTGTGTGTTTGTTTGTGTTCTACCGTAGACTCACTTCTTAGCTCCCATCCCATTCTTCACACATTTTCTGAGTCTCTAAATTGTTTCAGGACTACAGAAAATTTAAAAGAAAAAAAAAGACATTGCCTCTACCTAAATGAGCTGATAATAATAATAAACAGGAAAAGTACTTATTTTGTAATGCACCACTGCAAACCCAGACACTAATACCACAACTGTCTGAGAAATGCTTTGAAGCAGCTCATCTTCCAGTTGATTAAAAAATAAGAGCTTCAAAGCCATGAGTCTGTCTACTTCAGGCTCTGCAGGTACTGGGTGACCTGGAACATCTACTGAACTTCTCTAACTCTTAGTTATCCCACCTTTAAAATGAGGGAGGTGAAAATGATCTACATCCATGTTAGAAATTCTAACACCCATAATAGATGTTAAAAGAATTTATGTACCCCACTCCTGTTGTGACCATGAGAAGAAAAAAGTCAGAGCCTAAAATATGTTCAAAAAGTGAATTCTGAGGGAATCTTTCCCTGCTCTTGGTACCAAGAAAGAAATCTATTCTCTGGTCTTTCAAGTACGTGCAAATTATCAAGTACTGTTTAATCACTTAACATCAGTTGCCCTGACAACTTGTACTTGCCTCTATATTTTTTTCCCATTATCTTTCCATCTAGATGGAGTTCTTTCTTTATTTTATTCCTAGACATGTGTTGTGGTCTAGAATTATGGAATGTTTAGAGCTGGAAGGGAATTTCAAGTTGGTCAAGATTTTTTTAGTGTTTTATTTTTAATTTTTATGGGTACATAGCAGGTATATATATGTAGGGGATATATGTGACATTTCGTTTCAGGAATACAATGTGTAATAATCACATCAGTATAACTGGGGGAATCCATCACCTCAAGCATTTATAATTTCTTTGTATTAGGAATTTTTCAATTCCACTCTTTTAGTTATTTTTAAATATACCATAAATTACTGTTGATTGTAGTCCCTCTGCTGTGCTGTCAAATACTGGATCTTATTTTTTCTATGTTTTTGTACCCATTAAACTTGGTCAGATTTAATTTTCTCAAGTTCCCTTCCTCTAAAAAGCCTGCCTGGCATTCCAATAAACCCCAAGTGATCAGTCTCTCTCTCTCTCTCTCTCTCTCCATTGATTATATTGCCTGTCCTACTTTTGGATAGTTAAATAATAGTTTAGATAATTCAATATTCATATATAAGATTTATCTTTCTAATATTCTTCAGAACAGACATTGTGTCTTATATACATTGAAATTCTTCATATACTCTAGCCCGTGTCCTTTCTCATCATATTTACTGAATAATAATTTATTAAGCATCTACTGGGTGTCAGACCATGTGCTGGTTTCTATGGACACAAAGATAACGAACACATATTCCTTATCCTCAAGAACTTCACAATCTGGTAGATACTTAATATTTGAGCAGTTCATTCATTTTGGCTTAGGTAATATCCTTGGTGGAAAGATGAAGTGATACGAACTGGATGCAAGAAGAATTAGTTAAGAAGCTAACAAGCTAAATCACCATATTCAAAGGGCACTGAACAATCAGTGTGCTGATGCCAGTCTTAAGGTAGGTTTCCAGGGCCACAAGACTGGTCCTTCACCTTTCAACATCCTTGGCCTGTTCTATATCATCTTCAATGATTTGGATGAAGATCTGTAGAGCATGCCTATCCAGTTTGTGGTATACATATATAGTTAGTTCCTCGAATTATTAAATTAGGGTTCAAAAGGAACTTCTTAGGTTGAAATGATGAACTGCATCTAGGATAGTGAAATTTCACAGGATGAAATATAGACGCCTGGGTTTGAATGTCCCCAACCAATTTTGTGAGGGTAGACTAGGAAAATGTGTTATATTGAGTATATTTAATGTGAGTGTGTGAGAGTGTGTGTGTGTGTGTGTGTGTGTGTGTATCTTAGCCCAGTATCCAGAATAGATGTGCTGCAATAGAAAACAAAGTGTTGAACCAAGTTGCAGATGTCACACTTTTTAAGGAGAGATATGGTCTCATAAGAGTACATGTAGGAAACGGAAACCAGATATACACAAAAGGACTCCAAATTATATCATTAAGAGGAGGGATGGGAAGAACTGAGGTCGTTTGCCTGAGGAAGAAAGGAAACAGGGAACACAGGCATTGTCTTCAGTTATTTGGAGGGCTGTGGAAGAGGGATAAAAGTTGCTCTGTATAAGTCAAAAAATATGTTGGGAAATTCAAGAAGACACATTTTAGCTCACTACAAGAATGACCTTTTCCAGTTGCTGTCTCAATAGACAGTCTTGGGACATGGTAAGTGTGGAAGAAGGAATTGAGGGAAACCTCCAATTTGCTATTGTCTCCTCTCTGCCATCCTTTTAACTACTACACAAGGTAAACACTCTACCTCTGTTTCAAGAGTGCTGTAGAGATTTCCTTTATGAGTTTTGTGTAACAATTATATATTAAGAAGATATTTGTATTATTCAGAATACATGAGAGCACATATATAAAAATGTCACCTCTATAAACCCCATTGGAAGATGCCATTAGAATGGCCATTAGCTGAGTATATTATGAAAGTGAAGTTGGAGTTAAGACCTGAGAGAAAGTGTTCTGTAATTCTCCACAGAGAAGTAGAGAACTAGGAAGGGAGGGCATTGGCCTCACACAGCCAAGGCCCCCATGCAAGAAGACCTTGTGGCTGCCCTACTCCTGTAAAAGGGAATTTTTTTTCACCAACACACTGAAGTGACCACACAATCAAGGTCTAGAGGAATACAAAAGAGGAGCAGCAACAACAAAGGGTGCTTAGAGAACTTTAAGCTCCAGTCTTTACTTTGCTGAGTTAACCTCAGAATAAAAAACAACCTGCTACCAAGGAAAAGTTTAGAGACCATGATTGACGGATGGAGATTCTGTTAGAACTGCAATTCAGTAAGTTCCCAGACATCGGAGGTATGCAAAGCATGAGAAGGGTTACATGGGGAGCTTGCAGAGGGGACGGGACTCCAACATCAGACAGGGACTGACCTTTAAGCCTCTTTCCAGTTCTGGAATTCTAGGCATTTGAATGCCTTCTGCTGTAGTGTATATTCTTCTTGCCTAGTTCTAGATGGATGTCTCAGTATGTCTGAGTAGGAATTTTTAAATGCTTTGCCAAGAAAAGAAAGGTCCTCTCATTCACTCACAAAAGCCTCAACATATGCCTGAATCACACCAAAGTGGGCAGCATTTTGTGATAATTGTGGGGAGTGCAAAGAACAGTGCAGATAAGCTTCACGCTTATATGCCCACAGGTGTGTGCATGTGTGCATTCATGCAAGTGTGAGCCCATGCACTCAGCAACACATGCTCTGCTAAAACATGTCATCGGCTAGAGGGGGTTCTCCCACCGAGCCAACACAACTTTGTTATGGAACACATTGGCATTGACAGGGTTTCATCCCACCACTAAGCCATAATCTGTTTGGCAGGCATGAGGGGTGTCACAAAACCTCAAGGTTAATTGGGAGCAAGGCAGTAAACACCAGCTTCTCCCAGGGCATTCTTCATGCTTAGAAGCTGTCTGAAGACAAAATCTACTTCAATGTTGGTAGACCAAATTGTTTTTTGAACTATCAAAAGTGAAGAAAAGCAACGACAATTTTACCAAGATTCTGAGGAAAGTACACAAAGTCTTTCATTTAAAAATATTGAAGAGAATACCAGGAGTTGGAGGCAAATCCCCTATTTTTCTAAGAAATATTCACAAACAGGAGGGAAACTCGTCATCGGGGAGCCACACACAGGCATTTCAGACCACCCTGAAATCGCTTCACATTCTGACATTTATAGGGTATCCTTGCTCCCGAGGTTTGTTATACCCTTAATATTCAAACACACACAACTTTTATGGGTACAGGATTGACATCTTCAGCTAAACAGGAGACAGTCCACATGCCAAGGGTCAAGAAATAATAAGAGTTGCATCCTTAAGATCTCTTCAATTCAAACTACAACTTTACTTCAATACAAAAACATTAAGACGGGAAAAAAAAGGAAGAGTTAGATAAGAGATAGAAAGCATAGGTGGCATCAGAAATGCATTAAACACAAGGAACAATTTGTGGCAAAACAAATGTGAAGGAGAACAGTAACTAAGGAACTAGCAAATGTTAAACAGAATGAAAATTAACTCAGGACCAAGGGGGAAATGCTTCAACATGAAAAAATGAACAACATAGATGGAAATGGGGAAATTTAAAACAGTAGAGCCTCGAAAAGATAAAGGATAGACAATACACGAAAGGAAAGTAGTTGAAAAGAAATAGGGAAGAACAAAATTATTTTTAAAGTAAAAAGAAATGTAGAATCTATTATAATCAATGATGCTGTCTTTGCCCCTAAGAGCTCAAACAAAGGAAGAAGAGATGCCCATAATTATTATTTATTCATGCCCCTTGCTTCAGTGGGGTTCTCCTGGCAAAATTCCAGCAGCTTTGCCATTTTAAAGAATAGGGACTTTAGAATGTAGCTGCTCTGAGGATTTGGTCCTATAATCTCCTTTAATGTTTCTTTTGCATCAAAAGGTCACTCTCAATTCAGACATTTATGAAATTGAAATTAGTCCAAGGTCCCTTGGAGATCTGAAGTCCTGGCAGACAGGGGATGCCCATGATGGAGATCACACCTTGGATGTAAAGAAATCCTTCAAAGTGCCATTTTGTTATCTTCAAGGGTTTAATAATCACTCATCCACACCAGGCCTACCTCTTCCATCAGACTGTATATATCCTGCCACAAACCAAATTTTCAGTAGTAAACCATAATGATTGATTTAAATAAAACAGCACTCCACTACATATGGTCATGGAGGAGGGAGGAGGAAGTGTCAGGCTCTGTACTACAATCTTAAGGGACATTATTTGTAATTTCCCAGTAACTCATGATGTCTCTGCCCCACAACTCTCTGCTCCATGACAAGTCCCATTTGTCCCATTTATTGAGCCTCCACCAGGTCCCAGGTCCTTTATATATATAATCTTGGATAATTATTCCAATGCTATGAGATGGAATTAATGTCCCCACCTTATGTCTGAGGAAACTGAGTCTTGGGAGTTTTGATTTCACCAAGGATGTACAACTAGGAAGCGTCAGAGATGGGCTCTAAACTGGGTCTGATTGATGGCAAAGCACACACTCTCAATTCCACCACATTGGCCAGATCATTAAGTTATTTTAACCATATTTTCAGTCTGCTCTAGGCTAAATTAGACTAGGTTATTTCCACCAGTTCCAGGTATTTCACTCTTACTCCTGCTGTCCTATGTCAAGCACAGGGCTAGAGCCAGAAAGGTGAATAAGAAAGTTTCAGCCTTTTAAGAAGCGTAAATTACCATGTAGTGAAGAAGGCAGACACACAGGCAGAATGAAGGGTCGCAGCCTACTAGGGCTCCTGAAAAGACTTTCTGGTCCTCCTGAAACTAATTCCCATTGGCCCACTTAAAGTTAATAAAAATTATGTTTGTTTGTTTGTTTTAATTTAAAAAATTATTTTCCAGGGAAATATTAAGGCTAAGCCAGTCTTCCCAGAACTAGCCCCATCCCATATAACCAAGTTGAACCTGTAAACTCTTTTCCCAGGACCCCTGGCCACGTTTCATGTGGTTCACTACACTGATGAAGCTGAAAATTTGCCAGTCTACCTTTCAGTGATGAGCACCACAGAAGCGTGGTTACCTCTCAGAAATGGAGGCAACAGCAAGGCCATTGGATGCAGTCTTTATTTGTCCAGGTGGCCATAATTTCAACACTGCAAATCAGCCTTGCTGCTGTTTCATTCCCATTCCAGTTACTCTGTGTTCCCCCACAACATGTCCCTGGCCACGGCCAACCTTACACAGGGGTGAAGCAGGTGGCCACCACATAAGTTAAAACAAGTGGTGCCAGCAAGATCCCTTACTCCAAAAATACCTCTCTCACTGGCTCATTTCAGTGTCTAAAATGCTATCATTTTAGAGGGACAAGGGAGGAATCTTTTATTGACCTTTATTACAAAAATAATAAATACACACTGAAAAAGAGATTTAAAAATACAGAAATCTATGGAATAAAGGATGCAAGTTTACTTCATCATCTTTTCACCCTCAACCCTTAGGCATTTTCTGAGATAATTATTATCAACAGATTACAGCGTATTCTCTAAAGTATTTTTCTATGAATTGAAATAGGTAGCAAATTTGTTTTAAGGTGTGCAGCCCCCTATTGGTGGGCATTTCATTTGTTTGTGATTTTTTACTCTTACAAAAAAAGTTGCAATTGATATTCTAGCACACATATATTTGGGCACATGTAGAAAGATTTCTGAAAGACACTTTCTTAAAAATGGAATTGCTGGGTAGAAGGGTATGTGCATTTTAGATGTTCATAGAGACTTACAGAAATTCTATAAAGCAAGAGTAGAAAGCAGAGGACTGAGTTATAGTGAGTACACTGGACATTGACCATAACATGAAGCCTACATCACTTCAGCCTCAGTGCTGAATGAAAAATATCTTAGCACACATACATAGGTATATGTCATTCATTCAAACATCACTGGGTATATGTCTCCTGGAAACAAACAACAGTTGATAATTGCTGCTTTAAGCCATTATTGACCATGTGAGAGTAGGTCTTTGACATAGTGCATCATAGGAAGTAAGAATTAATGGAAGAGAATGTGGGGCCATTGAGGTGGGTGACCATAGAGGTCTGGGTACTGCAAACCAGGTCCTGGAGGTGGGCACTGAGAGAGGAGAGAGAGATGTTGACAGGCAAATGTGAAGGTGATGGAGACAACCACAACCCATTTACAGGTATTTCTAGAGCCAACTGTTCAAAGCTTCCTCTGACAGAGACATCCGCACAAGATAGTGAGTTGGGAGAAGGAGACTTATACTGGAGGGGCTGAAATTCCATTGCCATTGGAGGATAAGGTAAAAGTTTGAAACAGTTGTCTCACACTTATGAAAATACTTAGTAAAGTTCTTGACCTCAATGTTTTCTTCCTTCCCTCTCCTCCAAGCTTTCTGAAAGAGCTGCTGTAAGAAATACAACAAACAGACACTCGAAGTCACCATCATTCCTTGTCTCTCTGGCTTGATAGCCACTATCAAGCTTTTTGGCTTCATCTCCAGCTACTCTCCCCATTCTAGTATGTTCTGTACATCAATTTCAATTTTTATTTCCATTTCTGGACCTTGACACATACTGTTCCCTCTATCAGGAATGCTCTTCTGCCAACCTTTTATCCATCTTCTCTGGGCCAACTCCTAGCTTCCTTCAGGTCTAAACTTCAACACCGGTCTTCTAGGATTCTCTTCTGACCCCATCTCTACATTTCCCCCTGGATAGCTAGTTCCTCCCATTAAATGTTTTTTAGAGCATTCTGCCCCATCTACCCCAATGGTGATCACATAACTTTACATAATTGCTTATTTAATGCATGTGTCTAGACAAAAGAACCATGAGAGAGGAAATAATTCTACCTTGGGCACCAATGTATCTGCAGCATGGTATAGTACCTAGCACACAATAGGTACACTGTAAATGTAGAAGGAATGATCAAATGTATGGATGGATACATGGACAGCTTAAAAGCAGCCATCAAGAGAGATGAGAAGTTAGCCCAAAGGATTTTAAGAATCCAAAACCAGGAAAATCAATTTCTGAATGATTAGGAGTTTGCTATAGTCTCAACCTATTTTGGTAAATATTTATGCATAAGAACATTCAGAACTCACCACGATATAAGTGAATCACTGGAAATAACAAAGCGCTGCTTGTAGAGCCACATAAAATATTTTTAAATTAAGGATCCTATAATTCACACATGTATTGATCAAAAAGTATAAATAAATTTAAATGTAAACATATTTAATAAAATATATTAAAGGTATGGTGAAAGCAGCTTTGTCCTTCAATAGAATTTATAACTAAAACTGAAGAAATAGTTTTGTGACAATAAAGCATTCAAATATTTTTGGATCTTGAATGTATTAGAGCAGTAGAATTATTTCAAACAGATTAAATCATAGCTTTCTATTTGCAAGAGAATTAGCTTTAATATTCCTGAAATGACACAGTCTTCATTTGATACTTATTATTCAAGTTAAGAATTATCTTCATTTTCAACTCTTGAAGCTTATTTAACAAAAAAACATTTTATCTAAGGTGCCCAACAGATTAATTGTAAATAAAACGTTGCCTCTCTAATAAATATGTAATTAGCACCACCACCCTTGTTAAACATGTATACTATATTATTTATCTTAAAAGTTGGAATTATTCCAAAACTCTCCATGTAATTACATAATTAGGTGGTTTTTTTAAATGAGGATCATGTACTCAAACAGAAAATGTCTGTTTTATCATGCCAATATATAACCAAACCGTAGACATTCCAATAAAATTCTGGCCAAAACTCATATTAAATGTACTGAAAACACACAGGAGATGCCATTTAGGTTTAGGCTAATGGGAATCTGGTAAACATTACATCAACTATCTTTACTAGCAAAAAGACTCACTAGCAAAAAGACTTATTTATTGGATAAATCAAAAGCATTATGCAGTTGGTGATGAAGTAAAAATAAATCTCTTCTCAAAAGCATAAAAATATCAGATCGATCTAGAATACTTATATTTATTTTAGAGTTTGGTTTAGCCTTTGAAAGTATATTCTAATAACATGAAGGTAGAGCACTCTATTTCAAGCTGAAATTAATTTTCAAGCATCAATGATTTGATTATTCATAATATTTTTATAAAAGTAGAGTTCATCATATCCAGACAAAGATTTCTTTGTAGATGAATTTTCACTTATCTTACCAAAGATGGTCCCATCAAAACAAATTCACCCTTTGAGTTAGAATTATAGATGGATATCAATTTGGTTTATTTGCCAAGGACTAAATAAAAAAGCAATTCAGAGTCTTTACCATTATCTTTTTAAAAACCAGGTCAAAACATTATTTTTGTGAGCCACAAGAATGACTGAGTCTTACAAGATTTAAAATCTATTAGGGAATGTACTACTGAGAAATCCATTTGTTTTCATAAAGAGTAGAAACAAAGCACCAGGCTAACAATAGATATCTTTTAATCTAAATGACAGTCCATATGCTGTTGTCTTCTCTGGTTTAAATATGTTCCATGTTCTTTTCACCCTAAACTCATTTGGCTTGAATGGTTGATCAAAGAAAGTTATGCATGAGAGACCATTCTATTCAGGAACGAGGGTCTGTCATGCCCTGAAACATCCTTGTGATTTATAATATATGAACTCTGTGTGAAAAAAGGTAAATAAACTAAAGCAATTTGAAAATAGAGAGAAAACATGCTGTGTATACAATTTATTGGTCACACAGCCATGGATATTATATTCTACTTCCATTTTGATATCTAAAAACATTTGGATGACATGGGAAGAAAACTGCTAAATATACATAACAGTACACACACACAGCAAATATAATATAATCACTCTGGAGAAATAATTTTTCTGCTTATATACCTTTTAAAACTGAATTTGATACTTTCAAGTTCTCATTGGTGTAATTAAGTAAGCTTGTTCTTTGTTGATACTTTCCTTTTTAACTTTGATTGCTGCAAGCAATTTGCAGTTCAGCAAGAACTTGAAGCCAAAATATTCTCTGATAAAGCAGGAAATGATTTAAACCACACCAATAATAAGTAGAGAGAAAGAGAAAAAAAAAAGAGAGAAGACAGCAGTTTAGTTTAGGCTACTCTTCTACATCAGATTAAAATAATAGGCCACTCCTCTCTTTTGAAGGAAAAATGATAGAGTGCTAAGCAAAGGGCAATAGAAATTACTGGAATAATTTTGCAGGTCCTCCTAAGCCAGGGTTGCATACTGACTTAAAGGTTGTTTTCTGAAAATTTTTAAATGAGAACTCAGATGTCATAGTCATAAGTAAATGTCAAATTTTATTTCAAGCCAAATAAAAATAAATTATTTTTGAACTGCTTGTAATTTGGGATAACTCTGTACACTCTCCCTTTGCATTACTATGGAAGATCGTGTCATTTCGGATAGTAAATGAAAATTCATTATGAATGCCTGTAACAAACTTAAAGCATTGCAAGTTTTGCACATATTAAAAAAATCAGGAAATTGTCTCCAAAATTTAAATGTTCAATCATTCTCATGAGTTGATTCACATTTTTTCAAAGAAGATATAATTTAAAAATGAAACAGGCTGAAAAAAATAATTTTACAAAGTTGGATAAACAGAAAATGAAAGAAAAATAAGATGAAACCAGTATCAAGAGTAATGCATGCTGTGAATCATGGAAGGTCTTATGTAGTTTTGAGAACCATACTGTGAATTTGACTCTGAGCTTCCTAGCATCCAAAGCAAAGTTGCATCAGCTGAAATTTACCCAGCTATTCAGGAGGATATATTTTCCAAATTCCAAAAAATATTCCTTCCCTGATCCTCATAAAGGGACATTATGGGACATAGTAAAATCATAATGTCACAAAAGTCCCATTATGTCAACATTTTCAACAAGAGCCAATGTTACAATGTCAAAGTGCAAGTTTATATCATCCTAGTAGTAACTTTGTTATTAATTGGATTGACTTAAAAATTAATTGTCAACTATCAAGAATTAATAGATTGTATATCTTTTAGGAAACGCTTATAATCTCACAAACAAATGTCTTAAAAACAGGAAAGAGACAGCACAAAGTTACATTCCCTAGGTGAAATCTGAAGTATAGGCATTTTCTGTGCCAATTAAAAGAAAATCTATGTGCTTTGACAATTATCCAGAGTAGATATAATTTCTATCATTCTCCAAAGGAAAAAAAATAAAATGAAGGCTCTTGTCCCAGATGTACGGAATAAATGACCACACAACTTCAACAAGTGGCATCTGGCCTTATTGGATCAATTCTTAAAGATTTGCATTAGGTATTCTGATATTGCAACCTAATATACCCACCATGCAAAGGAAACCAGGTCAGATAATTTGCATCTGCAGATGTGCAAAAAACAACAACAACAACAACAACAACAAAACCAAACATGATTTTTTTTTTAATGGCCTTTCTTACTTCCCAATGTGGCACTTTTTTCTTCCATGTTTCCTAGGCATTCAGGCCTTGCTGATCATAGCATTTATCACACAGTATTACAAATGCCTGTTCACTTCTCTATTTGCACCCCAAGCAGGAACTATGTCTACCTTCTTCACTTTATATCCTCAGTGCTTGCCACAGTGTCTGGCCCATTGCAGGCACTCAGTAAATACCTGTCAAATGAATGAATGAATTCCTCTAGGATTAGAGCAAAATAATGTAATGATGCATAACAGGGGTTCAATAAATGCTTCAAGTTTTCAACAATAGAGATACAGATAAGTTTTAGATACAATGCTTACCAAAAGTCTGGGAGGAGGAAAGCAGAGTTATCACCAAATACTTCATGTCTTTAATGAGTGTTTTGACTGAAAGTCTGTCATTTCAGTATTGGGCAAAGCTTTGGATTCAGACCTTCGTTTCCAAATCTGGGTCAGTCACTAAGGAGCAAAGCACTTAATCTAAGTTTGCATTTTCCCTTCTGTAAAATGTGAATAATATTAGTAGCTACTTATTGGATTATTTTATGAGAAATAAGTGAGATGATGCATGTATAATGTGTGGCACACAGCACATCCTTAATGAATGTCTATTATTGTTGCCTGGGTTCCATTTCAGCAAGCTTCCACTACTTCTATAGCTTCTCAGACTGTACTTTTCTCTCCGGCAATCTCTGGACCAAGTGTATCATGACAATCTAATCAGTAGCCATGAATGCCGAGATGGTCCGAAGAAATAAGTCTGTAGTTCTTGGAAGTGGGAGCTTTTATGTTTGAATAAGGAAAAAAAAAAACTAAAGAGATAAAAGTGGCTGACGTTCAGCTCAGAAAGATGAAGTAAGAGTAAAAAACAGTTATAGAAATTTTAAAAGGATAGACCCCAGAAATTTTCTCTCCACATTAGAGTCTTCCACAGAATAATTTTGTCTCTTGTTCTTTGTTTCTCTCCTTTAAGTATACACAGAAAATGAAACTGTCTATTTTTTTAAAAACCGTGCACCCACACATAAGTGGTATTTATGTACAAAATTCACTCCACAGATGTATTCACTGTCTTTATTTTTTTTAAAAAAGAGTAACTTTTAACTTCCTTAAAAGTTAGAGCATAGCATTTTCAGTATTAATAAATTTCTAGCTTGAATAACTAATTTTGTCCATTCAATATTATCAGAAATGTACTTACTCCAGAAAGTAAGACACACCTGAATTATTTGATCCCTGTTCTGCTTATTATCAGTTATAAAATCTGTCTCATACTGCTGCAACAAAGTGTTTCTGAATGAAGCCAAATGTCCCAGAACATATGCTGGATCGAGAGCTTGTGATTAAATTTAAAATGCAGACTCAATATCCCCAGTATGCTGAGGAAGGGTACCATGTTAAGTGGTTCTGGGTTACTTGAGGGCAGAAGCAATGACTAATTTCACAGGATCCAGCATGATGCCTACCATGTAGTTGGTCCTCAATATATAACTGATATTTTACTAAACTGCAAATCAGAACAATGGAACTAAAAAATTAGAAATAAATTCAGGAATTACCTAGTCCAAACCCCTCATTTTATAGAGGGAGAAGCTAAAATTATTGTATGAAGTGACTTGCCTAAACTTATGTAACTCATTAGTTTGCAGGATTAGGTGTGGTAGGCAGCTCTCTAAGGTCCTTGCCTTCTGGTATTCATGCCCTTGTGTGATCTCCTCCCAGGTATGGCCTGAACCTAGTAATTTGTTTCTAACAATAAAATACTGTAAAAGTGAGGGGATGTCCCTACTGAGATTAGGCTGCCAAAATATTGTCTTCTATCTTACTCATTCTCTCTTGCTCACCTCTCTTGTTCTGTCACCTGACTCTGATGGAAGCCAGCTGCCATGTTGTGAGTTCCCTATGGAGAGACCTATATGGAAAGCAACTGATAGAGGCCTCTGTACAACAGCCAGTGAGAAACTGAGGCCTTCAATTCAACAGCCTGCAAGAAATTGAGAGTTGCTAACAATCGCATGAGTGAGTTTGGAAGCAGATCCTCCCTCAGTCAATCTTTCAGATGAGACCATCACCCTAACCAACACTTGGACTACAATTTCTTGAAAGACCATGAGAACAAGAACTCTGTTAAGCTATGTATGAATTCCTGACTGACAGAAACTGTGAGATCATAAATATTTTAAGTCACTTCACTTTACAGTAATTTGTTAAGCATCTATAGATGACTAAAGCATCAGGATTAGGACCCAAGTGTTTTTTCTGCCTCACCACAGACAACTTTGCTGATGGTGTTTTAAAAGCTAGTTTTGAGAACTATTTTCCTCATTACTTCCATTTTTCTGCATATTTTCTATTTATTTTGAAACCTCCTTTTTGTGACATCAATCTGTGTTTTACTACTAAGAGGGGTTTTTATTTCCTTTACTTCTGTTGGCAAAATTCAGGATAGGTTCTGTGCTCTCAATTATAGACACTGTAAGCAAGGCATGGTATGCCAAAATGTGTAACCAGGGACTCTTTTATTAGATACATATCGGATATATCTATTTTTAGAGCTCCATAAAGACTCAAATACGCTGAAAAACAAGAAATAGAAAAGACCTAACAGTTCACCCATGGGGTATATACCTCCTTCCTCATTTTCCCTAAATGCTGTATTACTCCCTTATGTTTTATCCAGACCTTGCATTTAGTCTGGTGGTTTGAGGCTTTCAGGTAGGGATTATGGGTTTCCTTTCATTGATTTGGTATCTAACCTTAGGCAAGTCAGTTAGCCTTGCTATAACTCTTTTCTTCTTCCTGTAAGTAAAAATAATATGTCTTGAGTAAGAAGTTAGAAATTCTTAGAGAAAAAATATTATTAAAAAATATTATTTGTCATGTTTATATAGAAAATTTAAAGAATTTTATCAAACAGCCGTTCTTGATTGTATTACTTCATATTTGCACAGAAAATGTGTGTACTCATGAAGTTTTACTATTACAGTCACATTTTATTACAAGATCAATAGATAATCACTACTAATTTTCTTGAAAAGATAATGAGCTTCTCTTGTCTCTATAGTCTATATACAGTTTACCAGTTTATGATGTAAAATACATAAAAGTAGAATTCATCACTGATGATAATGTACCAATAAATCATATCAAATAAGAAGTCAGGACATGAGATCATGATAGATTTTGTTAAAAATCTATCTAAATAACTTTTTATCAAAGTTATTCCAGGAAATATTTTAGCATATTATTTAGTATTAATAAATAACAGTAGCTTTAAAAAAATATATTGTTCAGATGAATTCCAGTGTGTCCTCCTCCCTGCATTCATTGTATTTTTTTTTGAAAAGTAAAGATGTAGGGAATAAATGAGGTTATGTTTCTGTGAAAGGATATAAGAAAATATTTTAATTACATTTTAAATACTTGAAACTAGTAAATCTTAAAAAGAACCAATTGGGTGATGTAATCAATGTATTGGATTACGATATATCTGATTACTTGGAATGTAATCACAATGCAATTTTATTTTGTCTCCCCCTACTCCTTTAAAATGTATTTAGTGGAAACAGTCTCTCCTCTGCTCTGATTCTCATGGCTTTTCTGACTCGTCTTGGGTAACAGAACATCTGATAGTCACCGTAAGTCAAAAATCAAGAAAAAGTGTCCATGCTCTAGTAATAAGCAAAACTTTATACTTGATTTAAATAAAATTTTTTTCTCTTTTCAGCTGGGGCCTGCTGTGGGCTTGTCATTTCCATGAGGAAAAAGATACGATTTCCCTCTTTCTTCTCACTTCATCCCAACTGACAGCTGTTTTTGTCCCAGCCAGGGGTGGAGGAAGGGAAAGTAGGAAAAGTAAAGACACCTCTAACCTGACTGGGACTGTTAGAGCTTGCCTTTTCGTGCTCTTGAGCTACAGCTTTCACAGTTGACTTTCTCTGCCAGGTGCTCCCAAGTTCTTTTAGTTTCCCTGAAGCCCAAGCCCCTGGTGCAGGCAGAGCACAGTGACTCTTTCAAGTGCTTGCTCCTGACATTCACTCTGTTTCATCCCCTACTGAGACACCCTCATCCCTTACTTCTGAAGACCAGCACCTAGAAATCTTCCCTACTGGGCAGGATCTCCTTCAAAACGGACTGACAATCTAGCTGAGTTTTGCATCTAGTCCCTGACATTCTCACATGTAACTTGCTATTAGAAGGTTGTGTTGGACACTCTCAGAAGTAGCCCTCACTCTGTGGTCACAGGCCCTAACACGAGTCAGGCTCCACTGTCCCCAGTGACTGCAGGGAATACATCCCACACTCTCCAAGTGTCCCATTGAAGTTCCCTCCCTAACTGTGGTAGGCAGGTAGAGGGAAAGATGTCCTACCCTTCCCTTTGTCAGAAGACCTCATAGCACATTTCCCTCTGCCTAAGTTTTTTATATGAAATCTTTCTCAATCAACTAAAACATTTTATTCCCCTGGGATGGATGCAGACCAAGAAATGTGAAGCCACTTTTAAGGTAGTTATTTAGAAGACATTGCACACTAACTTTGGAAAATCATATCAATTGTAACTTGCTTCTTCATCAAAATGTCCAACTTAATCTACCAGATGGTATGAGCTGAACTATCATGGAAAAGTTGAGTGGCTAACAAATAGATCCATGATCTATAAAACTCAGATGTTTTGACATGCCCTCAGACATTGAAAGCTGCTCTACTGACAAAGTGCACATTGAAAAAGACATAAGGTTACTGCACACTTCTCTGAGCCCATTAAAAGATAAACATAAAAATGTCCCCTTCTGACACTTAAAATACCAAAGTGCAGCCTAGGTCAAAGTCTTATGGCTAAGTTATAAATCTCAGAAAAACATTATGTTTGAAGCATTGACACAACCTTAAAAGAGGGCTGCTGAGTAGAGCAGTGGGGAAAAAAGAACACATCTCCAGGCATGTAAGACCAAACTCTGAAATGTGTCTGATAATAGGATTTTTAATTATAATGACTATTTCACAGGCATTTGGTGTTAGCAAACTCATTGCTGAGGAATATGTCATTTAGGACATCATTTTAAGGCTAGCTTAAGTATTCACAAATGGGTTCTTCAATGTTCCAGTTATCTGGAATATATGCTGCTGTGTGATACACTATCTCAAAACTCAGTGGTTTAGCACCACATTTATTCTGCAATCTAGGCTGGGCTCAGCTGGGTGGTTCTTCTAGTCTCACTTGGCATCACTCATGTGGCTGCAGTCATCTGGGATTACTGACTGTGCCTGGAAATCCAAAATGGTTTCATTCACATGTCTATCACTTTACCCAGATGGCTCAAACTGCTGAGAATGTGCTGACAACCTCTCTCTATCCACATGGGCTCTCAAGCAGGGTAGTCAGAACTCTTTACATAGTAGCCTAGGATTCCAAGAGAATGCATCTGGAAGCTGTCAGGCTTCTGAAAGCCTAGACACAGAACTGGTACATCCTCTTTCACTACCTCCTACTAGTTAATGCAAGTTAAAAATTCAGCTCATATTCAAGGAGGTGGGAAATAGACCTTATCTCTAGATGAGAAGAGCTAGAAAGAATGTGTGGCCCCCTTTAATTCACCACCTGGGGTTTGAAAGAAAATGGTATACTTTATTATCTCTGGAAAATGGTAACCATCAGTGTTGATGAATATTCTCTCTGAAATGCTAACCAACTGATGATTTCAAAAATTGATTTAGCAATATTTATAAATAAAAGGGAGAGAAACTTCATGCAAAGATATGGTGACATGTGTGAGGCCAAAGAAAAAAGGTGAAAGGCACACATAGGGTATATGCCAGAGAAGATAAAACCATGCATTTCCAGCTATCTCTAACTTTGCTTGTCTTATATATTCATCATGATCAAATATTATAATCTCTCACCCTAGTGACAATATGCCACTGGGTCCTTAATCATTAATTAATTTACCCTTCCATCCATATATTCATTTATTCTATACATATTTTAAGCGGGTTTTATATGACAGATATTGTGCTAGACCCCAGTGATATAAAAATGAACAATACACAGTCATTTTTTTCAAAACACTCAAAAATCTGTAATTACAACAAAGGAGTGATGTAACAAAGAGAGCTGTTAGCTCAGCCTCTGCAGGGCATGGTGTTAGATTAGATTCCTAGAGAGAACATGAGTCAATCCTGAGAGATGAGTAGGAGCTTACTGGGTACACAAAACTTATACAAAGTAATGAAGGCAATAAACAATTTTAGTACCCAGAAAAATGAGAGTAGTTCAGTAGGTACACGGATAGTATGTGTACGAAATAAATTGTTGAAAAAGCTAGAGATATAAGCAGGACTTCATATGTCATTCTAAGGATACTGTATTTTAACCAGTGTAGATAAGGAGACACTTAAGTAAAAGAATTTCTAAGTAACTCTTATTTAAATCATGGTTTCTTTCTTTCTTCCATGCACTATTAGTTCTAGGGTCTCCCTATAACGAATAGCACTACAAACAGTTAACATATTACATGGTACTTAATAATATCATTTAATTATTGCTATTTAAAATCTTTTCCTAAATTTGTTTTTTACATGATGGGGATGCTATAAATATTTATGTGCAATGGCCTAGTGTGTGTGCTTTTCTGGAGGCAGTGTTAGGATTATTAATATCCCACAAAGAACCTGAATTGGTGCAATGGAGGTTAATTTAAAAAGTGGAAGAAGCAGACAAAATTGAGAGAAAAAGGAAATGTAACATGTCTTAATGTCAAAAACATAAAAATCAAATTATTTGTTCTGCTCAATGAAATAAACAGACAGTTATTTGGCACCCCAGCAGAATAAACATTGTATGTGCAGTAGAGACAGTCAAGTGGTAATCAGGAGGGCAATGCATAAAGACCACAGTTCTATTTACGTTCATTAATATAGCCAAATATCCATCATCTACCAACTATCATTTGTAGACACTAGATACACAATGATAAATGAAATAGACCTCTTTCTGCTCTCTGGTACTTATCATTCTTCTCCCAATTAGTGTTTCATAGAAACCTCATGATTCATTGCCAATACCTGATTTTCTCACTAATAAAGTCAGAGAGGTGGAATGCAACTTTCCCTGGAAAACTTAAGAATTCATCAAAAGTTCATTGTTACCTGGCTTGGTTCCATTGTGATTTGGATTTTCACATTGTAACTGGATGGAGTTTCTTAAGAATGGAAGGCAATAACTTGATTGAAATTCAGTGGAGCCAAGAAAACTCTATTGTTGAAGAGAAATGTGGAATAAGCTGGGGACTAGGGCTTCTTTTCTCTCTACAGAAGAAATTTCTAAGTGTTATTATGGACTTACATCTAAAGTGTACATGACAGGATGAATAGGATCTTTAGGGATGTACCACTCTCTAGCACACATTCTTCAATGGAAATTGAATACTACAATAGTTCTCAGTCTAAGAAATCCACTGCTTTCCACTGCAAATAGGATTTGGAGCTTAATTTCAATTTATTCTGTTTGAAACTCCCTGATTTAGGCTCAGCTCATTGCCAGAAACTGCCCAGTGATTAAAGGTTGATTTTAGGGTAATGGTTACAGATAATCTTCCATTCCTAACTGTGCAAACTGCAGAACTTCAAAGTTGGAAGGTCCATTTTGATGCTTTTTAGATACAGACCTTGGAGATACGCTATTTGTTTACTGAGAGCTTGAAACTGACAGCATTGATAAATGGAATATATTGAAGGACAAAGATGACCCTGAAAAAACCACACCCCTGGCCCTTCATGTACATATGAAGATTTGAGGCTCACAGGTTTCCCTCAAAATGCTTCAGAATTCTCACCTCTAGGCTTCTCTTTTGCTCTGGGTTACCCCATTCTGTCTGGACAGTGGTGTATTTGGCCACTTCCCCACCAAGCATTAAATATTAATCAACTATTCATTTTAGAGAGCTATGGAATACAATGAGAATTTAATTATGAGAAATTAAATTTGCTAACATCAATTAAAATAAGCCTTTCAAAAGACATTTTATTAGAGTTTCATTTCCAGTCCTGAACTCTTTAATCTGGCTCATTTAGTATAAGACTCCATGCTGGAAGCCAAACTTGTAATTGGAAGTAAGATGGGCTTTTCAATTTAAGTCTCCCTCCTTCCTCTTTTTTTTTATTACAGCCAAATGCAACATGCTGTTTTAAGATTCTGTGGATTATAAACATTTATATCCAATCCCCTTTTAAAATTATTATTTTCCAGACTTTAAGAGGCTAGACCTATTAAAAAGTTTAAAATTTCCTAAGTCTTAGTTTAGGAGGAAGAGCAAAAATGGTTTCTACTATTCAACCTTTTGCATGTACAAATTCAAGGTTTTGTTTTTACAGAAGAACCTTTTTCCAAATTTATTTCCAGCTACTTTTGTTTTCCTTGAGGGACCTTTGAAACACTATATTGCTACTTTTCATGTTTTTTATTTGCCCTCTGCAACAATAAAAGCTCAAAGGTTCATAAATATGCATTCTGTAAATGTATTATGCTGACAAAGTGTTGCTCAGATAGCTGTTTTTGCCTTTGGGGAATGAATAAGTTTACAACATGCTTAAACAACGTTGTAAGGTGGAAAGAGAGAAAAGAAAAAAGGAGGAGAGCAGAGGAAACAGGAAGGGGAAAAAGATAGAAAATTGAAGGTAAACAAAAAGTATCAGAAAGAAATGGGGAACATTTAAGAACTACATCTACAAACTAGGGAAAGAAAGAACCCAGAGTTGAAGAACGCAAAAGGAAATAGAAACAAAAATCAGCCATATTTTATCAATGTTTATTATGTCAACAAAGATAAAGAGATCCGTTTTTCTACCAAAGATTCAAAGTTATTTTTTCCCCTCAAAGTGGTTTGAACTGAGCAGTATGCAATACTTATATTCTATGTCATGCTTTTTTAAAAAAAAATATTTGAACACAAGGTTTTTGTCCTTATTAATTCTAATTCCCTCTGGACTTAATCTAGTTCTGCTTCACTCAACTCAAATTAGATAAACCATAGGTCTGATGAGTATCAATATGCAAGGAATGGAAAGAATAACACATTTCAATGACAGTGAAAACCCATAAACATAAATCTCTAGTGAACTGTGTTAATGAGCATAAATGCAGATATTAGTGAACTAAAGTTCTGATGTGGAGTAAGTTTGTCAGGTGTAGAAATGATTATTGGTTAACCTTATGTTAACAGTTTCCTTCCTCCTGAGAAATTAACTGTGGAATTCAGAAAAATTCTACATTTTTATATGGAAATTAATGTTCTATACCAAAATTAATAAAAATTGAAAATAGAAGGAAACAAAACACATTTGTAACTTGAAGGAAAAAATTCCAAGAAATCATAAAATCACTGAGAATGAAACTGCCAAAATATTTGAGATAATAAGATTCATTGGGTGGGTGGTCTTTGGTCCATCAGTAATTATTACTGATTATGCCACAGATAATTTTGTTACTGATCAGTGAAAATATTGAAAAGCAATGAACTACTCTTGAGTTGGACTTTTTAAACAAATGATCAGTTTATGTAAAAGTTGTTTACCCTCAGAATTAACAGTCTATGATTTATTTACTACACACCTTACTCCTTCATGGAATTCTCAACCACTATTAGCTGGTGGAAGTTCCCTCCTAATCTCCTGCCTTCATCATGTTGCTTCTTTCCAGATTTCCTCAGTGTCCCATAATTTTGTAGTCAAAATACCTTTTCTATACTTGACAAAAGTTATTATTTCATTTGTGTTTCTGTTTCATTTATTCAATGGACATTGAGCATTTCACATTTTCCTAGGCCGTTCTCTGAGGAGTTTTTAATTGTAGAGAGATGATATACTAAATACAACAGTGTGTGTTTAGTTCTTTGAGAGAGATACATTTAAAATACAACATGAAGCGCTTAATTCTGCCTCAGAGGAACACAGAGAAGGTAATCTTTGAATTGGGCCTCTAAGGTTCATCAAGCAAAGAAATGCAGTAGACACATGAACAAAAGGCACAAAGGCATAAAAATACGTTCAGGGAGATAACATTTAAAGGAATGAGGAGAAGGGAAGACAGGCTGGGATGATAGAGACGAAGCCAATGGTGAAAGGACCTCTAAGCCACACTCAACATGAACTGTGTTGACAAAAAGAGACAGACTCTGTAAAATATTCGAAGTGATTTATTGAGCCAAATATGAATAATTAATGGCCCGTGACACAGCTCTCAGGAGATCCTGAGAACATGTCCCCAAAGTGGTTGGGGCACAACCTAGTTTTACACATTTTAGGGAGATGTGAGACATCAATCAAATATTAGGTTGGTGTAAAATAATCGCCATTTTTGCCATTGAAAGTAATGTCAAAAACTGCAATTACTTTTTCACCAACCTAATACATATAAGATATACACTGGTTTGGTCCAGTTATAAGTAGATGATTTATAAAATTTTTCTGATTGGCAATTGTTTGACAGAGTTATTATCAATAGGAAGGAATGTCTGAGTTACAATAAGGGGTTGTGGAAACCAAAGTTTATATCATGCAGATGGAGCCTCCAGGTAGTAGACTTCAGAGAGAATAGATTGAATATGTTTCTTATCAGATTTAGGGTCTGTGTTGATGTTAAGTGCTGGTCCACTTTTCCTGAATTCCATAAGGAAGGAGGGTATTATGAGGCATGTAGGATCCTCCCTTCTTGTCAGGGTCTGAACCAGTTTTTCAGGTTAACTTTGGAATGCCTTAGCCAGAGAGGAGGGGTCCATTCAGATGGTTTGGGAAGGGGCCTTAGAATTCTACTTTTGGCATACAACTGTGATTTATAAGCCAATGGCTTTCAGAATTTTTATCACAGTGCACAAAAAAAAAAAATACTTTCTACATGCAGCCCAATACAAAGGTACATATATTAAAATAAAAGTTTCCCTTCCTGTGTCCATGTGTTCTCATTGTTCAATTCCCACCTATGAGTGAGAATATGTGGTGTTTGGTTTTTTGTTCTTGCGATAGTTTACTGAGAATGATGATTTCCAATTTCATCCATGTCCCTACAAAGGACATGAACTCATCATTTTTTATGGCTGCATAGTATTCCATGGTGTATATGTGCCACATTTTCTTAATCCAGTCTATCATTGTTGGACATTTGGGTTGGTTCCAAGTCTTTGCTATTGTGAATAGTGGGGTGGGGGGAGGGGGGAGGGATAGCATTGGGAGATATACCTAATGCTAGATGACAAGTTAGTGGGTGCAGCGCACCAGCATGTCACATGTATACATATGTAACTAACCTGCACATTGTGCACACGTACCCTAAAACTTAAAGTATAATAATAAAAATAAAATAAAATAAAATAAAAAAGTTTCACATAAAACTTGTCTTTTCAATTTGTAAAATGCTGGTATGTGTGAAACATTTACCCTTTCAATTTGTGAAACACTGATATTTATGAAACATTTACTCTTTCAATATGTGAAACACTGATATTTTCTATTCCCATTCATTCTATTCTGTGTCCGTTATGATCTGCCAAGAGGATTGTGACCTCAATTTGAAAGAAAATTTGCTCTAGGCAATGGGTTTTAGCATGTGAATATTACACCTAATCTGAGATTTAGAAAGAGAATGAGTGACATAGTAGAAGATAGTTTAGAAAGTGGAGGAACTGGAGGCAGGAAGTCTGGTTAGAACAGTGGGTGCAGTAGTCTGGGCGAGAGATCTAGAGTTAAGAGAGGAAGAAGCAGAATGTTCTTAACATCAGATTGCCACTCTTAAATAACCTTAAAATGTAAATAACTTTAGGATTATTTACATTTTAAAAGAAGACTTTTAGGAAAGGGTGTTCTTAGGACAAAAGAATAACTTCTCAACAACTGAAATAACTGGGAAGCATATCTTCCTGGAGCTACTTAAAACATACTCCTTAGGAGATTCTTTGTGATCTGGGCTTTAATTCTATACCGAAATTGGGGTTAAAGGAGTTATTAATAGAAATGGGTATATACAAGTGGGATAAAGCCATGTTAATGTATGAAATTGCCCCCAGTTTCTTCTCTGAAGAATCTCATCTCTTCTTTGAGCTGGAACTGAAAAAGGAAAAAAAAAAAAGCAGCATCTCATCTTCCCTGTGTCAGAGCAGAGGTTCCCTCTGATGTATGGTGAGTACAAGAAAGCTGCCACCTCAATATTTTCAAACTGTAGGTTGGGTGAGAACTTGACGAACTGAAGGTGGAAGACACTACTGTGTAACAATTTGTTTTTTACTCTATTGCCTTTTCAAGATTGTATGAATTATATCACAAAGAAAGAAATTAGTCATTGTCTCTATTGTGTCAATTATTCCTTCTTTTTTTCTGAGCTGTAGTCATATTGTATGTACAATGCAAACTTCTTTTCTCATTACCTCAAACATTTCCACATTCCTATATGGTCTTTGTGGAATTAAGGCCAGAGTTATTTTCCAATTTCCATTTGCAAAATGTTTATGAAACTTTCCCCATTTTTCTTGAGCTTGGTTTTGAATTAATGCATCAACACAAGTCCCATTTTCCAAAGGTGACAATGAATTAAAAAGGGAGAAATACAAATGGATTCTACATATGGTCTCTCAGAAAGTCAGTTCTAGGGTTTGAATTCAGGGCCATGGTCATGGTAGATCTTCTAAACTATAATTTAAGGTTGAGCTTTTTCTGTGTGACAGAGAGATTCTGAGCTAAAGCAAAAGTCTATATCCACTAAACACAGTGGAAGTAAATTCTTTATTTTACTATCTTTATTTTACTATGTGGTCTAAATGAACATTTAGATGGAATGCAATGCCTCCTTCTTAAGCAAATAGCTATGCACTCTTCAGGATGTCAGTCCCTTCTTCAAAGGCCTTTTGTTTTATATAGTCTTCAGTATTCCTTCATTTCTTCTTTTTATTCACATTCCATCCCCTAAATCCAAATGGCATTCCTTTACATATGAGCCTTTTATTATAAAGTTTTCCCTTCTCCCTTACTTTGATTTCATCCCCCTTTTACCTTTTTCTTGCTTTCTGAAGAGAGCCATCCTCTTCTGAAGCAATTTCATGACATTGCTGAGGCTCTTTAAGGAAAACTTTAAAAGCCACCTTTCATGTGTTCACCATTCACTGTCTCCTGACAGCACAAAAAAAGAAAAAAAAATCAGCTACTGCTGCGGCTAAAAACAAACCAAAATAGGCCCCCAAGCATATCTTATTTTTATGTTTAATTGTTGTGCTTTGCATTTAGAAATTGATTCCAAGAACTTTTCTTGATTCCAAGGCAGCCCTGGATATGGATATTAAAAAGAAAGCATTTTATTTAATGAAAGAAACAAAACAAAATAGTAAACTATCACCCAGGAATCTATCAGCTGGGAATTTCTGTTAACAAGGACTTGCACATTTTTCAGTTCACTGATAATCTATGATCATAATGATGGGCCTGAGCTACTGCAAGTTCCTGGACTGCTGTCTGAGTAGTCAAAGATCATGCAGTGCAGTTTGACAAAGATGCTCCTAATTCCTTGATAATAAGTTTTCCCTGGATGTTTTCAGCGAAAACTTTATATAATTCATTGTCACATACATTCAAAAACTTTTGGAAAAATCCAAAAATATCAACAGCAATAAAATATACCATGTGTTATGTATATTTCGTTCTTTATATACTGGTTTATTTGTGAATTAAATGGTTATGTTTATTCTATGCTAAGCCTTAGGTTAAAAGCTTCAAATATAAACATTTATATCATGATTTCACCCTCATAATCTCTCATCTCTAACATTGATAGCTGCTGCATTGCCTTATCCCTGGCAGATTCTTTCGTCTTCAAATTTTGCACAGGAAATTGTTGTCTCTGCCTGGAGCGTTGTTCTACCAACTCTTTCTCTTTTGTCATAGGCTTTGCCAGGCTGATATCTACCCCTTCTTCTTATTTCCATCTTATCTAGACCCCTCATTTGTTTATTAGACAGATAGAGAGATTGATTCATTTTATATATTCAGCCTCTCAGAACTGGGAGAAGCTATCTCCCAGTTAACCCTTCTGAGTCCCAGTTTTCCAAATCTGACTAATATTATTTTGCCATTTAAAGTAATGGCAAAAATCGCAATTACTTTTGCCCCAACCTAATACTTGTTTCTCAATGCTTTCGTGAGGACTAAATGACAAGGCATATGGAATGCATATAGTGCAGTGATGCCTAGTAGCTTCTCAATGTTACCAAACCTTATAACAAGCCCGTAAGGTAGGTCCAGTGTAACCTACCTCTGTAAATACTCCCTTATCTGCCTCATGGAATTAACCATATTGTTTATTCCCTTGGCACAAATAGGGGCTAAAGCTTATGTCACTTTTGAATAGGTTAATCTCTAGAATGTTGCTTTCCAGTATGGTAGATACTAGTCACATGCGACTACTGAACACTTGAAATGTGCTAGTCTGAACCGAGATACGTTGCAAGTGTGAAATATACACCAGATTTGGAAGACTTCTTATGAAAAAAGGGTGTAAGTATCTCAATAAATTTTATATTGATTGCCTATTGCAGTAATATCCTATATTGAGCTAAATATATTATTAAAATTAGTTTCACCTTTTGTCTTTCCTTTTTAATGTGGCTTCCAGAAAATGTAAAATTACATATGTGGCTCACATATTCTATGGGATGGCAGCACTGTTCTAGAAAGGGTCTTCTGCTCCCAGCAGCGGTGATGTGTGCTTAGCAAGAAATCAGCTGCATTTCTTTACATATTTGCTTATTATCCATTCTACTTGTTATTGTCATTGTGTAACTTGGTTAAATATTAAGATATGAGAACAAAAAGGGGCTTATTTCTAAATAAGACTTGAGAAAGGCTGGTTGCTAAAATAAATTGCTATTGAATTAGGTACAGATATGACAAATGTAAAAAATAGAGACAAATTGCAAAATATCTCAAAGGTCACTGTATTGAGTTTCTTTTGCAAGATTCTTTATTATTCCACTTTACATAAACAAAAACTAGAAATATATACAGAACATTGCGGCTATTTAGGTCAAGGAATTTCATGCTGACTGCAGACTCTATCTAGAGAATTGACATTGGCTTGGCATCAAAAAACTGCTAAATGAATGAATGTACTTTTAGACATTCTAGGTAAGATTAAAATTGTGTTGTACAGATGTCATTTTATGATTTCTCACTTAAATTACGTTTTTCATTAATCAAAAAACAGTCCTAATTGCATTGGATTAAAGAGCTTCTACTATATTATTATTATTAATTAAGAAAATGAGGACCAAATAGCTCAAGGCACTTATCCAAGGATGGAATCTGGAACAAAAGAAGTCAAAGCCTAGTCACAGATCTCTATGGATCCAAAGCCAAAGGCTTTTGTCATTATGCTGCACTGTCTCTTGGTTTATAAAAACAACTTAGGCCATAGTATTATAGTTGTATATACATACCTATTTATCTATCCTCACTTACTCTAAACACACATTGATTTCTATAGGATTAATTCATAAGATCAAAATAAAACTAATGCCAAATTTTCAAAAGATAGCCTTCATTTACCATATAAAATTAAATTCCACTTTAAAAAAAAAAAAAAAAACCTTTCTCTAGTTGCAATTGAATTTTCCCATTTGGCCATTTCTCTCTCATTTAGAAAATGTAAGCAGTCAATACAGAGCATAACTAAGCCCAACTATTGACCTCAACAGGTCGATATGGATGTTCGATATTAGTCAGACATAGCTCAGTTGTCAAATTTGCACTTGAAAAGATTACTGTTTCAGTTCTTATTACTTATTCCAGGAACCAACTGATTCCCTCTGGTCTTCTGGGTAACCTATCTGTCATATTCAAAGCAAAGCTGTTTTCAAATGCAATATTGACCTTAGAGAGCAATCCTGTAGGACAGAGAGATTGTTCCTGCTCTGCGTATTTGTGCTTCAACCACACACTTATCCTGAACCTGGCCAACCACCTTTTTTTGAATGAACCAGATACATGTAATATACCAATCAAGTGATATAGGAATGGCTCTGAGCAACAATAATGTAATCCTGCATCCCCTACATTTACTTTTTAATGAAATCTATGTCCTACATTCTAAAAGACAGCAAACAATTGTAATTTTTCAACTAAGTGAAAAAGCTATAGAGACTATCCAGATAGACCAATAGAAATGCATCCTCAATTGGGTGGCTAATCTTTGGAGAGCAGGGAGATCACATTCCTTCTTCCATAGGTACTGAATCTCTGCCATGTATCTCAAAGGAGAAGGAACTGTGGGTCTCTTTTGCCAATTCAAAAGCACATGCATGCACGCAGGTATCATGAAAACAGCATCAAGGCAGCATAACTGTACATACCTAATATTATAATGTGAATTAAATTTTAATAGAGTCATGACAGAAAACTTCCACAAGTCAACTTAACCTGTAAGCATATTGTGCCAAGTTTTGAAGGAGAAAACAGGCAAGTTTGGGAAGGTATTCCCGAAGGGAAGAAAATATGAATTCTAAATACTATGTAGCCAGAGATCATCTTTTCATTTAGCATGACAAGTAAAACTACTACTTAACCTGAGTCTGTCTTCATCTTGTATCTCCCAGAGACATCAGATGTTCACTAACAGCTTAATCCCTTCCAACTAGGATAGAAGGGACAAAAAAAAAAAAAAAAAAAAAAAGTCTCCCCTGATAAACTTCCATAACCTAACAGTTTATGTGTGGCACTGATTCTATGTTTCTACTTTCATAAGGTATTTATTTTAAAATCAATAATAAAATAATATCTTTTACCAGTTAAACTGTCATCTTGTGAAGGAACATTTGACAATTGATTGTTTGATAAATGAAAACAAGCTAAATGTTGGTTAATTAAGTCACTGAGCCATGTGTTCGGTTTTTTACGGGCATCTAGTATGCAGTAGTAATGACATAGACATTGGGACCCAAGAATAAATGAGGCACGATCTCTGGACTCAAAGAGCCCAGTATCTAATGCAAGTGACATTAATGATGGTAAACATAAGAGTGAAAAACAGAGGTATAAACATGGTGGAAAAGTCAGGATAAGCTTCAATGAGGATGGAAGAGTTAAAATTAGGTCTTAAAGAATAAGGAGAAATTTGTCAATTGAAGAATAGGTGAGAATCACAGGAGCCAGTATTTGAAAAGATTCAGAGTAATGAAAAGGTTTGATATGGTAAGAAATTGTGGTAAAGGCTGACTAGTGAGAGGTAGAAAAAAAAACTAAAAGAAAAATAAGAAGAAAAAGAAGAAGTTGAAGCCTGTGTTGAAGGACTGTATATACCATGCTTCAGAGTCTGACATTTATTCCAAAGGCTATGACAACCCATCAAAAGTTTATAAGCTTGGGAAAAGGGGAGACAGTATAAGATATGTGTGTTGAAAAGAATTCCAGCACAGTGTCTGGCACTAATAGGCACTCAGTATGTATTTGATAATGAAAAATGAATATGAAGGTTGTACTGGAGAAAGACACACTGAAGAAAGAGAGGCTAGTTTTATAATTATTGAAATATGGATGAAAGAATAATGACAGCCTACAGATAGGAGCAGGGGAAATAAACAGAAAAAAAAACTGACCAAACACTCATTAAGGTGGTATAATTGACTTAACTAGTTTAGAGACTGGATGTTTAAGGAGAGAGGAAAGAGCCTAGAACTCCTGGATTTCATGTTTGTGTGATTTGACGGATGGGAGTTCCAATAATGGAGAGAAAAAGAAAACAAAAGGATCAGGTTTCTGTGGGAAAATTGTGTCTGCCACTTATACCTATTATAATGTATATGTATGGACAAAATCAACTTTAACATGGCTCCCCTTTAGGTTTCAAATTCCAGGAATGCCTTATTTATTGTTTTATATCCCATAGCATAATTATGGGTACAAACTAAGAGTTCAGTTTTTATTTAGAGAAGAAAGCAAGAAAGAAAGAAGAGAGAAGCAGAAAGCAGGAAGGAGAGAAGAGGGAGGAAGAGGGAGAAAAGGAAGGGAAGAAGGGCAGGAGGAGACAATCGTGACACAGTAGTAGAGGGTCTGGAGTTCAGCAGAGAAGTGCACAGGTCTGCATGTAGAATCACTGGCATAAAACCCATATTTGATTTGAAAATCATTGCATCAGTGGTGTTGCATAATTGCAGCTTTAACTTCTCTGTTCCAATATAGTTTTTTTTAAAAATCAACATATTGCTTCCTGGTTACAGGGTATTTTTTACATAAGCTTGTATCTATTGCTAGTAGAGCTGCATCAACATTGTTAATATTTCAGGTAGCATCTGTAATTGAAATAGTATCCTATGTTAATTTTAAAGAATCCCGAAATCATACTTGCAAACTAACCGGTCTTTATTTGAATTCCCATATGGAGTACTGGAACATCTTCAACAATACATTTTCACTGTCCCATCTCAAGTAATAAGGGACAAGTGTTCGGAAAACCACAGACAGTCTAATGGACACAGAAAGATGGATCCCTGAAACTAAAGTTTTCAGGACTTACAACAAAAGCATACATGCCGTATTCAAGCAACAACTATCAATTTGCCAATCTGATGTTAAAATATTGAGTTCATCTCTCATAATTTTGATATTGTCTCTACCAACTGTTTAGAATGAGGATTGAAATTAGCATAAAGGAAGAACAGGGAAAGGATGAATTGCACAGGGTGAATAAAAATCACTCTGTATATTTGAATATGTAGCATCAAATATTTTTTCACACTTAACTCAATTTTGTCTTTAGTATAGGCCTGACTTAATGTAAGATGATTGACAACCTCTCCCTATTTCATCTATTGTAATGTTCTTCAATTGCCTGAGCGCTTCTTAATCAAAAGAAGAGTTCCACACCACCCTTGGATATCAAAGGAGAAGGTTTCTATAGCTATTACTGAATCAAAGAGTTATTCTTTGAAGAACCTAAGGTGAAACATTGAAAAATCCTTCTGGGATACAGATGAAAAATACCACATGTGTGTTTCCCCCAAGTATCCAGTGCGATCCATCAAAAGACTAATAAAAACACAGGCCTACACTCACTTGATAAGTGTATTCATTTCTCCTATTCTTTTCTCACATTTTCTGTGTGGCTGCTGATCTACTAATCTTTCTCACGTGGAGTATAGCTGGACTAAATAAAAATGCCAGCCCTGATTAACGAGTCAGGTGAGAAAATGACCTCTGAAATGCTTTCATTTCAATAAACCTTTTATGCTAAGGAGCCAGGTCAGGGTGGGAGAGACATCATCATGGAAGAGCAAAAGATACATAACACATGAATAATGGTAAGATTTCCTGCATTAAGGCATGTGCTATCTATGGCCATAATGTTGCTGAGTGAAAGTTATTTAATTACTTTGTTCTGGAAACTCAAACCTTTCTGGTTCAAAAGAAGGCATTTATAAAGCCTACTGGGAATTAAGGTAATTAGCGCACATCTCATTATTCAAAAGCTCAATCCTGTGAGACTAAATAATTATAAAATTCAAGTCAGAAATGACTTGACTTTTTTATACTGTGGCTGGTGAATGGAGTCCCTTTTTATTTCTTTTTAAGATGGAAACCTACCCATTTGAAAACAGAAGTTGTTAACTTGCTCCTTGAATTTAACATCTGGTAACATTTTCATCTTTTGCAAACTAGTAAAATGTTGTAGTATTTTTGACAGTGGGAGTTCAGTGCCAGAAGAAATTTTATCAGTACAAAGAGACTACAAAATAGGTTTCTTACTGGGCCACAGGGTTTCTTAATCCTTATCTTACTGCATTAAAAAAGTGCTGCAGGGAAGGTGCTATTTGCCTATAATTTCTCTAGGAATTAATTTAGGGAGAACTTAATGGCAAAGAATGGGATACAACTATTCCCCTATACTGTGTTAATGCATAGAGAGAAATCTGCTGTTGTTTTAATGTTTTAGTTATGGAAAGGCTGTGAGTTTTGCTACTTCACTGGAATCACTTTTCCCTCGTAATCAACCAATTACATCTATCTTTTATCAGACTGCATTTATCACTTGTCAATTTAGTTTTTCAACAATCTTTTATGGCTGTGTGATATTCAAAGACAAACATGTTAAATATTACTAGCAAACTTTTAATATGTTCAAACTCGGGGACCATTGAACAGAGTCATCCCAGGGTGTTTGGCATGTACATTCTGAATGAGCAGAAACGTTTTAACAGAGGCAGCAGTGGTCACAGAGCAGTGCAGTGAAGACAGCACAGGCTGTGGACACAAGAATGCAGATTTATGTTCTGGTTCTGGTAATTATAAATTGTGGAGACCTCCTTAAATTTTGTAAACACTGAACGACCATTTTCTCATCTGTAAAACGGGGGCTGTAAGATATGAGAATTAAGATAATTTGTGAATTACAACTAGCACACTGCTTGGCACCTAACAGGGCTCAATAAACAGTCATGATTCTTGTTATTCCTGCAGGGGGCAGTGTATGAAGCTTAAATTGACAGAAAATATTTTGTAATTGCCTTATAAATTTTGAGCAGAAAGACAATAAAATGCATACACACACACACACGCACATGCACACACGATAGATGTATATATGACAAGGGCTATATAACATTAAAGTGAAACATTTGTTTGCTCAGAAGCCTCTGTATACAAATAAATTACTAAGCAAAGACTTAGAAGCACAAATTACTTTTCTGGATGACTAGGTGGATTATGCTCAATAAATGTTCTGATTAAAAATTTGTGGCTATATCTGATTTGCTTGTGGTATTATGGAAACAACTTACAGGTCAGAAAGAGAATTAACACCTTTTCAAAAGCAAAGCTAAATAAAAACCATTAAAAAAATCTTACGGAAAAATAATGTTGCTATCATCAAAGTGTTCTATGCAGTACTCACATGAAAGGAAAGCAAGGAATCTATCTGAATAGGTTTTATGTACAAAGAAAAAGATTTGTGTTTTATTGTTATTAATATAACATAATCACCCATGTTTTCTGAACACATACTATGTGCCTGACACATGCTAAGTGCTTTTTGTGTGTTGTCTTATTGAATTCTCAGAACTCCAGAAGAAAACAGAAGCTTAGAAAGGTTAATTATTTGCACAAAATCTCACAGCTATAAAGAGAAATAAAGAACCTGAATCTCAAATCAGATCTATCTGACTACAAAGCAGGCATCTCCTCAGTCTAAGATGTGTCTCTGAAATCAAAGCTTTTTTAAAGGCACTGTGAAATTGGAACAATCAGAAATCTACAAAAAACTGTTTTCTTGGAAAAAAGTATCTGGAATTTTCCCACAAAGTGGAAGACACAGTGTATACATCTCCACAATTCTATGTACCACAAGCAAAGATACATAAGTACATGGAAAATAGAAAAACTTGAAAATGTGCAGTTAAGTTTGTAAACACAATAGACAATGACTAGAGGAATGAAATACTCGTTTCAAGAATACATGTCACTGATGTGAAGAATGGGGATAGAAAAAAACTAAACTTACCTTCAGAATGTCATAACAACAACCATAATATGCTTGAAACTAAAGATTCATCAAAATCATAGATCTATAATGACAAATCTCTTAGTTGTTAACATCAGTGAGTGAAACTTCACCCACTGAAGTGAATAGGTGGTAAAGAAAGGTAATGCTATCACTGATCTTATAACCTAAGATAGCAAAGTCTTTGTATTTCAAGACTTGAACAGAAGGAATGGGATAAAAACATTCATTTTACGCTGGAAATTGAGGAGTCACTGCATTTCTCCTTTTTTTAAATCAGCAATCTTGTCTTACATAAGAAGGAACATAGTGGTCCCTTCTCTTCCCTAAGTATGTGTCATTCTGGGTAAGTTAATTTAACCTCAATAAGAGTTAAATGATTTGCACTGCATTTAGAATAACTCTCAGCCGAGTAGATTCGGTTTTTGATAAATAAATATTTCAGTTGCATTTTTTTTTTTTGAGACAGAGTCTCTCTCTGTCACCCAGGCTGGAGTGTAGTAGCATAATTTCAGCTCACCGCAACCTCTGCCTCCTGGATTCAAGCAGTTCTCCTGCCTCAGCCTCCTGAGTAGCTGGGATTACAGGCATGTGTCACCACGCCCCATTAATTTTTGTATTTTTAGTAGAGACAGGGTTTCACCGTGTTGGTCACGCTGGTCTCAAACTCCTGACCTCATGATCTGCCCGCCTCGGCCTCCCAAAGTGCTGGGATTATAGGCGTGAGCCACCGTGCCCAGCTTAGTTGCATATCTAAATAGAAATATTTGTATTACAGTTAATAACTAAAACTTATTTCCTTCTTACCGTGTGCCAACTGCTATAGTAAATATGTGGATTAACTTATTTAATCTTTTCAATAAAGTTCTGAAGTAGGTATCAGATAAGAAAACTGAGATTAGAGATATTAAATAACTTGCTCAAGGCCACGTGGCTGATAAACTGTGGAAGTGAGTATCAACCCAGCCCCCACTCTTAATTCGAAAACTGATAACCATTCTCCTAAAAACAGGAAGAAGAACTCATCATTAAAGAACTAAAGGCATTACTTAATAAGCTTCAAGTGAGTTCTTAAACAAGCCTATATTAAAATTAATCAATACAGAGAATACCTTATATTGTCTTTAACTTAAGAAGGATGTGTGTGCCTGTGAGTATGTATGTAATTTGTCAAAGGCCATTTATGTGAGTCCAAAATATATATTCAAACTCTTACACTTCCAGTATTGATTTACTTCACTATAAACAGACAAAAAGAAAATAGCCACATAAATTAACTTGACCTAATTACGTTAGCCTTGTTCCCTACAGGAACTTTCCGTCTTAATTATTAGCTTTATATCGGACTAAAGACGCCCCTTCTATCCTTGGTTATCCTCCAGCTACACATTTATAAATCCACAGATAATAGCTATCCTTTGTCGAAATCTGTCACGTTCCATGTGCTGTATGAGCCCAAGGTTTCCCAAACCATATTAAGGTAAAAATGTTCTGTGGGATGTAATTAGATAATCCAAGAAAAAACAAGTCTTTCCCAAACAAATAAAGTGATATGTTTAACTGTTAACTAGGTTTCGTTTTTTACTGCAGAATTTCCGGGAACTATTAATGTATTTGCCAGTGTGTATGCTGTGAACCTCCAAGAAGGGGGTTTAGTAAAGTAGCTTTCCCCACATTTATTTGACCATAGAGATTTCAGTTGTTGAGCACAGATTTACATCTCCTGGAGTCCAGTGATCTCCAGAACATACTTTAGTATATGGTACTTTTATATGATCTCTGTTTTACAGATTATAATTTTTAAATATAGGTAATGTTGTCCCCATTATGCAACTGAAACTAAAGCCAAAGTTATCAAGCAGCTCGGCTGAGGCGGCAATTATTATGAGCTGTGACAGGATTCAAATTCAGGTCTGGCTTGATACAAATTGTTCTGCTTTTCCACCTTACAGTGCTACATCCCCCACAAAGAAATGACTTGAAACACTCCCAAAGGCAGGTGCCTGCACACTCCCAAGCCTTCTTCCTCCTGCCAGCGGGAACCTGATATTTGGATGAGAAGGTGAACACCAATAACTGTACCTCTGGCTATCTTTTCTCCTTTTTCCTTATCCTCGGGGGGAAGATATGCCCCATAGATATGACGTCTGAATCTGAAATAATGGATTTTGGGGGAAAAAATTTTTTAATCCACCAGAACATGAGTACAAAAATATCTTTCAAAGACTGCAACCTGTCCTAGGAACATCCGATCATAGACTTAATTCACCTCTGGAGAAATGTGGACCCTTTGGCGTTACTGAATAATCACAGTCAGACGCTTCGCAATAGTGGGCAGATGCGAGGTGGTACAGGACGCCATCTAGTCTCATTTAGGAGTTCATGACCCATACTTCTACCTTTCACATTTGTATGGTTCCTGTCTGTATTAGTCCGTTCTCATGCTGCTAAAAAGAAATACCCAAGAATGGGTAATTAATAAAGAAAAGAGGTTTAATTTACTCACAGTTCTGCGTGCCTGGGGAGGCTTCATGAAACTTACAGTCATGGCGGAAGGCAAAGCAGAAGCAGCTACCTTCTTCACAAGGCAGCAGCGGGAATGCCAGACGGTTATAAAACCATCAGATCTCATGAGAACTCACTCACTATCACGAGAACAGCACGGAGGAAACCACCCCCATGATTCAATTGCCTCCACCTGGTTCCTCCCTCAACACCTGAAAATTATGGGGATTACAATTCAAGGTGAGATTTGAGTAGAGACACAAAGCCTAACCATATCACCATCCCTATGAATACAGCATTTCTTTCCTTATGATAAATAAAAGTAGCCCATCCCTTTTCTAACATGCTCGTAAATAGAATATTGCATATACAAGAATCACATACTTATCTTATTCACTGTAATATCACTCAAACTTTTATTTCTTTTTACAACTTTTATCCTTCCAGCTCCCATTATAATAGCTATAACTTTATTGAGCTTGTCTGTGTGCTGGGTACTTTACCTACTTTTCTAATCCTTACAACTCTGAAAGGTATGTAAAGAAAAATAATTTCTTAACTCCTATGAGTAAATTAGTTTAGGATTTAACTTAGTTGTGAAAACATTTTCTTAGAAATTAATACTTATCTCTTTAATCTAGATTTTTTTGTGATTGTTTATTACAGAAAAAATATTTGTAATTAAACATTTACACAATTAAGCAAATTTAAATACACAATTTTTTCTTTAATGAAGCAAACCTTCTGATCATTTCCACATATGCAGGTAGCAGTATTCCGTTTTAGGTAACATTACCATTATGGCATGGAATTATTTTGAGAATTTGAACTATCCACAAATTATATATTAAAAGTTTTCTCTTTTCTATTCATAGTCCCACTGAAAATCCTGACACCTAAAGACTATATATTAAAAGTTTTCTCTTTTCTATTCATAGTCCCACTGAAAATCCTAACACCTAGAGACTAAATTATAAAATTAAGCCAGGCACAATGGCTCATGCCTATAATCCCAACTCTTTGGGAAGCCAAAGCAGGGGATCACTTGAGCCCACGAGTTCACGATCAGCCAGGGCAAAATAGTGAGACTGCTTTGCTACAAAAAATAAAATAAAATAAGATAAAAATCGACCAGGTATGGTGGCACATACCCATGGTCCCAGCTACTCGGGAGGCTGAGGTGAGAGGATTGCTAGAGCCCAGGAGTTTGAAGCTGCAGTGAACTATAATTGTGTCACTGCACTCCAGCATGGATGACAGAGCAAGACCCTGTCTCAAGAATAATGATAATAATCCACCAGCTTGAACATAAAGTAAAAATGGGAAGGAGAAAGAAGAAAACGTTAAGTGCATGCAAACAAACACATGTTTAAAGAAAAGAAAATTTTGAAAGGTACTACAATTCTAGTTGCTATAATTGGTTATGAGGTTGCAATTGCTATCTATGGCTTCTTTATCCAGTGCCCATTCCATACTTTCCTTTACCTCAGGCAAAACCTCAGCTGCTCTGGGTTCTTTACCTGGTGGAATCATTCAAACTTCCATTTCAAAGGGTCTGAGTTCTTAATTGTCCTGTCTTTTTTGGTTGCTGTTGTTTTCCATTCATCTTTATTACTAGACACGAAAAGTCTAAAAGACCCCCAGACATTCCCATGGGTTGCAGACATTGTCTTCCTTGACCACATTTTACAGCAGCAACCTAATTTGTTCTTGGTGATCAGGTGAAGTTACTTAAGAATTAACCCATTTTTGTTTGCCTGTTGGTTCCGTGCATAACAAGCCCTGTATGCCAAGGTCTTAGTCTCATCATCTGATTTAGTGGAACAATTGTTATGTCCTCTGGTGGAAACATTTCCACGTCAAGGACTAAGAACTCTAAACATGCAGAGCTCAGTTTTTTCTTCACTACCCACTCAAAACTGGCAGTCTTATGAATGATTTTTTTGGCATAAATGTATGAGATATAAGTGCAGTTTTAATACATGCATAGATTGCATAGTGGTCAAACTAGGGCTTTTAGGGTATCCGTCACCAGCATAGCACGCATTGTACCCATTAAGTAATTTAAGAAGCACATTCAAATGTGGTATAGAGTGCCCCCAAAATTCAAGAAACACTTCTGTTTTTCATAGGTGATGCAAGATATAGTAATTTGTTTTTCACTTTGAAGTGGACGTTTCAGCATGCTGCAGACTATTGAACTTTCAGAAACTTCACTAAGGTGGCAGGCCCCTGAATTTCTGCAGGGTTTCACTCCATCATTCGCAAATGTATCATGAAAGCATCTGAAGTATTTGCTACTTCCTGCTCATCAAATCCATTCTGCATAAGACAGATAATGTTTCATGAAATACCTAGATACATTTATGTGGTTTTCATCACTTCAATGTATAATGGATTTATCACTAATCATTTTTGTGTAGGAATAACTTCCAAGACTTACCTTGCTTACTCACTGAACATTGTAACACAAACCTACCTGGCCAGATATCACACAAAGTGTGACTTTTGGCAACCAGTACTGGAAGTAAGTTAGCTGTGAGCAATGAAGAAGAAACAAAGTGTAAAATATGCAAAGGCAGAAGCAAATCTGTAGAAACCCCCTGCGGTTATCAAACATGTATATTTGTAAGTAGATGATTCAGCTTTCATAGATGCTTAGTCAAGATGAAAGTTCTCTTCCATATTTGATGATGAAGCATATAGAAGTGTACACTGAATTTTCTTCTTTTTTATAAAAATCAAGTGAAATAGAATAAACAAGAATTCCTTTATTTGTAGGTTACAAACCCCTGACAATCCCACAAATGGCAAGAATGTCTATGAAATCACATCTAACAATAATTTTTAAAAAACAAATTTTTATCAACCACATAGGGAAAAAGACCAAATTTATGGTTCCATTTTCTCAGTTAGAATTATAACAAAATTCTTATCATTTGAAGATGAAAATTAGGAGTATGCAAGCAGCTAATTAATTAAAATATTGTTATTTTTCTAGAATTTGTGATATGAGATTTGTCAGCCTTTTACATTTTTCATTTCTTACATTTTCTTTACTCATTCTCAGTACATATTCACTTTTATCTAATGGTATATTGATAATTTTGTGTATTACTCTTTAAAAGTTTTCCAAAATTTTAGAAGGTTCAGGACCATCCATATTTGAATCTAACCCTATAGTGACAAGACATGCAAAGATTGGTCTTGTAACTTACATATAAACTTGATGTTTTAATACTCACACATGTTGAAAATCAAACATTATTTATATAGATATTTACATACCAGTCTGAGATGTATGCTTTGCTTATCCTAAGGCAACAAAAACAAATCTAAGGCTTCTAATTAATATGAAAATACTCCATCAGCAATGACTACATTCTTCCCTGAGATAGTTCCCCCCACCCCCACCCCACAAAAGAAAGGTCTTGGCTTTCTCTAAGTTCCTTCTCTTACAGTGGTACACTTCTTAAAAAGAAAATTTAAACTTTACTAAAACCTAAACTGACTTACACAGAGGTGCTTGTGCTATATGAGCTACTGGTCATGCTAAACTGCTTCAGTTACATGATAATTTTATCCTAAAACTCACATGCAAATTAATTCTATAAGGTTGGCAACTTGTGAAGCTACCTGGAGTTGGGGATAATCTATCTTATCCTGGTTACACCGTGGATGGGGAGAGGGGACACATATTGTCATCACCTTATTACTTCTTCACAGAGGATCTTGCTGTGTCCTTGGTGAAGGGGTATTTTTCTGTATTAAGTAAATACAAATCTTAGAAAAGAAATAATCCATTAAACTCTAATGACTGGTAACCCTCAACCAAAACATTCACTGAATAGGGTTAAAAATATTCAAGACAATATGACTTAACTGCAATATCAGTCTGAACCTGCCATTGGTATTATTTAAAGTTCTAGTCTTTTAACATATATAGGTGTATGATTATATATGTATTATGGATATTAGATAGGTGGTTCAGAAACCCAGAATTTTCATATGCCAAAAGTGAGTGGGTGGCTCTATAAAAATTAGTCTGCATATGGTCCTGTGTTGTTATAAATAATGAAGTCAGTACTGGAGAACAAAAGAGTGAAAAACCAAAGCTGACAAACAGCAGAAATGGCTTGCAGGTTAAGACTTTAAAAGCAGCGTGCGGCTGAGAGCTTTAAGAATAACATCAAGTGCAAAGAGAAATGAAAATGAAGTCCAGACATCAGCCTAACTAAAAGACCATGAATGGATGTGCAGGATCAGTCATTTTTAACTGAAGATTAGTATCAGTTGCTTTATTATTTTAGCTGCATAAAACACTCACATAATTGATCAAGTTTTGCTGACATGTCATACTTGACAGATTAGACTAAAAAGTCTTATTTCCAACCAAAAAGCTCTATAATACACATTAAAGGTATTTGACAGGGGAGTGCCTCCTTATTAAGCCATTTTCCTTATGCCTTAAATTCTAAGAACGGTATAAATTAGACTGCTTGTACTTAATTTTCATCTTTGATGGAAAAAATTTAGAAGTTTGAAGAATCTATTTGCCATTGATTCAATATGCCAACCAATAAGGTAGCCTTTCTTTGGAAAATGCTCTCTTTTCTCCTGATGTTTTGTGATTCTACCCCACACAGGATCCTTAAATATTGAAACATCTTTTTCCTAAATAATCCATCCCTCCCATTAGCATAGTCTTATTGTGCATACTCAGTGTGATTTTTTGTTGTTGTTTTAGGATATGTTGTTTGTGTGTATGTGTATGTGTGCACATGCGTGTGTTTTGGGGTTCTGGAAAAGGTTGTTTTTGTTTTGTTTGGGTTTTTTATTTGAAGCAAGTAATTCAGCCATATGTGGGACTTTACTAAACCAGGCAGAATTTGTGGTTGTAAATAAACATATTTTCCCTCCAAAATCTACTACCTATTAAAGTGTAGTCCCATCTTACCCAACAAATAAAAGGTTATCCATGTAAAATTACCTTAGAAATCTCAGTTCATGAATGTTCAGCCACCTAGGGGGCAGTGCAGTTGGAAATATAAATGCAAGTGACATCCTGTGTGCCAGTAGACAGGGGAGGGTCAAGGATAAAAGAAGAAAATGAAGATATTTAGAAAAAACTTTGAAATAAAAGAACAATTTAATAAAGGGCTGCTTGTTAAAGGCAGGTAAGAAAGGGCTGAAGTCAAGGGGTTGCTCAGTGTACCAGAGGTCAAGAAAGGGTCCTTTCAAAAATACTTGTCTGCATAGGAGAGTTATTTTTTATTGCTTGAAACGAAACTACTGAACCAGATGACATTTAAGGTTCTTTTTTTATTGAGGAACCCCTTGGAATGCAATATGACCTAACTTAAAGGAAGGAGACATAAGGCGGGAGAGGTGGAGAAAAGAGGAAGAGAACATAGAAGAGGAAAGGTGAGCAATCTGTACCTTGGACTGAAGTGGAACAAACTGTGGAGCTAACAAAAAAAACTGAGAGGAGTAGGTGTCTCAATTCCTAATTGATGTGCTAAATTGGGTTGAAAAAGAAAACATTGACTTATATTTTCTCCTACTGCCTTCCAATTGACAACTAAGAATCCCAAATAAAAGACATATTATAAACTAAACACTAACATTTGAAGAGCAATATCACTTCAAGGATGTATTAGGAGATTCAGTCTCTCTCCCCTCCACCCCATCCCACCTCCATCCCCACTCTCTCATCCCACTTACCATGTGAGGATATGACAAAAAGATGGCTGTCCCCACTCTCTCATCCCACTTGGCCATGTGAGGATATGACAAGAAGATGGCTGTCCCCACTCTCTCATCCCACTTGGCCATGTGAGGATATGACAAGAAGATGGCTGTCTCCAGGCACCACAAATGCCAGTACCTTCATCTTGGACTTTTCAGCCTCCAGAACTGTGAGGAGTAAATGTTTATTGTTTAAGTCACCCAGTCAATGGTATTTGCTGTGGAAGCCCAAACTGACTAAGACAGCTATTGTAACCAAAATGTCTTAAGATCACTGTCTCTGTACTTCATTTTCCTTTCCGTCACATTTCCTTTCAGGTTGGGTAGCATGTTGGGATGCAGTTGAGAGGAAATAAACTTAGGGATATAATTAGTTTTGGGTTAGTGAGATACATTTATGTGGGTCTCAGCCATTTCTGTTCACAATTAGGTTATTGCTGGCTCTCCTAATATAAGAATGGCTTCCATAAATACTCCTAGCATCTAGTGTGCCCACTTTGCAAAGCTATAGTATGAAGGTATGGGCCAAAGGTCATGTCATAATAGGAATGTGTCCTGAAAACTCATCATAGAAAGTCTGTAATCCGTGGAAGAGAAATAAAATTTTAAATATTTGAAGCCAGGAGCTAGATGTAGAATTTCTTTTCAAATATTATAACTCATATTTGAAGGAAAACGAATAGAATGACTACCCTAAAAATTTACTTGATGTGACTAAATACAAGTTATGAAGCCACAGAAAGCTTTTATGTACTATTATAATTTAAAAATTGAGCAAACATTTTTCTATAGAAAATGAAATGAAATTATAAAATTGTCTTCATGTGGAGAAGTGAAAAAAAGAGTAGAAAACCAAAAAGGCTGTGAAAAACAGTGTTAAGTGTGTGTTAAACAATTAATAATAAATTTTTTTTTGTAATTCTATCATGTTTTTGGTATTTGTCAGCTTCTTAATTGTCACAATATGTGATTTCTTTCCTCACCTTAAATAGCATTTACTCCCTTACCTAATTTTGCATTTTTACTTTGTATCATTTTCCTTAAATAAGGTCTCTGAAATTGTTTCAGCTGAGGCCTCACTAAACCTGGATTCGCATTTGCTTGTGGGGATCCAGGTAAACCACTGATGATTTGTAAAATAACTGATGGTCTGTGAGTGTTGGAGGGGAGGTGATAATCAACAGAGAAAGCCACCACCATGCATCATTAAGTAAAATGATGTTTGTTTTTCCTTCCTGTTCCCTTTCCTAGCATCCAACATCAAAAGAGTTAGGTCTTGATAAGGAAGAGAGATCCTCAAACCTGACCATGGCTCCATCAACCTGTGTCTACTTCAAGGGGCAGAAGTAGAGAGGGGATAGAAAGAATAGACCTCCCTGCCTCCTTTAAATCTACTATATCTCCAGCCTGGCCCTTGATAGAGTTAAGAAAACTTATACAACTTTGAATCAAATATAAAAGTAGTATTCAAACTGAATTAGACTGAATTTTTCACAACAGAAAAATACCAGAAAGTTATGCAATCTGCTCCAGGTGCTATTAAGTAACAGTTACCAACTCAAAAAAAAAATTCAACAAGCACATTTGGGTATGTGAATGGAGAAAAATAAAACCAAATATAGTCTATATAAGCAGGGAAGAGAAAACAGTAACCCACTGGCTTAGAATGCAAATAGAGACAAGCATAAGGCTGGAACGTCTGATCACTGTGCTAAATAGGGGTAAGAGGACTCCAATTAGTAATTTAATTAGTAAATTATCTACTTATTTATCTTAAAATAAATTTATATTAAAAATAAGTTGCTCCCTAAATGAGTAATCTAGGACTGAGGAGAACCATTACAAAGATGAGTTGCAGGAGAGAAAAGAGATTTCAAAAGCATGGACAAAAAATATTTGAACTCTTGGGGGTGGTAGAAAGTTATCCACAACAGACTGTGGGTCTTTGGGGACATGTTGGGGGAAAAGGTGTAGGGAAAGGAAGCCATCATTATTTTGTTTGAGATTTCCTAGATTGTTTCCTCGTAGATCTTGCCATGGCAGAGAATATTTTACTAAATGAATATAGGTAGCTGCGTAGGACTTGGCAGGGTCCTACCAATGCCAGGAGGCCCCAAATGAGCTTCACCTAGCTTCCTCCACCCTTTTATTTCCTAATCATTCTGTTTTACTTGACCTGGAGTCAGAAGAAGGAGGAGTGTCATTGTCTCTTTGTAAATGGTGGCAAACCTATCTCAGTACTTTCATTTTACTTGAAAGCTTCTGATATGTTCTCAGATATTAAACTTCAGGCTTCTACCCATCCATCCTCCACAGCCTGTAAAAGCAATCTTTCCAAAATTCACGTCAGGTCAAGTCGCTCTTTGGCTGAAAATTATTCAGTAGCTCCCCTCATCTGCAAGAAGAAATTGAAAGCTCTTAATTTGACATACTACATCTTTCTTGATCAGATTTCAGCTTTGTCTAACAGCTCATCTACTATGTTATCCCATAGATGTCCTTGCTTTAACTGCACTGAAGCAATGGCTATGCCTTTTCTATGTTTTGCACCTTTTGAATAGACCTATACCTCTTCCTGAAATTATCTTCTCCTCCAGAAATAGTCTCACAGACAACCATTAATAATGTTCTGTCAGTTATGGGGGCATCCCTTAGCCCAGTCAAGCTGACATGCTAAAATTAACAATCATGCTAGCCTTGCTCAACTACAGGAAAGATAATATATATTAGCAAAATACAGCAAAGTTATTGTTGATATCAAGTAGAAACTTGAACTCAAGAGTATCTGAAATTCTATATATTTGAACAAATAAGAATTAGTTGTATTTAGCTGACAATAAATAATTCCAGTTAAACCTAATCTTATTTGCAATTGGTTTTCTGACATTCTGCTATTATGAGACAGGCCCTGGTGGCTTGCCATCCCAGGTTATTAGGATAGGGATAGCCAGCATCAAGTGTAACTAAAAATCTGGGCTTCCTAAAGGTAAGAAATTAGTGGCTTTCCAAATAATTGTCCACTTCATTAAAGGAACCCATTTTTTGCCTATTGGTTAAGAGCATAAGGAGCCCAAAATGTCCAGGTGACAGTTTTATCTTCCAATTTAGTGTAACCATTGTTATTTCCCCTGGTTGTTCGAGGTCCTACTTGTTCTAGACATTCTGGCATTTGCCCTCTCAGATCAAATGATTGTCTACTATGGGAAAATTACAAAAGCACCAAAAGATCAAATTGCCTTGGTGTAACTTCAGGTTAACAATCATTACATGTAGAGAGAACCATTTCCACTTTGGATCCTAAGAATCATGGTTTTTGCCATCCTGAAGCTTTTATGCAGGCTTCAGGATTTCTTAAGGAACCACAAAATGAGCATCAGGCAAGACAGGACAGTTTGACCATAGTAGCTTACTGAGCTTTCTACTTCTTCAGAAAAATGGCTTGCCAATTATCCCATCTTCATTGGCTAGAAAGCACTATAGGTGGAATAATTGCCCACAGATTGTCCCTGGGAGAGAGTCTAAAGACCAGTGTAGGAACTTGGCCTGGACATGTCCTGAAAATGTTACATAATAAAGAGTCTGAGAGAGGAGCAAGTTAACTCTGATCCCTAACCTAATTGAAAGTAAACAAATTTCCAGTTTTGCCAATTATGTAACGGGTACCGTGCTAGGGGTTTATTTTGCCATTATAACCAAACTGAAATCAGTATTTTTATTCCTATCTTAGAGATAAACTGAGGCTTGCCGAGATGACCCAAGCCAAATAGCTTCTAGGTAGCAGGGTAAGAAATAAAAACAGCTTATATGATTACAAAGCCATGCTGTTTCCTTTACATCTTATCAGAAATGTTTAGTTAATGATAAAAAGGGAAGCATTCATACATCCATAACACTTTGACAGTATTTTTAAACATTTGAATTAGCTGCTTTTTTTTTCTGATTAACTCTAGTTCTACATTGACTTATAACTATAAAAGTTTTACTGTAACTTTCCCATTGAACCTATTTACAAAACCCAAAGCATTTTGTAGCATCTTCAGCATAGCACAATCATTACAGAATGTACATAAATTAATTTAAAGGCATAATAGATCTCCAAGGACATCCTCATGGATTAAGTGTCAAAAACGAAATATTGCATTTCAACTTCATAGGCCTTTTGGAAAAGATATGAAGACAATAATTAAGAGTCCTATAAGGTGCAACTTATACCACTGCAGTTCTAAGGGCCAGTCATTTTTGGTAACGATTTAATAAAATGCATGACTTGGCCCCCTAGATTGAGCTCTGCTTCAGGTAATGTCACGTAATGATGATATCCCAAGAAATCAGACCACATTTGTAAATTTAAAGGATTTACATCAGTGAGCTTCATTATCACAATATTATCTATGCTTCAGCAAGGAGTGTAATCTGTAGCAGAGTATTTGGCTAACAACTTGATCACCTCTCTAAGTGAAGGAATTCTTTACAGTCAGTAAAACTAAAAGAAAAAAATGTGGTCAGCAAGAAGGGGATGTTGACTTTGGTCATGGGCAGTTCTTTGGAATGACAGTAGCCAGCATGGCACCTCAGATATAAATGGGTGAAAGAATTAAAGAAGAAAGCAAGTCCATTCCAGCCTCCTACCTAGCAATGCAAAAGATGAATACCTGTTTGCTCAACTTTTCTGTATTCAGGAATACATACACAAAGCCCAGTGGTCTCTGGGCAGCAGGTGATCTGTAAATTCCCTCGTCTGTTTGGTTCTGCTCTAAGAGCAGCCTTATTGAGCTCTGTGATATTGCTGTTTCACAATTTTCTATACTGCTTCTTAGCCCTTCAAAGAATAAGGAAATCAATAAAGTTTCTTCTGTTTGTTTATTGCAATTTGGTATACAGTCACTTCAAAACCTCCTTTCCATGCTGGCTCTAACAGCTAAGGGGAGGGTAGATGGGTAGAAAAGCGTTTCTTTCTTCAGAAGCTTCGTTATTTCTTTTCCTATTCCCTGTGGCTGAGTACAGGATGATTTAGCAACATGGCACAGTGAGGGGGATGTCATGATGGGCTCTGACATTGCCTGCCTGGGATGCAGGCGAGGGCCAGAATCGTGGTGATCACTGATCACACAGGAGAGGAGGCACACAAGCGTCTCAACAACCAGACTTGTTTGCCAGGAAATCTTTGGCTCTCTTTTGAATTTGGGAAGATAGCATTTCTAGCAGTTATTTTTATATGTTGTCAGGTTATTCAACCAAATAAACAATCATTTTTGACTGTTGCCAAAGACTCTCCCAGCCTGTAGCTATCAGAAGCTTTCAAATAAAACCAGCCACCAAAGCAAATAGCCACTGCTTATACAACTGATCTTTTATTTTCTGTCAGATTATGTTTTAAATCTAAGTCCCAACTCAAATTTTAATAAAAAATGTTAAATCTGGACTCTAAATAATTCTTTATTTCAAAATTAATAGATTTACTTGAGTCTAACTTCAAATTATTAATTTTTTTTTTTTTTACTAAAAATGAGGGAGACAATTGCTCTGCACCTGTAAATCTGTATGAAGAGGAAAATGTTACTCTTGGGTACAGACATGGCATTTCCTGCAAAAAAAAAAAAAAATGTGTTCTCATATTCAGTGTTGGCAGCTAAATGTATAGTCATTCTCCTTTTATTTCGTTCTTCATTGCAGGCAGCTTTGGCAAAGCTTTGGTATTAGTATTGTCCCTCGTTAAGTTGAATAAAAAAATTGTTCTAGAACACACAGCTCCTTTGGGGAAATTGCAGTTGCTCTTGTTTCAGCTGGAAAGCTACATCTAAATAAGTGTGAGTAGTTTAATGCAGTCAAGAGACACTGAGGGGAAACATAATAGTATTCTGTATGGCTCCTTACTAGGGCAAGTGATGATGAAAGCTTCATCAATGCCTTATGTCAAATGATGGAAAGGAGAGCTTCCTCATTCTATCTAAAAAGGAAAACAAATCCAAGGAGAGAGTGAGGTAGTTGAATCTCAATGGCTGAGGTATGTTAGAGTTGGAATCAGAAACAAACTTCATGAAATTCTTAGTGATGATTCAGAGCAATAATATGAAGATACAATGAAATTGTAATAATTATAACAATATGATTATTACAATATTGTAATTGTGATAATTGTGTAATCGGTACAATGAAATTGCATCAATATAAGATAGAAACTGTGAAGAGTTGGAAAGAAAATAAATTGGATCACAGTCTAAAGATGTAAGTGACATACATCAGTCATTGACAAATCATGCCTGCCCCTGAAGGTGTGTAACATATAGCTCATTGTCACAATTCTTACTACATTATGCAGTGTGGACCATTTTTAACTTCATGGGAAAACTGTGAAGTGCTCAAGCATGATTTGGAAGACAGCCAATGACCGAACAGGTATAAATTGGTCAAATGAATGATGACTCCATGATTGAAAATTTATCAAGGAGAAGAGAAGAGGAAGAAAGAGGACATCTATTTCCAAATATTTTAAGGGAGTTGCTTACAGAGTATAATAACTGGATTTCCTCTGCTATTTTAGAGAAAACATTAGCAAATGAATTTAAATTATTCTTGTCAATTTTCTGGGGGACAGATACATAGATGTGTATTGGCCCATTATATACTTTAGCTCTTACAAACATGTGCTCATTAAAATAGTACATACTTGGCCAGGCACAGTGGCTCATGCCTGTAATTCCAGCACTTTGGGAGGCCGAGGCAGGCAGATCACTTGAGGTCAGGAGTTCGAGGACAGCCTGGCCAACATGGTGAAACCCCTTCTTTACTAGAAATACACAAATTAGCCCAGCATGATGGGGTGCGCCTGTAATCCTAGCTACTCGGGAGGCTGAGGCAGGAGAATTGTTTGAACCCGGAGGCAGAGGTTGCAGTGCGCTGAGATTGTGCCACTGCACTCCAGCCTGGGCACTAGAGCAAGACTCAGTCTCTCTACAGAAATAAATTAAATAATATATACTTGATGGCATACTCTGTGTCAGAACATGGTAGCCAATCACAAAGGTGCAAGCATTTCCCACTAACTCTGCGAGTCTCTGGTGCTCTTATCTCTTCCACCACAGCTTTCTCTATGAGAATCCCTGGCATTGTATAATGGTAGCATCACGAGTTTGTTCTGTAACTTACACAAGGTTTCTTTTCTTTCCAGTTGCATTTGCTGAAGATGGAACAAGAGATGTGATAAAATAATTAAATGTTAAGGTCCTTTGCTCTAAAAATATGAAATTTATTCATGATATTTTGTTCAATTTGGTAGAATTATAGCTGTTTCACTGCTTCTGTGTAAATATTTTCAGCTAAGACTAAAAGCTGTGGAGGACTGGTTTCCCAGACCTAGACAGAAAAAGAAGACACTAAACACAGCCCAATATTGATGAGAACTCCCTTAGAAATCAGACAAGCATGTGTTCATTTAGACCAAAATTGTTTATGAGCAGAGAACACCATGCTTCTTTGACCTAGATGTCCAGGTAGAAAACAAGGGGCATTCGCTCTAACCTGTGGGTTAATGTAAAAGTGACTCTTCTTCTAACTGAGGGAGTCTATGTTAGCTAGTAGAGAGATGGCAGTGTGTCCATTAGTCATAGGCAAAGTCTAAGGATGAGTTGAAAGCCTAATCCTATTGTTCACTATGGAGTGCCCCTGAAAAAAAGTTAACTTCATCTGAGTCTACTTTTCCTCCAGTTTCAAAGGATGATAATATGTACCTTACAGGGCTCGTAGAAGAATTACATGGGAAGATGTATTTGTACAAGTTTGTGAACTATAAATCAGGGGTCCCCAACCCCTGGGATGTGGACTGGTACTAGTAGGCCAGTGGCCTGTTAGGAAGCGGGCCGCACAGCAGAAGGTGAGGGGTGGGTGAGTGAGCATTACTGTCTGAGCTTCGACTCCTGTCAGATCAGGAGCTGCCTTAGATTCTCATAGGAGCACGAATCCTATTGTGATATGAGCACGGGAGGAATCCAGGTTGTGCACTCCTTATGAGAATGTAACAACGCCTGATGATCTGAGGTGGAACAGTTTCATCCCTAAACTAGCCCACCCCCCAGCGCTCTCCTACTCCTCGTCTGTGGAAAAATTGTCTTCCACAAAACTGGTCCCTGGTGCCAAAATGGTTAGGGACCATTGCGATAAATAAGATAAATGTTAGTCATAATTTTTTTTTTTTTTTTTTGAGATGGAGTCTCGCTGTGTCACCCAGGCTGGAGTGCAGTGGCATGATCTCAGCTCACTGCAACTTCCTCCTTCCAGGTTCAAACAATTCGCCTGCCTCAGCCTCCCGAGTAGCTGGGACTGCAGGTGCATGCCACCACGCTCAGCTAATTTTTTGTATTTTATTAGAGATGGGGTTTCACCGTGTTGCCCAGTCTGTTTTCGAACTCCTGAACTCAGGCAATCTGCCCGCCTCGGCCTCCCAAAGTGCTAGGATTACAGGCGTGAGCCACCGCGCCCAGCATTCATAATTATTATAGAACATGGAAAGTATGTTCTAAATCTGTGTCTCCAAACTCTCAGTCTTCACACTTAGGAAGAGAAATTTTTACCACCTGATGCCAGTTCCCAATTCCCTCAGTCCTTGCCCTCTTTGTTTCTCCCTCTCCTCTTTCCCCTAGCTCCCAGGACCCACAGCAGAAATTTAAATATTTTATAAACTCATTATGTAATTTAAACCTAAACAGGGTTTCAAGAGTTCTTTCCTCCTCGTCCTTCCTCAACACCTCCACCACCATCAAGGGTGTCAGCGGTTTACAGAAGTAGTCTGGGAATGGCAGCTGCCCAGCAAACTCAAGAACTTGGGGCTCATGGTGCGTTGCACATCTACCAGGAAGAAGAAGCTCCTGAAACTATGGGGAGTTAGTCTTGGGAATACCCCTTTTCACCGGAATGAGGTGGGGGTGCCCCAGCCCAGCTCACCGTTCAGGCAATCCAGAATATTTCCAGAATCACCATTGAACAACCCCGTTCATTACCCCACAGTGGCCAAGTTTAGAGAGCAATTCAGTGACTAAGCCACAAAACAACTCCACATAGTTCTCACTCCAAAGTTAATAATCTTTCCTCTACATTAACTACCCCAAATCCTGTGTACTGTCTAGACCTCTAAAGTTCTTCACAAACCACTACCAACCTCATTAAGATTCCTGTTTCTGAGAGCTTGATATAGGTTTGATGCTTAGTTATGCACACTAAGATGATAATTCAGCCTAAACTTTCAGAAGGGAATTTACCCTATTTATCAAACAAAGCATAGTGTTGTGCTGGTTTTCAATAGTTCTCATTGAAAAATTCCCAATGGCTCTGTTGAAAGCCCAAATGCAAGACCTGTTCTGAATTCTATAAATAAGCAATAGTCAGTCTAGCACCCATTCGTAGACTATAGAATACAACTCATATTTCTCAAGTCTGTTTGATATCATGGCTAATAAAGTGGAAATTCAGGATTTCTAGGCTCTATGAGGTAAGATCTTTCTCTTCTAGAAGAACCAGCAAACTCTGGGTAATGGTAGTGAGGGCATGAACCTGCGACCTAAGATTCTGCACAGTTTCAGAGCCTGAGACTGACTTATTATGCACCCCTGTCTCTGGCTGCAAAAAGAGGAAGAGGTTTTCCCACTTACCAATATTTCATACTAGTTGTATATAATTAGTAATTATATAACCTGGTTATGCTTAAACAAGAACCTAGGCATTTTCCTGAATTCAATTCTAATTCTTTAGCCAAGGTCTTCTAAAACTCTACCATCTATCTCTGTGATATCTATGTCTCTCAAACATGCATCCTGTTCTTCCACCCAGTGGAAATACTCAAAGTTTCTGTCTTCCTGTCCCTGGACCCTTGCATAGTTCAATTAAAATTCATAGTTTTTCTTCTGTCTGAAATCATCTTTATTTGTCAAAATGCTCCATAACCCTCAAAGCTCAATTTAGATACTTTCTTTTACATGAAGACTTCCCTGACTTTCTTAACAAGTTTTAATAGTTATTTCCTCTTATAATTCTAAAGCCTTTGGTCCACTTCACTAGTACATATAGTCTGTCTTATAGTGTATATTATCAATGTATTATATTATCTCCTGTGGTTGAAAAATAGATTCCTTGCCCACAAATGCCATGCCATTCATTTTTGAAATGTCCATAGTATCTAGAACTAATTTGTTTCTAGTGGGTCTTCAAAAAATTTTGAATTTATTTTTGTAAGACACTTGTCCAAGTGTATCACAAATTAGAAAAATATGTGGAGGAAATACCAAGGGTCTGTTTTAAAACATCGGTTTTATTATTATTCAGTTATGGTGAGGCCAACACACCTGGAGACAACTGTCATTGAAAAGATTGTTTCCTATTCACAGTTCCAAAAGGAGGGGGCATGCCACACCACAGGGGGACCACACAGGGAAGCACAGGATCAGTCAGGAGGCAAGAGGGAGAAAAATGTGGGCTAGAGCCTTTATTTTGTTTTTCTTAGCAAGAAGGAGTGGGAGAGGTAGACAGGCTATGCAGGTTTATGATTGGCTAGTTGGAATAGTTTCATCATAATGTGTGTCAGAGGAGACAGGGAAAGAGAGATGAAGGAGTTGGCCCTAGTTGTCTGATACCTGGCACCCTGTGGTGATTTGGGCAGGCTAATAGTGGCCCTGGAGTATAAGAGTTGGATAAAGAAGGCAGTTGGGGGATATGAACTGTGGATTGGTTAGTTTTCATATGAAAAGTACACCAGCAGACCAACCCATTGGCAATCTCTAGGAATTGGCTAGTCTGGAGAGAAGCAGCAATGCCCCAGATGTCAAAACATCAGAGGTACAGAAAATAAAGAGGCATGATTTAGTGCAGGATCTTCTTGCCCACCAGAGACTACCATCTTTTCCTCACAGATACTCACTGCCCTTCTCTGTACCTTCCTTTATTATGTCCCCATTCCTCTGCTTGTGAATAAGTATAGTAATAGTCCAATAACAACATAATAACATGTTTTTTCCATAGAATTGATTGATTATTTAGATTTAGCCTTTTAGGTACTATGATAACCAACCCTTAAAACTTTAGCATACACCACACAGAAAAGTACATTTATCTTTATAGTATACAGTTTAATGAATTATCATAAAGTAATGACATTTATTTATATGCCAACAATTCTATGAGACACTTTTAAAACATATATAACACTTCCTTATATTGTTGCATGGTGTTTAGAAGTGTAGACTTTATTCTGGAATGTCTGTGTTCAAATCCTGGCTTTGCCAACCACCATCTGTTACTGTTAGGCATGACACTTAACCTTTCTCTTAACCTTTCTCAATTTCCTCATATGTTAAACAGGGATACTAATAATAATGTTTCCATAGGGTTGCTGTGAGGAATCAATGTGCTTAGAACAGTTCCTGGCATAAAATCCACGCTCAACAATATTTGCTTTTATTATTACTGAGAAACAGTACATAAAATGCATGGTTAAACTATTATTGATACAATACACAATGATATAAAAGATTCAAAAGATGTTTTTAGCTTCTGGCCTATCATCTTCATCTGATGGCTATACTCTTGGAATTCTACTATTGGCTTTCTGCAGATTTTATTTCTTTTTAATAAGTCAGGATATTTGTCAAAATGTCTTTTAATTTCTTCTCACTGTTACAGCCCCAATAGTAGAGTAGAACTTAGAATTTAATATGTACCTAATAAATATTTTTGAAAGGATAAGAAACTATCCCTTCTTTGCTTTTGCCATTATGGTTGCTTACCAGCATCAAACAACAAAAATGTTGCTTGTAATCTGCTAAGAACAAGAAAACCAAGTGATCCAATGTGGGTGGGTCCACATGTAGCCTTAGCTGGAATGCAGACATGTCCAAACACCACCAAAAATCAATTTGACCAGGGAAATGAAGAAAAAAATTCATTTTCAGGAAAGGATGAATCAAACAGCAAATTGGGTCATTTATTAAGCTTGACAGTACATTTTTGTGTTTATAACTTGATTCTAACTCTCATCCAGTCTCATAGACTCATGTTAGGGATCTACTGAACCATAAATTGATATCAAAAACACTATATTAGAAACTCTTTACAATGGGATGTCAGCAACAAAACTCTGGAATGCCTCTCACCAGGTATAGCTCAAAACGTGGAGAGATGGGCAACCTCTCCTTTCTTTACTTCTCTCCCATTTTGCCACACACTCATCTTGAAGCTCTGGAATTTGAAAGATTCACTCCCATATTAGTCCATTCTTGCACTGCTATAAAGAACTACCTGAGACTGGGTATTTATAAAGAAAAGAGGTTTAATTGGCTCCTGGTTCCACAGGCTGTACCAGAAGCATGCTGGGGCGGTCTCAGGAAACTTGCAATCATGGCAGAAGGCAAAGAGGAAAGAGGCACAGCTTACATGGGTGGAGCAGGAAAAGAGAGTGAAGGGGGAGGTGCTATACACGGAAACAATCAGATCTTGTGAGAACTCTGTCACAAGACAGTGCGAGGGGGATTGTGCTAAACCATTAGAAACCACCCCCATGATCCAATCACCTCCCACCAGGCCCCACCTCCAACAATGGGAATTACAATTCAACATGAGATTTGAGCAGGGACACAGAGCCAAACCATATCAACTTCCAATCATTATTGACAGTGATCCCTAATGGTAGACTGCTGACATGGTAGAGTGATAATGAACAGAGGCAGAATCGAACACCAAAGAAGAAGGCTGACCCATCAAAGCAAGGGATTCTTAGGAAAAAAGGTAGGCATGCCCATTGGAATGTCAGTGCCCACACTGGAAATGGAAGTGGAGCTCAACAGATGGTTAGAAGTAGATGACTAGTTTTGATGATAAAAATTGATGAGACGTTTTCAGGGTTTTTTTCATTTAATAGACATTACGATAGGTCCCCCTAAAGATGTCCATGGCCTAATCCTTAGAGCCTGTGAACATGTTATCTTACCTGGCAAAAGTGTCTTTGCAGATGTGCTTAAGATTGAGGACCTTGAGATTGGGAGAGTACTGTGGATAATACAGATAGGCCCAATCTAATCACATGAGTTCTTAAAGGCAGAGAATCTTTCCCAACTGCAGAGAACCAGAGAGATGGCAGCATCAGAAGGATTCTACCTGCAGTTTCTGGCTTTGAAGATGGAAGAAGGGGCCATGAACCAAAGAAAGTGGGGAGCCTCTAGAAGTAGGAAAAGGCAAAGGAACACATTCTCCCCTAGAGCCTCCAGAAGGAATCAGCCCTGCTGAAATCTTATGAGACTCCTCTAAGATTTCTGACCTACAGGACTGTAAGATAATAACTTTGTATTATTTAATTTACTATAGCCCCAATAGAAAATGAAGATAAATATTTATGGAGTGCACCCTGGGCCAGCACTTGGGCTAAATACTAAAGCTACAACAGTGTGCAGAGTAGACCCCTTCCTGCCCTAATGAGGCTGACAGTCTGGGAATTAAGGTTTCTAAACCAAGTGAAAACTGTAGTAGAAATAAGTATAAAATAGGGAGGAAGATTCTTGTTAAGGCACTTACCTTCGGTTATATTGTCTCCAAACTATACTCCATATCTTAAAAACAGACAATTTCTGAATCAATTTTTCTTTAGTGTGTGTTTCACAAAAATTTAATGAATTTATATAAGTAACTTCAGGAACTTTTACTGTTGAGATAAAGTAGTACTCAAAAATGAATTTTAAAAAAAGAGTAAATAATTCTACAACATTATTTAGAAAGAACTTCCAGAGGGGATGAGGAGGATGAATAGCTAACAATGAACTTGGCAGAGGTAATAAAAACAAATGACCTAAAAACAGAAATACCATTTGATCCAGCAATCCTGTTTACTGGGTATATACCCAAAGGAATATAAATCATTCTATCATAAAGACACACATACACTTACATCCACTGCAGCACCATTCAGAATAGCAAAGACACGGAATCAACCTAAATGTTCATCAGTGGTAGACTGGATAAAGAAAACATGGTACATATATACCATGGAATACTATGCAGCCATTAAAAAGAATGAGATCATGCCCTTTCCAGGAATATAAAGAGAGCTAGATGCCATTATCCTTAGCAGAATAATGCAGGAAGAGAAAACCAAATGCCACATGTTCTCATTATAAGTGGAAGCTAAATGATGAGAACACATGGACACATAGAGAGGGACAATAGACACTGGGGCCTATCAGAGGGTGGAGGGTGGGAGAAAGGTGAGGATCAGGAAAAATAGCTAATGGGTACTAGGCTTAGTACATGGGTGATAAAATAATCTGCACAACAAACCCCCATGACACAATAGCTAATGGGTACTAGGCTTAGTACCTGGGTGATAAAATAATCTGCACAACAAACTCCCATGACACACATTTACTGTATCATAAGCCTGCACATGTACCCCTGAACCTAAAATAAAAGTTAAATTTAAAAATAATAAAATTTGAAAAAAGGATCTTCATTTTGTCTTAAGGACATTATTGAGTGACTTTACTCTTGAGCATGGTTTGCCAAAAGGATATGAACTAGTTAGAAATACTTAAAATCATCAAATAATTTGAAATGATTACACCATCTCAGCAATAAATGAGATATTAAATTTAAAAAATGACATACAGAGTTAAAAGCGGAAGGCTACAAATGTTTATGTGTAGTTTAGTAAAATTGGTTATTTATGAGCCACTACACAGAAATACAAATACATATATACCTATGACACATTGATTAACTGATTTTAAGTCACAAATATCTGAAGAAATGAAGCACGTTCTTTCATTATTCGACTTCAAAAATATATTTTGTATTTGGATTTAATGCAATATATTAAAGTGAATGCCATTTCTTGAGAAATAAAATACCTTCTTTTTTTGTTTTCACTGACAGATCCAATTGGCTTAGCTGGGAAGACAAAAAAAAATTGAAATAACTGACTTAAATAATCAGTCTACCCTTTTGGTGAAGATTAGCATGCTTAACTATATCATGTATCCTTATAGAAAATGCATCCTAATTTATGTGAAGATAAATTGGGAAGGAGACAGAAACCCATATTAATGGGAATATTGAGAAAGTGCCTTCTATCTGGCTTTAATAAAATAATGAACAATATTTTTAAATGACAACTATAAGAACTCTTCTATAACATTAATAGCTCTCACTGATAATTTCCATAGACACTATCTTAATGTATGAGTTAACTTAGTTCCTAATTTCCACTATTCTATTATACTTCTCTAGTGTCCGTAAGGATTTCTTAACCTCAACAATATTGACATTTGGACTGGATAATTCTCTATTGTTGGGCATGCCCTGTGCATTGTAACATTTAGCAGCATCTCTGACTTCCATTCACTCAATGCCAGCAGTACATTCTCCCTACTCATCTCTACCTGGTTTGACAATGAAAACTGTCTCCAGATACTGCCATGTCCTTGAGGAGTCAAAATATTGCTGGTTGAGAATCACTGGCCTAAGTGATGACCAGTATTAATGTAAACTAAAAAAAAAATTGTAATTCATGGTTGCACTTCCTATTTATTATTGACTTGGTGAAGGAAACAGCTCACATTAGTGGGTCATGGGGAAATTTTCTGAGTTAAGTTTGTTACCTATTGAACTTTAGGCACAGACGTTTCCTTGAAATAACCAACCCCTTTCATCTTCATAGCCAGAAAATAAAGCTTCAAAAATCCTAGTAATTTCTATAAACAATATAATATTCTGTCAGCCACACTCTCAAATCATTTTAGCTAAATCTAAGGACATTTATGTATAAAGACCAAAAACAGGACAAATCTTAAAAGCAACCTAAGAATTATAAAAATATTATATATAATATCAAGAATAAGATTTTTACAAATCACAGAACAGTAGGTGCAGAGAGATTTAGAAAGTTTAATCCTTTGTCATGAAATAGGTTGATGACTAAATTACCTGGCATGTGAAATGTGTGATGACACATAAAATGTTAAAGATACATGAAAATCCCATTTTTATTTTTGTAAGTTTACTTACAAAGTGCTTAATGCCCAGAGGGGGAACAGTGTGAGAAGATCAGGGAGAGGAAAAAGGAGTTTCTAAAGGAACTACTGAATTATATATCATTTCTACTCCTTCCATAGCCAGAGTAACTTTGGGGTTTATTTACAACACGTAATGACAAGGGTTTTGAACAGTGCATGTTCTCAATGTTTTCAAAGAAATATTATTTACAAGTCTCTGAATTCTTTAAAAGCGGAATAACACATCCTGAAAATGAAAAATATCATTGTATAAAATTGGAAACTACTTCAACTCTCTAAAGACACGTTCCATAGAGTCACCTAGCAAAGAAGCAGAGCTCACAGATTTCCATAGCTAAACTGTGTTATGCCTGTGAAACGCTAAGGAGAAAACATTGGCTTATTTGAGCAGATAATATATTTAAGAGAATGAATTAAGTATATAAAGCCCAAGGTAAACTGGTGTAGCATTACTACTTTCATACCCACATGTCCTGGGTGTATTGCAGTAAAATTAGTACCTAGATTTGTTATTTCTGGAATATCAAAGTTAGCATGGGTTGGGAAAAATGGCTTTTATCTGAAATTTTATTGAAAGAAACCAGCATCCTAGACTGATAACTTAGCAGGGATACAAGTTTTTAAAAATCATCCTTTTTTTTTTTTCACACATTGCCACCAAATACCCAACAAGGGAAATGGTTTCTGTAATGACCTGGATCAGATTTCAGTTGGCCCATTTTACATAGCTGGTGTGTAATTCTCGATTTCAGGGAACAATGGTATGTTTAAATAATATTAATCTCACTTCTAAAGAGTGAATACTTTTGAATCTTTCATTTTTACATTACCAGGTGAATTCCTGTGGCTTAATATATGGAAAGACCAGATCTTAGAGTACAATGCACACACACACACACACACACACACACACACACACACACATACATACATAGATATACATAAGCAGGCTGTGTGTTCTTTTGCCCTTAGAGATTGAAATTTGATTTACCAAGCTAGTGGACAGGTTGGCAATTGAAATCAAACTGTTCTCTGCTTCTCAAAACACTAGGCATGAGGGTCATTTCTTCTGATTGGTTATCCCTGGAGAGAAGTAAAGAGCAGAGGGAGAAAATATTGTGGCTAAATGCACCTGAGCTAGCTGCTGGATCAATGGTCAGTATCAGCAGGGCTCTATTTAATGAAGCGTACACCAGTGTCACCGCCTTGCTGACAACAGTGGGTAGCGCTGGTGCCAATGCAGAGGAAGCGGAATCTATTGGAAGACAAAATAATTGCTTCATTTTGCAGTACAAAGATATAAATCTGATTTTTTTGTGTACATGAGAGCAAGCTTTAAATCCTTAACTGGAAGAGAGCCTTGCACAAAACACAGAGTCAAACATGATAGAAAGAGATTGTGCAAGGCAGTCTGGTTCACAGAACTCCGGGAGAATTGCTAAGAGGGCTTTATAGTCAAGGAATCGCAGGCTCGGTGGGCAAACACTCACCCAAAAGCATGCTGCCTTAGTTACAGAGAGAAAATAGTTGTTTTCATTTGTGCTTTTTCATAATAAAGTGTTTTGACAAATCAATAGACGCAGGGAAAAAAAACATCCACTGATGTGATTTATACCTAATTTATCTAATTATTGCCTCATTATTAAGGGGGAGCCTCAGCAGGGCACCCCTCCCAAATGCTGTATCTGGCATACACTTGAGAGTTAAAAGGCAAAGGGAAGTGACAGACCTAACTCAGAATATCCATGTCATGTTTAAATTTTCCTGAATTTCCTTGAACTGCTTTTGTGCTGGCAAGTAAAATTATGAAGCAGTTAAATCTTTTTCAAGATGTGTTTCTAAATGTCACAAGGATTAAAATTAAGGCACAATTTCTCTGAAACAACACAAGGCAGCCTATAATTAAGGAATTCACATTATATCTATAGCATTTATGAATATTTTCAGATCTCCACATCATAGTCCACCTTAAATCTGGATCAAATAAAAAATGCATTATGCTTATTTTTATGCATTAGGGTAAATCAGTCCCTCACTAGACACCTGGAAAATTGCTAAAACAGACCCAACTAGCTTCAAAGTAGCCCTGTTGTAATAGTAGAAAAGTAGAGAACTGTACTTCTCTTTACAATCTTAGTGGAATAGAGTGTGAATTCAAATTGATAGTCATACAAATTGTGTCATAACTTTAAGACACAACCAACACTTTAGAGCCATTATTCTCAATGAACGACTTTCTTTAAGCTTTTATAAATATCTCAATATTCTTTGCAAGATCTCCTTATTCTTGTCTTCCTAACACTTTTTCATTCACTGAGTTTCCACACAAATATTCATTTTGATATAGAATAAGAGATCTCTGTCCTCCTGTTCCCTCATTCTCCCTTTGTTCTTCCTGAGCCTTCACACTGCAGTCTTTCATTGAAAAATTCCATTTAGCAAAATTCCTTTTGAAATCAAAACAACTCATCCCTCAGTAGCCAACTCGTTGGATTCTCTCCAGATGGTAGACAAGAGCAAGGAGAAAGGTACTTGAAGAGCCCTGCCTCACATCCTCTTGGACTGCATTTTACTCCAGCCTTTGCTGAGACAACCAGCTTCACCCAGGTGAGCCACAGCACCTGACCTCAGTTGCTACACTTGATTCTCCTGTCTGCCCAGGGCTTCTCTGATGCTAGGGTAAGGGATGCCTGGGAAACTGGCCTGGAACTTATGCATGCATGGCCTCTAAGTGAGGGGGGTGACATTCCCATGCTTGAACAATGCAAGACAAGAATCAAGGCGTAAGTGCTTCCCTCTTCCATTCTTGAGGTAGACAATCCCAGGCATGCCTTCTCTAGCCTAGAAATTCCCAGTAGGATTGAGTTCTGTTTCTTCAGTTGTGATGAACTGCAGAAACACTATTGTATTGCCTTTTTCTCCTTCCCTATTGCATAATTCCAAAGTCTCCCACTCTCATTTCATATGATCACTTCCCAAAATAAATGACCTGCAGGCAGCCCCTTGTCTCAAACTGCTTTTGGATTGAGGTGAGAGTGTACCTAGGCTAAGGTACTTACTGCAAATCACAAACCACATTCGTGTGTGTGCTAGAACCACAATAAAGGGCAAATTCTGAGATGATTCTAAAGTGTGCTATTTTAGAGAGTGACCAAGTCAACAAGGTCAGGGATGCTGGAGGAAAGGTGGTTGGTGACATCATATTAGATAGCATAGTCTGGGAAGTCCTCTTCAAGAGGGAGCCTTTGAACATCAGTGGTAGGAAGGAATTGGCTAAGAGAAAAGGTGAGGACAGGGGCTTAAGTTTACCTTTACTCAAAACAGGGCAAGGTTTTTGAGGCAGCTTAGATAGGTGTATCCTGAAAATAGAAAGAACATCAAGATGGTGGGAGCATAGTGGGTAGGAGAGAGTACCAGGTACCGGCTTGTTCTCCAGGCCTTTTCAGGCCATGATAGTTTGGATTTTAAATACAACAAGAAGATATTGAAAGATTTTCAGCAGATAAATAAAAATGATGCGATTTATATTATGAATAGTTTATGTTGATGGTCGCATGGAAAACTGACTGTAGAAAGGTAAGAGTGGAAACAGGTAGAACAAATGGGAGAATCAGATGATAGTGGGTTAGACTCGGACAGTGGGAGAGGCGAGAAAGAAAGCCTAGCAGCGCAAGGAAACTATAGGCTTTATTCCAAAACAATATTTAGATTTAAAATCAAATTTAATTTGATACCTTGTTGATTGGATGGGCTGGCATATATGTTTAAGGATGGGGAGAGTACCTGGTGTCCTTTCCGTACTCTGAGGTTATCAGCTCTACATACAATAAAATAGTAATTTGGCATTCTACATTTGAAAGACTGTGGCTTCTTAGTGTGACATATATTTTTCATGAAATGGTCCTGTTCTTTTACATCAGGATAGCCTTTTAAAAAGTCCATTTGTATAATATGCCGGTCTTGTTACAGTGCTGATGTGAAGTGAGCAAAGGGGAGGTGTTCTGCAAAGTAAGATCCACACCTGGACCTGCAGAGGTGGTTTTATTTAGAAAACACCACAGGAGTTCCATGATCTATAACACCTAATATGCAGTGTTCTATTAGATTAATAAATATTAGCATAGAGGTGAAATAATAACTTATTTCATAGAGGTGAAATAATGCAGGGAATAACGGAACACTAAAAGTCAAGAGTAACTAATACAACAGACTGGAACAACATTTTTTGATATTTGCTGAACATTAACAGTTTACTAAATGAAATACATACTTATCAAAGTTAAGGAAAAATATTGGATGGAAGCAACATCTAGCTATGTAATAAGATATTATTGAAAGAGACGCCATTTGTTGAATTCATTCCGAGAAATCTACTGATTCAATATTTATGCTTACATTCAATATTTATGGTCCCAGGTATTTAAGTTATATGCATGTATCTGGATGATTAGTTAATAACTGTACTCTTGTGACATTTGACTCTTTAAATTTTATTTATGTATTTTTTTGAGACGGAGTCTCGCTCTGCTGCCCACACTTGAGTGCAAAGGTGCGATCTTGGCTCATTGCAATCTCTGCCTCCCAGGTTCAAGTGATTCTCCTGCCTCAGCCTCCCAAGTAGCTGGGATTACAGGCATGTGCCATCACATTCAGCTAATTTTGTATTTTTAGTAGAGATGGGGTTTCACCATGTTGGCCAGTGTGGCCTCAAACTCCTGACCTCAGGTGATCCTCCCGCCTTGGCCTCCCAAAGTGCTTGGATTACGGGCGTGAGCCACTATGCCCAGCCCTTAAATGTTATTTTTAAGGGTCTTACATCTTTCCCTTCCCTTTTCTGTCTTTTAAACCACAATTTCTTGCTTCATTTCCCTTCCTTTAAGACAGATAGGGCTGGAGCTGTCTGCAGGACTACGGCTCCAGAGGACATTGGAGATGAGGAGGCAGCTGCGCCTGCAGGGCATCCAGGGCTGAGACAGAGGAGGTGGTGGAAGTCTGCAAGTCTGCGCCAAGGAGGTTGTCCGAGCCAAGCAGCAGTCGGTAGGGTCAGAAGACCATCTACGTACAGTGGGAAAGAGCAAATATTGATACCGAGACCTGGGTTTCTCACTGTCTGAAAAGAGAGTTAAAATTCAGAAAAATAAAAACAAGAAAACAAAAACTTATGGTGTTGGATTAGAACTGAAAGTCTTAGGGTAACCTCATAGTTTTGTTTTTCATATAGACAGATGGATACAGAAATATATGCAAACGTGTATGTGCATTTCCTAGTTCTGTCTATTGAAAAGGCCCAGAAGCAATGCCAGCCCAGTACAAATGAGCACACCTGGCATCCAGGTCTCGATTTCTAAATACCATTCTTCCATAAAATAAATCGGGTACTTTGGGGAAAAAAAAAGCAAAAACAAACAAACAAACAAACAAACAAAACAAACCTGATTCTAGGCCTGGGGAAGAGAGGATATAAGATTAACCTATAATATATATATATATTTGTACCAGAAAGTAAGGAAATGCTCAAAAAATGATGGGGATTTGTCAAAAAGATACAGGAGCCAGTTTGTAGGGGCTCCCATTAACAAAATAAGGGACAATTTATGCATCAGAGAAGTAATAATAGTAACAGATTATAACCCATTGAATAACATAAGAATCTGTGTCTACACTGATATAGGTAATAAAGGAATAAAACATAAATTGGAGGAAAGGAGAAATTTTAATAGAACGCTAGCCAATAAATGTAGGAGGAATGACTATGTTGGTGTCACCATTTGGCAACCATCATAGTAATACTTCAGACAGGCAAGAATGATCAATAGATGGTAAAACTATTTAGAACTATTTAAAACTATTTATTTATGTTTATTGAGAAACAAAATATCGATATATTCTCAAAGTATCTAACCCACTACATACTATTAATTACAAAGAAATAAACAGTAACTTTATAGTTAAGATCACCAATTTACCAAGTGATCAAAGTTTACATCACCAATAACAGACAAATTGGCATTCTTTCTTTATGATAGGTTGCACTGAGATAAACTCAACATCATCACTTCAGTGATATTCCTGCCCGACTCTAATCATGAGGAAATACCAGACAAACCCAAATCGAAGGACAGTCTACAAAACTGGTTTCTAATTTTAAAATATGTCAAGGTCATGCAAAATAAAAAATAGACTGAGAATTTATTATAGATTGAGGGTGACTAGAGAGATATGACAACTAAATGTAGCATATGAACCTTGGCTAAATTCTGGATGAAAAACAAACAACAAAAAAAGATTTTTGCTATAAAGGGCAGTTGATGAAATCTGAACATAATACGTAGGTTAAAAACATTGAATCAATGTTAATTTCCTGATTGTTATGGTTGTATTGTGATTATGTAAAACATGATCTTGGTCTTTTAGGAAATAAATACTAAAATAACGGGGTAATGGGCTTCATGTTTGCAACTTGCTCTCAGTCGGCTCAGAAAAAATGTATATATAAAGAAACAATAATAAAGCAAATATTAACATTTTAGGAACCTGGGTAAAATATTCGTGGGAGAGCTTTATGCTAGTCTTGAGATTTTTCTATAAGTTTGCAAATATTCCCAAATTAAATGTTTAAAGGCATAGACTCAACTGAAAGTTAAAAATGAGTTAATTTCCTTATTATTTTAGAGTTGGGATCTCTGTCACCGAGGCTGGAGTGCAGTGGTGTGATCATAGCTCACTGAACCTGGAACTCTTGGGCTCAAGCGATCCTTCTGCATAGCTAGGACCACAGGCATGCACCACTGTGCCCAGCTAACTGAAAAAAAAAAAAAATTATGTTTTGAAAAAAGACACGGTCTTGCTATGTTGCTCAGGCTGGCCTCAAGTGATCCTCCTGCCTGGAACTCCTAAAGTCTGGGATTATAGGTGTGAGCCACTGTACCCAGGCAAGAGTTATTTTAATTAGGAAAAAAAAAAATCCATGTTTCGTACTGAACAAAAAAAAAATTACAAAGATGTATAAAGAAGAATATAACTATATTGGTCACGTTCTTTGCCATCTATCCTCTTAAGATGATTAATGTTAGCAGCTTAGTTTGTGTTCATCCTTACCTTCCTGTATGTTAATGTAAACACATTCAAACATAAGCACACTTAGTTTTGTTGTTTTTAAAGGGAACCACCATATATTGGCTTGGAACTCATATTATTATGGAAAGAAGCATCATGGACTTAAGGAAAAGATATAAAGCCAAATCCATCTTTTTATTAATAACAGGAGTGTAAAATAATTTATTCAATCAATGCCCTATTATTCACAGACATTCAGCGTTCCTCTTCTTCCAGTTATTTTTCCACCGTATACTATGCTGCAATAACAATCTTTGGAAAAACAGTGAAACAGAGAGACAATCTTTATAAGCTGCTGCTTTTGTTTCTGTAGAATAGATTCTCCAGATTGCTATGTCAAAGTGAATACGTGTATTTAACACATAATGCCAGATTACTTTTTATTCACAATTCACACTGCCAACAACCAGAAGAGTGCATTTCCTCCATCTTCTCCAACCTTGGAAGACATAACTTTTCATGTTTATTGACTGATTTCTTCTGCTATTGATTATTGATGTTCTTCCACTGTGAATTGTCCACTTAAATCTTTTGTTCCTTTTTTCTATTTGCTTGCCTTTTTACTTACCTATTTCACTTACGAATCTGAGGATATTTACTTGTATGTAGTCCTCAGTTTATTCTTGTATTTTGATTTTTCCTATCCATTGCCATTTATTCATTTTTTTCCAAGTTTTCTGTCTACCTTATATAGGTCACTCACTCCCAAGGTTGTGCTTCCTAAATTTTCTCCTAATAATTTCTGCTTTCTGAAAGAAATTACATCATTAATTCATCTGGTATTTACTTTTCTATGTAGAGTTAGGAATCTTTTTTTTTTTTCTTTCAGTGAACAGTTGTACTAGTACCTTTTAATGAAATGCACATAGAAGTTTTTCCCATAAACAGAAGTCCTCTCTTTCATGTATGATCCAATAATACTTGGGTGTATGTTTGACCTTTTTTGCCCCACCACTCTATCTACCTATATTCCTTGCCAATTCCAAATTGTTTTAATTATTTTTATGGTAAGTTTTCATATTTGATAAGTGCAGCCCATTTTTGCTTTTAAAAATGTTCTTCACTATTCTTTTTAATATATTTTTTCATATGAACTTTAACATCATTCTATCTGGTTCCAAAAAGAAAGTGGGAATCGGATTGATACTGCAATACTAATATTATAGAATGCTTGATATTTATATTAATCTTCCCATTCAATAACATGATCTCTTTCTCTATTTGTTCAGGATTTGCTTTGTGTCCTTCAACAAGATTTTATAATTCTATTCATAGAAGTCGTACACCTTTCTTGATCATTTTTCTAAGCATTTTATAATTTTAACTATCATGATTTTCCCCCATTTAAATTGCTGATTATTGCAAGTAGAGAGGAAAGGTACACCTCCAAACTTACCTTGCGTTACTCCACCCCCTACCCACCCACTTTCATCTTCTTTTGCATCTTAGATAGCAGAGTTACCGCTCACCCCAAGATCTTCACAGGTCTTCTTCCTCTGCCTGGCATGATCTTCCCCTTGTTTGTTCTTTGGCTGAGTCCTTTTACGAATCTTAATTTAAATGTCACTCTCTCGGTCTTTCTCTTCCTTTATAGCACTCATCAAAACTTGCATTTATATATTTATATTTCTGTTACATGTGTTTCTTCCCAACTTGATTTTTAAGTCCATAAAAACAGAATCATTTTGCTTAAGACTGTACATGTGGGTCTAGTACACAGGTTACTTGATAATTGTTTGTGGTTAATAGACCAATCCTTTCTGTGGATCCCATTCTTTACCACCTTTTGCACTCCCTCTCTAAAACCTTCAGTTTCTTCTTCATTTGCTAATTCTCTTAACTTTTAAACTTAATTTTTAAAAAAACGATCTGCTACCACTTCCGATTATCATCTGATTTTTCTCCATATGCCGTCATTCCTATTTTTACCCCAATGTTTCCTATTCTAGTCTCCTGACATGGCTGCTCTGAAGACGTTACGATGTGTTTCTCATTAAGTCCAGGGGCCTAATCTCATTCCTTATCACTTTCAATTTCTTTGCAACCCATGAAAATGATAACTTCAAAATTTTCTTTTGGTTTAGCTTCTTTGTTTTTGCATCTCTTACCTGTTTCTTTGTCCCAGTCTTTCCTGATTTTTGATGTTTTGCATCTATGTTCAACACTCTGTGGTGCTTGGATAATGCTCATTTATTAATTCAGCAAAAATAAACTAGTACCACAAATCAGGCACTGTGCTATTAAGTGTCGAACACCATAGTGAACAACGCAGGAAGTATTTTTCGTTCTAGCATTTATCTATCAGGGAGATTGAAATTAAAGAATCACGCAAGCAATCACTTGGCTACAGTTGGGGTAAGCACTAAATGGAAAAGTACAGAATGTACTTGGTGGCTCCTGAAAAAGGGTATTTAAAGTCAGCTTTGAAAGATTAGTTGGATTTTTTTTTTGCTAGCAAAAAGGGAGGAGCCATTTAAGCTACACTGTTCCTAATGTGAGAAAGAGCCTGGGGCCTTAGAAAAACTAGGCCACGGCTAAAACGGTGAAACCCCGTCTCTACTAAAAATACAAAAAATTAGCCGGGCGTAGTGGCGGGCGCCTGTAGTCCCAGCTACTTGGGAGGCTGAGGCAGGAGAATGGCGTGAACCCGGGAGGCGGAGCTTGCAGTGAGCCGAGATCCCGCCACTGCACTCCAGCCTGGGCGACAGAGCGAGACTCCGTCTCAAAAAAAAAAAGAAAAACTAGGCCAGTGGGACTAATGGAGAGAACAAGGCAAAAGTAGATGGAAATATAGCGAGAGAAGAAACACACAAATTCTCAACACTCGTGTATGAAGAGCTACATTTATCACTATTAGTGCTTGATAAATGTAGCTCTGCTACATTTATCACTATTAGTGCTTGATAAATGTAGCTCTTTATTACGCGAGTGTAGAAGAGAATATGCAGCATTGCATTTAGTCATTATAAAATGCATTACAATTATCCTGTAGAGTTAGGAAATGATATCCCTATAATATATGTGAGAAAGTGAGGATATGAGCAATTAATTAATTTATATACAGGATTTCATTTTGAGAAAGGAGTGAAAAAATGATTTCCTATGCATTGTAACACTCATAGTAAAAATAAGGTACTCGAACCCCCTGGTTACGAATCCTAACTTTAAAATTTCCTTTGACTTTTTCAAGGTTTAAAAATAGATTTAGGTACCCAAGCGAACATTGAAATTGGTATCTAAGAAGACCAGAAAGAAAACTCCCTCAAATAAATCTCTCAATTAAATAGAAACTTTGCAAACATTCACATATTTGTCTGTTAATCATCATTAATTTTCCAGAAATTCACATGTAATTAAAAAGAACGCAACAACTTCATGGAAGTCTTTCGATAACTCAAGGGATTCACTGCAGTTGTCTTTGTTAATAATGTCATCATTCTGATTTTAAAAAGTAATTGCATCAATTTAATGGTACTTACAGCTGTACCAATTAATATATTTAAGCATATATGCCTAAAAACAAGTATACTTTTTTGAAATAAAAATTCATAACTAGCCCCACTGTCTTGTGACTAAAATTATTACAAAATGGGTCATTCTTCATGACGGTATATTTGGAATATAATTCTGATGTGTAAGGTATATCCACTCACTGTACCAACAGTCTGGTAGGTTTCATCCCGCTAAGATCTTTCAGACTCAGTTTTCAGGTATAGCAGTAACCTTCATTTATTATGTGAAGATAACACTCAACATAAACCATCTGTAACATTCTTAGCAGCCCATTACAATGACAGGAATTGAATCTGTCATGTAAATTTTAGACTCTAAAGCAAGCTTGTCCAACCCACAGCCCATGAGCCGCATGCGGCCCAGAATGGCTTTGAATGCAGTACAATACAAATTTGTAAACTTTTAAAAAACATTATGAGATTTTTTTTTGCTATTTTTTCTTTAGTTCATCAGCTATTGTTAGTCTTAGCACATTTTATGTGTGGCCCAAGACAATTCTTCTTCCAATGTGGCCCAGGGAAGCCAAAAGATTGGACACCCCTGCTCTAAAGATTCAAAGCAGTAAGATTAATATTCCTTTTTTTTTTTTTTTACCTTTTAGAAAACGTTTCTCATTCAAAAACAGAAAATGATGTCCTGAAGATGTCCTTAGTTTAATGCATGTTGATAAAACTACTTTTTAGGATTTGTGTAATCTCTGTTATCACCCTTGTCTATTCCAATTCTTAAGCTTCTCCAAAATGGCAAAGTTATGAAAATGCGTAAGAACTGTTTCTGTACATTAAGTATTAAGTAAAATAAAAAATGGAAGACTTTAGGGGAAAAAATCATAGATACCCAGACATTTTACTGTATTCATTTTTATTTTTATATTTTTGTTTATATTAGGATATTATACAATTTTCAAAGCTAATAACAGAAATCTTTTTGTATGTATATTTAAAGCATAACAAAATAAAAGTATTTCACAAAAGATGTCCATATTACAGTACTATTGAAATATGAGGCACAGGGTAAGTATGCATTTGTGGGTTAAAAACATAATACATTCATTTTAAAGAATAAACATTTAATGTGAGTAACATTTTGGTTAAAATAAATATCATAGTAAATGTTAACAGCAACACCTGAAGTATATGGATACAAGAAAGGTGTTTTGTAATAGATACTATGTTGAATGGTAAAGCATTCATGAAATGGCTGTAATATCTTACTAAATTTACAATCATTGCACATTGTTGAGCACTTTATTTATATAGAGATACCCTTCATCCACCATTCCTAAACCTTACCATACAAAACAAAGTTACTCCATATTTTCACCTGGGTAACTGGTACCAATGTCTAAATAAGGTTTAGAATAGATATAGCTTTCATTTTACTGCTCCTCAAATCAATTCAAAAGTTTAACTTAATCAATATAAAATTTACTTATGAACACATATAAAGAACATTTTATAGGTGACTATATAAATTAGAGCTTCAAATCATCTTCATAGTTCTTTGAAATTATTCCATTCAAAATTAAAATTTGATTTTTACACAGTGGTTTCTTCAGGAAAAATATGAACATTTAGATTTAAAAAGATACAATATTCGAAGCAAAAAGTTTCCACATATAGAAATAATGAATTTCCCTGATCATTAAATTCTTCCCAGCTATTTCCTTCTAGCAGATATATTCACTGAGAAGAAAAGCTTTAATCTTTACTTAAAAGTTACTTTGAGGGGTCAAGCTAATGAATTTTAGATCTATGTATTCTTAAAGATTGCAAGAAAAAAAAGAGAGTATCTGTTCCAACCAGAGAACATTTCATCTCAATTATATTACATTAAAATGAACATGACATTAATGGTCAATAAGAATAATTCTTCTCATACTTCTAGGAATATATCTATGGATGCTCAGTATAAATGTTAAAAGTCATTAAGAGTGTGAGAAAAAAAATGCATCTAGCCCTCAGGAAAAACAAACAAAACAGGTTTCCTTTACCTATTCCAAAATAAAATTACCCTTCAGAAACCATACATAACTGATTAGATTTCAGAAAACAAGGGTTCAGACTTTTTGCCCTTTATACATTTTTTAAGTTTACAAATGCTTGAAAGCATTCAAATGAGTGTAAGAAAAACACATATGAAAAACAAAACCAGCAGTTACATCGGCTAAAGGGAAGTGTTCTTTGAACATGAGGTTTTCACGTTGGCAGGATAATTCATCCAAGGTTGTAAGATGGCACAGAGTCCTTTAACAGTGACTTCCTCTTGGCCTTCAGGCTTCACAATTCTGTGAGAAACTGGTCGCCACTAATACGAAAGCATTCAGGGAAAACACATCTGCACAACAGCATTTACGAAATTCTGCCCATTTCCTTAAGCTACACGAAGTGTTACCATCTCAGTCATCTTCATGAACAAATACAGTACTTTACTCAAAAGCTTCTCAATAGAAATGTTAATCTCATAACAGTTCTGGCTGTAGTCATGGCCAGTTTTCATTTTATTAAGCATATTCTAGAATTACAACCTTGTCAAATAAATTGTAACTGTATCAACATTCACAGGTACAGTATAACACACATCCTTTCTTCCTCTTTAACAAGACCAAACATATGCATACAGAGTGGCCCAAATTTTAAAAAGTTTAAAAAAAGTTTTCAATCCAGGAAAAGTATTGGTATACCAAATATCTTTTAAAAGGGTATTATACTCTCAGAAAGTATGAAACATTAATGGATAAAATGCACATACAATATAAATAAGAAAGTAACTTGAAGAATAATATAAAAAAATTTCTGAAGGGGACCGATCAGAACTTCAATAAAACTTATGAATAAAAACTTAGGCTTATATTATAGTGTACAATTATGAGTTAAAATGCACTTAAATTTATAAAGAAATTGAAATATAGTACTGCAAGGTTATTCAAAGAATATTTTTCAAATGTACAAACAACAATAAAAACACACAAAAAAAGCCTTGGGCAATGTGCAACTTTAAAAATTATTATCACACCAGCTAAACAAATCCTTAACCACTTTTTAAATGGATTCATTTATACCATTTCAATGCAAAGAGAATATCAAAAATATTAAAACAAAACAAAAAACTCTTCAGTGTCTGACTCACATTTTGTCCCCAAATCTTCACATTTAATAGTTACATTTTGAATGTATAAGCTAAGAGTTCTAAATGTTTCTCAAATAGTTTGTGTCTACATTTATCATAAGAATCATATTTGAAAACTACTCTGCTAAGAACTAAAACTAGTACTTCAAACGTTTAAAAATAAAATCTTCACAAAAGTTCACAATTGTGTTCATCTCAATGTCCATAAATTACTAAAAAAGAAACAAGTCACATGTTCAGATACTTTTTCTCAGGTATGAGTCTATTCTGATGTGTGCCAAGCTGCACCTTCAATATTTGGCACTGACAGTCTATCTAAACACAATTTATCAGCAGAAAACTGTAAGAAATTCTATAAACCTTTAGCCATTCAAAACCATCATGTTTCATTTTCTCTCCTAACATGCAATTCAGTTATTCCAAAGTCATTTGGGGGTTGCAAGGAGGTGATTTAGGTGACTGGTACAAAATGAAGCTTATATGAAAACTGGTTAAGGATTCAAAGCACACTAGCTCTGAAATATTAATCTTAACACCAGACATAAATGGGGAGGTATGACTTGCACAAAATACTTTCAATTACTTTGGTTACACTCTTCATGATCTTGCATGTTTAGCTGCTTGCAGTGCATGCATGCATCCTCTTTGCTACGTCATAAACATAGGTGACGTCTGGTCGCTTCTCTGGATCTGGGTTGATGCACATATTAACTAACTGTCGGAGCTGTGAAGAAAGAAAAACAATAAAACCTGATTAAGACAACTATTTTTGGTTAGTTTACTGAGAGGAAGAAATTATGAATAGCTATAGATTTTACAAGGAAAGTACATTTTCTGACTAAACATTCACTGTACTAGAAATATATATAAGACTGCTGCCAATGATCTTACAATAAGTTAAATGTTCTATGAAGTGCATTGAATGGACAGTATTAATGTCAACCAAGAAGTATTTTCCACAATCAGAGGCTTTAAAATGGACTCTCTTAATTTTTCAGAGTTTAATCAGAAGATAGCAGTCACTGAGGACACTAGTCTTATAACTATAAGTCTCCAAGTTAACTGTAAATACACACATACATATTTGATCTAGAATCTACTACAACAGACTTAATTGTAAGTTTAAATGGAAGGCAATTAGAGTTGACATACATTTATAATGAACCATTTTGTACAAATATATATTAAAAGTTTTATGTTAAATTTTGTATTAGAGAAAAAAACACTCCTTTAAACTAATTATAATAAATTATATGGGAAGTTATAAGTGTTATTCCAATCCTCAATTGTGTACACAGTATTTAAATGTCCTCACTTTATAGATGAGAGAGTTGAGGTTTACTATTTTATTCTATTTATATCATAGAATAAAAGCAGATTTCAATAAATTAAGAAACTACCCTCCTATATGGTCCTCGATCCATCGGGTAGAAGAACATAGCATTTTATTGTCAATTCTAATTTCCATCAGTTTATGAAACTATGTGTCATCATAACATTGTATATGATCTTCATAGACAATAAACTAAGAGGAAAAACTATATTCTTTTGCTTTGTAGGTCTCTTTAGGAACAGTTTAGACATTTTGAGAATTTGCATTAACTCTGGCCACGATATAGCACTTAGTAAATTTTTAAATTAGCACAATTTCTTCATAGTTCTCAATTTCTACCATAAAATAACTTTCAACCAGAGAAAATACAAGTGATGATTAAAAAGCTTGGGCTGAAGATGTTGCTAGTGCTATGGAGAAGGCTAATGGCACTGAGAAATGTCATTCTGAAAGAGGAGGTGGGTCAAAGAGTCTGCCAGATGAAGGGTCAGAGTTTGGTAAGGAGTACAGTGAAATGGAAACCAGTCTTGTTGAAGGCACTTTGTAGCTCTGTGCCCTTGGGTAAGTCACTGTCTCTGGAGGTTCATTTCTTCATCTATTAAATAGGGAAGTTGGAGTGGATGACCTATAAGGGCTGTTCTCATCCTAATCTCTTACATTTTACGATTCTAGCAGAATGAAATTTAATGAATCAATTTTAGCTACACTTGGAAATTCAACAATGTTTCATAGTAATGTTACACCCACTGGGAGAGCCTGAAGATTTTAATTTATATTCCTTCCAAAAGAGCAGAGAACAGCATTTAAAACCCTTAAGGGGTACAGCAATACACAAAGCATTTTATTATGGTGATCTAAGAGAAATTTACATCAGAAAGAGACTGGCATTTTACCAGGTTACCAAAAAAAAAAAAAAAAAAAAAAATAAATATATCCAGTAATACACAATGCAGAAGAAAGTGGGAAAAGCACTTACATAATGACACATAATTTAAAAGATAATGTGTTCTAATGGGTCATCTAGCTGTCAGATATTTTCTTTAGAGATAAAAACAAGAAAGCAAGCAGAAAGAATAGCAGGAAAAGATAACCATGGTACAAAAAGTTCATTATATTTAGCTAAAATACAAGTAGATGCATGCAGTAAACAATTTTTTGACTTCCTAACACTGCCACATCCTTCAAGCTGGTTCAGAAACCTTAACTTTTCCTGTGTAATAATTCAGAATAGGGTAGAATTTCCAACCACTAAGAATGAATGACTGGCCCTTAAGTTCTCCTGGCATGAGGAAAAACCAAGATTAGAGATATAATGATGCACGTTTAGTTGAAGCAGACAGTGATTCTCTAGTTCACCAAAGTAAAAAGACAAGAATTGGGAATAACAAAAAGGGAGAAAGACACTGAATAAGGTAAATAGGTAGTGGGAGTGCCAGTGAGCAGATGCTTCTAAACTGCTCCTTTAAGGATGGCCTTTCAAAGGGATGACAGGTCAATTGGTGACCTTGCGACAGGCAGAGCCACAGCACCTTGGAGTTTGCTTTTCCTTCCCCACTTATTGATTCAATCTCCACCAAATACGAAGTGTATCTTGTCATAAAGAGTTTCCTTTTCCAGAAGAATCAAAAGGGCTATCACCATATAAAATCAGATATGTGAAATACAGAATATGCATACTTTACTATATTTATGAATCAATCTGTTGATAACTTTTCCTCAATTATTTGTTACATTAAAAAATTAATAAAGTATAAAAAGAAAGAAAACCTACGAAATTAAAATATGCTTTGGGAATGCTCCCACTTATCCACTCCAGCAACATTTCTAGATGATCTACTCTGCAAGAGACACTATGCTGGTGATACTTGATGGCACCGGATAAGACAAAGGACCTGTCCACAAGGGAAGGCTTGTTGTCCAGCATGAGAAGTGAGAGAATGACTCATTTTCCTTTCTAACCATCTGACTCTTTTGTTCTTTCTTTTTGCCCCCTCTTCCATTTTCATCCGTTCATTCAATTGTTCATTCAATAGTTTCCAATGGAGTATTTATTATGTACCAGACACTTTGTTAGGTAGTAAGGATAAAGCAATAATGAAAAATACACAGCACAGGCCCTTAAACAGCCTACAATCTAGCGGAAGATAGACAGAACAAAGAAACAAATGTGAAAGTGAGGAAATCACAGAAATAATTCTATTATAAACTACAAAGTGATAGGTATCTCAAGAGATATCTGTGAGATAAAGGTAAAAGATTAAGTGTGGCTGCCCAGAGGAGGAAATAATTACTTTCCTCTTTTTCTAAAATCTGTTTAACTATGAGTTGTTGCACCTCGTACACGGAGGTATCGATACCCACACAGCTGACAGTATCCTTCTCCATTCCAAGTACTGCAACCCTCATCTTGGGTCACTTTCACATTTATTTGATGTGAATCAATATAAATCTCTTTGATTACCTGACTGTAATCTTCACCTTCATACCAATTTAGTCTCTGTCTTCCAAGGACACAGCCTGTTTCTTAAAATGCTGTGTCACATCAGAAATGTAAGCACACACAACTGTCCTTCTGTGTCTCTCCCTCCCTTCCTCCAGTATGGTTGTGTTTGATTTGACTGAGACCATTTCCAATCCCTTTCATCCTGGTCAGCTCTATCCTTTTGGATTTACATCATTCAATTCCGGCCTAGACCTTCTCTTCCCTGACGTTTTCTTCCTAGTTTCTTTTGGAGGTTTATCTTCCTTTGAAAAATCTACCAAATGTTGGTATGCCCTAAATATTTTCCTTTCCTTAACTCTTTTCCTGTTTCACTCTTCCTTCTTATCTTCAACAACTGCACTTACTCCCATGCCTTCAATAACCACCAACATGCTGAGGAACACAGGTTATCTGTCTCCAGCCTAGACCTCTTTGCAGGCTCTGTTCCCATACTTCCAACTGCCTTCTGAGTAGAGCTGCACGTAAATATTCACATTAAACATGTTTAAAACTGAAATATTAGTATTTTTTTCTCCCCAACCAGCTCTTCCTAACAGCACCTCCAACTTCTTAAGTCAAAAATTTGAAATTCATATCAAACATCTCATCATACTTCCTTCCCACCTGCCTAACCGTCAGCAACCAGTCCTATTGGTCTCAGGCTCCTTAAACCTTTTGTTTGCTCCTGCCACACCATCTCCACTGCCACACTCTTGGATAGTCTTCCAGCTGACGGCTTTGCTTTCAGTTGTCTTCCTATTTCTCTAGCACTGCCTAACTAGCCAGGTGATGCTTCAACTTTAAGCATTTCAATGGCTCCTCATACCTCTTAGAAAAGCTAAGGCCCACCATAGATGGGGAGGAGGAGCCAAGATGGCCGAATAGGAACAGCTCCAGTCTACAGCTCCCAGCGTAAGCGACGCAGAAGACGGGTGATTTCTGCATTTCCATCTGAGGTACCGGGTTCATCTCACTAGGGAGTGCCAGACAGTGGGCGCAGGTCAGTGGGTGCGCGCACCATGCGCGAGCCGAAGCAGGGCGAGGCATTGCCTCACTCGGGAAGCGCAAGGGGTCAGAGAGTTCCCTTACCTAGTCAAAGAAAGGGGTGACAGACGGCACCTGGAAAATCAGGTCACTCCCACCTGAATACTGCGCTTTTCCGACGGGCTTAAAAAAACGGCGCACCAGGAGACTATATCCCGCATCTGGCTCGGAGGGTCCTACGCCCATGGAGTCTCCCTGATTGCTAGCACAGCAGTCTTGAGATCAAACTGCAAGGTGGCGGCGAGGCTGGGGGAGGGGCGCCCGCCATTGCCCAGGCGTGCTTAGGTAAACAAAGCAGCCGGGAAGCACCAACTGGGTGGAGCTCACCACAGCTCAAGGAGACCTGCCTGCCTCTGTAGGCTCCACCTCTGGGGGCAGGGCACAGACAAACAAAAGGACAGCAGTAACCTCTGAAGACTTAAATGTCCCTGTCTGACAGCTTTGAAGAGAGCAGTGGTTCTCCCAGCAGGCAGCTGGAGATCTGAGAACGGGCAGACTGCCTCCTCAAGTGGGTCTCTGACCCCTGACCCCTGAGCAGCCTAACTGGGAGGCACCCCCCTGCAGGGGCATACTGACACCTCACACGGCCGGGTACTCAAACAGACTTGCAGCTGAGGGTCCTGTCTGTTAGAAGGAAAACTAACAAACAGAAACGACATCCACACCAAAAACCCACCTGTACATCACCATCATCAAAGACCAAAAGTAGATAAAACCACAAAGATGGGGAAAAAACAGAGCAGAAAAACTGGAAACTCTAAAAAGCAGAGCGCCTCTCCTCCTCCAAAGGAATGCAGTTCCTCACCAGCAACGGAACAAAGCTGGACTGACAATGACTTTGACAAGCTGAGAGAAGAAGACTTCAGACGATCAAATTACTCCGAGCTACGGGAGGACATTCAAACCAAAGGCAAAGAAGTTGAAAACTTTGAAAAAAATTTAGAAGAATGTATAACTAGAATAACCATTACAGAGAAGTGCTTAAAGGAGCTGATGGAGCTGAAAACCAAGGCTCGAGAACTACGTGAAGAATGCAGAAGCCTCAGGAGCCAATGCAATCAACTGGAAGAAAGGGTATCAGCGATGGAAGATGAAATGAATGAAATGAAGCGAGAAGGGAAGTTTAGAGAAAAAAGAATAAAAAGAAACGAGCAAAGCCTCCAAGAAATATGGGACTATGTGAAAGGACCAAATCTACGTCTGATTGGTGTACCTGAAAGTGACGGGGAGAATGGAACCAAGTTGGAAAACACTCTGCAGGATATTATCCGGGAGAACTTCCCCAATCTAGCAAGGCAGGTCAACATTCAGATTCAGGAAATACAAAGAATGCCACAAAGATACTCCTCGAGAAGAGCAACTCCAAGACACATAATTGTCACCAAAGTTGAAATGAAGGAAAAAATGTTAGGGGCAGCCAGAGAGAAAGGTCGAGTTACCCTCAAAGGGAAGCCCATCAGACTAACAGCGGATCTCTAGGCAGAAACTCTACAAGCCAGAAGAGAGTGGGGCCAATATTCAACATTCTTAAAGAAAAGAATTTTCAACCCAGAATTTCATATCCAGCCAAACTAAGCTTCATAAGTGAAGGAGAAATAAAATACTTTACAGACAAGCAAATGCTGAGAGATTTTGTCACCACCAGGCCTGCCCTAAAAGAGCTCCTGAAGGAAGCACTAAACATGGAAAGGAACAACCGGTACCAGCCACTGCAAAATCATCCCAAAATGTAAAGACCATCGAGACTAGGAAGAAACTGCATCAACTAACGAGCAAAATAACCAGCTAACATCATAATGACAGGATCAAATTCACACATAACAATATTAACTTTAAATGTAAATGGACTAAATGCTCCAATTAAAAGACACAGACTGGCAAATTGGATAAAGAGTCAAGACCCATCAGTGTGCTGTATTCAGGAAACCCATCTCACATGCAGAGACACACATAGGCTCAAAATAAAAGGATGGAGGAAGATCTACCAAGCAAATCGAAAACAAAAAAAGGGAGGGGTGGCAATCCTAGTCTCTGATAAAACAGACTTTAAACCAACAAAGATCAAAAGAGACAAAGAAGGCCATTACATAATGGTAAAGGGATCAACTCAACAAGAAGAGCTAACTATTCCAAATATATATGCACCCAATACAGGAGCACCCAGATTCATAAAGCAACTCCTGAGTGACCTACAAAGAGACTTAGACTCCCACACATTAATAATGGGAGACTTTAACACCCCACTGTCAACATTAGACAGATCAACGAGACAGAAAGTCAACAAGGATACCCAGGAATTGAACTCAGCTCTACACCAAGCGGACCTAATAGACATCTACAGAACTCTCCAACCCAAATCAACAGAAAATACATTTTTTTCAGCACCACGCCACACCTATTCCAAAATTGACCACATACTTGGAAGTAAAGCTCTCCTCAGCAAATGTAAAAGAACAGAAATTATAACAAACTATCTCTCAGACCACAGTGCAATCAAACTAGAACTCAGGATTAAGAATCTCACTCAAAATCGCTCAACTACATGGAAACTGAACAACCTGCTCCTGAATGACTACTGGGTACATAACGAAATGAAGGCAGAAATAAAGATGTTCTTTGAAACCAACGAGAACAAAGACACAACATACAAGAATCTCTGGGACTCATTTAAAGCAGTGTGTAGAGGGCAATTTATAGCACTAAATGCCCACAAGAGAAACCAGGAAAGATCCAAAACTGACACCCTAACATCACAATTAAAAGAACTAGAAAAGCAAGAGCAAACACATTCAAAAGCTAGCACAAGGCAAGAAATAACTAAAATCAGAGCAGAACTGAAGGAAATAGAGACGCAAAAAACCCTTCAAAAAATTAATGAATCCAGGAGCTGGTTTTTTGAAAGGATCAACAAAATTGATAGACTGCTAGCAAGACTAATAAAGAAAAAAAGAGAGAAGAATCAAATAGATGCAATAAAAAATGATAAAGGGGATATCACCACCGATCCCACAGAAATACAAACTACCATCAGAGAATACTACAAACACCTCTACGCAAATAAACTAGAAAATCTAGAAGAAATGGATAAATTCCTTGACACATACACTCTCCCAAGACTAAACCAGGAAGAAGTTGAATCTCTGAATAAACCAATAACAGGAGCTGAAATTGTGGCAATAATCAATAGCTTACCAACCAAAAAGAGTCCAGGACCAGATGGATTTACAGCCGAATTCTACCAGAGGTACAAGGAGGAACAGGTACCATTCCTTCTGAAACTATTCCAATCAATAGAAAAAGAGAGAATCCTCCCTAACTCATTTTATGAGGCCAGCATCATCCTGATACCAAAGCCGGGCAGAGACACAACCAAAAAAGGGAATTTTAGACCAATATCCTTGATGAACATTGATGCAAAAATCCTCAATAAAATACTGGCAAACCGAATCCAGCAGCACATCAAAAAGCTTATCCACCATGATCAAGTGGGCTTCATCCCTGGGATGCAAGGCTGGTTCAACATACACAAATCAATCAATGTAATCCAGCATATAAACAGAACCAAACAGAAAAACCACATGATTATCTCAATAGATGCAGAAAAGGCCTTTGACAAAATTCAATAACCCTTCATGCTAAAAACTCTCAATAAATTAGGTATTGATGGGACATATCTCAAAATAATAAGAGCTATCTATGACAAACCCACAGCCAATATCATACTGAATGGGCAAAAACTGGAAGCATTCCCTTTGAAAACGGGCACAAGACAGGGATGCCCTCTCTCACCACTCCTATTCAACATAGTGTTGGAAGCACTGGCCAGGGCAATTAGGCAGGAGAAGGAAATAAAGGGTATTCAATTAGGAAAAGAGGAAGTCAAATTGTCCCTGTTTGCAGATGACATGATTGTATATCTACAAAAACCCAATGTCTCAGGCCAAAATCTCCTCAAGCTGATAAGCAACTTAGCAAAGTCTCAGGATACAAAATCAATGTACAAAAATCACAAGCATTCTTATACACCAACAACAGACAAACAGAGAGCCAAATCATGAGTGAACTCCCATTCACAATTGCTTCAAAGAGAATAAAATACCTAGGAATCCAACTTACAAGGGATGTGAAGGACCTCTTCAAGGAGAACTACAAACCACTGCTCAAGGAAATAAAAGAGGATACAAACAAATGGAAGAACATTCCATGCTCGTGGGTAGGAAGAATCAATATCGTGAAAATGGCCATACTGTCCAAGGTAATTTATAGATTCAATGCCATTCCCATCAAGCTACCAATGACTTTCTTCACAGAATTGGAAAAAACTACTTCAAAGTTCATATGGAACCAAAAAAGAGCCCGCATCGCCAAGTCAATCCTAAGCGAAAAGAACAAAGCTGGAGGCATCACACTACCTGACTTCAAACTATACTACAAGGCTACAGTAACCAAAACAGCATGGTAGTGGTCCAAAACAGAGATATAGATCAATGGAACAGAACAGAGCCCTCAGAAATAATGCCACGTATCTACATCTGATCTTTGACAAACCTGAGAAAAACAAGCAATGGGGAAAGGATTCCCTATTTAATAAATGGTGTTGGGGAAACTGACTAGCCGTATGTAGAAAGCTGAAACTGGATCCCTTCCTTACACCTTATACAAAAATCAATTCAAGATGGATTAAAGACTTAAACGTTAGACCTATAACCATAAAAACCCTAGAAGAAAACCTAGGCGTTACCATTCAGGACATACCATGGGCAAGGACTTCATGTCTAAAACACCAAAAGCAATGGCAACAAAAGCCAAAATTGACAAATGGGATCTAATTAAACTAAAGAGCTTCTGCACAGCAAAAGAAACTACCATCAGAGTGAACAGGCAGCCTACAAAATGGGAGAAAATTTTCACAACCTACTCATCTGACAAAGGCTAATATCCAGAATCTACAATGAACTCAAACAAATCTACAAGAAAAAAACAAACAACGCCATCAAAAAGTGGGTGAAGGACATGAACAGACACTTCTCAAAAGAAGACATTTATGCAGCCAAAAAACACATGAAAAAATGCTCACCATCGCTGGCCATCAGAGAAATGCAAATCAAAACCACAATGAGATACCAATTCACACCAGTTAGAATGGCAATCATTAAAAAGTCAGGAAACAACAGGTGCTGGAGAGGATGTGGAGAAATAGGAACACTTTTACACTGTTGGTGGGACTGTAAACTAGTTCAACCATTGTGGAAGTCAGTGTGGCGATTCCTCAGGGATCTAGAACTAGAAATACCATTTGACCCAGCCATCCCATTACTGGGTATATACCCAAAGGACTATAAATCATGCTGCTAGAAAGACACATGCACACTTATGTTTATTGCGGCATTATTCACAATAGCAAAGACTTGGAACCAACCCAAATGTCCAACAATGATAGACTGGATTAAGATAATGTGGCACATATACACCATGGAATACTATGCAGCCATAAAAAATGATGAATTCATGTCCTTTGTAGGGATATGGATGAAATTGGAAATCATCATTCTCAGTAAACTATCGCAAGAACAAAAAACCAAACACCGCATATTCTCACTCATAGGTGGGAATTGAACAATGAGAACACATGGACACAGGAAGGGGAACATCACACTCTGGGGACTGTTGTGGGGTGGGGGGAGGAGGGAGGGATAGCATTGGGAGATATACCTAATGCTAGAAGACGAGCTGGTGCAGCGCAGCAGCATGGCACATGTATACATATGTAACTAACCTGCACATTGTGCACATGTACCCTAAAACTTAAAGTATAATAATAATAAAAAAAAGAAAAGAAAAGCTAAGGCCCTTGGCCTGGCATAATATGAGCCACTGACATCAGTCTCCTGCTTCCCTTTCCAGGCTCCTATTTAGCCCCAAACTCCTTCTCCCTTCCCCCACCCCACCCTATTTTCTAACCATAATAAAGCACTTGTAGTTCTGTGCTTGCCAAACTGCTTCATGCCCCTATATCTTTGTTTATGCTGCTCCTCTGTTTATAACACCTCCCTCAAAACCCCTAGCTCTCTCACCTGTCTGCCTTACCCATGCATCTGCTCACTGTATATCTCTTCTCTAAAGTCCTTCCTCATTACTGTGTTTGCTACGTGGAACTTAACTCTGTTCTACTTGGCCCCCAGTGTACCCTTCACATACTTGTATTAAAGTCCTTATAACACTTTATTGTACTTCATTAAATGTCTGTTTTCTTCTATTAAACTGCAAGATCTAGAGGATGGATACCGGATGAACAGTAAGTGCTCACTGGCTTGCTGAATGAATGAAAGAATGAATGGGTAACTTCTGGCTGAGGAAAAAAGAAAAGGTTTTGTGGAGGTGGCATCTGAGCTGAGGTTTGAAGCAAGAACTTAATCTTAATATATAAAAGGGGGGGAGAGAATTCTAAGCAGAGGTAACAGAATTCGATTCTTGGCCAAAGAAAGTATGATGTGTGTGAAAGCAATGGCAAGTACTTATGCATGACTGAGGAGCAACAGGGATGAAATGATAAGCTGAGGTCAAAGAAAAGAAAGATTTAAGGGTTTGAAATCTATTCACACAGACAATGGGAAATCAGTATTTAAGGCAAGAGGGAGAAATCATGAGTCGTGCTTCAGCACATATTTTCTTGGTACAAAGACAGACAAAAAGAGAACAATGCCAGCAGAATGCTCAATTAAGTTCCTTTAAGATTTCAGGCAAGAAATAGCATTCATCAGAAATATTCACCAGGGTATCTGAAATGGGATAACAGAAGTGGTAACACTAAAGGAGGTGTGGCCTGGAGAGGGCAAGAAGGATACTTTGAGTTTTTGAAGTCATCACATTTGAGATACTGACACATTGAGATTTGAGTAGAAATATGAACGCCTGAATTTTGGGTTTAATTCTGCATTCATATCGAGATAACTGAATTGTATACATTAAATAACTTTTGTGACTCTACCAGATCCAGATTATGAAGATAAAGGAGACAGCTCAAGTAAAAAGTTGTAACCTATATTAAACAATTATTTTTAATTGTATGCTTCTCTTCAATACTCATGTGTTGATTTAGTCTTGCTTAATGGCAGGTACCATTCTGGATAAAAATATTTCATATTTATATAGAACTTATCATTTTACAAAACCTTCCATATAATTTTAACAATTATTTTTAAAGCACTGTAATCTCCCACAACAGTCTCATTTTATAGATGAAAAATCCAAGAATGAATTAAAAAATTAAAGGTGGAACTTGAGTTGGAACCCAAGGCATTTGATTTTTTCCAGGCAGGTCTTTTACCACTTGCCATTGTTGACAGCTTGTTTACTTTTACTTTTACCTACTTGGTCTTTTGGTTTGAATTTCTCATGATGCTTAATACAGCTATATATACATGATGATTATTAGTAACACTAATTTCAAATCATTTCCATTATAAAGGGATGCCACTTGATTTAAGGTATCATCTGAGTTCCAGTCAGGAGACATGAGTGACTAGATATTAACAGGTCATCATAGAATGGAGAAAGTAACATAGTTTATTCCACTCAGAGATTGGTCTGAGTTTTATTCAGTGAACGCAGTGGTAAGATGGCTCAAATTTCACTAAGGGTGTCCACCTGACATGTTGTTTGTTTTCCCTTAAGCAAATCGGCAGAATAGATTCTTATCAAAGAGCATATAACCTTAAATAGTGTGCCGTGTAGTGGGTCCTATGAAATTCTTGTTGAGAATTAAAATTTAGGGAAGACTCTGTAATGAATAAAATTTATCTTTACAACTTTGGATAATCTAAGTTCTATCCTTTAATTAAATTAGACCACCAGAAGGCTGCATCCTGGGAGCACATTTGTTTATCCTGCTGACAAAGTGCCTTTCCAAAACTGTGCTTTGATACTTGCTTTTGGATTTTATCAAACATCACTTAGGTATTTGCTGTAAAATTGATGTTGAAGACACTGCTTAGTACATTACTCAAAGATCTTCATATGAGATATTTATACCATAATTTAGTAGGAGAAAACTTTGTCTTCTGTGAGGAACTATTAATAGTATATTTCCCCCTTATAAGCAGAAACTAATTTGCTTACTATGTTTCCCTTTGTGCCATGAGATAAAGGAAGCAATAACTAAATGAGAATCTCAATCACAGCAAGTCTGTTGGTCATAACAGGTATACATTTACATTCCCTTCTATCCCTGGCTCTGAATTTTACTTAAATGTTCCTTTTAACAACAGGTAAGTCATGTCCATTGCAATAAATTATCTCAAATATTTTTAAAGAAAAGTGGGTTGTAAATTACAGAATAGATTTATATAGGCTGAATTCTGAATTTGATGTAATCTTCCTTGGTATTTATGAAATAACTATTTGTTGTTCTAAAGATATACTTAAATAGACCTGTTACTCTAGTGGGGGTAAAATAAGTTGCAAAAGTCTTTTGTTATAATAAGGGGAAAAATCACAAGTAACCTACTTTTGTGTTATAAACAACCACAGACTAAGTTTTATGCCTTTAATGTTAATAATTTGGTTTAAAAATGTGAATTCATATGGATCCATGAATAGTCTCTTGTAAGACTAAATAACAATCATAAACAAGGTCACATCTCACACCTTCTTCTTTTAATGAATACAAAATTATAATACCACTTTAAGATCGTAGAGTTATTTGTGCTCCTGCCATCATGAATAGGAGGATAAAATAGTCACCTGTGTATTATAAACCAGGAATTGTATGAAGAGCTAGGGTTTAAAATTTATTAATTAGAAGAAGAGAAAAACCCATTTTTACAATGTTAAATACACATAATAGGTTGACTCGTGGTTACTAAGGGGTCACTTTTTGAAGCTAGTGAACATACCTGGGGTTATAGTACTTAGATATTCCACGGAATTATTAGTTTTTCTAAGACTCCAATGGAGAACTGAAAATATAGTCCCCTGAACATTTTCAGATCAAAATATATCTCCTTATGGTCTCTGAGATAACTCTAGGGTTTCAACTAAATGCTAGTTCCAATGCTTGAGTAAAGAAAAACTATTTCCTAAAAGCTAATACGTAATATTTATGAACGACTCTATGCATTTTACATGATTTAATTTATTCAATCTTCATAAAAACTCTATGGGGGTGGACACTACTGGTATGTACAATTTTATAGAGTAGTAACATTCCTAAGGCCACAAAGGCATAAGGGGCAAAGCCTGGATTTGAACCGAAGCAGTCTAGCTCCAGCGCCCAAGCTTTTATATACAGTACTATATTATACTGCCCGGGAAAATTCTAACTTGATCTGCAGGGTCCCTCACGGCCACCTCTGCACAAAGGTGGGGTGACCTTCCACACAGTCAAAGATAGATTGTTAGGTTATTAGACTTTCAAAAGAATGTTAGCTCTAACACCAATTCCTCGGGTTTCTAAAATTAATGGATCTGCCTTCACATTTCATAGGCCAATTCTGATCATAAAACAAACCAAAAAATTTTCTCTCGAGTTCTGCAAAATTCCCAATAAGACACAGGCCTACTTTATCTGTGAGGGATATATTTAAATGATGACACCAAAATATTCAGATTATTATGACTAGAGGGATAATTTTAATGTTATTTCTAATCTGACTCATGAAATGGCAGTAAACTCCCTCCAAATGAAATATAGTTAATTTTTGTCACAGAACAATTTCTTTACTCCGGATTACAAACTTACATAGTGACCTGATGAACATAAGAAATACCTCTAAGTTTTTTTTTTCCAGATATCAAATAATCAAAATGAGATAAAGATCTTAGACATCTCCCTGTTTATTTCACATTTTTTAAAAGTTTCTGTTAACCTCCGGAAGGAATAAAGTTATTTTAAAAACTTTTAACATTTATCCAATACTGTGCAATGATTCTAAGTACTACATTATTAACCATGTTCAAGGAAAATGTGATCAGACAATAACATTAAGAACTTCATATCTATTCCTTCATGTCAGGTTTCAATTTCTAATAGTATTAATCAATCACTTGTTCAAAACCTTTCCTGTCCTGGAATTGAGGGAGTTAGCTTTGTATTTATTGCTTTAAATTTTAGAAATAATTCCAATATCCGTAGATATTACAACATTAATAAGAATAAATACAACTAAGTAAGCATTTCATGGTTTATGTTATCTCAGAAAATTTAGTTTGCATCACTTTCTACTTGTTTGTAAAAAATGTCTACTTTGTTGCTTTTATAAAAATTGTTTTATATGTTAAAAATAAGGCAAAAGTAAAGGTCTGAATATACAAAAGCCTTTGCAAAATCAGAGAAAACTGTTTAATTCAGATGCTTCACAAAAATTTAAAAAGCAACACAGAAACACTTAAATGAAACAAAGTATATAAAGTAAAAATAAAATGGATTCTCTACAACATTCCTAAGGGATTACGAGGTCATTAACCATAAGGAAATTAATGAATGTTCTCAATAAAGTAGAGAAAATACTAATACATTTCGATCTGTATATTTCTAAAGAGATATCAAAGCAAATAGGTTGATACCAGAAATATTAAAAAGAAGACAATGTTAACAGTCATTGTTGTCAGGGTGATAACCCAATTACAGATCAAGTTCAGTCACGTACAGGTAATAACAATAGGGCTCTTTGTGCATTACAGCTTTAGGTCACTAACACAATTCTCAACAGAATAATAAAGACTAGTGCTATTGGTACTGTTTCTTTTTCACCCCCATCTTAATCCCTCTGAGACCAATTATGTTATGTCAGCCTCCAGGATATACCCAATTTCCATCTACCCAAGGACACATTTTAGCACCCCAAAGTGGGTCTAATACATTAAAGTACATTATATTTTGGAGCTTTAGATATTCATACAAAATGATTAGGCGTATCCAACTTGTACACCAAAGTGTCACTAGTGATTGAATTGGGGGTAAAGGGAAAGGGAAAAGAAAGTAATCTTACACAGATATAAGGTAATGTAATGTCTATATTTCACAGCTGAAGATCATTCAGTGTCTTTTGAAAACTGTGAAAGTCTTACAGAAAGTTACATGATTTTGTAGGATCCCACAGGACATGTGAAATATAGGACACCGTTTTGGATTCATGTCATCAAGGAGCAAGTCCCCAGTGTTGCTTCAGAAGCATAGGTGAACAAAGGGACTGCTTAACTATATTTTTTAAACAAAAATAGAACATTCAAAGCTTAAAGATCTAATCTTACATGGCAACTTTCAGCAAGGTGGCCAACTGATACTGTGATGAGAATGTTAAATTTACCGAAACAATTTATAGGAAAGAAAATCAAATGTTATTAATAGCGTTTGAGATAATACTGTTAATTTTAATAAATAATGGCACAATTATATATTATTGATTTTATTATATATCTCTCTCTACATTTTAAAGTAAAATACTCTTACTTCAGCATTTGATTACATGGTTGCAGAGACTGCAGAAATATTTGTACAGAATTACCTTCAGACATTATTTGTGCCATATAAAATAATGTCCTTCTTTTAAATAATCTTGGGAAAATGTATTAGAAAAAAATCCTCTAACGCCAACTTAAACAACTGTGGTTAATTTCCAGCAACAACTCCAGAAAACTTATATAGATCTATTAAAATTTGTAAATCTAGCAATTACAAACTAAAAATATTTGGACTGCTCAAATGAATAAAAAAGTTTTATAAACTTAATTTAACTTCAAAGATGCAAAAATAATCTCTACCTGACACTTTCATCTTGTTTTTTTTTCATATTTACATAAAGCAGTTCTTTTCATGAACCAAAACAAAGGTCATGGTTTTTGTTACTGACTTAACTCCCTTAAAAATCTTCTTTAAATTTATTCTAAATTTAAAATAAACAAAAATTATTTATAAATATTCGGTTTGAAACCCAGTTATATTTTTAAAGCTTTCATTTAGTGATTTCCTTTCCTTAACAGTAGCCATTTGAAAACAAAGTATTAGTAAAATTATGACAAACTGTAACTTTTTTTGTTCAATATATTATGGATCAACATATTTGCTATCTTGAGATATATGCTTGGTTTTTCATACTCAAATGTATGGAAATAATTCCTACCCTTCTGCCGTTTCCTCATTCTTTCCTTTCAATGTTACATTGCCCCTGAGTTACCATGAGCCAGAAGAGTATTCTAAGCAAACACCTCATTGTGCCTCTGCCCTCTAACCTGCTATGCTTCTAGGGAAGGAGATTCCAGATAAAGATGGTGAGTGAAAGGGTTAAGAACAGAGAGGAGAAAAATAAAGAATTAGTAAGTCTAAGAGTAAAAATCATGAAATGCTCATTCATAAAACACCTGAGAGTTTACTTTGGGCTCTGTGTTCTTGTAACACAAACAGGGGGATGCCATGCCGCACAGGTACCACTGTGATGTCCAGTGTTTGCTCTAAACATTGTCTAGGTCTCTACTTACTCATATGTAAAGTGGGAATGATGACATTGCCCTTCTTTAGCAGGAAAATTGATAATCGCATTAAAGAAAATGTGATTTCAAAAGTTGAAAAAAATTCAGTATTGTAATTTTATTCAAAGCCACATAAATATGTTATACTCTCCAATAACCTATAAATATCTGAAATCAGTTTAGTTCAATTAAAAATTTATTTTTGTTATTCATACATAATCAACCATAGGAAAAAATACCTGTACTTTTTAATCCCTGTGTTCATTTTAAATACTCCAGAAAATCAAGACTTTTCTTGTTTCAACAATATAGGAAATGATGCCAGAAATTCTTAAACATTTGAGTGAAGCAGCAGAAAAGATATTATCAGGCTGCACTGCTAAACTATTCCAGGAGAAGCCAGAAAGAACCCTCCCCTCCTGCCTTCCATTTCTCTAACTTTAAAAAAAAAAAAAAAAGGAGAGGGACAGTGTCCACCTAAGAAAGAAAGTCAAAAATAATAGAAAGGAGATAAAACCAAAATATATTTATTAGTATTTATGAGGTAAAAGTTTATGATTCATTCATATTAGTTATTTGATTGAATGTGACCTTTCAGGTTGATATTTTATGGGTTAATTTTTTTGAGTGGGCTCATTACTTGATCTTTTTAAAAAACAAATAGTTTTCTATCTGTGGGCTGGAGGTATAAAGTCATAAAATGAACAGAAATTTAAGGTGAAACAAAAGAGACATTAAGTGATGTGGAAACTGATCACTGGGTTAATAATTCCGATTCCAAAATCACATTTTGTTGGTTTCTTCACCTAAAAAAGCGTTAATCAGACTTACTGAACTATCAAGTTTTTGAAAATATAATCAGAATATAATCACAATAACCACAAATATTGTATCCTTCAATAGTCTTTCTTATTTACAATACATTTACAATTATTACTAAATAAACATCTGCCATAGCCACTAGTTCAGATCGGCAAGCACTATTGTAATAATAGTCTACTTTATTAAAAACATTTTAACCGTCTTTCCAATGTTTGATAAATGCTTAAATTTCTTTTTCACTCAAAGCATTGTTTTTAGTCCTCAATTTATCTTTACTCAATTTTCTTCAATGAAGGGCACCCTTTATCCTTCTTTCTCATTTCCATTTCTTAAACTTTCATCTGCAAACCCTGTACTCAACTTACAGAACTTTCTTCCAAATCTATCTCCTCAAACCTAACATGAAAAGAAATGTTATGCTTTTTTGTTTGTTTGTTTTTGAGACGGAGTCTTGCTCTGTCGCCCAGGCTGGAACGCAGTGGCGCGATCTCGGCTCACTGCAAGTTCTGCCTCCTGGGTTCACGCCATTCTCCCGCCTCAGCCTCCCGAGTAGCTGGGACTACAGGCGCCCGCCACCACGCCCGGCTAATTTGTTGCATTTTTAGTAGAGACGGGGTTTCACCGTGTTAGCCAGGATGGTCTCGATCTCCTGACTTCGTGATCCGCCCGCCTCGGCCTCCCAAAGTGCTGGGACTACAGGCGTGAGCCACAGCGCCCGGCCCATAAATGTTATGCTAAAGCAACCACTGAGGCACCACTGTGTCAACCTTTCTTATGCCTTCTCTATTTAAACTAGGAATTTTTAATAACAAATAAAAAGTATTGAAAGAAACGAAGTATATATTTTGCTTGATATTAATGCTGACATTTTAACAGTATCAGTTAAATTTCAAAATAATTAACAATATAGCTATTTACTATTTTAGAGTTTCATGAGATAAGTTTGTGAACAAATAGATAATTTTGATGACTACTCCAATGTCTCTCAAAGAAATTAAATACTGAAATGGAAGGAAAACAGTCTATTTATCTTATTTCCCAGTAAATGGACACCTGGCATTACAGAGAAAATGATGCCTATGTAAAATAGAAAGTAATATCAATAAAAGAAAACTATCACATCCTCTGGCCTATCTTGTGAGTAATTTTCTGCCTTACTCTACAGAGAGTTCTTTGGAGAAGTTTCTCTCACTCATTCAATTGTCATTTATTGGTTCATCCTTTAATCTAACTCTGAGATTCCTGCCACATTCCCTCAATCAATCAATCAATCAATTACTAAGCCTTTTAAAATGTGTCAGGCCCCAGGCCCTAGAGATATACAGATAAGCAGCAGAGTTACTGATCCTCAAGGGCAGGAGCTTGACAGTCTGCAGGGGGAGGCATCCATGCAAGGAAGCTACTACAACATGGCGTAACTGCCAAGGGAGGAGGCTATGGGGAGAGAAGAAAGGATGTCAGGGAAAACTGTGCAGGAAAACTTTATGTCCAAGCTATGTTTGAAAGGAAAAGAGTGAGTTTCTTTGGAAAGAACAGGAAAAAGAGGTATTTCAGAAAGAGGAAACATCATCTATAAAAGCATGAAAATTTATGGAACTTCTAGTAGAACTTGCATTGATAAGAGTTAGAGAAAGAAGAAAAGAATATCCGATGATCAATAATTCTTGAGAGATGAGCCCAGGTCAGTTTACGACGGGCCTTTTGAGTCACAATTCCTTATACATAAGAAAATGTTTGCTTCACTGTCACCAACAATACCAAGTTTCATTTAAACTAAGAGACATCTAAGGAAAGATATCTATCTTTTCAACCCAGGACTCTTGCTAAACATAGTAATTGCCCATTGATACATGGATGAGATCATTACTAGAAAAGGAGAAAATACAAAACATCAAAAGAAATCAGAAATAAATATATTTAAGTCAGCCATAAAATATAGATTCCCTAATATCACTTATGTGTAGCTGAAATATTTCAATCCAGAACCCTAATTATTTGTACACACTAAGACTCACATAATTCAAAAGAAAAGATTTGACATTCAGGCTTATTTTTCTAAAACTTCTCATTTTTTGTTTTAATGCTTAATTGTTATGTATGTTTTAGAATATAAGATAGGAAATTAAAAGAAAAATCCCAAGCTTTTAAACTCTAGGTTCTTAGATAGAATGACTATATCTAGAAATAAATTGTGTAGGGTTCCTGAGGATTCCTATCAACTGAGGCTGACTGGCAGGTATGGCTAGTATTCTCATGAAATCCTCCCTTAAAATCTTGTTTGGGCAGTAACCTTAAAAATTTGGCAGTAGCTACACAAATTTGGTAAGCTCATAAATACATACCTGATAAGTTGATTTGCTTAAATTTTTTTATTTTTCAAATAGTTACACACTCTGTTATCATTGTAGCTATAAAATTAACAAAATAAACTGTCTTTTAATTAAAAGTTCACTGTTGAAAAACTCTGTACTTCACTTTTTATTAGTTCCTGTATTTTGCCATACTAACAAATTAAATGATATTCTAGATTTTTAAAAGATCTAAAAAGCCTACTTTACTTAAAAAATTTAAGACATTATAGCACTACCAAATTTGGGATTTTTGGCTACCATGAATTCTGAATAATTATTTTACAAATTGAGTTCCTGCTTAAGGAGAGAAAATATTTATTAGCACATCTGCATTTCAAAGCTCTTGTTTTGAGAACTCTTCTACATAACTAAATAGATTAAAGTAACATTGTTATACAGTCCGCATATTTTTATATTCATTTCTTTAGTAAGAATTATTTTCCACATTTACCTAGAAACTACAGCTTTCTATTTCATCAGGGAATGACAACACATTTTACCAATACGAGGAATCACATTTTTTTGGAAAGTACACCATATAATGTGTTTTGCTTTACAGCTCTTTTCGAAACTGGTAACTATATAGAGTGAAGTAAAAAGTGGAATCTATTTTCCTTTCCCAACTCTAAGACCTTCTATCTGGGCCAGACTTTGATATTTGCCCCTTGGCTGAGAATCCGCATATCCAACTTCACACTTAGCTGCAGTGAAGTAGCCCTGCAGGCAGGCCGACTTCAACGAACCACTAGTGGTATCATCATTAAAATCCTGCTGAAGGTCACCATGGTAACCGCCTGCTGAGGCTTCACTGCTGCACTCGGCATCTCCTAATCAGCTACCATGTGAAATGCAAATTCAGACAGTCTGAAAATTAGTCAAGAAGAATAGGGGATGAGGATGCAGATATGTGAAATATTCATGCGCTTCATGGAAAAAAGAAGACAGCATGAATGACACAACAAAGAAAGGCCCCTGACATTCTTGCTATCATTTTGCATTATTGTTCACACCCCACTGTATTTCCAGGCCTATAGTTCTGAAGTTGGTTTTGTGAAATGCCATATTTATAGTCTATACCCAAAATAGTAATTAAAAATGGCTAACATAATAGTATTAACATCAAATAAAGATAATACTTTTAAATTATCATCACTGCTCTGTAACAGTTTATTCTAATTACCTGAATACAAATGCTATGCAGAAAAAAACAGGCATCACTGATTATCAGTATCAAAACTACCAGAAGAAAAAGTGCCTATTATATTCTAGGAACACAAATGCTTTACATGTGGTGAAAATTCTTTAGAGATATTTATTATTCAAGTTACACGAACTCAAATTTCCTTACATAATACTAAGACCCTATGCTATTCGTTTCACAATAGAAAGACTGACATGATTACCTAATAAGTGAACATTATAATTGTTTTATATTTTTCCTTTTCTCCTTTCCATTTTCCTGAGGCAAAAAATCTGTTGCTCATGAGAAGGTGCGATGTCCTAACTCAACACACTATTTTCTCTGGGTAGGTCCCTGATGAGTATTCCATAAAGAGCTAATATGAAACATTTTAGTTGACCTGAGATACTGCTATTCTGCATACATCCTCCTTAAATATTCGTAAAATGATGATACGTTAGGCTAAAATGGGAGATGTTTTGTTCAATGAAAGACTGGACATAGGGTAGAGCCAAAACAACTCACTTCAATGGGTTACCAAAGCAAGCAAGCAAGCATTCAGACTCAGATCTTAATAAGGTAGCCTTCTAAGATTTTCAGCCACAACTAACACACTTTTTAAACATGTCTACAATGATAACCTCGAAACATTTCCCCAGTAGAATCTGAGTATAGCAGTGAGGTGATGATAGGACAGGTATTGTCAAAGGAGAGAAGGTAAAGCTTAAATAATAAGGCTCAGAGATATGTAGTTAAGAGATGCGTGTTTCGAGTTTTGGAAAACATGGACGAAAGGGAAGTTCTGCCAAAATAGAAAATTACAACTGTGTGCTGGTCTGGTCTGGGACTGTGAGAATAAGGAGTTAGCCCTGTTAGGAAGGGCCATCAGACATGATGATTAACTAGAGCCTAAGTATGAGCATTAATTCTGCCCTTTGCACGATTCAGTACACTGTAGAGTCAGCTACTATTCTTATCACACCTAGAAAGTGGCCAATTTTACACCACATGCTGTGTTGTGTTGCACTACACATTATCAATTGCAGAGTCAACTCTTTAGACAGCAAGTCTCCAAGAGAATGAAAACAGAATTAAAAAGTGCTAGTTCTGCTACCTATACCATTCATTTTCATTTTTGGATAAAGTAAAATTTCTTGGTAAAATAAAAATGTTAGCAAAATGGACAACAGAAGAACATGTGGGCTGAAAATGACTTACTTCTTCTGAATAGTGATCTGAAGGAAGAGGTGGGTAGTCACACTGTTCTATCTTCTTACACAGTGAGTATAAATTCATTTTGTCACCATAGAAAGGACTTTGTAATGCAGCCATCTGTAAAATGCCCCCAATGAAACTGATATAGTTAGATGGTAACTTAAAAGGTGATTTCATCAAGTATATTATACGGGGGTAGAAAATAATCACAAATATTTTAAATAGAGATACCTGGGCATTTTGATTTTTATGAATATCCCCTTCTGAGGAAATTTATTAAGAGTTAAAAATCTTACTGCAACTTTTGGTTATTTTTTTTCCAACATTTAAAATTCCCTAAAATAGAGAATTAGCATATTTCTTTATATACAAATGCAACATAAAACAATAAAGAAAAATAACACATAATTTAAAAACTCTTTGTACCTATAATGACACAAAAACAACTACTATATCTCACAACAAAACAGTCATCACAAGGTGTAGCTCAACCATACAGAACAAACATGAAACTGAAGTTAAAACTGAATTATAATCTAGCATAGGGAAGAGAATGCAGAGCATTTTCTCTTGCATAATAGTTTCTGAAGATAAAGGTTATTCTGAGAAAAAGCAGTCTTTTCAATTTAAATGCAATAACTGATCCCCAAATAGTTTACAATGAATTAGAACTCTTTTGATAATGTCTCAAAAACATTAAATTAAATATGTTCAAAAGCTCTATGAGTCATAGCTGTAATTCAAGGCTTCCAAATGAGATTTTTATGCAGAAAAACACGACCCAAAGGATGAACAACTTTAAAAAAGACATTATCGAATTTAAATTTATTTTAAGACAAGGTTCTAACTTGACATTTAAAGTGCAAGCAAGTACTGTGGTAAGCAGTGTTACAAACTAAAAATTCAATTTAAAATGTTCGCATCCTGTTCAAAACCTTCTAAATCTTTGAACCACAGCAGCAAGAATACAACACGGAGTGCCAGGCTGCCCCAAAGTCAGTCACCCTTTTCTACATGTGCTAATAAGTTTGATTTTGGAAGGACAATGTGTACATTCCCCAGACAGGCAGAGTGTGTGTGAAACACGCTAGTCCATGCTGTGCTACTCAGTGAGCGTCAGTGGGGACAGGACAAGCTGAAAATGGCTCTCATCTGTCTTCTGTGCTCCAGACAGAGCTTTAACTCCTTCAGAGCCTTGATGAGAAGGGGATGGGATTGGAAATCAAAACTGGAAAGTAGCTCAACACATTTTTATCTTGCCTATGTTTTACATAAAACGTGCACACAACTATATAGAAGTACCTTAGGAAGAGTTGTTTCACATGACGAGAAAAAAGTTAAAAACAATCTGAATGCCCCTAATCATATAAAACACTCTGAGAGGAAATTTCTAAAAGAACCACAATAATAATAATAATAATAATAATAATAATAATAGTGGTTTTTGTTTTAAATGCAAGGACACTTTAAGATCTTACCTTAAAAATACACTGTATATATAAACTATAGTCTCTCCGTGTTTGCAAAACCTTAAGTAAATGTACATATATTCATTATCATATTCTAGGCGTTCATTATAGTCCTTTTTCTCAGTACTGCAGAGTGTTAAAAAAAAAAAAAATCTGAATGTCCCCTAAGGAGTTAAACAGGAATAGTATATTTTCATGCATCTCCTGCTTTGACAGATGAAAAATGTCAACTGTCCTGTTTTTATTTTCAAGCTTTTGCACTATTCATCTGGTTCATTAGTGCATCTCGATGCTGCCCCTGACAGCTGCTCGCCCTCTCCTCCCAGCAGCTGAATTTTTCAGGCTAATTTGATCCTCCACACTGAGACGATCGCTAGAATGATTGACTTACTCCCTGACCTCCAGGGTCTGACTTTCCTGATTAGTATTCTGGGGGTGTCGGAGGGACGAAAGCCCACTGTCTGTCTTCGGGGCTGGTGGCAGCTCTCTTTTTTTTTGAACTGTAAGCCACCAACCTACAACCCTGTAAGGATGCAATTGCTGCGCTGAACAATAAAGGAAATGTGTAAAACCTACTTTTCCATGTAAAGGTCCGTGTAGCAAAAGCACAGCATCTTGATTTTAATTAGTAAAGTCTACTTTGTTGCATATCAATTAAAACTGTACTGCTAGTTTTTTTTTTTTTTTGAGGTTTCAGGAATATTTGAAAGTCTAATTTTCTGAGTTTAAAATACATTTTCAAAAAAGGCTTCCTACGTCTTCATTGTTAATAGTAATTTTTTAGTGGGTACAATACAAAATACGTGATGTTATGACCAATTTTTAAAAGCCAAACTGTTAGCTATTTCTATTAACAGTACATTGAAACACAACTGAAAGGAAATAGAACATAAATTTAAATTAAAGCTTTAGAAAAATTCTAGTTCTTCTAAAAGATTTGCATGGAGAAATCAAGAAAATGCGTTGAGATGAAAACTAACATTAGCATGATAATACTTTAACTCAAAATCATCCACAATACATATAACTCATGGATGTAGAAATGTCCAAAGATGTTATTTTTATTTTTGTGGCATTTTAAGTCCATACAAAAATGGGACACCGTCTCTCAAAGGCAAATTCAAAATGTGATAAATTATTTCAGTTTTGACATGAGTATGCTAAATCTAAAAGAATTATGCAAACTTCCTCTCAAAAACCACTTACTACCTCAACAGAACTTTTTCTTTTTTATTGCTAAATTTAATCTAGTTATTGGAAACCAATTTGCTGTTTACTTTTAGGGATTTGAAGAGAATATGTTGCTTTGATAATATTAGACTATGGCCTAAAGGAATCTAAGGTTAACTAAACAAATATAAAATATTTTAAATGTACAGAGTGACTAACTTTTAAACATTATAGTAACAATATAAACAATCCAGTTCTTTTTAGGATTGTACCAAATTATTAACAAAATATAACACAGTGAGCGTAATTTCTTGTAATCTCGTGCACATATAAAAACATGTTTTGTTACATTACTGACTCATAATTTTTCATAACAAAAATTATCCAAAGTATGAGTTTATTTAAGAATATTTAAAAATCCTTTCATTTTAAGTAGTTGTTAGTCACTTTAGTAGGAAGGACAAAACAAATAATTTCAGGTTCCTTAAATTAAGGAAATTTGAATCTGCAATGAATAAAATAATAAAAGATCATGACATACATTTTTAAAGAGTCAAAAAACACCTCCTAATGCTCTACTTCCAAGTAATGGTGGTACAATTAAAATAGATGATTTCATCATATATTTCATTTAATTCTGGAGGACAAGAGACAGGAAATATATATAGTAGGAAATGCATTGGTTTCTATTTATCCTCTTTAGACTTCTCTCATATACACAGAGATATGAAAATGATTCCTACACAGGGATATGAAAATGCTTCCATGTATTACATTTCCTCACTTTATTAAAACCTACTTAGATATAGACTAATTTTTAATTAACAGCTTTGACTCGAAGCCTATATTCCTAGGAAAATTATCATTCAATTAAAAAAACAAAATTACAGAAGTCACTAGCTTGAGATACTTTTATACCAACACAGATGTAAAATGTGTTACTAACATGCTTTCTTTTATCCACCCAAATTATTACAGTGCAACATTTCTAGAGGACCTACCTACATGATTCCATCTTCCTTTGATAAATGATCACCAGTAGAACAAAAGAGAGAGTATTTCACTGAGCTTTACCAATACAAATTGTTACTCATGGAAACTAAATTGATAACCTAGAAGAACTATCTGTTTGCATACTATCCTTAATGCTAAATTACACCTGTGTAAAAGTGAAATAAAATATTGATAAAAATATTTACTATACTTTCATATATTAAATCCAATCCATTATGCCACTCCTGTAATGCATGGATCAAGATTTACAGATGTTCAAACGTATATTTTTACAAATGCAAGATATAGAGAAAGGCGTTATATTAACATAAAAGTTAATGCTTTAAAAATAAACTTCTCATCAAAAGAACACAATTTAAAAATATATTAGATGTGTAGGAATGTATAGTTATTAAATTCCATTATACAAAGTTATTAACCCAACGAAAATTCTTCACAATTAAAAAGGTGATTCTTAAACATCCAGAAAAAAGTAAGTATATACTATAAGGATAGAGGAAATATACTAAGTAAAACTGCATCAATATTTGGAATTTATCAACATTACCTACCTCATATAGTAGACAGCCAAGAGACCAGATGTCAGATTTGAAGTTGTATCCATTTTCATGTATTCTCTCTGGAGACATGTAATAAGGCGTACCAACTGCAAAAAAACAAACCAAATAAAGTAAGAGGTATATAAAAATAAAGATACAGCTGTGGTCAGAAACTACATACAAAATTTTGAATTTAAAAACATCACCAAAATAATTCATTAGGATCGAAAGCTGTTTTTGAGAATACTAAAAACTTTTTAATTTCTTCTTTATTCCTTGACCCTTAAATAGTACACTAACAACTGCACTAAACAATGTGGTGGGTTAAACTTTATTTCCTTTTGATCAATCCAAGAAGAATCAACGGAGCATAACTAAGGGAAAAAAAGTAATTCTGCCAAGAATACCTACTTAAATGATTCATGTTGGCTTTATTTTTTTAAAAAAATATGGCTTGAATATCCCAAATAATTAAGCATGATAATTTATTTAAAAATAAATAATATAACAATTTAGTAGAGTATGAGTAAATAAATCATATTTGTTAACTTTTACAGAAACATCCTTTAGAACACAGCGTGGCTGTTAACAAATGATATAACACTTGATGCCTTACTTCCACTTTAGAAAGAATACCACAGACTTTTGTACATCAAAGGATTATATAATAACAAATGTGAAAGGGCACTGGCATCTCTGGAAAAATGTCTTGAGTTATTGTTACTACTGAGACCTTTTTAGAGACAAGACACTCAAGATAATTTTTGTTTTAATTGCTTGCTTTGATGTGCTAATACTTTTTCTTTTTTTAATGACTGTTTTAGAAGATGCTATTAAACACTTGAAAATAAACAAAAGCATATATGTTACACTTTGAAGTGTAAAAATATTTAAGTGACTTTCAAAGTGAGTATCTTTAATTTCAAACTCAGATGGCTATTTCATCATCATTAGTCTAAGGCTTTTTGCCAAATAGAAAGTCAAAGTTTAAGAATATTTAGAATCTTATTTACCTGAGGGAAGGGCTACCAAAAATATGTTGCTACTCAAAAAGAAAAGGGCATTTTCCTTTTTCTATTAATTTTCAAGACCTCCCCAGGTGTTTACTATAAATCTTAAATAAGACTAACAAGACTGAATAGGGGTCTTTAGTCAGAAGCAACAAAAAGATTCACACCAATAATCAAAGCACTATACTCAAAGGCAGGAGTCAGTTTGCCAAAAGAATAAAGTTATAACCTAATAGTTATGTGTGGAAACTATACTAAGCTAAAGGTGAAAACATCATGTACCATGACCCATGATATCCTACCTGTATCGGAATCCGTTTTTACTAATCATGGATAGCCCTAGTCAGACTGGATGAAAGAAAAGTATTTATGAAAGTGATGAAGAAACGTTAAAAAAAAAAGTATGCAAACAGAAGGATAAGAAACTTAAATAAAATACGAACTATTAATATACAAAAATTAATGAGACAAACTTTAAGACATAAATTATTTAATTGTAGCATTTACTTTGAAGACAAACAGGTAAATACGCCAATTTCTATAGTGTCAGAAAAGCAAAGAACTTTGGAAAACAGCTAGGTTTAAAGAATCTGTATTATTACTGTGTAAAATAAACACAAGCTATCTAGCTTTGGGAGTTCTAACTACTTTCACCTGTAGTTTGCATAAGTGACACCAATTATTGGAAATATTCACACATTCTCTCCATTTAAGGAAGGATGGTAGGTACAGTTGGAATAATAAACAGGCTCTGCTCCTGGTTTCAGGACATAAAGCAAGTGACTGGCAGTGAGGAATGTGCAGAGAGAGGCTTCACAGAATCCACAGGGGGGCAACTGAAAACACTGAGGCTTGAAGGTTCAGAGTTTACCAAAAGCAAAGGTAATTTTAACCAGTAGCTCTGGGAAACCTGCTGTACATTAGGGGTTTGATATGAGTGTGAAAGATTGATGATAAGGAAAAAGAAGAACAAATGCTAGCATTTTACAGAGATTAGCCCCAGCATAACACCTTAACTGCAACACAAACTGAACTCAAGGACGACCCAAGTGAAGGGAGCAGAGGAAAAGAATGATTAGGAATTCTACTAAGCTAAACTTAAAATGTAAAAAATGTTAATGTACAAAAATCCTTTTTCAGTGAGCTGCTGGAGGTCACTGCAAAAAGTTACACACTCAGTTAACACTGATACTTTAAATTTAGATACTGATTCTTAATATAAATAACAAGCCTCTTTATATTAAATAAGCATGTTTTATTTCAATATTTAAACTACATATATTCGTTAGTATATATTAAAATGTAAAGCTAAGGATGCTACTCACCTCTTTGATCAACAAATTTCCAACAGTCATTATATAAGATGAGTAACTTTGTATTCTGCACTATAATTATTAATAGGATAAATTCATAATTCACTAGGGAACACAGGCCTAAGAGGGAGGTCTACTGTCTCCTGACACGCTTCTTCATATGCCCCTCCGTTCTGGACAAGGACTCACGCTGACTGACACTGAGCAAAGAGGTTCAGCCCCATCACGTAAACTGATTAGTCCTTACCTCTCTCTATCTAGCAGAGAGGCCTAAAAGTTTAAGTGCTCAGGAAAATTTGCAGTACATTTAAATGCAGTGATATGTTTTCAACATTTCAAAATTAATGAAGATATAATTATTTCCAAAAACCTTTTTCAGAGATTCATGACAGCTGTGTCTACGATTACTGTTGCCTCAAGAATGTTGTGACTTCTTTTAACAGCTGTACAAGAAAAGAGAGTTATGGAGTGATATGATTAGACATTAAAATGATCATGCGAATTACTGTCCTATGTATTGAGAAGCTTGAAGACTACAGCACATGTAATTCCACTTATCTTTCAAGAATTTATGATTGTAGGTAAAATGAAAGTACATTTTGCAATAGCAGATACTTATGCCACTTTAACCTTCGGACATGAATAAAAGTAGGAAATGGATGATAACATTATAAAAAACAGAGGCTGACATTAGAGGAAAACTGGTAACAACTAAAAATCTTACCTGACCTTTCTTTATTCTATATGAATATTACATTAAAATATACTAAGACAGTCATCCATATGTAAAAATCCCTTTCATTACATTGACTTATTCTAGCTATATGAGAAAAGTTTTATATGGTATATACTCCATAAACAATAAATATATTCTAATCTTTATCCTGAATAAAATGAAGACTGATATTTAGAAGTTCTGCAATATGTTTAAGTGAACCAACAAGTTCTGCTAACATGTTGCTATTATGGAAGATATCACTAAATTGATAATTTTCATCAGAGCAGGTTATATACAGAATAGTTTAGCTAACAATTTAGCACTGTAATCTCTGCAAAAATTTGAATGAAAAAAGAAAACAACGACTGAAGCATCCTCACATGCAGTTAGCTTTGGATTGCTTTTTTGTGTGTTTTTTAAACAAGGGAGGCAGCACAAAACCAGTGAAAGATAAATCTCTTTCACATCTTACATTTGCCACTAACTAGTTAGGACCATTTAACTTCTCTTTTTATTTCCTTCCCTCATCTGTAAGATAAAATGAGAAAGATGAGCTGATCTCTGAGGTCCCTTTTGCTTTAAAATTCTGTACCACTTACAGAAACTCTACAAAAATCCATCTGGAAAACAAAATGGAAAAAAAAATTGTCCTTTTTAAACTATTACTTAGGACAGCTGAGTGAGAGTGTTTTAAGTCGGAGAGTACAAACAAACGAACTGAGTTTAGAAATATAGTTTCTTTCTCCTAGAATCAGAGCAAACTACAGAAAAGAAAGCTTTGAATATTCCTTGCTGGGAAAATTAAAAGGAGACAAGTCATCTTACACCTCAGTTCGATATAAACACACACACACACACACACACACACACACACACACAACTTCAGGGAATAGGACTTAATTTCCATTCTTTCCTTCATACTCATGAGTCAGCCCAGAAATTATGTTGGCAGACAGAATGGAGAGAGGCCAAATTTATTTCATTGTTAGTAGTATTAACTGAGGTCAATATAGAATGGCTGAGTAGGAGATCAATATTTCTTCTGCAAAAGACATTTATAAAATAAAATTTGTCATCTTTGAAGTGCAACCGATAACATTTAAGAGCTTTAATAATGCTGAGGAAAAACACCTAAGCATATTTTATTGTTATTGTTGCTGTGCTCCAGGCCCTGTGTTCAATGCATCCTATGTATTATCTTGCTGAATTTTAACAAAAGTTTACCATGCCCTGTTGCATGGCATACACAATTCTAGGTCCTGTGGTGACAGAAGTAAACAGGACAAATCCTTGATCTTGTGGGGCTCACAGTCCAGTGAAAACGGGGACTATTATAAGGTAGTTTTATAAGATGTTTCAATTATTATACTGCTTTAGAGAGAAGGCATAGGGAAGTTGGTCAGGTAACTTGCCAAAGATCATAAAACTGGTAAGCTGTAGACCTGGAATTCAAACCTAAGTAGTTCTTGTCTCTTGCATTTAAGCAGATGGTTATTTCATTATAACTGACCACTGTGAAATACAACTGAAAAAAATATCTGTATCTTTCCAAATTAAGAAGCAGAGAAATCTTCTAAAAGTCACAGCATGTACATAAGAAAAACCAGGAATAAGGGTCCAGGTTCAATGGGCCACATGTGAAAATTATGCTACTCTGCAGCTACGCTGATTTAAATAAATACCTGTTATGGCGGCTGGGAGGTTAAAGGTACACCGTTTAAAATTAGATAATAGCTCCTTACCAGAGCAATTACTTAAGAAGGGATTGAAAGTTAAAAATAAATCAGTGAAAGCAGCCTATAGTACTGACTGAACATATGCTGCCTTTACAGCTCTCAACCACCCTGAACAACGAAGGGGAATAAGCCAAAGATCTATCTAGAGGTGCTAGGAAAGGTGTGGGAAAAACAAGTATGTGACCACAGGTGGCACCTGGCACCAAAAATGAAACTGTTTTAATGCCTGGTTCAAGAACACTAATTTTCTAAGTTGAAATCAGAGGATATATCACACTTGGAAATAGTGTGGGCAACACGAATTGTACACTCAAGAGACTCTAGTGTGAAAATTCTGATATCGAGCTTGAATGATGGCCATGCATTTACTCTGCTGGCAATATTACAAAATCAAAGAACCATTTGTCTCACTGAGAAAGGTAAACAGCAGTTCAAGCAATCCTATAACAAAAACAAAAACAAGAACATAATTTCCTCCCAAGAGGTTTCAAATATTTGTTTAGCACAAGGATCAATATCAGAGAGTTTTAGTTAGCTTTTTTTTTTTTAAAGCAAAAATCTGTCTCATTTTTAGGATGTACAACAAGCACATACAAGTAAACTCACACACAAACATGCAGTAAGCTAACAATGAAAGAAAATGATTTGTTTATAAATTTTTATTAAGCCAAGTGTGGCATTTTCTCCCTTGAAAAGTAAATGTAAATTACAATGCAATAAAGTACCTATAAAGACCTATAATAAAAATGTGAAAATCTAAAGTCAAAATATCTCTTCAAAAAAGAAATATTTATTTTCAGTAAATGTAAACTTCCTCTAATTTTGGAACCTCTTCCACAGAACCTCTCTAGCTTTTTTTTGTTTGTTTTTGTTTTTGTATTGAGACAGAGTCTTGCTCTGTTGCCCAGGCTGGAGTGCAGTGGCGTGATCCACACTCAGCTATTTTTTTGTATTTTTAGTAGAGATGGGGTTTCACCGTGTTAGCCAGGATGGTCTCAATCTCCTGACCTCGTGATCCACCCGCTTCGGCCTCCCAAAGTGCCGGGATTACAGGTGTGAGCCACCGCACCCAGCCTAGAACCTCTCTAGCTTTTAAACAATTTCACCTAATTATGCTTTAGAGGAGGATATGAATGTCTCCCTAGCTGTCGCGTCCATTAAAATGTCTATTAAATTAGTCTATTAAAATGGCGTTACAGGCAGAAATTTTGCCTCCATGATCTTCGCCTCTTGGTGCTATACCTGTTTATGTTACGGTAGTGGCAAGAGACTTTGCAGCCATAAAGGTTGAGGACTTCATAATAGGAAGATTACCCTAGATTATCAGTAAGAGATGCAACAGAAGGGGCAGGGGAGATTCAAAGTGTGAGAGGGACTCTCCACCACTGCTAACTTTTAAAAGGGAGGAAGGAAGCCAGGAGCCAAGGAATGAGGGCAGCCTCTAGAAGCTGGGAATGGCCCTCAGCTCACAGCCAGTGAGGAAACAAGAACGTCAGTCCTACAAAACCAAAAAACTGAATTCTGCCATAATCTGAATAGACAAGAAATGGACTGAACCTCCAGAAGTCCTGCAATCCTACAGATACCTTGATGTTAGCCTGGTTAGAGTCATATTGGACTTCTGACCTACAGAACAGAAAAATAATACGTTTCTGTTGTTTTAAGCCACTAAGTTTTTGGTAATGTGTTAGGGCAGCAATTGAAAATAAATACAAACGTGTTAATGATTCATGCATTGAGTGGGAGAATGAAACACTCAATTCTATGTGGTATGGACCTACCTCACACCAAGAATTACATAAGGACCGAGGGGGTAAGAGAAAAATGCATATGGTTCAAAAAAAAAAAAAAAGTGTGACCTCTAAAAGCTCACTGGATCATTTTGGGATGGTGTTCTTTTTTGTCAGGGGTGGCGGAGCAGGAGAAGCCAATACATTTGCCAAAAGAAGAATAATATGGTTAATAAGGCAATGTATACAGGTTTAAATTATGGTCCTTTGTAATTTAAATGAACTCTGGCTTGGTCACTGACAGAAATCTAAACTTGATAATCATACCTATCTCAAAGAGATGTAGAATAGAAATCAGTTAATGTGCTACATGGCACTTAGTCCATATGAGTATTTGAAGCTTGATAAGTAACTATTTTTTATTATAAATGTTTTAAATTGACCAAAATAAGCTCTTATCAAAAGCAAGTCCAGCAGGGATAACTGCAGATTTATTGATCCAGAGAAAAGTCACCAGGGATCAATACTCCAGTGAACCTCATGAATCTTTCTGGATTTAAAGATAATCTCTCTGCTTAGAATTTTCCAATTTAGAAAGATGTAAATTTCCTAACGGCTCACTCTTCATTCACCACTACCACCCATTCCCATTAAGAGAGTTAATTACCCTTTGGTTGCAATAGCTACAAATATGTCACAAAAATAAACAAGTAGAAAAAGGATACAAGCAGTATTTTTAAAAAAACTGAAATTAGGTATTTTTCCTCTATCTCAAAGCCATGAACAATACTCATATTCATTATTTCTGATTCTCCTCTTCCTGAACAAATAGGAGAATTACATTTCCCTGTCCCTTTGAGATACTCATTGCCATGAGATCTGTTTTGGCCAATGAAATGTGAATGGAAGTAATCTTTTACATTCAAGCAGAAGGGCTTAATTAAGAGCCAGTAAGTGATTCTCCATGCTCTCTTCCCCTCATGGGATCACAAAAACGTATGTTGATATGAATATAACACAAGACTGAAGCTGCCTGGAATGCCAAGTCACCACATGAAGGGACGTCAGCTACCTTAAAGACCAACAAGCGTCTACAACTCACTGTGGGTGACAAAAGATTAGAACATACTTCATTGCTAAGCAATTGAGGCTTTTTTGTATTGTTTCTTCTTGCAGCATAATCTAACCTATACTTACTGATACACTTAGTCAAATTCACCCTTTATGTATGTAGTCTGTCTCTAAGCTTCATTCATTTAATCAATATTTATTGAGTATCTATTACGAGCAATCCCCTCTTCTAGGTATCTAGGATACATGAGGGAACCAAATACACAAAGATCTCTGTCCTCATAAAACTTACATTTCGCTGGGAGAGACAATACATACAAAGCATAATAAGTAAATTACACGGCATGTCAGAAGATACTAAGTCCTAAGGAAAAAAGAAAAAATAAAATAGGGTAAGGTTTAGGAGTTCTAGGGGTGGAGTGGGAGTGAAGCGGGGGCAGTCAGGTTCAGTTTTAAATAGAGTGATCTCAGTTTTCTCATCTGTAACTTACTGTACCCACAACACTGAGGAACAGAGGAGAAAACGTGCTTTAAAATGCTCAGAAATTTTTAAATGCTATACAGTACTCGTATTCATTGCCATTACTGTTATTGTTAATATTTAGTAGCAACAGAGGATTCTCCTGGGTCACTATTATAGGAAATAAGGGAAGTTTGATATGATTTGCCTAGAAATAGTATATATTTGGAATATATAAAATTGTTCTGGTACTCTGTTTATATGTTTAAATATTCAATGATTAAGATACTTATCTCTTAGTAAGCTGCCTCTGGTTCAGAATGTTTTTATTTGCTGAAAGGAGACCTCAGAGTAACTTAAGAAACAGAAATATACCAAAAGTACATTTTGCCTCTTACGATACGAGAAAATTTATTACTTGATTGCCGTGTTCCAATTTCACAAGTTTTGGTGAAATTTTAGCTTTCAGTATAAAATAGCCACTTCTTTAGAAATATCAGCTAAAGTTAAGGGTGGACAGATGGCCATGAAGACAGATTTTGATATCCTAGCGGCCTATTTCCTGTTTACTTCTGAATCTTGGAGCAGCAAGAGTAGTCAATTCTAGGAGAGAGAGCAAACTATGTCTTCATATGTAGGCTCCTAAGCAATGTAACAAAGCCGAATATAGTATTTCTAGATCTAATAACAACAAATCAGAAAACAGTATAAAGAAAGAAAAAATGTCACAAGGAACTGACATAATGAAAAAACAGACTTCATGCTAGAGTAAACCCAGACTAGGAAGCCACAGACCTATTCACTATCTTCTAGCTGTTTACCTTTCTCTGCTTCGTTTTCTCAACTTTAGAATACGAACAGCTCATGTGCATAGCTCACATGTATGTGTAAGGATTTTAGAGAGTTGAATGATTTGCAAACTGTAAAGAACTATGATAAATGTTATTATACCCCTCCAGAAGCACAAGAAGCTGTGTAAATGAGTAATTTATGATTGACCAATTCAACAGGCCAGATAACAAGTCTGGAGAATGTCCAAAAGTAGGTAGAAAATGGGAATTAGCCTTTAAGTAAATGAAACAGCATGAAGGCGCTGCAGACCTAGACCACTGTTTTCCAAATTGTGGGTCATACAACCCATTAACGAGTTGTGAAATCAATTTAGTGGGCTGTAACCAGTGTGATTTCTAGTGAAATAACATAGAACAGACAATATCAGAATGTAATGCAGTTCCATCATTGTCAAGAAATTTGAAAGCCACTGACCTATACTATTAGAAAGCTTAAGAAAGTTGTGCCCTCATCATAAATTTTAAAGATGTAGATATAGATAAGTTTCTTAACATATATTTTTATAAGATTGACAAATAATAAGGCAAAATTCATAAGTGTCCTACACTTATGTCAAAATATCCTACAATTAGTCTCCCTAGCCACACCTCCATACAAATTAATACAAAAACAACAATTGAAAATCTTCCCTAACATAACTTCGTGTAAAAACAAAAGTGAAGGTGGGAGGAGGATAAGGAGACCAAAAAAAACCAAACAACCGTTTAGATCACAGACCACAGGCAGTGTAAACATTCTGCTCTATGGGCTAATGAGTTCCAATGTGGTGTACTCTGCTCAGTTCTGGGTAGCACATACTAAGGGTACTCTGAGAGGAAAAGATGCAGACTCGCAGGACACAGAAGACCCTGAAGATAGGAGACTACCCTGGGCATGCTTAGCCCAAAGAAGAACGAAGGAGGCTCGTGGCTGCTGTCTTCAACCCATATCACATCGCTCTCATTATATTTAACCTTGGGAAAGCTTGCCACTGCACTTAGAATAAAATGTGAATTGCTCCTACATCCAGCCCTGTCTTTTCTTCACTCAGTTCCAGCAGACAGAGCTTATCCTGTATCCACCTTTTGTATGAAATGCTCTTCAGTCTACCTGGGACATTATTTCATAGCTGCCTCTTTTATATCCTTTACATCTCAGTTTAAATATCACCTTCTCAGAAGGGACTTGCCCCACCTCACTCTCTCCAAATTAGTTCCCCAACTGGCCATTTTCTGTCATATCACTAATAATTCATCCTAGTTTTTTGTTTGCTTTATTATCTATTTCCTCCCACCATAAGGTAAGCTCCCTGAGGACATGGACTTGTCTTGCTCAGGCTACATTCCTTGTCTCTAGAATAGCACCTGCATATAACAGGTATGAAAACTATTTTTTGAATCAATCAGTTCAGGCAGAATAAATAAATTGTACCTGGAGAACTCCTTTTCCACTTCCCCCTTTCTTTCTCTGCATCTTCATCACTTCACCACCACCACAAGCAATTGAACATTTATACAGTTCATTACAGTGTTAAGAAAACACTTGCATTCATTATATTATTTGGTCAGGGACTGTTTAGGAGTTAAGGGACAACATAGGATGGTTATTACCTGCATTTCTAGTTTTATAAATCCAGACACTGGGTTTTAGAAAAGTTAATACATGGCTTGATAAAGGTCCTACAGAGCATGCAAATCCCAAATTCTTCCCAAAGCATCATGCTTTTTCTCATGCTCACAAGAAAGCAAGAGGAAAAACATGGCTGGCACATCATGAACTGGGGAGATACAGTCAGTCAATAATCAGAGTGGGAAGCTAGAGGACACCAAACTGTAAAGGGCGCTGAATGCCAGGCCAAGGACCTTGCATGACATTCTTCAGGCAACAAGGAACCAAGGAGGATTTTGAGGAAAGTAACACAATCAGATAGTGTCTTTGAGGAAGATAACTCTAGTGGAAACACACAGAATGGATTATGAAGAAAAATATCAGAAACAAAAGAGTGTAATCTCTTAGTCCAAATGTGAAGTAATTGTTGAGTAAGGATGAGGGAACGGAAAGTAGAGATATTTTGAGACAATGTATGTGGTGGTAGCAGGGAGGAAGCAGAAAAACAAGTGAAGACCTGTTAGGATATTTTTCTGTTTTGAAGATCTGAACATAGTTTGAACATGCAGCAATATCAGATTTAGTATTTGTAATTTTCAATCCTTATATTAAAGGAATTACTACTATGCTATGTCATCATACTTTTAAGAATTGGTTCTGAAAACTAATTGGAAATGTGGCCACCTATACAACTTTATTTGCTACAGAAGACAGACTACAGGTTTTATTGTATGTTGATTTATTATGGAATGAAAAGATACAAATAAGAGACACAAAATGAATAGACAATTGAAAATGCAAAGACTTGCCAATCTCTTAAGGACTGTTAAATACAAAATAGTTTTGGAAGTGCACGATCCTATTAATGAATTAAAATGAGTTAAAATCGTATCTTGATTTTTCAACAAAAATGTATTTTGAAAATATAAATGCATAAGATGTTTTTAAAATCCTATATATCTTTGCATTTTAAAATTAAATTCCTGAAAATACCTCCTTTCCAAAGTTAAAAGAAATTTGGCTCCAGTACAAACTTTGTTTAAAGTAAACTTACTCAGATTTTTCTTTATGAACTACATAGAGATTTCATTTATTTATAGTTTCACTGAAATTTATACCTGCTCTATGGATGAATCATGACCTATAGATTGTATCCTCAGTAAAATTAAAAAATGAATCAACATACAATAAAATCTATAGTTCTACTGTGTTTTCTATAAGCAAAATAAATTTGCATAGGTCACCACGTTTTCAATTACTTTTCAGTGCCAACTCTGAGAAGAAAACTTAAATTTGCTCTTAAAAATATATGACAACATAGCAGAGTAATACTTTTCCAAAAGTAAAAATTAGGGTCAATTTGTCATCAAGAATGTCTGTCAGGATTTCTATCCTTGCTATTTTATACATATTGTATGTTAGCAGAGAATTTTTCCTGATTCTTCTAAGTAGGATTTTTATGGAGTCCAAAGAGCCTTAGTAGACTGGAGTCCAAATTTTAATTATTTGTATTCAATGCACTATGCTTAGTGAACTTTAGTTTTAAACAATCAAAATCTTCAGTTCACAGAGAAGACAAGGGATAAAGGAAATTTTCTTATTTTAAGGATATATTTTTTCTCAAAATAATATGTAAAACAAAAAATACTTGTGAAAAAATTATATTCTATGATTCATCTGTTAAGAAAACAGTCTCATTTCTATTTTTTCACTGCTGTATTTCAGGTATGTCTTAGAATGCTTAGTAATTATGGGCATGAGCATATGTTTATTTATAATGTGTATATATACACACATTATATATATAAAACAATATATATTATATAAATATACATAATGTATATATATTACATATATATAATTACATGACCCTAGGTAAGTTGATTTTGATAAAACTTGGTATGAGAAATTCATAATGAATTATTAAATCTATTCAAATTAATTTTACTCTATAATTTCTACTAGCATATCACCTCAATTTGGAGATGCATATATGTTCTTAAATTCTGTTTAGAACTTTTACAAGAGGCAGTATCAGGTAAACCAAACAAAATGGTTAAGAAGTGGGTTTCATATAATAATGCTGGATCCTTCAGACTGGATAACTACAGCAGGCTCAGAGACAGTCTGCAAAGCAGCATGTAAACAACACACGTGTGTGCATGAGCAGGGGCATGTGCAGGTGTGTGTGTGTAATTGTAGCCTGGCATTTCTAACTAAACTAGTGACAGAATGCTTTTATGACATTCTTCTATTCAGATGAGTAATATAAAGTGAAAACATGCTATCTACTAGTGATAAATGGCCCTGGCTTGGAACAGTCCAAGGTTTTCTCTATAGAACTCCTCCACTCTTTGTATTGCATGTACTGTAACTTCCCCAATAAAACTTTATTAAAGTGCTGGGCAAACTTATCCATTTCTTATGGAATTTCATGTCAAATTTCTTTATTCAGGAAAAATTATAACGCTCTATGAAAATAAATGTGAAGTGAAAGGAGAAAAAAACTATGTTATTCAGCATCACTGTGAAATTTCATTTTCTCAAAATATTTGACAAAATTGAAATCCTGTTAAAAATGCAAAGCATTATCTTTCTAACACTCTTGAAATTAGGATACAATATTTTGTAATTCAGCAAATATTAATTGAGTACCTACTTACGTTTTAGGTACTGTTTTAGAAATATAGAAAAATTCGATGACAGGTTCAAGGCCACACGGAACCTTAGGTAACAAAGCCAGAAAAACTTAAAATCTCTAGTCAACTAATTCAGATGCTCATTTCACTATTTTGTTATTTAGTATAACTCATTTGTTCCTCATCAGGCCATTTAAAAGGTTTTTATTTCATATCTCAAAACAATTTTATTAAAAAAAAGGCTTTCTATGAAATTATGACACCAAAGATGAGCACCATTAAATTTAAGCAAACTTATTTTTAACATAACTTTTACTTAATTCTGATTGTCACCATTTGATCTAAGTCCTGTATTTACAAGGAGAATATATAATTTGAGGAGTTTTAAGATAAGCCCTATCACTCCTTTTAAGTTACTCAATTTAAAAATGATCTCCTTTAGTAATTTCTATTAATTCTAAACAATAACACTCACAGCCATATACTTTATTTTAATAAATAAAAATTTACAAACTACTATTGTATTTTTAAATGGTCAGGTGAAGTCTTCTTCCAAGAGACAGCTTAATCACCATATTATCTATTATTAAATGTACAATAAAAGGACTTTTCTATGGCAATAGTTAAACCAGACTTATCAGCATTTTTTTTTTTAACTCAGTGTCTGCCTGAGGTCAAGTTAACAGAAGTATCCAACTGTCATATTAGAGGAAACCTTATACCTAATAGAGAGTTGCAGGCATCTGTTCAGGACCTGGTGATTTTTAAAATAGTTTTATTAAGAATGTAAGAGCTGGCATGTAATTGGTATACCTCTTATCTTTTAATCACACATACACAAAGTAACTGAATGAAATTATATTGTGTCTCTTACCTAAAGAATGTGCAGCTGTGGTTTTTGAGCTGAAAAACCGGCCAAGCCCAAGATCTCCAAGTTTTACCACCCCAGTGGCTGTAATGAACACATTAGCTGGTTTTATATCTGTGAATAAATGAAGGGATCAGGTAAAAGATGATAGACATTTTAGAAATTTTAAAGGAATTAACAACTACTTTTCGTGACAGAATTTAAAATTTATTTTAATCATGAAAGTTTGATTTATGAACCAATTAGTTTATTTTGAATAATTCTGATATATCCTAATACCTAGGAGTTCTCGATTCTCTGCTAGACAGCTAATCATCAATGTAGCATGATGAACATGATTATTAATTTCTATTTCAAATGCATTTTGTTTTCCATTTTCAAAAAACCTGTGAAATTCAAAGCACAAAATACACGTGTCCTTTTGATATCAATTTTAAATAAAATATCTTAATAAAAATTAACTTACTGGTAGATTTGCATAAAATATAAAACCACGACAACACTATAAGGCACATATTTATTTACTTAGATGGCTTTAAAAATCTTAATTGCATAAATGAATTGTATTAAAATTTTTCACACTTCAGTATCAGCGGATCAATTACTTATTGATGTAATGTTAACACACTCTGCTCAACCACTTGAATGAAAAGAATGCTGAGCTAATACTGAATATTAAAAATCTAAGTGGTTATGATATACATTGTTTATTTGAAGAAACAAAAAACTCTTCCTTATATATATTTGATTGCTGTCTTATCTTTACCAACAGCATCTTACTGGTTAGTAAGATGCTCAAAAGAGTCAAGCAGATTAATTTACATTCTTATTTAAAACCTAGTAGTGCTTTATTTAAAGGTTTAACATTCTAGCATAATTATAATTTGAAAATAATTACCTGAAAAAGTATGGTATTATGTACTGACTTGAAGACATTTACTTTGAAGAACTTACATCATTTAAAACAAGATTAAAAGTACTTAATGATTTTATCTTACCTCTATGCATGACTCTTCGAGAATGCATGTGTTCCAATGCACTGCAAAGCTGAACAAAATACTTCCAAACAGTTCTTTCAGGAATTAGCCTCTTTTGCTTCTTAAAATGCTTTTTGAAAATTAAAAATAAGAACTATAAAAACTAAAATTTCTCAAGACTGGATTCTGGTAAGCAAAAATCCGTAAGTCAGAAAAACAGCTAATTTTATCTACCATTATCAACTAAAAAGCATATGATCTTTATACTGAAATTATTCCAATAATTTTATCTGACATAATGGCTTAAGTTTTTTTCCTATTATAACTAAGGTTAGCGGAAACTGTGTAACAGTACCTTTTTGTGATGTCCCACTATTTCAAAAAATTAACATCTATATAAAACAATTTCTTGTCTTAAAAGGAAGATGTCAAATTTGATTTTAAGAAGAGCCAGAATAAAAAAGTCTAGATACCAGTAGGTAATTATGTTCATTAAAAGACAATTCTTCTCCTGGCAGAAGGTTTCACTACAGAATTCCTTTTAAATATTGAACCACCCTGGTGATTTGAAATATCATAATTTATTAAAAATTAAACAAATAAAAGGAATTTATGTAGAAAGTTTTCATGAATATTTCTACTGCACAATGCAAGTCAAACTTGTACTTTGCTTTGAATGAATGAAACTAAACTCCATGGAAGAAAAACCTTACAGGAATGCCCAGGCAAAAAGCTGACAGCACCAATAGGCTACTTAGGAGAGGGGTCCTGGCACATAAGAGGGCAAATACTACAATAATTGTAAAACCAGAGGTACTTATTTATGCTCATTTTTTCTACAATAAATCTGCTAGAAGACTATACTAATAATATACTACTTCAAGGACAAAGTTCTTAGCTTCATAAGACTTACAAAGATTCAACACATAAAAATTATTTTTCAAAAACAAAATGCAACTGGTTTCCCATTTAACAATACCTATAAATGACCAACATGAATATTGCATTGTAATAGGTTTCCATAAAATTTTCTAATAATTTTAACTGTTTTAAAATATATATAGGTATTAAAATTTAAATATGTACTTTAATGCAATTTATCCAAAGACATTTTGAGAAGTCCAACTAAATTGATTTTTTGTTATTGAATATGGAGGAACTATACTTGAGAAAATTCTAAAACAGCTACCTTTCAGTTTTTACACCTGTGACCAGCTGAGGGCAGGCTGAATGGAAAAACAGTACAAGGAAATCTGCTGATATCCTTACTTCATACTTAGCAAAAAATTATATCTACTGTCTCATATGTACTCAAGGTATGTACCAAAAGATAAATCTTTAAGGAAAAGCTAATAATCTTAGTTTAATCTTTCTTATAACACATATTACAGAAATAAATTTATTAGCAATTTCAATAGTTATTATATCAGTAACATTACATCCCAAAGAATAAATAACAATTAGATGACCAGGTAATTAAAAAGCAAATCAGGGTCTTACTAAAATGTTAGAAACCTCCCATATCATGTTTCAATACTAAGTCTTTTTAATTGCAGACTGTGTCAACATCAGTTTTCATTCAAAGGGGGCAATGCTACAAAATCAGTTCTTTACACATAATTTTCTTTCAGACTTGGAATGAGTCCAAATAAACCCTGTATATGTGCTCTCCCTGATGCTGGATTAGCATATCAGAGGACTGTTTGATGTCAACAGGAAGATGGGGACCAGGTTTCTTTTCATTCAAAAATAAATATAACATATCATGTGTGTATCAGACCATGAAAACAAATTTTTATGCTTTAATACGGATTTTGAAATCATCATAATTATAATGTAGTTGGCAGTTTACTTTTTAAATACCATTATAAAAAAGAAATCAAATCTAAAAGAAAAGGCATAATTTAAAAATTGCCCCCAAATTGCACAATAGGGAAGACGTTACCGGACCAAGATAATCTGATTATTTTCATGTTTTTGTATTCTTTGAGACTGTAACTTACAAGTTAAACCTGATGACAAGAAGCTGAATTCAATATACTACTACTCAGAATGACCTGGTCTAAGAGTTAAGTATCCAAATTCGTTATAGGCCTTTAAAGAATGACATGAATTTGACTTTTTCACAAAATAAAGGCAGTTTCATTATGCCATTAGTATCTCTCATTATTTTTAATGTGTGTGTTTAAACATATGTGGTTTTTAAACCATTCCTTAAGTATAGGGTTTTGGGGGTTTGTTTTTTTTTGTTTTTTGAGAAAACCAACACTTAAAATGAGAAAAGCCTGTCTGTTCTGATGGTGGCACTGTTGGCTATCTCTTAAAAGAGGATGAACAGCAAAAAGGCAATGAAAATTCGAATTCTTTTTACTATGGGTAAAATGTATATTAGCACTACAAAGCAGGAACTTCCATAAAGCCAAAGAATTTAAAAAAAGAAAGGACAATCTTCTCTTAAAATTTATTCTAATAAACACATATCTTTTTAAAAGTTAATTATCTAGCCAAAGAGCATTATTGTTTGAAAATCCTGTTTCCCTTGAAAAAAGGCAGCCCTATATAAATGTTTAGCTCTGATTAAAAAAAAAAAAATCTAATGCCAACGTGTAAAAAGTAAAAATGTACATATATTTGTTATATAGTAAGTTTTTAATATAGCAATAAATAATGTAACCAATCCATCTAAAAGTTGGTATCAATATAAATATTTATAAGAAAATGAAAGAATATGTGACAGGGCGCTTTTACAATATTTATGCTATGAAATAGAATTGCAACTTTTTTATAGTTGAAAATAAAGTATCTGAAAATTTATGGGCAGGCAAAAATAAACACCCAGATATACCTGATCACTTGGACATAATTTTGTTTAGTCTTTTTTTTTTTTAAGTAGGCTAGTCTTTTCCCTATGCAAATCTTCAAATACTATTTACTTTAAAAGTAACTTTTCCACTTTTATCAAAATTATTCAAATAAATACTGGATATTATTCAAACAGAAAAATCAGATGTGACAAAAAGCTAATCAATTTACATATAAAAGTATGTATATACAAACATCAGATTATATTATTTCTGACTTATGTGTAAGAAGATTACCATCATTTCACTTAGGTGAAATTCAGCATATCTGGTAAAACCCATCTGCGTCACCACCTAAGTGATTTATATTAATATAAAAAGGGCTATAGCTGATCCAAGCTGTCTCCTTTCAAAGATTTTGGGAAAATAGTCACATCTTAATAGACACACTCTTTTTAAAATTATTCATCTCCAAACATCCCACTACAAATTAAATGACCAAGACCAAATCCAATTATATAGTGGACAGTGAATATCTAAGTATCATTTTTGAACTCCATTGAGTAACTTGGTTCCTGCATTCTAGACATTACAACTCCAAGTAGAATATACACTGCTTATTTCTGAGTTATATAATTCTAATATTCTTCCTCAAGAAATCTCAGGAAGAGCTTCAGTGATATTACCCAGCATAACCTCATCAACAGAGAAAGATAGAAAATGATCTTATTTTACAAAAAAATTACTATTCTCTGTGGCATATCAAAACATTTAAGCATAAAGTTTGACATGTTAATCTTTAAAAAAGAAAATTTCAGGCAAAATATCTGGAACTATCAGGGTCAGCTTCATGGGCAGGAAACCTGTGTTATGCAGGTCTGGCACTTGGGGTTTAAAGCTCTGTTACTGCCATCTTAAAAATTTTTAATTTTTAACAAAGGGACTTGCAATTGTGTAGCCAACCCAGGGAATCATACACTAAGCATCCTTTAGAAATGTACTGCTGTGGTTAAAAAAATAAAAAACAAACAAACAAAAAAATGCAATCCTGGTGTGCAAGGTGTTTTTGAAGAGGATTAGGAAAAATGTTAATTAAATGATGAGAAATAATGAAGTCATAAGAGAACTAGAATTACAGGCACCAGCTGCTCTCCATTTCTTCCAAGTATCTAGTAAGAGGAAGTAAGTGATTTATGTTAAATATAAGGAAGCATTTCCTGCTTGGAGTGTTGTCAAATGTTTAAATGTGCCACTAACACAATCCATATCCATCTTATAATAATAGACCTGATTATAAGGTTTGACAGTAACTGGTTGTGTGACCTTGAACAAGCCATTTAACCTTGATGGGTCTCAGCTTCCTCACTCTATTATAAACAGAGTTTGGAGATGATCTATGACGTCTCCACCACTTCTAAAATATAATCTGTGGGTCTACAGTCTTAGTTTCAAATAAAACAGAAATAATAAATGTCTGTTTGGCACATTTCATACTTAAAAATAATAGTTTCTTGGTATGCCTTATCCTTCATATATCCAATTAGTAAAAACAAAGCAACAACAAAAAAACCTCAGAGATCCCTATTGGTCCATTTAATACTATAAAAGGTCTTAACATGAGATGACAAGCAGTTAGAATTCTTTGTTATAAGTTTGTAATTAGGTCAAACATTTACCATCAGAGGGGATGTTAAGTTCTCAAACACAGCATTGTAATTATAATGCAATTTTATAAGACTATATTTTGTCGTGGTTATTTCAAAGAATTAAATTCACAGAGACTGGGTGATGAAAAAGATAGGATGCTTCTGGAAGTATAATGGACAGTTCTAAGTGTGATTTTTATCATTTATTAATCTTTCTATGGAAACATTTTTCTTTGGAAGGCATAATGAGGTATCAACAAACTAAACTTCACAAATATTTGCTATACATAATTGTGGGAAATTATATAAAATTAAAATTTTGGTATGTAACACTAATTTACAGTGCATAAGTATTTTCTCTTTTGGCACAATGAATACAATTCAGATATCTTAAGTTGCATTAGAAGGTGTAAAGTAGGATGGGCCTGACAGTCATGAGATCACTGAGAATACTTATCACTAGCATCTCATTTTATCTTCTTATCCAAGGTCTACTAGTCTTTGTCTTTTCCTGTAATGTTGGAAAATCTATTAAGAGTGCTAAGCTGTTTTTAGATTATAATAGAATATAAATATAATCAATTCATTCCCAAAAGTTAAAATGGTGCAAGTTATTAATGCAAGCCAAAAATATATTTCATCTTAGGGTAGAAAATGTGAAACAGAAAATATTTTTCATGAGCAATTACACCTTGAGGGAAAAAAACCTCTTAAATTATTTAGCAAACAAGAAAACTAAGTACCCATAAAGTCACAAAACTTCCCCAAAACAGTTGCCTCCTGAAAACTGGTACATCAATATCAAGGCAACTTATTTAGAATATTAAAAAACTAAAAGATCAACAATAAAAACACATGAATGCATCAGAATTACTAAAAAGAATGGTCCCTGCATTGCTGCCATGTGAATAATTCTTAAGAGAAGTTTCCACATTACTAAAACTGATAAGAAAATACTTGGAAATACTTAAAATGTTTTCTCTATTGCATCAGAGTACTAGTGATAGATAAAGTGAGATTAAAAAGAACAGTCAGTCAGTCTTCGAGGAGAAATAGAAGGTCACAAAGATAAACAGAAATATTTCCCTCTTTAATAAATTTTCTTGCTATGTTATACTAGACAACACTAAGAGAGTTGAAGAGATATTTTAATTTTCATAATGAACAAAGAAAACACAGCAGAACAGTAAAAGTATCTCAATTGAAATCTAAAGGAGAGAAATTAAGATGCTTAGCATAATGGTGTCTGTATCCCTTATCTTTACTTAAGTGTCTACAGTTACCAAAATTACTGCTCACGATGGTATTACATGGTTTACAAAAGGGAGCTTTATATCATTATCATCTTCAAATGTAAGGAGCAATAAGCTCCTTCAAAATTATCTTCAATTTTTTCCAAGCAAACAGAGTTCAAAGTTCGTACATCACCTTTTATTTATGCTCACAGAATTAAATAATGGTCATTTCACGGTATAAAGTGTTCAATTTCCTAAAATCTCTAAGTTCTATACTGCTTCGACTTCAAACTACTTAAGTATCAAGGAAAACCCAAGTGATATTTTATCTGTAACATTGCTCTTAAAAAAATAATTCTATACAACACACCTACATATACATACCATATGTAGACATAAATTTATACAGATATAGACACATAGATGTACATATGTTATGTATAGGTACCTAAGTAAATGTATCTATGTGTGTGTGTGTGTGTGTATATATATATATATATATAAAATATAAATTTTTAATTTATATATATATAAAATAATATTCAATCCTGGGTAGTTTTTTCAGATAGTGCTAACTTGCAACCTTAGGACTTCAGAATAATTCTAAAATGAAATATAAGACAGGTGATGATCTCATACAAAAGACTTAGTGGGAAACTGCATTTGGAATCACTGGCAGTTCTCATAATTGTCTGATATGGGCTATACACTTTGTCCAGATGCTGAAATGGAAAGTGTGGGTATCCTGGTAAACAATAAATCAGAGTTATCAAAGAGAGATGGGACTGCTGGGAAACCTTTATTGCTTTAAGGATCCAAAGGCCAAGAGTGTAAAAGACATTTCAAAGTGATTTTATTTCCAATACAACCTCTACATTTGGATAAGGACAAATAAAGATGTGTCTGCAAATGTAAAAACAGCCAAACCAAGTATGTGAACAAGATTTTTAAGTTATAATATTTGAAGATAACAGTTATCTCCAAAACATGGTTGACATTCTAGCTAATTTATTAACGTCTGTCATAAGCAGAATTCTAAGATGTACCTCACTCCCCCAAATTCTCAAGTCCTGTTGTATAATCCCATTCTCTTGAATGTGAGTAGGGCATGTGAATATTATGAATTACTCTCCCATTTCATATGATGTTATAAAGAAGAAGGGATTTTGCAGATGTAATGAAGGTCCCTAATCAGCTGACTTTGAGTTAATCAAGAAGGACATTAGCATGGGTAGTCATGACCTAATTGGGTGAGCCATTCAAAAAAGTCAAGAGAGATCTGAATCCAGAGAAACTCTCCTGCTGGTCTTAAGGGAACACAATGGCAGGTTGTGGAGATGAATGGGGCAGAAAATGGCCAGCAGCCTCAAGAACCTAAGGATACCCCCAGTTGACAACCAGGAGGGAAGTAGGAACTTTAGCCATACAACTTCAAGGAACTGAATTCCCCCAAAAACCAGTGAACATGGAGAAAGACCCTGAACCTCAGTGAGCTCACAGCCCCAGATGGCACCTTGATTTCAATTTTCTAAGACCTTCAGCAGAGAACCCACTAATCCTGACCCACAGGAATCTAGAGTAATAAATTTGTGTTGCTTAAAGCTGCTAAATTTGTAGTAATTTGCTATGCAGCAATAAAAAATTAATACAAAATACAGTTGTAAACACATGAAAAATCAGTATGTAAAATTAATCTTATGTATGTATAAAGAAAAAGAGTTTTAAGGCTCCTAGCAAATTTAGAAGGAATGACCTACAGGTGGTAACAAGGTAGAAAATACAAAGTCAGCAATCTAAGAAGATAGCCTATACCTAAATATCCTAGAAATAAGAAATGATGGTCTTATTTATTTATTTTGTGCAGTACCAAACTCCTGGCAGGAAACAGACATCCATTTAAATTATTTGTATTGCATATTTCACTAAAAAAATTGTAAGAATAATATTCATTTCCTCCTTAGCCACTGTGATACGGTATGACATTCTCTTGGCAGATAACAAACCTCTGAGTTTCTTCTCAAAACATTAGGTTACATTTTGTTTTATTGCTAGTCTAGCAAAACAATTTTTAAAAATATATAATATTAAATACATGCATTTACAGTTTCTTCTATTTGTCTCAAATTGACCTATATTAATTCAAATAGGTAGTTATAAATACAGGCACTTACAAATTAATTCAATGAATGAAGTATATTTTGTGAAATGAACTATGAAAATTTAAAATATATTTTAGTAACATTTCTATTGACAAGTTGAAATTTTAAAATCCTCTTATTTATATATTTTTTGAGATTAATTTCCTCTACACTGGGTCTTCATCACCAAATATGTTTCTTGACATTAGAATAGTGAAATAAACAGTATAATAAGACATACTACAAAATGGAGCATGTATGTGTCCAATTTAACTACAATAAAGAAAATATATGGCATACACAGCACAATTTAACTGAAATCTGTTTTGTAAGAGTCGATTTTCCTTTAAAATTCTGATTGCTGATAATGAAGAAATTATGATGAAAAATTCTAGATTTCCTTTTATCCTAAAACTCATCTGGGAAGTATTTCATCTGACCACAGCCTCAGGTATTCCTTTGTCACTAATTAGAGAAATACTGAATATTTCAACTATAAATTGCTTAATTATATTTGTCAGCCTGCTCTGAACCAATTAATTATTTACTTGTAAAAATCTTTGATGCAATGCTATCCAGAGGTTCATTTCTGGAATACAGACCAGAAGCTATATTTCCTCTTGTACCCCAATTAAGCTGAAGACTTGAGAGAATGAAATATATTGTTATGATGCACAATGATTTACAATATTACTCACTAAAAAGAAATGAATCATGTTCATTACAATTCAAGCATTCACTGCTGTCCTTTGTAAAGCTTTAAGGCATTGTTCTATTCCTTCACAAAAGAAGTTCCTATGATTTTTTTTCCTGATATAATCTATTTTATAAAGAACTGCTTACAGAACTAATAAGCATGTTCAGAAAACAATTTTAGAATTTCTTAACTACCCAACCCCACTCCCGTAAAAAAATACACTGAATATCACAGCAACTCTCTATGAAACGAGAGCATAAAGCAGCAGGAAATTGCTGTGACAGTTATACAACCACCCATGTTATCTACTGAGCCCTGGAACAGAGAAGTGTAATAGAAGTAAAACAACCAACTTCTATACATCTATTCACTACATATTTATTGAAGTTGGTGCTATGAGCTAGAAGCTGAAGATAGCCAGGCAAGCAAAGCCAGCATGGTCTCTGTGCTCAACAGAAATTTAAGTCTAATGGGAAATACAAACACCAATAAAATAATTACACACATGAATACATGATTATATTACTAAGTGCTATGTAGGAAGGGTACTCTGGGAGCACTTATACCATAAAGTACTCTACGAGTCAAAGGAAAATGCTTGAGGAAGTGATACCTAAGTAAAGAACTGAAGTACCAGCAGAAATAAAGTCAGCCAAGAATGGAGAAGAAGAGCATCCCAGGTAAAATAAAATCACATTCAAGGAAATGAAAGGCCAATGAGCCACAGCAAGAGCAGGAGTCAGATTCCATAGCAAATATATGCTGAGCACAAGCTCTGTGCTAGGCACTGCTCTAGGCACTTGGGATATGTGAATACACAAAACGGACTCGGATCCTCTCTGAGGGAGCGTATCTTCTGTATCACACAAGGCTTGCTGAATCTTGCCAAACATTTTAGTCTTTACCCTTAAAGTGAAAACCTAGAAAGATGTGATTGAAAGGAAGTTTTTCTTTTTTCTTTGTTTCTCTCCCTTCTAACGTCTTAAAGACTGATGGAGAAACGGATTTAAGGAATGGGTGCTGGATGTTGGGAGACAAAAAGCTCTCGCTCTCTCCAAATGAGAGACGATAGGGAGAGAAATGGAAAGGGAGCTGGGTGGAGAAATTTGAAAGGCATTTAGAAGAAAAAATAAACAGAATCTGGTGAGATTGAAAAGAAGAGGTAAGGGAGAGTGAAATGTCAAAAAAAAGTCCTGGTTTCCAGAGTGCACGAGATAAACTGGTGCCAGGCCTCGAGTTAGGGAACATGGGAGGATGGGTAGTCTGTAAGGAATTTGTTTACAGACATATTGAGCCATATAGAGTCAGAATTTAAAGAGCGCTCCATGCTAAAGATAAAAAATTGGAAGTCAACAAGAGTATAGAGAGTAATTGAATCCGTAGGTATGAATGAGATCAGCTATAACGTAAGAACATTAAAAAAAAAAAGTCAAGGACTGAAACTTAAAATTCCATCATTAAAGGCCAGGAAGAAGAGAATGAGTCAGTTAAGAAAAATGATAGTCTCCAGAGAGGTAGGAAGAAAATCAAGACACTGTGGGACTCAATAAGCCGATGGAGGAGTGTTTTAGGAAGAGAATGAAAAGCAGAGCCAAATGCTGCTGAGAAATCAAGCAGAATGAAGACTGGACAAAGTCCTCTGGTTTCATGAGAGAGGTCATTGAAGAGCCATTACGAGTGGTAGGTTGGAAAGAGGGTCAGGAGTAAGTGTCTGACTGTGAAGGAAAAAAAAGAACTAGGGTAGTAATTGAAGGAAAAGGCAGGCAGAGGTGAGGGTGGTAGGACTTAAGAGGGTCTTCTGAGATCATCTTACTTAAAATAGCAACACACAGGCTGGACACAGTGGCTCACACCTGTAATCCCAGCACTTTGGGAGGCTGAGGCAGGTGGATCACCTGAGGTCAAAGTTCGAGATCACCCTGATCAATATGGGGAAATCCCATCTCTACTAAAAATACAAAAATTAGCCAGGTGTGGTGGTGCACACCAGTAGTCCTAGCTACTAGGGAGGCAGAGACAGGAGAATTGCTTGAACCTGGGAGGCAGAGGTTGCAGTGAGCTGAGATCGCACCACTACATTCCACCCTGGGCGACAGAGTGAGATTCCATCTCAAAAAAATTAATTAAATAAATAAAATAAAATAGCAACACACCTCCTCCAAACTCCTTATTTAATTTTTCTCAATTGATTTATCAACATCTGGCATATCATATATTCTACTTGCTTTTAGCATTTTATTTGACTTCCCCACTGGAAAATAAGTTTCTTGAATGAATGAATGAATGAATGAATGAATGAGGAACAGGTGTGTGTGCATGTATATACATGTAAATATGTTTAAAATAACAGTGACCTGAGCATATTTAAATGATGAGAAAAGGCACTCAGAAGTGCACAATGGTTATAAATCTAGGACTGGGAACAGATAATGATAGGAATTAAGATTTCTGAGAATACAGGCAGAGAAAGGATAGAGAACCCAGGTGGAGGGACACATAACAATCCCTCCTATCTAACAAGAATACGGTAACAGGAGAGAAGGAGGAGAGAACAGTAACAGACACAAGTAGGTCTAGCAGGTTCAGTTATGGGAAGGTGAGGGTGCTCCTGTCTAGTGACTTCTAAATACTCTGTAAAACTGGAGGAATAAAGTCAACTTTGAAGAGTAGAAAAGGGTAGATTTGTATGATGCAAGGGGGCTAGAAGAAGAGTAGTGATCAGAGGTTTAAATGGAATAAAGAAAATGTGAATACCTATCAGATATCATACATGCATACAGGCACAGATGGATGGGTATGTGCACATACATTTGTACATATGTCTTTAAAAAGTATATATATAAACATACTATATATTATATTACTTAACCATCATAACAACACTGTAAGACAGGTATTACTGACCCAATTTTATTGATGTAGAAACTGGCTCAATCATTAAGATTAAATAACTAGGACAACTGATTAAAATCCTTTAATTGCCATCTGAATTCACCAGTGTAGTTTCAGAGATCCTGTTATAATCATCCCTTATAACCCACACTTTTCCTTTATATAACTCATTACAACTGCAGGTATATAGTTTTATATTAGTATTAGTCAAATGCCTGTTTCTCCCACTGGATGATGAGTTCCAAAAAGCCATGAACCATGCACCTGGCACATAGTAAATGTCTAATAAATGAAAAAATAAAATCTAGAGCTATTTTTTAAAAGCTACAAATTGGTACTAACTATTTAAGGGACTAATTTGGCAATAGCTATTATCATTTAAAATGTGCATACTCTTACTCGGCAATGTTTATATGAATCTATGTAATAGAAATAGACAATAGAGTATGTATAGATATAGTTGTATTGATGTAGATAAGGCTTTGTACTTGAGATTTCTCTGTAAGAATAAAAAATGAAAACAATCCAATTATTAACAAAGTAATAAAATAAATCGTGATGTGTCTGAGAAAGAATAAATGTATTAGTATATATTCTTATATTTAAATGGGTATAAAGATAGTAAGTAAAGTTGGGAAGGTTTTGTGCACGTAAAGGTTAGAGGTTATTTCTGGGACATGGGAGTGAGGGAGAAAAAGGAAGGACCATATAAATAAAATTGGGTCAGTAATACCTGTCATATAGTTTTATTATGATGGTTAAGTAACATAATATATAGTATGTTTATATGTATACTTTTTAAAGACATATGTACTAATGTATGTACACATATCCATCCATCTATTTAAAGGCATATGTACTAATGTATGTACATATATCCAACCACATATCAATCTTTCCTACCTGCCCAGGAAATCAACTCTTTATCTACACTAAACAATGCAGGAAGCCAGCGTGCTATAAGTTAGACTTGCAGGAAGCCAGACTGCTACCTCTAGTGACAATCTAGGAAGCTAAACAGTAACTTCTATAACAATTGATTAATAACTGACAGCTTCCCTAATTTTGTCTCTGCCTCTAACTAGGACCAACCAGAGAAAGCCAAATATGTACTCCTAACCAATCACAAGGACGTCCTGTTTCTAGTCAGCCGGTCTATAGCTTCTCTATGTCAGCAGCCTCCCATCAGGGCATACCCAAAGGCTTCCCTTTTCTTCCCTCTATGAACCTTTCATTCCTTTGCTTGCTTTTAATTCTCTGCCAAGATGCAAGTGATGACTGGCTGACTCCCTTGCTACAGCAAGCTCAAATAAATAGCTTTTGTTTTTCTCATTCGGTTATTCTTGTTTGTTTCTAGATGGTTCAACTTGTCTTCCATAGTAACAGAAGTTTAGCTGGGCATATGGCCAGCTGAATGAAGACTTTCTTTTCCAGCCTTCCTTGCAGCTAGATAGGTTCATGAGAGTACATTCTGGCCAAGGGAATGAAGTTGAAAATGTTGTGTGACAGGCAGCACTCAGGAATGTGCTTTAAGATAAAGCCAGCATGTACTCTTTGTCCCTTCAAGCCTAGTGTGACTTGATAAGCTAGAAATAGGCTGGGTCTCTAAAATACTCTTGATAGAGCAGAGCTACCATACTAGCCCCAGACTTTTATGTGACAGAGAAATAATAACAATAACAATAATAATAGCAGCAGCAGATACATTTACATAGCCTTACAATGTGTGAGGCATTCTTCTAAGCTCTTAATAAATACTAATTAATTCAATCATTACAACAATCCTATAAAGTAGGTTCTATTATTACTGTGTTTTTTAGAAAATGTGACACAGAGAAGTAACTGGCCCAAGGACAAACAGTTTTTAAGCTACTATTATTTAAGGGTTTCTATTAATTGCAGCTGAACTTAAACCCAATTAATATGCCCTTAGAAAAGAAGGTTAAACAACTTAATTATATTAATTATGAATTAATATGCCCTTAGAAAAGAAGGTTAAACAACTTTTATGTGGGGTTGATATCCAAGGTCTGACTGCAAATCCCACTTTCTTTGATGGATTCCCCCCCAAGAAACAGGTCAAGCTGCTCTAGAGTCTCTTTCTACCTCCTTTTACTCATGTCCAGAGACACAGGATCAAGCATGGTCTGCTCAGAGAATCAAACAGCAAAACTTTAACTCAACTTACAGAAGACAAGTATCTTGGCCTCTTTCCAAGTTGGTTTTGGGGTGTTTAGATATTTAAGCTGATCAGTGTAAACATCACCAAGTAAACCAGTTTCAGAATTATGATCACTAACCATCTACTATTTGTTACATATCTATCAGATAAGCTTTGCATTGAGGTCTTTAGTTTAAAATATCTAATATCCCTATGTGTTTAACAGACAATTCTATTAGAAAAAAAAACAAAACAAAACATTAAGACAATTTTTTCAAAACTTACCTTGATCATTCTGGATAGGTCGCCAGCATCTGCTAGTTCCAAAACTATGTTTAGTTCATTATCTTCAATGAATGATGCATAATATTTTATTACATTTGGATGGTTGAGTTGCTGAGAAAATAAAACAGGCATCAGAAAGTTTTCTTACTGTAAATATCCAAGAGTCACTTATAGTTTTGTACTTAAGAACAAACTTCACCGTATTTTTTAAATTACAGAAATCTTAACATGACAGTATACTTTTCTTTAGTGAATTGTGAAACAAATATTACAATTATTAAAAGTAAAACTAGGTATAAATTAATTTATCTTAATATTCTTTATTAGAAAGAATATATTTTACGTTTAAATCTTAATTTAAAAGTACTGCTATGCCCAATAAGCATATCAACAGATGCAAGAAGTAAATGATAGAATTAGGTCGCCAACTGCTAAAAATTACATCCTCAAAATGAGAACTTTCATTTAGGAACACTCAATGATAAATAAAGTATCCCTTTTTACTCCTACTTGGAAGTTATGGTTGGTCCTAGAATAACTCCAGCTAGTAGACAAAACACAGCTGGTACCTACTATACTATATCTAACTATTGCTTTTATATCAAATAACATACAGGACTTATTCATGTGAGCCAATTCATAAAATCATCCCTAAGAAAAATTTTACCTTGTAGAAATATACGTATCAGTCCCTACTCATTTGCAATCCTTTTGTTCAATCTTTAAACATATTAATACAAGATGAATTGTTTCTCTGAGAAATTATGCAGAAAGTATGGGTGACTTTCTTCTTTCTACTTAAAGTTTTCGCTGCAAATTTTCTATGATGACATGCTATTTCCACAGTAAAAGTTTACATATATTTAAGCCAGCTACTTCATGTGCCAAGAAATAACTACAACTAACAGAATAGTCAGAAAACATTGTTTTGACCTTACTTTCTTCCTTTTTGCATAAATCTGGTTCATTTTAGGCACTAACACAAACGGATGGCATAAAAAAAGAGCGAAGTCTTAACTAAAAGTTAAAAATACAACATAGGCCGCAGTATTTCTCAAAAGAAACTTCACTATAAAAGAAGCAGTGCAGAAATAACTGAAATCTCAGTCATATTCTTAGTAGATGAGAAACTAAAAAGCTAATTCCTGGCATACTCTTTACATGCACTCTGTCTAAGTCTGGAAAAAGTATTGAAACATTAGAAAATGCATGTGAACCATTTTGATTAGTCCACATTCTCAATATAATACATGTTGAGATAATGCTAATTTGCATTTATATTACTTAACCTTTAGAATATGTCTTGTTGGGGTGGTCAAGAAAAAAAAATTCTTCAATGTTTTATGCCCATTTTATCTATTTCCTACTTTGAAATGAGAAAAAAAAGCTGGTCCTACAAATGTTCTGATTATGTTATTTAACAATAAATCCAAAAAATAACTACATTCTTCAGTATACTGAAATTTAACCTTATATAATATTACTTGAAATCAGTGTAGCATAAGTCTTAAAAACCTTTTTGTGTTTAAGTGTGATATTTTAGTAAATCACTTTTATCACCATGTTATGTTCAAAAGAGTCAACAGTTCATTAATTACCTTAAGAAGATCTATTTCTTTGATGCAATCAGCACGTGCTTTGGCATCCATTAAATCAAATATCTAAAAACAGAACCCAGAATTACTTAATAAAATAATAACCTATGGTTCAAGCTATTGTGTAAATTCATTTTAATACTCTACATGTAATTATTTGTACACTAAGGAATTTTCTTTCTGATTAGCTTTTCTTTATTAAGGAGTTCTGTAGGTATCTTATGTTACCAACATTGCTTACATTTTCAGCAGTCAGTATTTAAAAAATGGATAAAGAGAACAGGTAGATACCCCTTAACACTCAGGTCTTAAGTTCCAATGAACAAAATTAAAGTTGTGATTATTAAGATGATAAAGTAATAGCTAATATATGTTGAGCAATTAATATATGCTAAATGTACTGCACAACCTTATGAGGATGATAATAGTAGTATTCCCATTTTACAGATGAAGAAGAGAAGCTTTAGAAAGCTAAGGAGAATGACAAAAGGTCACACAGCTAATCAACAGAGCAAGCAGAATTCATTCTCAGAGTTATCCATCTAGAACCCAAGCACTGAACCATTAATCTGTTCCATCAAATCATGTCTAAAAGGTCTGATGCATGCATTCTTGACAAGGGTGATATCATTCCAAGGGGGTGAAAATTGGTTCTTTGTGGAGAAGGGTAACAAAATTTTACTCTATTAAGTATAAAGTATAGATACACATACAGTACTACACATAAACAGATATACTGTATTTGTGGAATTAAAATTTCATGGGTAGAGGTAATTAGGAAGAAATGTCTAAACAGGCAGCTTGGGGGGAGGATAATGAAGAAAAGGTTGAAAAATATTAACCTACTGTTAAAAACATAAAAATAAAAAATACAATCAAAAAGATATTTCATGTGTCTCTGAAAACACAAATCTCTCAAGGTTCTAAGTGTGTGGAAAATAACATTTAAAAAAGCAATATCTTAGAGACTGCAAAAAAAATCTAAGTCAGTACTGCAAGCTGATTAAAACCCTAGTTACATAACAAATAAAAAAATTAATGACATTTTTAGTAATCAGCTTGATCAAGTCTTCCTGATTCAGCCAGCTAACATTCCAGGAAAAGAAGGTACAATGTCAAAGGAGTGGCAGAATCCAAGTCTTTTTAATTAAAGAAGTAGTTATTAGACACTACCAGAGAGGGCTGGCCTCTTTACACATGATGCTTTAAACTTCATTGCAATCTTATAAGACAGGTAGTATTGGCCACAATAACAAGATGAGGATTGAGGCTCAAAAAGATTAAATAATATGCTTATGATCATAAAACTAGTAAAGGACAGAATCAGGACTTGAAGCCAGGTTGTTCTAGCTCCATAGTCAGTGTTTTCTCAATGAGCCAGGCTGTCACAAAGTCTAATGCATACACAACTAGCTAATAAGTATTAAAATATATGTGTGTACAAAGTGTAGTATTAGAAACCTAAGGAAGAAATTCCTTCCATGTAGGGTGGCGGGTACCATTAGAGGTGAACCTTGAAAGAATTATAGGATTCTGCCAGTCAGAAACAAAAGATATCTACTGCATAAAAGTAAATATGGAATAAGGGTGTAAAATTACAGCTTATAAGAGGCAACTTTTTCTAGATATCATTCTTAATATCCAAAGATACACAAAGTTCTAATTTGTCTTAATTTAAAAAACCATATGAAGATATTAGATAAGATTATAAAGCAAAAATAAAATCCATAAACTCACTGCCTTAAAGAATTTTAGCTTTGGCTCAGTCCCTTCTATTTCTTGTACAAACGCATGTGCTTTTTGCATAGTGAAAATAGCAGTATATAAAATGATATATATGCTTTTTCACTAACATTATTTTGGTTCTACTACTTCTAATGAAAACTTCAAGTATCAAATTTACGTTCTGCAACTTTTAATGTAAAATATTGAGCACTGCAGTTTAAGATTTGAAAAAATATAAAGCCTTACCTTACTTGATGGTTTACAAAAAGAGACAGACTAGATTACATCAAAGTTTCTCCCACTTAATCAAATAACAGAAGAAGAAATATGTATGCCGGTACATATATTAAAGAGAGTTAACTTCTCTTTTTTCCATTAGCAGTAATTCTAACCATGTCAGCCACAGTAAACTCATGTTAACTACCATGATTTCAGAATGGAACAGAATGCAACACGATGAAACAACAGCAAGGAAAGGAAAAGGGGTTAAAAAAAAAAAAGGAAAGGACTATGAGTGGCAAATCACTATCACAAAGTTCACATAAACTATCTAGTAAGATATGTTTTAGCTAACATTAAGCTGTTGTATACATTAAGCTTTGACAAAATGAGCTAGATATAAATGGACACCAATAGCAGGGGTTAAAAAAATTACCAGTATTAAAGAACAAACCATATGACACTATTTATGGAAGGAAGGAAAAACCTTGCAGAAATTTTCTCCAAGAGCATCATAGTTTTAACTCTACACACAAATTATTAATATGAATAACCTGATCCTGAGTACAGACAAGCTTAAACTGTTAATGCCCACCCTTTCTACATATAAAAATCCATGCTGAATGCCATCTTACTATCAGATTTTATTACAGATACAAATAAGAAAACCATCTTGCAGTCCTTTAAGATGCACAGTGTCAGATGCAGAATGCAGACTGCAACACAGAAAATTAACACGCAACTTGTAAGTGCTACTTGTTCAAAGTGATGTAAGAACCTTAATGGGGGTGAGCATGGCTGGCTGGAAGGGCTCTCAATAACTGATTTATATAAGCAGGAATGCGTAATGCCCTTCAGGAAAATATATATGTGTGTGTGTGTGTGAGTGTGTGTGTAAAATCGAAAGTTCTTGAACTGAAGGAATAAGCTTTACATTTAGCAATTTCACATAGAAATGCCATTCATTCCCCCAAAGGGATTATTATATCAACATGTTAAACAATAAAACAAACACTAATGGAAACAGAAAAATTTGAACTTGATATTAGTTATAGGTATGAAACACACACACACAGACTACTTGCACTTTAAATCAAAATGGCATGAGAAATAACTGATTCTTGACACATCATAAATGCTGATGCCATTCTCAGGAAATGCTATTTACAAGGAATTTGAGATAAATCAAAGATATACTGGAAAGCACAAAATTGTAAGTATATCAGATCTTGATGTAATTCCTGGTATTTTTGTTTGTTTGTTTTAGGAGGCAGAGAAAGAATAATGCCCATATAGTACCAGTAATTAAAATGAAGAAAATCACAAACTTGGAGACATATATGTATTTAATCTCTCAGTAATCAATGTCTCTATGATGTGGAACAACATTTTTAAAAACAAAAGAGGGTGAGTGAGATAAGAATGAATAATAGATGTATAAGAGTTTTAGGAAACCATAACAAGATACAACATATCAAGATAGAAACATGCTACATAGAAAATCTTTAATTCAAGTTATAAAAATTAATTTAGAATTACAAATTGACTTTTATTTTTAACTGAATTTTCAATAATATCAAAAGTCACTCCTCAAACACAGGGAGAAATAAGCATTGATGGCACATCTAAAGCAAAACTAAATTCTGAGCAAAATACATTTACAAATACATTTAACTGGAAATTCAGAAGTATCTTATCTTTCTTTTTCTCTCAGCCAACAAGTCAAGACAAAAATAAATAATAATGAATATTTAGATTACATCATTCCCAAACACAGATTCAAAGCTGTCCGATGATTTCATGAGCAAGAAAAAGCAGTATGTCTTGGGTGAAAATATGGACTTTGTAAGAATATCTTGCATATAATATGTACAAACAAGTCTTTAGGAGGCATCATTTTCATTCAGCTCCACCAAAGTTTCTTCAGGTTTTTAAACTCATTTTATACTTGGTAAGAGCAAGGGATGAGCTGTGGTTAGGCAAGTAATGACTGATAAATTCTTGGTATTCTCTGAATCATTTTAAAGGTTTTCTTTTGTCATCTTAAAATTTTGCCAAAATTACTCATAGCTAATGAAACTGAAAAGGTTAACACTAGATTTCTTTAAAAGGAAATGAAATCCTTCTAGTAACTTAACAGAAATATCCCCTTAAAAAGGCATATGTCAAATTGTTAGAAGAAAGACCATTTAAAATGCAGAAAACAAAGTACTTAAAAATATATACTAAGCAAGTTTTTGTTGTTGTTGTTTTTCTTTTTTGAGAGAGTCTTGCTTTGTCTCCAGGCTGGAGTGCAGTGGCGTGATCTTGGCTCACTGTAACCTCCACCTCCCGGGTTCAAGCGATTCTCCTGCCTCAGCCTCCCAGGTAGCTGGGACTACAGGCGTGTGCCACCACACCCAGCTAATTTTTGTATTTTTAGTAGAGACAGGGTTTCACCATGTTGGCCAGGATGGTCTTGATCTCTTGACTTCGTCATCTGCCCGCCTCAGCCTCCCAAAATGCTGGGATTACAGGCGTTGAGTCACCGTGCCCGGCTCTACAGCTGGAACCTTCCTGTCACTACCCTTCAGATGACTGACTCCTTATCCTCCACCTACGCTTAAATTTCACATCCTCGGAGAGGCCTTTGCTGCACACTCTATCTAAAATGCTCTCCTCCTCTAGTTTGTCTCTAATACCACAGCATGGTCATTTCCTTTTTGGCTATAATTATTTGATTTATTTTTTGCTATAATTATTTGATTTATTGTCTATTTTCCACACAAAAATGTTGGATTTAATTATTGTGTCCCACTATTGTGTCCCTATTGTCAAGTACAGTGTCTGCCATATAGTAGTTTAACCCCAAAATGTTAAACAATCCATAAAACTGGAAATTTTCTGTTTCTTATCTGCTTAGAAATGCTTAAGATTGCAAGTACAAGTAATTAAAATTAAAAAGCTTTAATTTTAAAGATAAAAGCCTATTCCACCTTGACAAGTAAAAACTAACATTAATTTACCAAATTGTTCTGTATCTTTTAAATGTCATTTATGAATTATTCTTACAAATGCTTAGTTTTCATTTATTCAAATAACAATTGGAAATCTGAAAGGAAGTCTATAGAGATTAAATGAAGTTCATAAAAGCTGCAAGATAAATTTATTAATCACAATGAACACTGAAAAAGAGATTGAAGGCAGAGCCACAGAGGTTACGAATATATTAAAATCAGCCTATGTATTATGGAAGTGCTATCATTGTCCACAAATTTCTGATCATATATAATCCTAATTTCTAATTATATGCAAACATGCAGAATCTAAACTTAAGATGATAAAAAGTAACTTATTAATAGAAATTAAAAAGTTATTTGCTTGAAAAATACTTTAAAGCAACTAACAAACATAAGTAAATAAAAGGTAAGCATTCAATATCAAAGAATACTTTGGGGAAGACTTTTTGAGATCACCTGAATCAAAAGGTAAATCTGAACAATATTATCACTTTATGTTTATTTGTATAAATACATAAAGTATTATTTTAGCTTTTCTTCCTAAAAAAAACTCACTGACAATGGCTGCCACACAGTAAAATAGTGTTATCTAGAAATATAGTTAAGAGTAAGCAAAGCGAAATTAAGCATTAATGAACAAAGGATCAAAATACCTCACGTATTATTTAAAAATGAGAGTACAATGGTCAAAGAACTAAGAAACAGTGAGACCCAAAATTCACACTACTGTAACACTATGTCAGACTGATGAAATAAAAACCAACTTCATTCCTATAGCTCTAATCAATGAGCAAAATATAATAAAATAGAGATTGCATATACCAGATCAAAATAAGTTTTTGATAATCTTCCAACATAAAGAACGTAAGTTTTGAGACCCAGCTCACGAACTCTGTGAAGCCTCTTTCCTAAGCTCCTCCTCACACCTGTTCTCTTCAAGGCTGCTCCTATCACATGAGTGCCTATCTCATTATGTTAGAGGTGTCTTTGTTGTACCCCCACTAGAATCCCATGAGTCTCATTATGTTTATCTTAATCTTCCTAAAGCCTTAGACACTGACCAATAAACACTAGGTGGCCAATAAATACTGGAGGAATGAATTCAATGATCAGCAGGAAGGGAAGCACTGAAGAAGGAGGCAAGAGAGAAAGAAAAGCAAAGTTGGTACAGAGAATTTCAAAATTGTTTTATTAGTTAAGGTACCATCTTATTTTTTTGCAAATGAACCATGATGGGATACAGGTAAATTTTCAAAAAGATTGGTTAATGTTGCCATATACTGTAGGCTCTCAGATCCCTTTATGATTTCCAAGAAGTAACATGCATTTAGCGCACACACTCTTCTTTCCCATACAGGTAACAGGCAAACCTGCAGGAAAATGGCCAGAGCTGAACACATCCTTTGTTAATAGCCCTGAATCAGTGAACTAAATGGAGTGGCACAAAGTAGGGAAGGGCCTTAAAAACTAAGCTGAGGATTCTGGATGGTATCTCATTAAAAATTTGTAAGCAGAGAAATGAATGATAAAACCAATATTTTATGAACTCAACCAAAGTATTCAAGGAGTCTAGTGGACCTGGGAACAGTAATACAGTTCTTGAGACAAGTAATATAGCCTTAAAATAACAAGTTGCATGAGGAAATTCAATATTTAATTCTTTAGGGTTTTTTTAAAGAGTTAGGTTAGCATTCTTCAAAAAGGAAAAGCATTGGTCAGCAATATTATAAAATTTTGTATTTTAAGCTGCAGAGATGACTTTTTAAAAATAAAGAACCATGGGTTTTCCTGTTCAGCACAAGTGTAATATGTCACAAGAATCAATATGTCTAAAATGCAAATATATTTCTCCTTACAAAGGTTTAAGGCGTTGCTCCCTAATAAATAAGGTAAGAATATCTTCACAATATCATTTCTGTCTTCTATGAAGAAATTAGGTTTAAACTAGATGTCACAATATCCACACTAAAGCAGAAAGGAATGGGATAATCCAAAAGAATAAACTTTAACTTCCTACAGTAATTTGAGGTTTATCACAGCGTAAAACAGAGGCAGCTAGAGGGTAATGTCCAATTAATACTGAATGGAAATACAATTGTGCAAATTAACTCACACTTATTCAAATTCCCAATCAATAGAAAAATGCAGCAAGAGCTTTTTTCTTCCTCCCTCCACCCCTTCCTCCATTCTTTCTTTCTTCCCTTCTTTCTTTCTGTTTCTAATGAGAAGGTTCTGCAATGTAAAATATAATCACTAGAGACAGAATTGAGCCCTGTTTTCCACACTCAGAATCAGAGAAGGGATCCAAGAGTCCCCAGAGACCTCCAAATGGATCTCAATCCATCCAACCTCCCATCTTGACAATCTGTGGCAGATTGGCAGCTATGTTCTCTCCATTCTATTCTGTATGTTGAGCTTGTAATTTTACTTTGAAAATAATGGATTTTGAAGATTGTTACTCTACTTGAGAGTCCACAATGCATCCTCAATTGCCTACGGTTCAAATTCCTCTGTCTGGCTCCAATGCTCACCACAATCTGGGCTCATATTTATAGCCTGGCTTAAGTTCCAATTCCACCAATTCCAACAGCTCAAATTGACATCTCCATTCTGTGAACTCTTATTTAAATCAGGAACCCATGCCACAGGGTTTAACATTAAACTGTTCTAGATAGACTCTTGTTCCCCTGGAGGGCAGGAATAATACCACTAGTTTCTTTTTTATTTCCCTGGGTGCTCAGAGATCACAGTAGAAATTTAATCCATTTTAAAAATGAATCAGAGTTCTTTTGTAAGGGAATAATCGTTCCAAAAGTAATCTCTTTCATAAACACTAATAACTACATCCCATATTGTGTTTTCTTAAGCTCTGAGTGGCATATTAAAACAGAGAAGACTGCAATTCTTATATGCTGCTGGCGAAAACTTACACCAGTGCAACTTTGGAAAGCAACTTGGCATTAACTTGCAGTACACATGCATCCCCTGTGGGATGCAGTCATTTCCACTCTTAAGCACAAACAAGAGAGAAATTCTTGTATGTGTAAACTAGGAAAGACATGAGAATATCAGAGAAGCATTGTTTGTAATAGCAAATAACTGTAAACAACTTAAACAACAATCAACAAGAACAAGTGAATATTATACAGTAGCAAAAAGGATAAACTACAGCACATGCACCAACACGGACTAATTGCTCAAACACGAAGCTATGTGAAAAAAGCAAGCTGTGTGAGTGTGTGTGCGTGTAATACATATATAAAACATGCTTCATTTATGTAAAGTTTAAAAAAATGCAAAAGTAAACAATAGACTATTTTAGAAATTCATACCAATGTAGGAAAAACAATAAAGAAAAACAAAGGAATGATAAACATTACATTCAGGATATGGTTATCTCTGAGGGAAGGGAGTAGCACACACATGTCGAAAATATTTTTAATGTTTATTTCTTAAGCTGCCTTGTGGATATGCGGGTATCTCTATTATTGTTTACATCTAACACATATACCAGATAAAACCTTTTATAAATCATTAGTTTCATTTTTAAATGTAAATTAAAACTGTTCATCTCTATATTGGCTGTCACAAGTATACTAATCATCTTAAGAAGTTTAAAAAAAAAAAGACATTTAGATTTCACAGGTATCTGCAGAAAAAAGATAAAAGAGTTGCAAAGCAAAATAGTCTGTAGCACAGGTGAAGAATAACTATTACCATAATTGAAAAAGGGAAGTAAAAGTGTATGATTCACTGTGTGATTTACTGTTTGATGTCATACACACTGGAAGGCAGAAAGACAAGTACTTTCTAGGCCAGAGGACCTCATTAGGGCAAGTGAAACACTCAGGGCTCTGGCAAGTGAGCATTCCAGGGTAGCTCAGTTGGACTGCAACTCCAGGGTTAGGGCAGGACTTGGAAAGAGGAGCTGGAGCAAGATAAATGAATTCGAGAAGACAGGAAAGGGTCTGGATTAGAGAGCAAATCTGATTCCAGAATGACACAAATACAATAAGAGATTTTAAAGTTAGGTATCAATGTTCTAATTTTATCTGCCTCGTTTTTATTTCCAAGTAAATAAAGTTCACTTCATTTTCCTTTCATTTTTTTGCTGGTATAGTTTAACTGCCATTTACTAACTTCGGGCAGTACATTTTGTGACTCTAGTTTCTGACTACAGTGCCTATAGCTGTAGAACTTCAGTGAGTATTCAACATCTAGTTAAATGTCCAGGTAGAAGTAATGGTGATGACTCAAATCTGCCTCTTAAAATCTAGAGTTGTGAAAGCTTTTTGAGGTTCAATACGAGCTAAATTTTTAAAGCCTAGAAATAGTGTTAAAACTAATATTTCCACTCCATACTACACTTGTTTCTGGCTTTTAAAATACAACGTTCAATCTTTCCCAGCATTCTCAACTTAAGGCTATCAGTACCCAATCATTCAGGATATACTTTTCTCATCTATAATTCACATAGTATAATTTTACATTGATTTATATAATTAAAGTCATCTTACCTGCACTTTTTTTAAAGCTACTGGTACTCCATCCAAGAGACAGGCTGCTCTATAAACTTCACTAAATTGTCCGCGACCAATTTTCTTTTCTATTCGAAAGTTGGCTAATGTATTATAGCCCATATCCGGTCGTAAGGCCTTCTGTAATTAAAAATGTCAGAAAAATTTTCAATCACACAATATACACGCAATACACACAATCACTGATCATTTTCATATATGTAGGTGACACATAGGGTAAGTTTGCAGACATCCATTCACTCAACAACAAATATTTACTGAACTTATGCCAGGCACTGTCCTACACACTGACGATACAGTAGCAGACTAGAGAGACAATAATCCCTGTACCTGAGGAACTTACATTCTAGTGAGGGGAATAAACAAGGAATACATTAAAACATACATATATATATATGTGTGTTTTAATAAATATATAAAACATACATACATGTTTTAATAAATATGTAAACATACATACATGTTTTAATACATAAACATACATATGTTTTAATATATAAACATACATATATGTTTTAATATATAAAACATACATATACATGTTTTAATAAATATATAAACATACATATATATGTGTATATATGTACTTTTTATATATATATATATATATATATATATATATATATATATAGTATGTGAGATAGGAAAGCCTAAAAAGGAAGTTAATTAAGGAAGAAGGATACAACATAGGGATGAAGAGTCTGAACTTTTAGATAAGAACTCCTTGCAAAGGATACCCAGGAATTGAACTCAGCTCTGCACCAAGCAGACCTAATAGACATCTACAGAACTCTCCAACCTAAATCAACAGAATATACATTTTTTTCAGCACCACACCACACCTATTCCAAAATTGACCACATAGGTGGAAGTAAAGCTCTCCTCAACAAATGTAAAAGATCAGAAATTATAACAAACTGTCTCTCAGACCACAGGGCAATCAAACTAGAACTCAGGATTAAGAAACTCACTCAAAACCGCTCAACTGTGTGGAAACTGAACAACCTGCTCCTGAATGACTACTGGGTACATAACGAAATGAAGGCAGAAATAAAGATGTTCTTTGAAACCAACGAGAACAAAGACACAACGTACCAGAATCTCTGGGACACATTCAAAGCAGTGTGTAGAGGGCAATTTATAGCACTAAATGCCCACAAGAGAAACCAGGAAAGATCCAAAACTGACACCTTAACATCACAATTAAAAGAACTAGAAAAGCAAAAGCAAACACATTCCAAAGCTAGCACAAGGCAAGAAATAACTAAAATCAGAGCAGAACTGAAGGAAATAGAGACACAAAAACCCTTCAAAAAATTAATGAATCCAGGAGCTGGTTTTTTGAAAGGATCAACAAAATTGATAGACTGCTAGCAAGACTAATAAAGAAGAAAAGAGAGAAGAATCAAATAGACGCAATAAAAAATGATAAAGGGGATATCACCACCGATCCCACAGAAATACAAACTACCATCAGAGAATACTACAAACACCTCTACGCAAATAAACTAGAAAATCTAGAAGAAATGGATAAATTCCTTGACACATACACCCTCCCAAGACTAAACCAGGAAGAAGTTGAATCTCTGAATAAACCAATAACAGCTCTGAAATTGTGGCAATAATCAATAGCTTACCAACCAAAAAGAGTCCAGGACCAGATGGATTTACAGCCGAATTCTACCAGAGGTATAAGGAGGAACTGGTACCATTCCTTCTGAAACTATTCCAATCAACAGAAAAAGAGAGAATCCTCCCTAACTCATTTTATGAGGCCAGCATCATCCTGATACCAAAGCCGGGCAGAGACACAACCAAAAAAGAGAATTTTAGACCAATATCCTTGATGAACATTGATGCAAAAATCCTCAATAAAATACTGACAAACCGAATCCAGCAGCACATCAAAAAGCTTATCCACCATGATCAAGTGGGCTTCATCACTGGGATGCAAGGCTGGTTCAGTATACGCAAATCAATGTAATCCAGCATATAAACAGAACCAAAGACAAAAACCACATGATTATCTCAATAGATGCAGAAAAGGCCTTTGACAAAATTCAACAACGCTTCATGCTAAAAACTCTCAATAAATTGGTATTGATGGGACATATCTCAAAATAATAAGAGCTATCTATGACAAACCCACAGCCAATATCATACTGAATGGGCAAAAACTGGAAGCATTCCCTTTGAAAACGGGCACAAGACAGGGATGCCCACTCTCACCACTCATATTCAACATAGTGTTGGAAGCACTGGCCAGGGCAATTAGGCAGGAGAAGGAAATAAAGGGTATTCAATTAGGAAAAGAGGAAGTCAAATTGTCCCTGTTTGCAGATGACATGATTGTATATCTAGAAAACCCCATTGTCTCAGCCCAAAATCTCCTTAAGCTGATAAGCAACTTCAGCAAAGTCTCAGGATACAAAATCAATGTACAAAAATCACAAGCATTCTTATACACCAATAACAGACAAACAGAGAGCCAAATCATGAGTGAACTCCCATTCACAATTGCTTCAAAGAGAATAAAATACCTAGGAATCCAACTTACAAGGGATGTGAAGGACCTCTTCAAGGAGAACTACAAACCACTGCTCAAGGAAATAAAAGAGGATACAAACAAATGGAAGAACATTCCATGCTCATGGGTAGGAAGAATCAATATCGTGAAAATGGCCATACTGCCCAAGGTAATTTATAGATTCAATGCCGTTCCCATCAAGCTACCAATGACTTTCTTCACAGAATTGGAAAAAACTGCTTTAAAGTTCATATGGAACCAAAAAAGAGCCCGCATCGCCAAGTCAATTCTAAGCCAAAAGAACAAAGCTGGAGGCATCACACTACCTGACTTCAAACTATACTACAAGGCTACAGTAACCAAAACAGCATGGTACTGGTACCAAAACAGAGATATAGACCAATGGAACAGAACAGAGCCCTCAGAAATAATGCCACATATCTACAACTATCTGATCTTTGACAAACCTGAGAAAAACAAGCAATGGGGAAAGCATTCCCTATTTAATAAACGGTGCTGGGAAAACTGGCTAGCCATATGTAGAAAGCTGAAACTGGATCCCTTCCTTACACCTTATACAAAAATCAATTCAAGATGGATTAAAGACTTAAACGTTAGACCTAAAACCATAAAAAGCCTAGAAGAAAACCTAGGCGTTACCATTCAGGACATAGGCATGGGCAAGGACTTCATGTCTAAAACACCAAAAGCAATGGCAACAAAAGCCAAAATTGACAAATGGGATCTAATTAAACTAAAGAGCACAGCAAAAGAAACTACCATCAGTGAACAGGCAACCTACAAAATGGGAGAAAATTTTCGCAACCCACTCATCTGACAAAGGGCTAATATCCAGAATCTACAATGAACTCAAACAAATTTACAAGAAAAAAACAAACAACCCCATCAAAAAGTGGGTGAAGGACATGAACAGACACTTCTCAAAAGAAGACATTTATGCAGCCAAAAAACACATGAAAAAATGCTCACCATCACTGGCCATCAGAGAAATGCAAATCAAAACCACTATGAGATACCATCTCACACCAGTTAGAATGGCAACCATAAAAAAGGAAACAACAGATGCTGGAGAGGATGTGGAGAAATAGGAACACTTTTACACTGTTGGTGGGACTATAAACTAGTTCAACCATTGTGGAAGTCAGTGTGGCGATTCCTCAGGGATCTAGAACTAGAAATACCATTTGACCCAGCCATCCCATTACTGGGTATATACCCAAAGGACTATAAATCATGCTGCTATAAAGACACATGCACACATATGTTTATTGCAGCACTATTCCCAACAGCAAAGACTTGGAACCAACCCAAATGTCCAACAATGATAGACTGGATTAAGAAAATGTGGCACATATACGCCATGGAATACTATGTAGCCATAAAAAATGATGAGTTCATGTCCTTTGTAGGGACATGGATGAAACTGGAAATCATCATTCTCAGTAAACTATCGCAAGAACAAAAAACCAAACACCGCATATTCTCACTCACAGGTAGGAATTGAACAATGAGAACACATGGACACAGGAAGGGGAACATCACACTCTGGGGACTGTTGTGGGGTGGGGGGAGGGGGGAGGGATAGCTTTAGGAGATATACCTAATGCTAAATGACGTGTTAATGGGTGCAGCACACCAGCATGGCACATGTATACATATGTAACTAACCTGCACATTGTGCACATGTACCCTAAAACTTAAAGTATAATAGTATAATAATAATAAAATAAAATAAAATAAAAGCAATTGCAGAACCCACACACACAAAAAAAGAACTCCTTATAACTTGTCTTTAGTTCACAGAATATAAACTTGTCCCACCCAATCTAGTATTTCTCTGCTATTTCTTTTCTTTTGAAAAGATCTTTGAGTTGAAATGGACCTTACAAAAATACATAATCATTTAGTCCAAACTGTCAACTAATGCATGAAACACCTGTTAACTTCCTGACAGTTATTTAACTTCTGCAAAGAATATGTCCAGTGTCAAGAAGTTTACTACCGCATCATTAAATAACATTTTTTGATATTTACCATGTGCCAGGCACTATGCTGGCTGCTAGGGAAATAGAGATGAATGAGATATGCTTTCTGCTCTCAAACGGCTTACCCAAATACATAGAAGAGGCTCTTCACTGTGCTATGAGAGAAATAATTATAAGATATTGGGGGCAGGGGCCATCCCTATTTTGAGACTAAATTCAGGTTATAAATTTTACTGATTGTCCTAGTTCTTTTATTCACTTTTTGTTCATGGACTTATTCATTCAATCTTCAGTTATGGGGTAAACACTACCTGAACATCTACTACAGTCAGACACTGTCTATTGCTAAAGTTGGAATATCACCTTTTACATTCCTGATGGCATTCATTTTAGCATCTCTAGCTGTTTAAAATATAACAAAAAAAGCCTATTTAAAACTATCACATGCCCTCATATCTTCTCTTTTTCGGCTAGGCATGCCTGAGCCTTTTCAAGATTCCTGGAGTACTGATGAGCACACTCTTCCGTGCCTTTTACCATTCTCCTCACACCCCCTCTGTACTCTCCAAGCCAAACATGACATTCTTGTGGGGCCAGGCTAGTGCACCCTCTAATGAAACTGAATATTAAAGACCTATTAATGCAAAGATGGCACTGGTTCATGAGCACATTACATTCAGCTTAAACTCTTAGTCTTTCAAAGAAACCTTTGATAAGGCTGATGATCCCATATCCTAGACTTACGCAGAAAGGCTATTTTGATATACGGGCAACACTTTGCATTAACCCTTAGTACATTTTATCTTTTAATTTTACTACATCTATCATGTAAAATTCACTACATCTAACTGTAAAATTCTGCCAAAGAGTCACTATAATTCAAACCCAATGTTTTCTCTTAAAAAAAAAAGAAGCAATAATTTGTTATTGTACATTGTTTTCTTCTTCTAGAAGTCCAAAATACTGTCAAGAAAAAGATCATGCTTCCTTTAAAATATGCAAAATAACCAGAGTACAAGAAATTTTTCAAATTTCGCAAATTCATTTCATAAGTATAGGTCCATAAGATAATTCTTATAATTACTACAACAATGATAGAAGGTCCCATTTTCGTCCCCACAACTTAACAGGCACTGTATATCAGGACTTTAAATGCCATCAAATTCAATTCTCTCACCAATCCCATCATGTAGATGTCATCAAACCAAGTGAATGTCTAGTTGATTCCCAAGTATAGCCTATGCCACACTGCCAGGTTATTAAGCAAAGTCACCTTATGTATGACCCAACATTATGGGACCCTACATGATGATCCACAGATATTTTCAATGTTAAGTCTTTTGACTAAAAAAATAAAATAAAGACAAAAATGGAATAGAAACATGTTTAAAATGAAGATGAAAAAGTATTCCACAATAAGAAACATAGAATGAAAATAAAATTATGAAATAAAGGGAGATAACTTGCCATGATGTTCATTTGTAAATGGATTTCTTTTCATAGCCATTGAATTTACAATTAAGTGTCAATGTGACAAAATGATATATATGTAACAAAGAAACTCACAAAGTACCACTTCTCAGATATAGCCAATGGATATTTGGCAATTTTTTACGTTTTTAACTTTAAATAAAGGTTTTGTTTAAAAAGGAAACATGTTTTAAATTGTCTATGATTTCCTAAGAATTGTTTATATTGATGCACTGGAATAGTCTGTGTCATCTAATAAGTATAAATCCTTCTCCCATACACGGAGACCATTCTTTCACTTAATGAAGATTTGTCAATCTCAACAGCAAAATACAGCTTCATCATTAGGAACACTATCAAACAATTCAGATACTTTAAATTTGACTGGGAATTCCATCTTCTGTCTGCACAATAACTTGACAAATATTAGCGTGAACTGCTAAGGCAGTGTGACAACCGCATGCTGAGAGCAAAGTCTTACTAATGTGTTTTGGCATGCAGGTTTGTAATCACACATTTACATATGCAATGACCTACATTTGCATGTCAGATCACACACTGTCTTGGTTTATTAAGACTGGGCACCTCCCTGTGCTTGGCCGCCAGAGTGGCGAAAGAGGGCCAGAGGGCGGTGTTTTTTGGCAGTTGAGGGATGAACTGCCACCAAGGATTAGGTTGATATGGCCTGAGCATTAGACACTTCATTAGACGTAATCTGTTTAACAGTGGGCAGTGTATGTAAACTTCACAGCCCATTTGCGGCACCTTTTTCCCCCCATGGCCTTTCTTCAAAGGGCAGTGTGGGTGAGTGACAGCTTGTCTCATCTGCTCCCATGTCCTGTCACCCAGTGTAGATGTGGAGAGCTGACATGAGAAGGAGCATAGCTGCACATCTCCAACTACCCTTGGGTCTCTTTGCCACACTGCAATTTGTATAAAAATAAGCTTGTATAAGAGGAGGTCTCCTTTAGGAGATCATCAGGCAGGTAATATATCTATATACTTCGGTAGCGATTATAGTATATTGTTTTCAATGCCATACTTCATTTTGCTGAGTTACATTCCACTGTAGGTAGCATTACATTAGGTGCTTTAAATAAAAAATGGTATCATCAAACGGGTTCCCACTCAAGTAAAGAACTATTTTTAGGAAATAGCTATATTCTCTTTGTTGAATGATGTTCTATGTCCCATATGTTTTAAGTTACTGGGAATAAAATAACTCAGCAAAATACTGAGATTCAAATCAATATGAAATATAAACCAAATAAAATCACTTAAACTGATGTTTCGCTGTTCTTAATTTGGAGTGTAAACTGAGTCTCAGTTTCTTGAAGTTCCTTAATGACCCAGGTTTTTTTTTTCTAAGCTGCACAAAATGGCTTTTAGATTTGAGGTGAGTCACTTAGAGGACCTTCAACTTTTATGGAAGTAAAAACCCACTTTGTTTCTTCCACTATCAAATGAGGATAATGATGCCTTATCTATGACAGAAGGCTTTTCAAGTCAATTTTGCACCTCGCTATGGCCCCCTCCATCAGCTGCACCATGTATTTCCCAAGTGCACTGTGAACTTTGGCCTCATGCCCATGGCATTGCACTTGCTTATTCCCATGCCTTCTGAATAACTTCCTTTTTCATACCCAGCAAACCACAGCTCATCTTTGGGATTCAGTTCCATGTCAGCTCTTCTAAGGAATCATCTTCAGCTCGCTCAGGCAGCTTTACTGGCTTCTACCTCTATTTCTGTAGCAATTGACAGTAGTCATTCAACTCTATAAAGAGGCATACAAACGCAGGCACCATGTTGGGTCCTGGATCACACAGGCTTTTAATTACTCGTTTATACAATTGACTCTTGAACAACACAAGTTTGAACTGTGCAGATCCACTTATATGTAGATTTTCTTCTACTTCTCCCTTCCATGAGACAGCAAGAAACTCCTTCTCTTTCTCCTTCTCCTCTGCCTACCCAATGCAAAGACAATGAGGATAAAGATGAAGATCTACTTTCCACTTAATGAATATTAAATATCATTTTTCTTCCTTATGATTTTCTTATTAACATTTCCTTTTCTGTAGTTTATTTTATTGTAAGAACACATTATATAATACACAAAACATACAAAGCATGTGTTAATTGACTTTCTGTTATCAGTAAGGCTTCTAGTCAACAGTAGGCTATTTATAGTTAAGCTTTTAGGGAGTCAAAAGTTATATACAGGTTTTCAGCTGCACAAACTACTCTCTTGTTGTTCCAGGGTCAATTATGTATATACATTTCTCCTTCCAGACACACTGAGTTTCTCAAAGGTAGAGACCAAAGTGGGGGTTTTTTTTTTCAGCTTTTTATCAAAATGCCATGAAGTAGAGAATAAATACTAACTCAGTGAATGTATTCGAAAGAACTAAATGAATGTAAAAGGCCCAAAATACAAAGGGCATGACTATAATTATCTACCAGCTCTAAGTAGAATCTAGTAGAGAATCAGTATACTGTTCTGGGTTCTTATTAACAAACATTTTTTTGATGTGAATACACTCTAATCACATTAACACGAGATCTTACTAACTAATTGGGATTAACTTCTACGTATCAGTCTGTGTTTACTGAGCTTCCTTCACATAGATACTTTTCATTTGAAAATAAAATTCCTTCTGTTTGCCACGGGTTCATATTTTCACAGGTGCAGACTCCTTAAACAATAACTTCCCAGGACTAAATTAATTTCTTAATTTGCTTTAAATTTGAAGGCAAGGACACTTACTGAGCAATAAGATAATTCAGGATAACATTATGATGATAATCCTCTCTGGGGAAATTAGAAGAGTCACAGCATGAACTCAATAGTCTCCCCAGAGAGAAAATTATGTACTGATAATTCCTTGAGGTATTGTTATCAATGATTTAATATACAAGCCAGTATTAATTACAGTAATTAACACCATTAATAAGGTTTTCATTGTTATTGAAAATTCATCTCTTACTGATTTTCCTGTGCCACTTAATTATTTTAAATAAACTACCTTACATTTTATATTAATATTGTTGGATTTCTCCAAAATTTAAAACAAAACTTTAAAATATCTTTCAAATTTTATTTAGCAATAAAGCTCATGCTATTATCTTTTATCTTTAAAAAGGTGTTACCCACCTACAAATTACACAAACCAGAATATCCTTTCTATCATGTATTCTATAGACCTCCTGTCATATTTTCTACAGACTTCACTGGAAACCAAAAAAGGCAAATAAACAAAAAAACACCATATGTGCCACCAAGACCTAATTATTCGTGTTTCTTCCTATTTGAAAAATTATCTCCCTAAATTTTTTAACTATGTCAAATGTCAAATGTAACCTATTCCTAAAGTTTCGTTAAGTGTCAGAGACTTACATCAGTTTAGACAATATGCCATTAATCATTAAAACCGGCCTTTTATCAAAGGAGGAAATTTTACTATTGTGTAAGAAAAATGAGTGACCAAATATAAGCAGTTATCTAATTAAACATTTATAAGACCCTGGCATATGTAGCATTTAATTATCATTAGTTAAATTACCAGCATAATAATTACTACATCCAAATGATGTAACCAAAAATACTGATTATCTCTCCTATGTTATCATGAGCAAGATAATTAATTAACGTCAAAGATACTCCCATCTCCCCTACTTCCCTATGAGCACTACCAGCTACACCTGGCAAAGTTAAATATGGAGAGAAAAAGCCTTTTACTGAAAGACAGAGACAGAGTAAAAAGCAGTTGTTAAAAATTTATTCATTTATTCCACAAATATTACTGGGGGAGGATATAGCACAAAGACACTAAACAGGCAATAAACAAATACATAATAATATCTAATATTTATTCTGCATACTGAAGCACTATGCAGAAAAACAAAGTAAGTGATGTGATATAGAATGTGACAGAAAACCAGTGGATAGTTATTTTAGGTTGGTTAATTTAGGGATGATCTTGCTGAGGATGTAACATTTACACAGAGACTAAAAAATGAAAAGAAAGGAAAGAAGCCATAGCAGAGAAAAACATCTGGAGAAAATGTCTTAAGGAAGAAATGAACTCGATGTGTTCAAGGACCAGCGGAAAGGACACTGTGGCTGGAGTACGGTGAGCAAGGGAGACCATGGTTAGAAATGAGGTTAAAGAGGTAAGCACTGAGCACTCTGGCGAGGTGGCTCATGCCTACACTCCCAGCACTTTGGGAGGCCAAGGCAGGCGGATCACTTGAGCTCGGAAGTTCAAGACCACCCTGGAAAACATGGCACATGGCAAAAACCCATCTCTACTTAAAAAAAAAAAAATTAAATACAAAAAAAAAAATTAAAAATATAAAAACTAAAAATAAAATACAAAAAGTGAGCTGAGATTGGCCAGGCACGGTGGCTCACGCCTGTAATCCCAGCACTTTGTGGGGCCGAGGCGGGTGGATCACGAGGTCAGGAGATCGAGACCATCCTGGCTAACACAGTGAAACCCCGTCCGTACTAAAAATACAAAAAAACTAGCAGGGTGTAGTAGCGCACGCCTGTGGTCACAGCTACTCGGGAGGCTGAGGCAGGAGAATGGCCTGAACCCGGGAGGTGGAGCTTGCAGTGAGCCACTGCACTCCAGCCTGGGCAACAGAGCGAAACTCTGTCTCAAAAAAAAAAAAAAAAAGTGAGCTGAGATCACGCCACGGCATTTCAGCCTGGGTGTCAGAGTGAGACCTTATCTCAAAAAAAAAAAAAAGAAAAAGAAAGAAAAAGAGGTAAGCACTGAGAAAATCATATTACACTTTGACAGCAAGAGTAAGGAGTAAGGGGGTCTGGGTTTTCAGCAAGGTAGCACCATACTGTGTTCTGATACACATTTTACAAAAATAACTCATGATGCTGCATGGAGAACTGGGAAGGAGGATGAGTAGAGCAAGAATGGAAGCAGGGAGACTGGACAGGAGGTAGTAGGTGTGGCCTGAGGAGTTAGAGAGATGAGGACAGTAGATGTAATAAGAATATAATTTGAGATGGAGTCAAAAACTTGCCAATTAATTGAATATGAGGAGTGAGGGAGAGAGAGAAATCAAGGATGATTGAGATTTTTGGCTGAAGCACACAGATGAATAGTGCTGCCATTTACTGGTAAAAACAAGGCTAAAGGAGAAGCCATCTAGGCAGAAAATAGGTAATAAAGATGTAATAAAAGATACGATATGGAAGAAAACAATGGGTAGAGAAATGTGGGCCAAGACAATTATTGGCAGCTTGTTGTCATTGCAGTCATCATCATCATTTTTGCTAACATTTAATGAATGCTAACTATGTGTCAAGCATCATACTGAAAGCTCCATATCAACTTGATGAGGTAAAAACTTGATTCATCTCATTTACTAATAAGAAAACTGAGGTTTACAGATGCTAAACAACTTCCCCTCACCATCACACAGCTAGGAAGTGAGGGACTAAGAACTGATCCCAGCCAATATGACTTCAGAGCTCATGCTCTAACCCACCATGCTAAGCTATGTCCTTCTGTTTCCTTCCAGGTCCGCTATATATTCCTCTCCATAAATGCTGGTACACCACAGGGTATCATCCTCAGCATTCTTTTCTAATTTTTGCTCACTCACTCCAGGTAATCTGATTTATCATTCCATTTATTGGTTCTAAAATTAAATTAATTCCAGGTACTCCCCTGACCCCCTAAGGGACACCTATCATAACTGTACTAGAAACTCCTCCTCCTCTATTTACTTGTGCCCCAACACTGAATGAAATTTACTAAAGGAAAAGAAGACATGATTAAATGTATTCTATATGAATGTGACAAGAAAAACATCAAATTTTGAAATTTGTGTTTGTTTTATGAATATTTAGTGAGAAAGCTATGTGAAACATAAGAATCATATGACAAGATCGTAATATTCACATAGTAACAATATAAAGGAAGACAAAATATACAGGTATCCTAAATGTAAATACCACTGACCTCTAACAAACAGATTAGAATGTATACATTCAACATTGCTCTTCAAAACAGCTACCATGGGAGGCTATGGTTTTACACCAGGAAGGCTTCCACTACTGAAAACATGTCTGAAACTTCTTCTTTAGAATGGTAATCAGAGATAGCATGTGAATTGTATAAAAATTATTGGTCTTGGCCGGGAGTGGTGGCTCACGCCTGTAATCCCAGTGCTTTGGGAGGCCAAGGCGGGTGGATCACAAGGTTAGGAGTTCAAGACCAGCCTGGTCAAGATGCTGAAACCCCATCTGTACTAAAAATACAAAAATTAGCCAGGTGTGCGGCACACACCTGTAATCCCAGCTACTCAGGAGGCTGAGGCAGGAGAATCGCTTAAACCCAGGTGGCAAAGGTTGCAGTGAGCCGAGATCGTGCCACTGCACTTGCACTCCAGCCTAGGTGACAGAGCAGGACTCCGTCTCAAGAACAACAACAAAAAAATTATTGGTTTAAGAATATATCTCATTTTGGTCAAAAAAAAGAATACCAAGACTATGTACTTTATTCAAAACCAAGTAAACACTTGGGTCTAAAGAATTTTAAGATATTTCCAAATATCAAATTCACCTTCAAAAAAACAATGATCTCATCATTGTGGTTATTAAAGCATATTTCTTTTTTTTTTTTTTTGAGACGGAGTCTCACTCTGTCTTAAACTGTTTCAAATAAAGTTGGAAGACGGAAGACTATTTTGATTAATCAGCCTCATCCTCATCTTTGCCCCATCGCTCTGAACAGACTGTTCAAATAGAAATTTCCAAGAAAGCAGCAGGCAAGAGAATTCTTACTGTGTTCTCATTCTTTTCAAAAATCATGTAAATTTCTCAAGCATTTCCCTTAAAATATGAGGTACTCTCACTCGTAAGTATGTAAGTGTGATGAATCTAAATTTAAAGACAACTCAAACGCACTTTAAATATTTTGAAGTCATTCCCCAATTTGACAGTTTTCTTAGTATTCAATATTGTCACACAGTCATTTTCTAAAATAACTCTAGAATAACTGAAATCTACATACTATAAGAATAATACAGTCATGCGCCATCTAATGACATTTCAGCCAACACCAGGCAGTATAGGAATGTCTGGCCATAAGATTACAAAACCATATTTTTACTGTACTTTTTCTAGGTTTAGATATGATTAGGTACATAAATACTTATCATTGTGTTACAACTGCCTACAGTATAGTAACACACTGTGCAGCTTTGTAGACTAGGAGCAACAGACTGTACAATATAGCCTAGGTGTGTAGTAGGCTATCCTGTCGGGGTTTGTGGAAGTGCACTCTATGGTGTTTGCAAAACAAAGAACTTGCCTGACAATGCAGTTCTCAGAATGAATCCCTGATGTTAGGTGACTCGGGACTGTACAGTTAACTAATCAATATTTAGTGGAAAAAGTAGAAATTAACTTTCAGTTAGAGATTATCCATTCAAAAAACATTTGCTGATTACCCTTTATCTAGTATTCACTGATATAAAATATGATATACAAAAGTAAACAATACTCACAAAGCATATTATTAGAAGCATGCTAATATAGTCACCCATATAATGTTTCTCAAAGTAATCTCATTATTGTCTTCCAAAGTATATATTTCTGTTACTAAAATATTTTTCTTAGGATCTCTGTCATAAAACCACTTTTATAGGCAATATATATTGTAATGATTCTGTATGTTCATTATGTCTCATTATTGACTGAATCTCCTTGAATATCACCTAAATCCATCACATTACCACCTTGGAGATGAAAAAAGCATGGTTATAATCAACAAATGGCTGAATCTGAGTCCAAAATTCGAAATGGCACAAAATGCAGCTAGAGGAATCAAAGGAGACCAGATGATAAAGATCTCTGAAGTTATATAAAGCAATGTAAAATTCATCTTAAAAGTAATAAGAATTCAGAAGAAATAAGGCGAGGAATATAATAAAATGTATACTTTAGAAAGACAACTCTTGCTGCAATGTAGAGAATGAACTAGAAATGGTAAAATGAGAGGAAAGAAGACCAGTTACAAACCTGCTGCAATAATCCAGGCATCAAATGACAATATTCTAAACTAGAGGAGTTATAGCCAGGACATAGGGAATTCGCAGATTCAACAGCTACTTAAGCGGCAAAATCAAGAGAACACTGAAAATGCCTAAACATGAGTATAAGACTCCCTTGTTTCTAGGTTGGGCAACTCTAGATAAGTACTAATCACAAGCAAAAGTGTAACCTTGAACAGAATACGATAAATTTCATCTTGAAAACTGTAAGTATGAGGTACCTATAAGAATATCAAGAGTCAGTAATTGAGGAGATAAGACTGTTCAAGGAATGTTTGAGATTTCTCTGTGAAAGCTAAAAACTAATTGGCTTGGAGTCAAACAGACCTGGGTCAAATCCCAGCTTCACTACTTACTAGCTATGTGACGATGGACAAGTTAGTTAATTAGTCGGAGCCTCAGTCTCCTCATTTGTAATGTGTAAAAAAGAATGCCTTATATGGTTTATGTTAGGATTAAATGAGGCAATGTTATCTGAAATGGTAAGCATGGGGTAATGGGGTAGGTACATTTTAAGAGCACAATAATCAGTAAACACTGATGGTAGCAGCAGTACTACTGTCCAGAATGAAGGTGGCAAGAGAGTGGGTCAGGGGTTAAATTTTCAATTCATGTGAGAGGTAATGAGGAGGTCAGAAGATGACTGCAATAAGGAAGGTATAAGTCCTTTAGTTGAATGGAATAAGCCTCAAAGCTGTGGTTCCTCACCCCACCCCGCCCCTTGCCCCTCTGAAAAAGGAGAAGTAGTGTTCTAGAAGAGGCATTGTGGATGGAGAAGTTTGTGGTTCCGACCTCCTGATCCTATGTATGTGGGCAAGGGAGAATAAGTAGCCTCCACTTGAGAGGGTTACAGGGGAAGCAGTGTCCTGGGGGGGAGAAGTGTGTTCCAACTGAAGCAAGGAGGTGGGGAAAAATTAAAACTTCAATAAGAAAGGGAGAATGTAGGTGGTTACATGCATAATGAAAGACAAATTCTGAAGATATTTATGTATTTTCATGTTCATTTTAAAAGCAGGGCTCATAAAGAAAGTGGACAGGTTGATTTGAAACCAAGTTTGTATTCACTCAACAAATATTTATTGAATGCCTACTATGTGTACCACTCTGGGACTAGGGAGAGAGCTTATACCCTAAGAGAAGAAAAACAATGAACAAAATAAGTGATAAGGTGATACATTCTATGGAGAAAAATATTGCAGGGTTGACATACTGTGTGAGTGGGAAGATTCCATTTTCATTGAGTGATCGAGAAGGTGATATTAAAATATATACTTGAAGAATATGAATGAGCAAGCCAATGGGAAACTACTGAAAGGCTTTAAACAGACGTGACTGACTGAAATATTGCTGTATTGGGAATAGATTAAAGGGGAAAGGAGCGAGGATGAAAGCAAAGAGATCAATTAGGAAGATACTGCAATAAAATAGGTGAAAGATTAAGTAACTTCAGAGTAGCAGCAGTGGAGAAGAAAAGAAGTGCTCAAATTCTAAATATATTTTAAAGATTCGGCCTCTGGTATCTGCTAACATTAAGTATGAGACCAGAGAAATAGGAGGAAGTTAGGAATGGCTCTAAGAGTTTTAACCTCAGCAACTGGAAGGATAGACTTGCCACTGAGAAGGAGAAGATGGTGGGCTGTCAGTCTGGAGGGAAATATTTAGAATTCAGTTTGGGCAGCATTAGGGTTGAAACATGAAAATTTGATGCCAAGTAGGCAAATGGATACATGAGTTTGGAATTCGGGGCAGAGGTCCAGGTTGAGATACAAAGAGTCACCAGCATAGAATCATGAGACTGGAAGAGAACACTAAGTAAGGGATATAGATAGAAAAGAGGTCTAAGGAACTGAGCCTTGGGGCACTCCACTGTTAAGTGTCACCTTCTCAGAAGGTGAGAAGAAATCAATAGAGGGACCATTAAGACAAGAGAACAATAAGATTCCTGGAAGCCAAGTGAAGAATAGGTTTCAAAGAAGACAGCATAATCAACTCTATCAAATGCAGCTGCTAAGTAAAATGAGGCCTGAAAACTGGACTGGATGGAGCAGGAGAGGTAACTGTAACTTGACAGGAGCAGCTTAGGTGGCACAGTGTGGTAGAGAGCTTAATTAGAGTAGATTTTAGAGAGAAAGGAGAAATGGGAGACTGAATTACAGAAAAACCTTTCTGGGAACTTTGCTATAAAAGGGAGCGGAGAAATAGGTTAACAACTCGAAGGAAGAGTAACTTAGACTGTTTAAGGGGTTTTCTTTTGTTTCATTTTGTTGTTTAGATGGGAGAAGTAATAGCATAGTAGCACGGACCCAGTAGAGGGGGTGCACATGGGAGGGTTGGCCTTTGAGAGCAGTGTGGATAGTTCATCTGGTAACAACAGAAAAGGCAGATGAAGTGAATACAGATTCTGGGAGGAGGATAACTACGGTAGGAGTCTGTGGAGGTTCTCTTCTGACTGCTTCAGTTTCTTCAGTAAAATAGGAGCAAGGGCATCAGCTTAGAGCTAGGATGAGGAAAGGACATGTTATGGGTTTGAGGACAGAAAATATACAAAGTGGGAGAGTTTGGAGCCAGGAAAGTAGGGAGTGGATGCGCTAAGGATGATTGCTGAGCAGCATTAGGCTTTGAGTTTCATGGCCATAAATTTAACCTATAGCAAGAGTCTTCTTTCCTCAAAAAAGCTACTGCTCTTTCTGTACCATCAATAAAGTTATTCAATGAAGGAAACTGTTACTAGGAGAATGAAACATCTAAATTTCTGTAAAGACTTCCAAAAATAGAAGCACTCTACTCAATGCCTATGACAAACACCTTGGCAAAATCAGTTTATCAAAAGAAACAAGTTAAATGACACTTACTTCACAAAGAAAGTAACTCCAGAAGATAAACTAGAGAAAAAAGAAGGTAATATAGTTATCAAGTCTAAAATTCATACCCACTCAATAGAGAGGGATACTTTCTGGCTGGCCTACAATGAACCCTGATTACTACCCTGAACATGCTACTCAAGGTAAACTTTATTTCATCCCTCCACAGTCACTCCACAGAGATGCAAAATAGTAAATGGATTACAGTCTGAACTGCCATGAAGCTTAAAGGAATGGTCAGTCTACCTTACTGGTTAAGTTGCAAGACTCCAAGATAAGATTTTCATACTTTCCACACTGTAAGAATAAGGAATATCTGTTTTTTCTACCCACAGATCTGAGTGACATGTCTTTTCTCTTTCATAAGTAGCCAAAATATTACACTATCTTCAAATTAAAAAAAAATAACCTAGGCCTCTGATCATATCACAATGAAAATTAATCCTCCTTCTAATAACTCGCAAAAATTCTTAAAATTGTACTCTGATTATAATTGGTTTATAATTAACTTTTTGGAAAAAAATGTGACTCTACCATAGCCATCTTCACCCAATAACCATAAATCAAAATACTCACAAAATGTTAATTGTAAACTTCCATTGTTTAAAATTAGTCTTACAGTAAAGAGTAAAAATTTTACTATTTCCCAACCACCATCTTTATACAGTTTGAATTTTTATTTTTATTTTTAAAAAGCTAAATCCACTGTTCCAAAAACAAGAGTCCAAAGGCAATGAAAATATACAGAACAAGAATCTAGTCAAAATATCCTTTCAGTACCTTCTAGATGTTAGTGGAAAGAATCAAGAAAGGAAGAAAGGGGGAAAAGAAGGGAGGGTGGGAAGGAGTGGAGCTGATAGAAAAAATTTCAAAATACATTAATAAAGAAACATAAATCTCACATTCTAAAACAAAACAAAAGGAACTTACACTGTACCAAAAATGAGACCACATATTATACATTATGGGGTGAGAGTATTCATTTTGAAACAAGAAAAAGAATGGATATGCCAACAATATACATCACTTATCATTATAACAGGGAATTGGTATTTGACACTCAGAAACTTGACATCCTTAGTTTTCTGTTTATGCCCAGACTTCTATTACAAAAGTGAAAGAAGTCACTGGGCTAACCAGATGTTGCCATATCATCCCCATTATTCAGGCCAGTGGTGTGGAACAAAACAAAAAAAAGGTTGTCAAAGCTGAGCAGAGGCTGTCCTTTCCCAGTCTTCTAAAATAATGCTACTGAGAGCAGTAACGTTTTTCAAAGACTTAATAAGCAATAATGCCTATAAGCTCTTGTCAGGTAATCTTTCTTACACTGTCTCACACCATCAGTGTGAATGCAGAGAGGAGGGGAAAAAAATCCTTCTCCCTTCCCCCACCTGCCACAAGGCAGCTAGAACCTGGGACGACACTTGCCTGTTTCCAACAGGGAAAGAAGTCCACCCACACAGGAGCAGCAGCAGGAGGCATAAACGAAAGGAACAGTGTAAAAAGAAATGCAGAATCGCTGCTATAATTTTGAAATTTATACTGTGGGGCAGCCCAGTGTCTCACAGGAAAACAATCACTTTTATTTTTCCTTCCTACTGCCACTCCGACCTTTCCTGGTTGGTGAGTCAGTAGGAGGCAAAAATGAAAGTGCTTACTTTTTTTCCTCTTTGAAACACAAGGTTGTTTAAAACTGTGAATCTCAAAATCATAACATGAACTACCTAATTTTTAAAAGTGTTCTTTTATTGCCTTTGCTGGAAATAATATGAAACAATAATGTTTGTGTATGTGTGTAAAATGAGTCCTAAGAGGTCTATGTTTAATAGATATGTTTGTTTATTATAATCTTGATAATTTATGATCATAACATAAATATATATGGGGACTTAAAAAAAAAAATTCTTCTTGAAATCAAAATATTGGCCTTACTTTAAGCTAAAGGGTCTTTTTACTCAATATAGACAATTCAGACAGGTATAACAAAGAAAAGCAATGTAATAGTGCAATTAAGTAAAGGACTCATTTCATTGAGTCCCTGGTTGGTTTCAATTACATATTCTTATTGAGCCCCTGCTACAGGTGAGAAATTGAAGTACCAGAGGGCATCCAAGGTAAATAAGACACAGTCCTTTCCCTCAAGGAGATTTTAACCTAATAAGAGAGATAAAAATGACACCAAAGTATCAGAATACCAGAAGAGAGATGCAAAGAAGATACCGCCACATTTCCAAGGAAAGACTGCTTTCAGAGGATCAGACAAAGCTTTATGGTAGAGACGGCTTTGTTGTTGGTCCTTAAAGGATGGGCAGGATTTAGAAAATTGGAGGGGAAGATGGAGGGTACAAAATCAAAATCAGCAAAGTCATACAAGCAGAAAAGATCGTTTTTTGTAGACGGTTATTCTCTAAACAGTGCTTCCATGAGAAGTCAATAGATGCACTAAAAAAAAAAAAAAAAAAAAGGATCCCATAGACAAATAAGTTTGGAAAACACTACAGCCTATACCACTCTTTGAAATTCATTCACAATGCACACTAGTGTAGGAAAGGCTCTGAGGAAGTACTGCCACAAAGTCACTGTTTTCCCCAAGTCTCTCAAACCTATTTGACTATAGAACTCTTGTGAAAGAACACTTATCAGTAGCCCAAAGGCATGTTTTCAGAAATACCGTCCAAACAAAATTGGGACAAGGTTAGCAGAGTATACATGAGACATATTGTAGAATGCCTCAAACACCAAGCTGAGAAATATAGTCTTCAGGAACAACAGCAATAAAAATGAGGTATTGCCCTGACATGGGGTGGCAACTGTTATTTTAAACATGTCATTACACGTTAGCTTTATGACAAGTATTCATACTGAATGCAGGATGCTAAATAATGAATATGTGTACATTTTTTACTAAAAGATTTTTTTATTTCATTTTATGTTATTAAATACAAGAAACAAGCAAATATATCACAGGAGAAATACACTACAAGTGATAGGGAGAGAAAAGTCACCATCATGGAAGGCAGCTGTGGGCAAGGCAAGATCAGCTCACTAAAGCAGGGGCAGGTACAAAATGTACTGGCACTCCCAAGCTTAGGCACAGTCTCACCTTTTTTTTTTTTTCCTCTTCCTTCCCTAAACCTAATACTAACGCTCAGAGCTTACAGGTCATTCAAATAAAGTTAAAAGCTAAAGCTGCCTTTTTGTTTTCATGTTTGTAAATGGGAACTAAGCATTATCAAACAATATTTTAAAATAAATATTTCTATCAAAATGGCAAACTGCACCCTAAAAATATGTGCAATTGTACTGTATCAATTAAAATAAATAATATATTACACATAAATAATTATATCTAAAAAGTGTACTAATTACACCTAAAACAATTATACCAAAAGCCATAAACAAAACTGAAAAACAAAGCAAAAAAAAAAAAAATGCTGATTAAAACTTGGAAATTCAAAATTAGCACTTTTGTGCTACTTTATTTCCTAAAGGAACTGTAAATGTACTACTTTCTTACACATATTTAACACAGATTATATATAGTTCTGCCCATCTTAATTAGGATAAATTACCTGTGGTTGGAACTGAGGAACAGGTGGCCCTTGCATTCCTTGTGATTGCTCATCCATTGTCTGAAGCAACAGGAACTTTAGAACTCTGCAAAAATGTAAAGTTGAAATTTAAATAATGTAATCATTACCAATTCACATCATTCATCATACACCGACACATGCATTCAAATGCTAGAGATTTACTTGATGCTTCAAAAATTCACTGAGATATACCACACTCTTTTGCCATTTGCTAAATCCAAGCTCTAGTTAGCTCCCACAAATATTCACTGTCTCAACCATTTCCACTTCTCCAAAAGCATTATTTGCTTAGAAAATCCTGTTTCCTGAGATGAAATTCCTTCTTCTGCATTCTGCCTTTTAGATCAAAGATACTTTCCTCTACCCTGCCACTATGAGAAGCTAAGTAACAGAGTAAGCTCCCTAAAATTATGCTCAATGTTTTACATCCCTAAAATGCACCTTATCTTTATAGTCTAAAAATGTTAGTACTTTCTTTTATCCAACTGCTTACTGTGATTTTTTAAATTTAAACTTAAAAGGCCAGTCGTCATATGAGTGTCTACTCTTTTACGCATACTTTGTAATTATAAAGCATTTCATCCATTAATTCAGTATACATAGGCTGAAGGTAATTGCATGTCAGGCATTGCACAAGACTCAAAAATTGAAATATTTAATGACACACAGCCCTTACACTCCAGGAACTACATTTGCACTGATTCTACTCAACACCACGTGTTTCTAGGTTCTCTATAAATATTATTTTATGACCAAAATCTAAGACTCAAAAAACTAGCTTCCCTTTTAAATGGGATTAACTGATGGAACAACTAAAACACATCTTCACTTCATCATACTCTTTAAAAACCAATACAAATATTCTGGGCATGGTTCATTTGTATTACAAATTTCTTCCTCTACCCTGTGACTTGTCTTTCTAAAACCTTCCCAATGGTATCTTTCCATGAACTAATGAATAGAAATTCATAATTTTAATGTGGTCTAAGTATTTAAACTTTTTCTTTATGATTAATGCTTTGTGTACTATGTATGAATTATTTTTCTACTCTAAGTGCTCATATTATTTTCTAATGTAAGCTTTATTTTTTAACCTTTAATATTTAGATCTACAAACCATCTGGAATTAAGTTTTTTTATGATATAAGGCAAAGTCAATCTTTGTTTTTCTTTATGGATATCCAACTGACCTCAAATGATATATTGAAAAAATTATCCTTTACCACACTGCACTGCTGCTATGGTCATCTTTGTCATATACCAAATGATCATGTGTTTTTATATATATATATATATATATATATATATATATATACACACACACATACACGTATATACACACACACATATAGGTATCTGCACTTTCCTTGCTGTTGCACTGGCTATTTATTTGCACTAACAACAATAGTACACTATACAGTGTACTACTGCCCTACAGTGTACCTACTACACTGTACTATTACTACTCTATATAAAACTACAGTATTAATTACTATAGCTTATTATAAAGTCTTGATATTTACTTAATTACGTGTCTGATTTTAATACGAATTGTAAAATCGATCAGCCTATTTCGATTTTCTAAAAAAACACTGCTGGGATTTTGATTGGGATTACGTTGACCTTAAAGATCAATTTGGGGAGAATTGACATCTTAATAATATGGGGTCTTCAAACCCATGAACACAGACTATCTCATTTAAGTTTCTTTCAATAATGGCTTCCAGTTTCATTATACTGGTCTTTCACATCTTTTTTCAGATTATTTCCTAAGTGTTTTATATTTTTTGATACTACTGTAAATGGTGGGGTTTTTTAATTCAATTTTCTGATTGTTAGTATATAGGAATAAAACGTTTTTTGTATATTGACCCTGTATCTTGCAAAATTCCTAAACTTCCTTATTAGTCCAAGTAGCTTTTCTGTAGTTTTTTTGCCTTACTACAATAGATAGAACATCCAGTACAATGAATAGAAGTAGAGAGCAGACATCCTTTCCTTTTTCCTAATCTTAGGAAAAACGTATTAAATCTGTCACCAATAAGTATTATGTTAGCTATACATTTTTTATAGATGCCCTGATTTATCAGGTTGATAATTCCCTTCTATTGTTTGCTGGAAGTTTTTACAAAGAATAGATGTTAGATTTTTATTAAAAAATTTGTGTATCTTGAAATGATTACATGTTTTTTCTTTTTTAATCTGTTAAAATGTTGAATTATATTGATTCAATTTTGAATATTAAAGCAATATTCATTTGTGGGATGAACCCCACTTGGTCATGATAAATAATCATGTTTATGCAGTATTGGATTCAAGGTCGGGAGGAGGATGAAGGATAATCCTAGAAGTGAATCCAAATACCTTTTAGCATGAAATCCAATATTAAAATCAACATTTCATACCCGGTGTCCCACAGACAGTTTCACAAGATATTCCGTAAAGAAAAGAAAAAGTTTCCTGGTCAAAGACCCCTATGAAATAACATTTTTTATATGAATCTCTCTTGAAGAGTCATAGTGAATAGCACAGTAAAAGATCCAAGCAGGCCTGCAATTAGTAAAAGTTTCTTAAGTTTCGTTTCTTTGCTTTGCTTTCTTTGTGTGACATTTTAAAATATCCCACAGTCTGACTGATCCAAAGAAGACATTTTGAGAAATTCTGTACTAGGTTATAATAAAGTGGTTTTGCTATAGCTACTGATACGTGACAATGTCTAAGCAAATAAAACAATGAAAAAAGAAACATAAAACTCAAAGAAACTTAAAGTGTTTTACTCTAAAAATCTACATAAAGAACTCATTTCTACAGTATCCCATAAAGAAGGTCAAGGAGACTCTGCTCAGATATAAAATTCTGAATAAATTTCTCATATTGAATGTAAACTTAAAAAGAGTGAAAAAAGCCACAAACTGTGTTTTTCCTCTGCTTTCATACAACAATCACAATAAGACTTCTGTGACCAAATGTGTAAAGGTTTCTCTCCACACATCAAGCAAATAATCAGTTCTGCAGTGGACACCAGCTGGGTTTCCTCCAATTCAATTCCAACACTATCTTCCTGGAGATAGCAACAGATCCCACAGGTTAAGGGCTCAGTCCCACAAGACCACCGCCCCCTTTCCACCAGTCACAGTCCGAGCCTCTGGAATTTCTGACCAACCCACGTCAAGTTGGGGTTCCCCTGACCCCCTCTCTGGGTTTGATTTATTTGCCAGAGCGGCTCACAGACCTCAGGAGGGGAAATACGTTTACCAGTCTATTATAAAGAATATTACAAAGCATAAGGATAGAGAGATGCATGGGGCAAGTATGAGGGAAGGGTTGCAGAGCTTCCATGCCCTCCCCAGAAACACCACACTCCAGGAACCTCCAATGTGTTCAGCTATCCAGAAGCACCCTGAACCTGGCCACTTGGGCCTTTTGTGGAGATTTCATTGGCTAGGCATGACTGACAACCATACAGAAATGTGACTGGACAAAAAAGATATGATCAAATACTAACAGACTGAGTGGGAAAACCCAGCCAGGCCTGTCTGTTCAGCTTCTTCTTGGCCTCTTTGTGCAGCATTCCTTTCCCCAGAGTATGGGGCAGAACGCCTTCTGAAATGGTGTTAAGACCTTCAATCATACTGAATGGGCAAAAACTGGAAGCATTCCCTTTGAAAACGGGCACAAGACAGGGATGCCCTCTCTCACCACTCCTATTCCACATAGTGTTAGAAGTTCTGGCCAGGGCAATCAGGCAGGAGAAAGAAATAAAGGATATTTAATTAGGAAAAGAGGAAGTCAAATTGTCCCTGTTTGCAGATGACATGATTGTATATCTAGAAACCCCATTGTCTCAGCCCAAAATCTCCTTAAGCTGATAGGCAACTTCAGCAAAGTCTCAGGATACAAAATCAATGTGCAAAAATCATAAGCATTCTTATACACCAATAACAGACAAACAGAGAGCCAAATCATGAGTGAACTCCCATTCACAATTGCTTCAAAGAGAATAAAATACCTAGGAATCCAACTTACAAGGGACGTGAAGGACCTCTTCAAGGAGAACTACAAACCACTGTTCAATGAAATAAAAGAGGATACAAAGAAATGGAAGAACATTCCATGCTCATGGGTAGGAAGAATCAATATCGTGAAAATGGCCATACTGCCCAAGGTAATTTATAGATTCAATGCCATCCCCATCAAGCTACCAATGACTTTCTTCACATAATTGGAAAAAACTACTTTAAAGTTCACATGGAACCAAAAAAGAGCCTGCATTGCCAAGTCAGTCCTGAGCCAAAAGAACAAAACTGGAGGCATCACACTACCTGACTTCAAACTATACTACAAGGCTACAGTAACCAAAACAGCATGGTACTGGTACCAAAACAGAGATATAGACCAATGGAACAGAACAGAGCCCTCAGAAATAATGCTGCATATCTACAACCATCTGATCTTTGAAAACCTGACAAAAACAAGAAATGGGGAAACAATTCCCTATTTAATAAATGGTGCTGGGAAAACTGGCTAGCAGTAGGTAGAAAGCTGCAACTGGATCCCTTCCTTACACCTTATACAAAAATTAATTCAAGATGGATTAAAGACTTAAATGTTAGACCTGAAACCATAAAAACCCTAGAAGAAAACCTAGGCAATACCATTCAGGACATAGGCATGGGCAAGGACTTCATGTCTAAAACACCAAAAGCAATGGCAACAAAAGCCAAAATTGACAAATGGGATCTAATTCAACTAAAGAGCTTCTGCACAGCAAAAGAAACTACCATCAGAGTGAACAGGCAGCCTACAGAATGGGAGAAAATTTTTGCAATATATTCATCTGACAAAGGGCTAATATCCAGAATCTACAATAAACTCAAACAAATTTACAAGAAAAAAACAAACAACCCCATCAAAAGTGGGCGAAGGATATGAACAGACACTTCTCAAAAGAAGACATTTATGCAGCCAAAAAACACATGAAAAAATTCTCATCATCACTAGCCATCACAGAAATGCAAATCAAAACCACAATGAAATACCATCTCACACCAGTTAGAATGGCGATCATTAAAAAGCCAGGAAACAACAGGTGCTGGAGAGGATGTGGAGAAATAGGAACACTTTTACACTGTTGGTGGGACTGTAAACTAGTTCAACCATTGTGGAAGTCAGTGTGGCGATTCCTCAGGGATCTAGAACTAGAAATGCCATTTGACCCAGCCATCCCATTACTGGGTATATACCCAAAGGATTATAAATCATGCTGCTATGAAGACACATGCACACGTATGTTTATAGCAGCACTATTCACAATAGCAAAGACTTGGAACCAACCCAAATGCCCAACAATGATAGACTGGATTAAGAAAATGTGGCACATATACACCATGAAATACTATGCAGCCGTAAAAAAGGATGAGTTCATGTCCTTTGTAGGGACACGGATGAAGCTGGAAACCATCATTCTCAGCAAACTATCGCAAGGACAAAAAACCAAACACTGCATGTTCTCACTCATAGGTGGGAATTGAACAATGAGAACACATGGACACAGGAAGGGGAACATCACACACTGGGGCCTGTTGTGGGGTGGGGGAGCGGGGGAGGAATAGCATTAGGAGATATACCTAATGTTAAATGACAAGTTAATGGGTGCAGCACACCAACATGGCACATGTATACATATGTAACTAACCTGCACGTTGTGTATATGTACCCTAAAACTTAAAGTATAATGAAAAAAAAAAGATCTACAATCAGACAAAGCAGGTCAGAGAATTTCTTTATGGCCATCTCCAAGACAGAAAGGTAGGGGAAGACTTCTGCCTTCAGGAGAGAAAGAAGGAGGTGAAAGGGCAGGAGAAGTTCACAGAGAGAGATTGTTAGAAGGACTCCTTCTGAGCCCTGAGGCACCCCAATATTAGAGCAAAAGGCTATAACAAGCATTATGGGAGTTATGAGGCAGGAACTGTGGATGAAAACATATACATATTACAGTAAGTACGATGAATAAAAATTATTTGCATAATATATTTAACATAATTCCATGTGTAAGTGGGTTTTTTTTTTTTTGAGACGCAATATCGCTGTGTCGCCCAGGCTGGAATGCAGCGGTGTGATCTCGGCTCACTGCAACCTCTGCCTCCTGGGTTCAAGTCATTCTCCTGCCTCAACCTCTTGAGTAGCTAGGATTACAGGTGTGTGCCACCACGCCCAGCTAAATTTTGTATTTTTAGTAGAGATAGGGTTTTACCATGTTGGTCAGGCTGGTCTGGAACTCCTGACCTCAGGTGATCCACCCGCCTTGGCCTCCCAAAGTGCTGGGATTACAGGGGTGAGCCATCACGCCCAGACTTCAGTGGGTTCTTAATGTTATTATAGAATATGTCAGTGTTTACATATTGATTTAACACCATTACTTATCATGCCCTCAGAACACCAAATAGTGTATCTCGTACCACTAATCCTTTCATAAAATGAAACAAAAATATATTTTAATATATAAAATATTTTAATATGTATTCAATGTTCCAGATTGTAAGTTCCATGTTTCAGGGACACATTTGTGTCATCCACAGCTGTATCACCAGTGCTTACGTCAATACCTGGTACAAAATAGGTGGCTGAAGGAATATTTATTTAATGAATGAATGCATGTACGCATGTCAAGAAAAATCAAGTAATTATTGCTACAAATTAAGTATAAAATCAATGATGAAAAAACTATCATCACATTCAACAAATCTGGCAACCAATCTTCGAGCAAAACAAAAAAAACTCCCCAAAGAAGGTGCTGCCTGAATTGGGTTTTAAATCATGAATAGGAAAAGATGAGCTAAGGAAGAGAGGAATTCTGAGAAGAGGAAAGAACACATCAAAACAGTAAAAAGTATAGTACACACCACTTTATAAGTAATTTCAAACTAAAGTTGGTGAGTTGTGGGAGACGGTGGGTGGGGAGTTAGTAGCAAAAGATTAATCTAAAAATAGACAAGTGTCAGTTCATGGAAAAAAATTATGATATCCATTTGATATGAGAGAGGTATTGTTAGGTTTTAAGTAGCTGAGAGAGAGAGAAGTTCACTATCTTTGAAAGACAATCTTTTTAGCAATAGGACAGAGGGGCACAACCACAAGCAAGAAAGCCAGTTAACAGGCTACTGCACCAATACAGACAAGAGATGACGAGAGCCATCATGAGGGTCCTCTTACTCATCCCCCACCAGCTTTCAACACAACTAACCCACTTTCCTGAAGTGTTCCATTGTCCTGGTTCCTCTCCTAGCTATTCTAAGTTCCCTTTTCTATTTAACTTATATATATGCTGGAGTGCTCCAAGACCTGAATTTTTTTTTTTTTTTGTAACCTACACGCTTCTCAAGTCATCCAGAATGATGTCCTTTAAATTTTTTTATAATTTTTTAATTTTTATTTTTTGTAGAGATGGGGTCTCACTATGTGGTCCAGGCTAGTCTTGTACTCCTAGGCTCAAGTGATCCTCCCACCTCAGCCTCCCAAAGTGCTGAGATTTCAGGCGTGAGCCACCATGTCTGGCCAGGATCATGACCTTGACTACTACTGTTATATGATTACTCTGAAATTTGTATCTTCACTGCAGGTATCTATCCTGAGCTCTGAACTATAAACGCCTACATCCAACTGTCCACTTGGTGTTTCCACCAGAATAAAGCATTCCACCTCTCATGCACTACAAAACTTACTTTTCCTCCAATCTTTTTTTTATTTCTACATGTATCACCATCTACTTAATTGACCCAGTTCCACAATTCTCAAACTTTTAGGTCTCCACATTTCTTTACCTGAGGTCTCTAAAAGGCCTTTTGTTTGTGTGGGTTATATCCACATATATTCTCCATCTCCATTTTGGAAATTAAAACTCAGAAATTTTAAAAATACATACTAATTTATTTACCAATAACATAAGCCCATTTTATATATATATATAAAATAAATAGCTACATTTTCCAAAAATTAGTTAGAAAGGAAGCATTGTTTTACATTTTGCAAACTTAATGTCTATCCTCATAGAAAACGTTTCTGCATTCAATCTGTTGAGACACATTGTTTCGGTTGAAGTACAGACGTATGTTGCTCAACGAAGAGGACATGTGCTGAGAAATATATTCTTAGTTGATTTTGTCATTGTATGAACATCATGGAGTGTACTTCCACAAACCTAAATGGTATAGCCTACTACACACCTACACTATATGGTATAACCTATTGCTCTTAGGCTACAAACCTGTATAGCATGTTATTATACTGAATACTATGGACAACTCGAACACAGTGGTAAGTATTTTTGTATCTAAACATGGAAAAGGTAATGCATTGCACTACAAACATTATAATACCTATGATATCACTAGGCAATAGGAATTTTTCATCTTCATTATAATCTTAAGAAACCATAAGTTTTATATGCAGTCCATAAAGCATCATTATGTGGCACATGGCTATATATTAAAAAATCTGTCCTTCCACAAATGTATAGGTGAAAAAAAGAGAAGTATTTCAATAACCATTTCATATCATTGTATTCTTCTTTCATACTATACCAAATTTGACAGGTGGCAGGTTCCCAAACTGCAGTGTGCAGACTCAAATTATTTCAATGAGCCTTCATACTCTTAAAATCCAATGGTCTATCTTGCCCTTTGCAAAGATCTTTATTCTACAAGATTTTTACATTGGTCATCTGAAAATTTTTAGTCCACTGAGTTATTTAGATCTTCTAAATGTTGGCTATTTCATTATACCATTAAAAAAAATCACATTAATCAACATCACCACTAATCTCATCCAAAAAGTCTTTAAATACCAAGAAGATGTCAAGGTCATACTGATGAATACAGGTTTCCCAAAACTCTAATTTTTACTTTAAAAGTTCAAATATCATTAACAACAAGTAATGTCAGTTGTTTTCCTTTAAAGGATAGGCAGTTTGTTTTCCTAAAAATATCTATGAAATGCCTGTCTGAATATTGTCTTGCTTTCAAGTAAACATGGTGTTCCATGAAAACGGTAGCTACTCACCTTGCTGCACAACTGCAGAAATGCTTTTCCTTGAGACAACTTTGATTTGCTGCAGTAGAACTTTAAGCATACTTCCCATTTCACACATCATATTAAAAGACATATACTCAAAAGTTGACATTTGATAAGAATAATACTCTTTTACCACTTCATCAAGGACATTTTAAAATGAAACTTGCTCCCTACATCCAACACATCAGTATGCATCATTTGTTCTACTTCCAAAATATATCTGAAATTTGTTCATGTTCCTCCATTACCACTACTACTACCCTACAAGTTATCATCATGTCTCCACCTGGGACTACCATAATAGCCTACTAATTGATCTCTCTTTTTCTACCATTCTCTCCAAAGTGATATTTTGAAAACATAAATCAAATTATAACGCTCTCATTGTTCTTAGAATAAAAATTCAAACTCCTTTCTGAAACACAGTAGAATTCTGTAAGTAATCTCCTGCCTGCCTCTCCCACATTTCCAGCCCAGTCTCTCTCAATGAATGCCTTCCATCAGCACTGAACTCCTTTCTGTTCTTGAAACCTGTGAAATCCTGTCTGGCATCAGGCCTTTGTATTTGCTATCCTCTAGGCCCAGAATTCCCGAATGGCTGGTTCAAAATCAGCTCTACCCTAACTGCCCTCGCCAAAGTAGTGTGCGGCCCCCATCCACCCCCACCCCCCGCTTGATTCTTATCTTCACTCTTTAGTTTCTGCACAGCAATTATAACAATTTGTAATTGTCTTATTATTTACTTTTTTATTGTGTTTATCTCCTCTGCTATAAGTAGCAGAGGGCGAGACTGTCATTTTGTTCCCTGCTGTATTCATCAGCAAGTACCTGGCATATAATGGACACTCGATAAACATCGCTGAATGAATAAAACATGAAAGGAAATGGAGAATAGAGGATCGATGTTAGCATTGCTTGTTTTGACTTTTAGGACTTGTGACTGATTAGATATGGTGGGTGATGGAAAATGGAAGTTAAAAATGATTCCACGATTTTAGCTTGGGGGAAACAGCACGTGGTGGTACCACCGTCAAAAGTAGGTAATAGAGGGGAAATAAAAACAGGGCAGGTGTCAGGAAGGACAAAGTACAGAATGAGATTCACACAGAAAAACCTAACTGTAAATTATTAGGAGAAAAACCATACAGAACAGTTTTATAATATTCAAATTTCTTTGGGGGAAGGGGAGTTCAATATATTGTCTTGAAAATCTCAAACCAATTAGTTGTTTATCACCTAAAGCTTTTTAATGTGATTGAAAAAAGTTCTCTTAAGCATATTATGGTAACTCCAAATCTTTTAAGTACTACAAATATTTTCACATATATCCAGAAACCTAATACACATTAAAGTAAAACAATCTTCTTACCCTATTATTGCATATGGTCACATATTTTATGGAAAATAAAAGAACAAAATTAGGAATCTGAATATCAGACACAAGCGCTAATTAAATGACAGAACCATTTAGTTTTAAGACATCAGATCTGCTTGCCAGTGGACTGAATTTTCATAATTCATATGACCCTGATAAGAAAACTATTAAACAAAGTACAATATACTGTATATATTACAAATGATACAGTTCTCAACGACACTATACTAGATAACATTATACTAGATAACTATCTTCATTTAAAAACTGAAATAACATTATAACACAGTTCCCTAAATGAAAATAATGCCTTTCCTAGTTCCCATATTTAATAAGTTAATTTTTCTAAAGCTAAAATCCTAAGATAATTATCAGCAAATTAAATCATGCTAAGTATACACTTTTCCCTAAATATCATTTGAATTGAAAAACTACAGCTAACATATTTACCTTAGCTAAAATCTTAATCAAAATAAGAAGCTTTAATCTACATCTGTAGACATCTTCAGTGCATTTAATCTTTGAAAATTTATTTTGCAGAAATTGACCTAAAATAAACCAATATACATTTCAAAACATTAATCTGATTCTTGGCCAATTATATAGTTTTAAAACGTGTAATATAAAAGTTTTTTTAATGAGGCTTAAAAATATGTTTTTAAGAAAAATCATTGGTGCATTTTACCTGTGATCATAATTTTTGTCAAAAAAACTTTATAATTGGTCTTTAGGCAGAAAAAAAATTAATTATATTAAAGAATGTTAAACCAAAGAAAAATACTTCATTCTATATATACTTAATGAAGAAAGATTTAAAGACTGGTCAATCTCATAATCTTTCAAACTCAACTTTTAATTTAAAATGTAACGTAAATCCAATTTAACCAAGAATATCCATAGATTCTAGTTGTTCAAACGGACTTCCTCTTTATGTTTCCAAAGATTATTTAAATAGACTTCCTCTTTATGCTTCCAAGTAATAATTCCATGATGCTATCAAAGTTTCCCTAAAATGAATTATTGACACAGTATGAAATCTTAAATATCAAAATATGTGCTTACCAATTTGAAGAGAGATTTCAAATAGAGCTTCAGAAGTTTTTAGTTTTCTGATTTTTTTCAGAATTCTAGAGTTGAAGCATATTCGTCCAAGCTTATTAATAGTTTCCTTTTCCTGAAATAAAGTGTCTTTTCAATCTTCAAGGTTATTCAAAAACTCAATATTCCTTCTAGTTACATGTACCATTTAAATATTCTGAGAATATTAATAAGACATTTCATTGATTACAACTACAGCTCATAAATAACAAAAAAAGAGGATCAATCATATTTAAGTAGCAACACTACTCCCATCCAAAGGAAAATTATTGACTGAGCTGTATGTACATGTGATACCTAAAAAATGAAAGGGTATCATGGAAACTTGATGGTGACTGATACTTGGCAGAGTCTGAACACTCAAATCCAGAACTAATATTTTTCTTGGCCCCAAGTCACCATTCAGCAGGAATATTCCTGACCTCACTCACCTGCCTCCATTTAACTGAGTCATCCAGTACTTCCCATAATCAAGCAAGTGACATGTCGATATCAGACAATGCAAAAAAATAAGTGCTTAGAGTTGATAGTTCATTCTTAACATTTCTGTGTTATGATGAATGAGTTTTTAAGAACTACTAGGATAACTATCAGATCTTTGAAAAGAACCATGAATGTTTCTAGTATCCCAGTCTCAACATTTATAGTTAAACACATTAAACTAACCTAATACCAATCTTGGTGTTTAAAGCCCTTCTCCATTTAAAGGAATTAGGGCTTTTTGGAGAGATGATTGGTTCTAGGACTCAGGCTGAGAAAGAACAAGCTGAGTCTGAAACATTTTGTTGTGCCAAAGACAAGGTAGTATTCAAAGAACAATGTGGACATGTCAAAAAGACATAAAAGCCAGCTTGAATGGGTTCCCATCGGCCACATTTGGTACAATTTGAGAGTAACAAATTATAATCCATTGAATAAAGTAAGAACCTATGAGTTAATAACAATATAAATTAATAAATAGTGAAAAGGGGGAACCTACTTCTTACAAAAGAATGCCACCTAATAAAGCAAGAACAATGGGATTTAAAAATCAATATTTGCCAGTCATCACAGAAATAACTGATTCAGGCAAGAATCATCAATGGATGATTAGTGCAGCAAAGTTTACAGTGTCTCATAGTATTTCCCACCCCACCCCCCGCCCCAAAAAAGCACATATTAATTACAAAGGGAAAAAGAGTGATTTCATAGTAGAGAGCCTGGCAGTCATCACATTAGCCAAATAATCAAAAGTTAACATCACCAGTAATGGGACATGCAGATATGTGCCTCCAAATACAATGCACTTAGTAGAAAACATCACCTCTGTGATATTCCTGCCAAAAATATAAACCCTGAATTGCTTCAACTTATTTTAATCGACAAATAAAAATTCTATATACTTATTTTATACAATAATGATGTTTTAAAATGTGTGTACAGTGGTGAAGTCTAGGATTTTAATGCACCTGTCACCGGAATAGTATATACTGTACCCAAAAAGTAGTTTTTCATCCCTCACATCCCTCCCACCCTTCCCCATTCTGAGTCTCCAATGTCCATTAACTCACACTGTATGCCTTTATGTACCCATAGTTTAGCTCCCAATTATAAGTAAGAACATGCAGTATTTGGTTTTTGATTCCTCATTTACTTCATTTAGAATAATGCCCTCCAATTCCATCCAAGTTGTTGCAGAAGACATTATTTCATTCGTTTTACAGCTTAGTAGTATTCTACACACACACATATATATATACACACACAAACATACACACATATATATACACATATTTTAATATATTAATTATATATAAAAATAGAAAATTATAAACATTTTTATGTAAAATATACATAAATTTAATAGATATATATAAAACATATATACACACACACACCAATATTTTCTTTATCCATTCATCAGTTGAGGGGTACTTAGGTTGATTCCATTTCTTTGCAATTATAAATTGTGCTGTAATAAACATACACGTGCAAGCGTTTCTTTGATACAGTGACTTCTTTTTCTTTGGGTAGACACCCATCAGTGGAATTACTAGATCAAATAGTGGATTAACTTTGAGTTCTTTGAAATATTTCCATATTGTTTTCCACAGAGGTGGTGCTACTTTACATTCCCACCAGCAGTGTGTAAGTGTTCCTTTTTCACCATATCCATGCCAGAATCTATGGCTTTTTGACTTTTTAAATAAGGGCCATTCTGGCTGGGGTAAGGTGGTATCTCATTGTGGTTTTAATTTGTATTTTCCTGATGATAAGTGATGTTGAGCATTTTTTTCATATTTGTTGGCCACTTGTATATCTTCTTTTGAGAAATGTCTATTCATGCTTTTTTTTTTTGCCAATCTTTTAATTGGATTTTTTTCTTGCTGATTTATTTGTATATTCCGCATATCAGTCCTTTGTTGGGTTCATAATTTGCAAATATTTTCTCCCATTCTACAGGTTGTCTATTCTGATGATTATTTATTTTGCTGTGTAGAAGCTTTTTAATTTAATTTGGTCCCATTTATTTATTTTTGGTTTTGTTGCATTTGTTTTTGGAGTCTTTATCATAAATTCTTTACCTAGATCAATGTCCAGAAGAGTTTTTCTTAGGTTTTCTTCTAGAATTTTTATAGTTTCAGGTCTTGGATTTAAATCTTTAATCCATTTTGAGTTAACTTTTGTAATATAGTGAGAGAAAGGGATCCAGTTTCATTCTTCTACATGTGGCTATCCAATTTTCCCAGCGCCATTTATCAAATAGGGTGTCTATTTCCCAATTTATGTTTTTGTATTCTTTGTCGAAGATCAGTTAGTTTTAAGTGTCTGTCTTTATTTAGAGGTTCTCTATTCTGTTCCATTAGTCTTTGCATCTACTTTTATACCAGTACCATGCAGTTTGGATTACTACAGCCTTGTAGTATGATTTGAAGTCAGGTAATGTAATGCTTCCAGACTTATGCTTTTTGCTTAGGATTGTTTTAGCAATTTGGGCTTTTTGGTTCCATATAAATTTGAGGATTGTTTTTCCTAATTCTGTGAAAATGATATTGGTATTTTCATAGGAATTTCATAGGATTGCTTTAGGCAGTATGGTCATTTTCACAATATTGATTCTTTCAATCCCTGAGCATGGGATGTATTTCCATTTGTTTTATTTATTTCAGCAGTGTTTTGCAGTTCTCCTTGTAGAGATCTTTCACCTACTTGGTTAAGTATATTCCTAGGCTTGGGGCTTTTTTTTTTTTTTTTATAGCTATTGTAAAAACGGATTGTGTTCTTGATTTGATTATTAACCTGTTCATTGTTGGTGTATAGCAGTGTTACTGATTTCTGTACATTGATTTTGTAACCTGATACTTAATTCATTTATTAGATCTAGGAGTGTTTTGGAGGAGTCTTAAGGGTTTTCTAGGTATAAGATCATATAATCAGCATACAGAGATAGTTTGGCTTCCTCTTTTCCAATTTGGATGTCCTTTATTTCCGTCTCTTGCCTGATAGCTCGGGCTAAGTCTTCAAGTACTATGTTGAATAGAAATGGTGAAAGTAGGCATTCCTATCTTGTTCCAGTTCTTAGGGGGAATGCTTTTAACTCTGTCCCATTCAATATGATGTTGGCTGTGGGTTTGTCATATATGGTTTTTATTATTTTGAGGTATGTTTCTTTATGCCTAGTTGAGGGTTTTTATCATAAGGAGATGCTGGCTTTTATCAAATGCTTTTTCTGCATCTACTGAGATGATTATATGGTTTTGTTTTCAATTCTGTTCATGTGATCAATCACATTTATTGACTTGCACGTGTTGAACCATCCCTGCAACCCACTTGATCATGGTGAATTTTTATTTCTTTTGACGTGCTGTTGAGTTTGGTTTGCTAACACTCTGTTGAGGATTTTTGCATCTGTGTTTTACAGATACTTGTCCGCAGTTTACTTTTTCAGTTATGTCCTTTCCTGGCTTTGATATCAGGGTGACACTAGCTTCATAAAATGAGTTCAGGAGGATTCTCTCCTTCTCAATCTTTAGAAATAGTTTCAGTACACTTGTACTAATTCTTCCTTGAATGTCTGGTAGAATTTGGCTGTGAATCTATGTGGCCCTGGGCTTATTTTTCTTGGCAGTTGTTTTTGGTTTCTTAATGACTGATTCAATCTCACTGCTTGTGATTGGTCTGTTCAGAATTTCTATTTCTTCCTGATTCAATCTAGAAGGGTTGTCGTTTTCGAGGAAATTGATAATTATCAATTTCCTCTATGTTTTCTAGTTTGTGCATATAAAGGTGTTCATAGTAATGTCAAATGATCTTTTGTATTTCTGTGATATTGATTGTAATTGTCTCCAGTTTCACTTTTAATTGAGCTTATTTGGATCTTCTCTCTTCTTTTCTTGGTTAATCTAGCTAGTGGCCTATCGATTTTGTTTATCTTTTCAAATAACCAGTTTTTGTTTCACTGATCTTTTGTACTTCTGCTTGTTTGTTTGTTCTAATTTCATTTAGTTCTGCCCTGATCTTCGTTACTTCTTTTCCTCTGCTAGCTTGGGTTTGGTTTGTTCTTGTCTCTCTAAGAAGAAGGTGTGACATTGGGTTGCCAATTTGTGATCTTTCAGACTTTTTGATATAGATATTTAGCGCTATAAACTTTCCTCTTAACACTGTCTTTGCTGTATCCTAGAGATTTTGATAACTTGTGCCACTGTTATCATTCATTTTGAAAAATTTTTAAATTTCCATCTTGATCTCATGGTTAACCCAAAAATCATTCAGAAGCAGATTGTTTAATTTCCATGTATTTATACAGTTTTGATGGTTCCCTCTGGAATTGATTTCTAGTTTTATTTTGCTGTGGTCTGAGAATATAATTGATGTGATTTCTATTTTTATAAATTTATTGAGACTCATTTTGTGGCCTATCATATGGTCTATCTTGGAGAATGTGTTATACCTTGTGCTGATGAGAAAAATGTATATTCTGCAGTTTTTGGGTAGAATGTTCCGTGAATATCTATTAGGTTCATTTGTTTACGGTGCAGGTTCATTTGTTCTAGAGCGCAGTTGAAGTCCAGTGTTTCTTTGTTAAATTTCTGCTTCAGTGATCTGTCTAGCACTGTCAGTGGAGTGTTAAAGTCACAACTACTGTTGTGTTGCTATCTCTTTTCTTTAATCTAGTGGTATTGCTTTATGAATCTGGGTACTCCAGAGTTGGGCACATACATGTTTAGGATTGTTATATCTTCTTGTTGAATTGATCCCTTCTGTCATCCTATAATGATGTTTTTTTTTATTTTTTTACTGTTACTGCTTTAAAGACAGTTTTATCTGATATAAGAATAACTATTCCTGCTCGCTTTTAGTTTCCATTTGCATGAAATATCTTTTTCCACTCCTTTACCTTAAGTCCATAAGAATCCTCACGTGTTAGGTGTGTCTCCTGAAATCAATACTTATTTGGCTTTTGATATTTTATCCATTCTGCCAATCTGTATCTTTTAGTTAAGAGGTGTCCAATCTTTTGGCTTACTTAGGCCACAACAGAAGAAGAAGAATTGTCTTGGGCCACACATAAACTAATGACAGCTGATGAGCAAAATAAAAATAAATAAAATAAAAATGCAAAAATATCTTATAATGTTTTAAGAAAGTTTAAGAATTTGTGTTGGGCTGCATTCAAAGATATCCTAGGCAACATGTAGTGCATGGGATGTGGATTGGACAAGCTTGTTTTATGTGGAGCATTTAAACCATTTACATTCAATATAAATATTGAGATGTGAGGTACTGTTCCAGTCATCATGTTGTTACCTAGTGACTTTGTTCTCTTCATTTTGTTATTGTTTTATAAACCTTGTGAACTTTATGCTTTCAGGGGTTTCCATTCTCATGCATATCAACCTTTTGTTTCAAGATTTAGAATTCCTTTTAGAATTTCTTGTATGGCTGGTCTAGTATTGACAAATTCCTTCAGCATTTGTGTGTCTGAGAAAGACTTTCTCCTTCATTTATAAAAACTAGTTTTGCTCAATACAAAATTCTTGGCTGTCAGTTATTCTTTTTAAGGAGACTAAAGATAGGAACCCAATCCCTTCTGGCCTATAAGGTTTCTGCTGAGAACTCTGCTGTTCATCTAATACGGTTTCCATTGTAGGTTACCTGATGCTTTTGTCTTACCATTATTAGAATTCTTTTTTTCACATTGACTTTAGGTAGCCTAATGACTATATGCCTTGATGATATTCTTCTTGTAATAAGTCTCCCAGGAGTTCTTTGGGCTTCTTGTATTTAGATTTCTAAATATCTAATAAAGCTGGAGAAGTTTTCCTCAATTATTCCCTCAAATAGGTTTTCCAAACTTTGTTTTTTCTTCTCCTTCAGAAATAACTATAATTCTTAGGTTTGGCCAATTTATATAATCCCATACTTCTTGGAGACTTTGTTCATTCCTTTTGATTCTTTGTCCTTTATTTTTGTCTGACTGGGTTAATTTGAAAGCCTTGCTTCAAGCTCTGTAATTCTTTCCTCTACTTGATCTAGTCTATTGTTAAAACTTTCCATAGCATTTTGTAGTTCCCTAAATGTGTCTTTCTTTTCCAGAAGTTCTGATTGATTTTTCATTAAAATATCCATCTCTTTAGAACATTTTTCATCCATATCCAGAATAGTTTTTAAAACTTATGTTGGTTTGCATCTCTCTCTTGTATCTCCTTGAGTAACTTAATAATCAACTTTTTGAATTCTTTGCCTGGTATTTCGAACATCTCATTTTGATTTGGATCCACTGCTGGAAAGTTACTGTGATCTTTTAGGGGTGTTATAGAACCCTATTTTTTCATATTGCCAGAATTATTTTTCAGGTTCTTTCTCATCTGGGTAAACTATTTTTACTAATTATTTTCGTATTTATTTTTTATTCAACTGGGTTTTATTTCCCCCTTGAGGATGTGACTTTATTGTCATCTAGCTTCAGCTCTGGGGGCTTTCAGTGGCAAAGACTGTGTGAATTCCTTGGTTACAGAGAATCTTTGTGCAAGATGCTGGCTTTCTCAGATGGTGGTTGTAGTAGCAATGTGCCGGGTATATGAGCAGATTCACTGACTCCTGTGGGGCCAGAATAGCAGAGGTCTCATGAAGCCTATTTCAGTCCCCAGTGATGTGCACTTTTTAAATTTTTTTCTCCAATATTTTATACACTGGGTTGAACAGTTCAGGCTTCAGGCTAGTAGGACATGCCCATGGGTAAAACTGCCTGTAGCTAAAGCCAGTGATAAATGCAATATCCCAATGGTGGGCAGAGGTCCCACCCTTGACAGAGGTGGCTGGGGAAGTGCTCAGTGAAATCCACTGACATCTTTCAAGGGGAAAGAAGGAAGGCACCACAGCCGTCCTTCCAGGCCAGCAGGAAAGCGACCCACCTCCCAGTAACACTCCTAACCCAGTATTCTGGCTATTGAGATCAGACAGGCACCTCTTTTCATCTGCAGGAATGCTGATGTTCCATGTAGAGAGGGGTTGTGACTCTATCTCTCATACAAGCCTGAACGAGGAGAGTGCTCCTCCTCTGAGGATAGAGTAACCCTGAAGTGTTCCAGGAAGGCTGTCCACAGATGCACCTACGCTGAGCTCCTGTGGGAGAAGCCCCAGCTGTTTCTGCAGTGGTAGGCAAAGGGGAGAACAAGCCCCCTTCTCCAAGACCCTTCACAAGCACAAGGGCTTCCTGACTGTTGGGGTAGAGCTGCAGACTTTCCCCACTGAGCCCAGCACTGCATCTGTGCCTCTGCTGAAACTTTCCACTAGTGTAAAGTTCAGAGGCTCAAGGCCTGCAATCTGGTTTCTTTTGTCCCACAGGGTGCTCCCTTAATGTGGTACACTCCCCCTTCCCTTAAGATTAACAGTCCCTAAAGGCCAGACTACTGTGAATCCTTCTATGACTCTCGGTCAAGTGATGCTGTCCCACTCCAGATTGGTGCTGTGGAATATCTGCAAGGAATCCAGAGGTGTGACCTGTCCTCTAGTCTCCCAGCAGTGGGTACCACACCAGCTCTGATGGGGGTGGGCGGGAAGATGTAGATACTGAGATTTCCTTGGTTAGAAAGAGCCTTAGTGTGTTGGCTTTGTCAAATACCAGCTGTAACAGTAAGGTATTGGGCAAGTGAAGAGACTCAAGATCTCCTGGTTAGCCAGAATGACTCAGGCAATGATGATAGCTGAGGTCATGCAAATGTTTTCTTCTTCCTAAGTGCTGTGCTTTTTGTGCTTGCAGATGTTGAAATGGACTGTGCTGGTTGGCCTCCAGCCGGGAGGTGGCACTTGCAAAAGAGGATCAGCCGTAGTGGTGACAGCAGATTTTCTGCTTGCCTTATGTTGGGGTGGTACTCTGGTATTTCAGGCAATGGGCTGGGCCATGGAGCTCCCAAATGTCCCTGTCCATTGTGTTACCCTACAAGGGCAGATAGAGGAGCAAAACCAGGTGTGGGCTGGGTCAGGCAAGTCCATGCTCTGGCTCCCCACGTGCAGGCACAAGCAGTGGCCCCAGTGGGGATCAGAGGGCAGTTCCCTGGCTGCTGGCGGGGTAATGTTTAAGGCAGGAGTGCAGCTGCCTCTACTGCACAAAAGAATCCCCATTGGGAGTGGGGATTAGCAGGCGGCAGTTAAGTCCCACTCTGCTCCCAGGTACGTGGCAAGGCAGGTCTCACACCCGCAGTGTTTTGCTAACAGCGGCTAGCTGAATTCCAGGCAGCCTGTGCTCAGAACACAAAACTGCCCCCAGGCCATATGCCCTTTGGCTTTCAGGCGATGACTCTCCTGGTCCAACACCTGTGACACAGGGGCATCCAGCTCCTGCACCTGTGGCTACAGCACACCTTTCGTTTGCTCATCGGTTACAGCCAATGAGGTTCATCCCTACACAAATCTCAGTTGGGAGCTTCTCTCAACCTGTGACCGGAGCCTGAGTTAGCTGGCTGACTTCCGTGAGGTCCCCTGTGAGACAGGATCAGGAATGGCTTCGCTCCCATCCCACTGGAGTCTGGGAATGCACGCAAGACACATCCGAATGCCTTTCCTTCTCATAGACTTCCCATTGCTCAGTTCATCAGCTCCAGGACTGGGTAGGGTTAAGGCCTTCCCCTATGGCCTGGATTGTCCCGCTCCCCTGCGGGAGTGTGTGTCACCGTCTGAAGACAGTTTTCCATTCAGTTCATGGTGCTACTGTCCACTGCGTCTTTCAAAAGGTCTGTGGTTTCTTTCAGTTTTCCTGTTAAGTTCCGGTGTTGCTTCTTGGAAAAAAGTTCACAGCATGAACCTTTACACACAGTTTTGTCTTTCGAAGTGGAAAAGGCATGCTAACGATGCCTCCAGTCCGCCATCTTGCCAAAAAAAAACTGCATTTTTTTTCCATTAGAACTATATTATTAACACCAGAAAATAGAACATTTTTCAAATTCTTCAATCACTGTTCTAATTCAATAACCTATTATTTTTTATACTTTCTTCAATCTTATGCTAAAATTGTCTCCTAAAAATATTATTTATGCTACTTTGGATACTATAAATCCCTAAAAATATTAAAACACCTCAAAATAATGAAAAGTAAGCACATGTGTACACACACATCACAAATCAGAATGACCCATTAGGAATGGCCTGAGATCTCACAAAGATTTAAAACTATGTAATCTGTGAGTGTAATCAATGGAAAAGAGAATTGTGTATAGGGTTTTCATATTTCATTCTTTTGTAACAATGATAACTGTAGTATTCTTCATCTGATACATAATTTCCTATAATAATAAGGTTCTGGAATCTGTTTCCTGACACTCATTGCTAAAAGCTTTTTTAAAGTATTCTCAACAAAGAAATAAGTTAAAAATGATAATCCAAATATAAAATAATAAAACCACAGAACTGGAAAAGAATTAGAAGACCTAATCCTACTTTAATGTTAACCCCATAGTTCTCTTCATAAAGCAGAGTAATTTTGTCTTAACTTTATTAACAACCTAATAGACACAAAGAAATACATATTGGAAATAACCATAAAGCATGTTGAATATCACTAATAAAGAAATACAAATTGCACTTTGGGAGGCCGAGGCGGGCGGATCACGAGGTCAGGAGATCGAGACCATCCCGGCTAAAACGGTGAAACCCCGTCTCTACTAAAAATACAAAAAATTAGCCGGGCGTAGTGGCGGGCGCCTGTAGTCCCAGCTACTTGGGAGGCTGAGGCAGGAGAATGGCGTGAACCCGGGAGGCGGAGCTTGCAGTGAGCCAAGATTGCGCCACTGCACTCCAGCCTGGGCGACAGAGCGAGACTCCGTCTCAAAAAAAAAAAAAAAAAAAAAAAAAAAAAGAAATACAAATTGAAGGGACAATGACATATAATACAGTTGATAGCCTATCAAAATAATAAATATTATACAAAGTATATATAATGTTTACATAGGTATATAACCTTTCTAGAAAAAATGATATCAAGATTTTTTCATATACTTTTACTCAGTACTCTTACTCCCAAAATTCTCTTCTAAAAAAATTAATCAGTGACTAAATTTGGGATTACATATAAGAAGGTACATATTAAAAAAGCATTTATCATTTTTAAAAATTGGAAACAAAGTATAAGTCTAACAATATGAGAATGGCCAAATAAATTACAGCAAATACATAAAATAGAACACTAGATTGAAAATATTTATTAAAATTTTTAGGACAGGTTCAGTGACTTACTCCTGCAATCTCAGCACTTCAGGAGCCCAAGGGAGGAAAACTTGGGGGGCCAGGAGTTCAAGACCTGCCTAAGCAACATAGCAAGACCCCATCACACACACAAAACAGCTGGGCATGGTGGCATGTGCCTATAATCCTAGCTACTCAGGAGGTGAGGCAGGAGGATCACTTGAACCCAGGAGTTTAAAGTTACGGTAAGCTATGATAACACCACTGCACTCCAGCCTAAGTGACAAAGTAGGACCCTGTCCCTAAAAAAATAAAAATAGGCCAGACGCAGTGTTCACACCTGTAATCCTAGCACCTTGGGAGGCCCAGGCAGGCGGACTGCCTAAGCTCAGAAGTTTAAGACCAGCCTGGGCAACATGGTGAAACCCCGTCTCTACTAAAGTACAAAAAATAGCCAGGAAGTCCCAGCTATTAGGGAGGCTGATGCATGAGAATTGCTTGAACCCAGGAGGCAGAAGTTGCAGTAAGTCGAGATCACGCCCCTGCACTCCAACCTGGGTGACAGAGAGAGACTCCATCTCCAGATAAATAAATAAAAATATAAATAAATATTAGACCCAGCATGGTAGCTCATACCTGTAATCCCAGGCACTTTGGAAGGCCAAGGCAGGAGGATCGCTTGAGCCTAGGAATTCAGGACCAGCCTGGGCAACATAGCGAGACTCCATCTTTGCTATTAAAAAAAAGAGAGAGAGAGAGAAAGTAAAAGAAAGAAAAATTAAATGTTTTAGTGATATTTTAAAATGTATGAAATATAATGTGAAATGAAAAACTAAGACTCAAAAACAAATTTCCATGTTATACGTACTCAAAGGATATTATTCTTATCATTATCAAAATTACATTTAGTTAATTGCATAGTTATTTGTTGAAGCTATCTACCTTGCCAAAATATAAGCCAAATAAGGTTAGGAAATCCTTTTATGTATCACTTTATCCCTACAGTGCTTGGAACAGGGATAAACATATAGTAAATAAATATTTGCTGAATTATTCTACTAAGAATCTGTAATCTACTAAATAAAAAACATCACTTTGCATAATAAAATGTACAAATTGTCTTAACACTGTTTTTAAGAAAAGCACATTTGCATGTGTGTATGGGTATGAAAAAGAGTATAGGCAGTCTTTGCTTTCATAGTGGCAAAATAGTTCAGACAAGCGCTCCTTCTGAGGAGAGTTTTACCAAAAAAAAAAAAAAAGTATATATATACACATACATATGTGTATATATGTGTATATTACATGTGTGTGTACATATGTGTGTATATATACATATGTGCGTATGTGTGTGTGTATATATATATATATATATATACACACACACATATATGCTTTAATGCATCAGAGAGCTAATGAAATAGAGACATATTAGCGGTCCAGAGTATCTGAGGGCTGAAGGAAGCCAAGAAAAGCGAACCCAACATCTAAGCATGTTTTTTCCACTGACTGTTATGCAAACTGTGGAAATGCAGTTGAGATGCTAAGAGGCTATATGGCGTTTCTTACAGTCTCTTGGAAACACAGAAACAGAAATTGTAGTCTAGAGTTCAAAAAGGGACTACAATGAACATCCCCATGATTTGGCTAAGGACTTCAAAAGCCTTAAACATCATAAACAAGCCTTCTCACGGCATCAAATTATCTCAAATACTAAAATTATCTTAATTGACAAAAGCTGAATATATTTATCATACAAACATATTCTGAAATATGCACACATTGTACAATAGCTCAATCAAGCTAATTAATAAATGCATTACCAACCTGGGCGACATAGGGAGACACGGTCTCTACAAAAAATAAAAATAATAAACTGGGCGTGGTGGCAGGTGCCTGTGGTCCCAGCTCCTCAGGAGGCTGAGGTGGGAGTACTGCATGAGCTTGGGAGGTCAAGGTTGCAGCACCAGTCGTACCACTGCATTTCAGATTGGGTGACAGGGCAAGACCCTGTCCCAAAATAAACAAACAAAACACATTATACTTCATACATTTATTCAAACCCTAAAATTAAAGTGATTTCTGATAGCTACTGCCCCCAGCTACCTAGACAAAAAGTAAAAATTATCTGAAGGAAGATAACATCTTACGCTCCAGATTATTTGTACAAACAATTTTGCACATACTATATCCAATACATCATGAAAAACAGCCAGGCACTCAAGCAAGTAAGACTACATGAACACAAAATAGCAAAGAGAATAGGCAGAATCAAAATGACCTCAGATAGAAGGCTAAAGATATAGGAAGAAATGTTAAATGAAGAGCATGGCAACAGGGCAAATTTAATTAAACATCTACATGAAACCACAGATAAAAGTGATTGCCATGTTAGAAATGTATCTAAAATTGAAATACATGACAACCAACACATAAATAGAGAGATAAATGAAGTTGAAGTGTTCTAAGGGTTCTATTAGGATGTCTGGGAAAAGAAAAACTATATTAACATTATCTTTATTTCATTTTTATTTTTCAGTCTATGTCCCTTTTTAACATTTATTTTTAGAACTTTTTAAATTAAGGTATAACTTATATACAATTAAATTGCCATTTTAATGTACAATTTCTAGAAGTTTGACAAACTCAGTAATGAAATCAACCACTAGAATCAAAATATAGAACAGTTCCATCAGCCCATACAAGTCCCCTGTGTCCTTTCAGTGTCAAACCCTCCTCCAATCCTTGACAAATACTAATCTGTATTCTGTCCCTATAGTTTTATCTTTTCTAGGATATCATATAAATGAAGCCTTTTGAATATGACTTCTTTCACTTAGCATGGTGCATTTCAGATTCATCAAGGTTACACAGTTTGTTCATTTTTATGGCTGAGTACTACTCCATTGAATGGACGTATCTCAATATTCATTCTCCAACTGAGGGGGGTCTGCATTGTTTCCAGTTCAGGACAATTATGAATAAAGCCATTATAAATATTTGCGTACCAGTCCATACATAAGTTTTCAATACACTCTACGCTCTGGTAAATACCTAGGAATCAAATTTCTGGGTAGTATTACATTTAATAAGTTAAGGATAAATGTAAAATAGCAGGTCTTTATTTGGCATAACAAGAAATAAAACATAGAGAATGAAAGTATTTCAGACTGGCCTGAGTTATCACATACCTTCTTTGTGGTCTCGGCGATGTTCCTGTCACTCATTATTTTATTGCTTACTACTCTAATAAGATTATCAAAAATACTGGATATCATATTTGCCTACTGAATTTGTATTTTCGTCAATTCATCAAGTGATAAAGAAGAAACAAGTAATAGGATTTTAATAAAAATTGTGACAAATTGAGAAATGTAATGAACCTTTCAATTCTTTGGAAAAGCAGACATTACCTTCCCCTGACTATTCACTGAATTAGAATGGACTTAAAATGAAATCTTAAATTGTATGCTGAAAGCATATAAATGCCATATTTTCATCAGAAAATTAAGCCCACTATGAGGACAGTTGTTTATGAATTCCTACTCTTATTTCTATAAAATGCCTATGGTTATTAACTAATCAATAGGAATGGAATACTGAAAAATGCATAACATATAACCATAGAAATATTAAAACTGTTAAACATAAGCTTTTGGATATAGGATAATTTATGTAAAAAAATTTTTCAAGGCACTGAAATGAGAAAAAGTTCACAGCACTTGTCTTTTTTTTTAAATCTTTTTGGAGCTGTTGCCGTATTTCAGACATATTCTCTAAAATATCTGATCATTTCCCAATAGGGCAATACACTGACAAAGAAAGATTCTACTTTAGAATGCAGGCATGTGTCACTAAAATATCATTTTAAAGTTGTTTTACACTGCAGCATCACTAAAAAGTAATAAAGGTTGAGATAATCAGGATTAATATTTTTTATTTTGGTTCTTGCTGACACCTGCTGGTTCAATTTTATCTTCTTCCTTACTACATATTGATACGTTAACAGTTCTAAATACAAAGGCTTCTAGCACATAAAACAGAATCTTTAATCAAGGGACCACTGACCCAAAAACGAAATGAGCACATATCAGCCAATCACTTCCCATATTCACTGATTTTTATTGAAATCAGTGTTGTGGTTATTACTGTAACTCACTCCCTAATGAATGTACTTAATTCAAAGTCTGTTACCTAATATTTTGATTCTGCCTTATGACTTAATTCTGACATTTAATTCTGAAACTAAAGTTACAGTTTTTTTTTAACTTAAACTGCAAAAACCAGTAGGCCATATTAATAGAACTCAAAAACACAAAAACATGATGTCTTCAAAAATATTACACAAGGTACTACTTTTGTTTGTTTAAGCAAACCCCAAATCCCATACTGATGAAATTAAGACAATAAATAATATATCATCCTTACTAAATCCTTAAAATTTTGCTTTCTTCTTTCCCTCCTCTTTCCCCCAAACCCACTGTAACACAATGGAAGAGAAGTGGTACTTTCCTCTTTCTAAAAACTTGTTTCATATTCCTAACATTAAAAAAATTTTTTTAAACTGACTTTAAAGGGAAAAAAAGCTACAGTAAGCTGCCTTTTTACTTATCTTTTTATTCGCTCTTACTCTGTAGTTTTGTGAACCTAATAAGAAATAGACTCCACGTACCATTATTAAATAGGCAAAAGGATTAACTCAAATCTGAGACTGTACCTTAGGATGTGTATGAGAAAGCAAAAAAAAAAAATGTGAGTGCAGTGTATGTCATGAGTAAATACTTTTCATTTATTAATTACACATTAAATCTGTTTCTCCCAGAGCAAATACAGTTATATAAACCTAATTATTTTGGGCCAAGTAATCCTGAGTGCATACTATGAACAAGTAGTTCACACCCCTGCTTGGCTATCAGAATCACCCATGGAGCTTTTTTTGTTTTAAATATAACTGCTTGGGCCACTCAACACCTCCACCCCTGATTATGATTAGGTAAGTCTGAAGTAGGACCTACATTTCTGTATTTCGAAATAAATAAAACGGTACAGAGATGATTATCATGCACAGTTAGGTTTGAGACTGGCACAGTATTTTCATTTAATAGGAGTGGAGGTTCACTCTATTTTCAGTTTAGTTCTTTGCATCCAGATGTATCATTGAAAGTGATGCGCACTTGGCAATGCCTGCCAAAACTGCCGCTGTTTTTGGCCCCACTAATAAAGCTGTTTTAGACTCAGGCAAAGAACATGAAAGAAGCAGCTCATGCTCAGTGCCTTTCTGAGTATAAATTGGATCCAAACAAAAATAAGCAATGGGGTTTTTATTCACAGACACTGAATGATTACTTAGTGGAAGTAGGAGAAGAAGGAAGGGGGGACGGGGAGCAGCAACAGTAGCAGGGGCCTGGACTATTCCTGGGGCATTTTAGTTGTTGTTAATATTGTTGTTATTATATGTTACATTTTAAAAGAAGAAGGAAAATTGGGAGGGAGCACAAACATCCCTCCCAGGCACACGCGGATGTCTCTTGAATATCTCCCCATTCCTTTTTTTTAAAAAACAGATCTCAAGTCACACATTAGTTACAAATCTATATAAAATGTGTTTTATTCCTCAAATTGCAATGTTTGGAATAGTTATTTCAGCCAATATCTGTAAATGAAATACCTGAGTTTCTTTTTTTTTTTTTTTTTTTTTGAGACGGAGTCTCGCTGTCGCCCAGGCTGGAGTGCAGTTGCGCGATCTCTGGCTCACTGCAGGCTCCGCCCCCTGGGTTCATGCCATTCTCCTGCCTCAGCCTCCCGAGTAGCTGGGACTACAGGCGCCCACCACCTTGCCCGGCTAATTTTTTGTATTTTTAGTAGAGACAGGGTTTCACCGTGTTAGCCAGGATGGTCTCCATCTCCCGACCTCGTGATCCGCCTGCCTCGGCCTCCCAAAGTGCTGGGATTACAGGCGTGAGCCACCGCGCCGGGCCCTGAGTTTCATTTTTAAAATAACAAATACAGATCTAACCCATTAAACTTTAAAAACAAAAAGAAATCAAGCATCTCAATATATGCCATTTTAGGTACTGTAACAACATTACAGCACAGCAAAAAATAAGTGTTATGACTTGCTCTCATATTTATTTTTTATTTTTGTATTATTCTTTTGTATCAGACTCTTACTCTGTCACACGGGCTGGAGTGCAGTGGTGCAATCACGGCTCACTGCAGCCTCTAACTCCTGGGCTCCAGAGATCCTCCCGCTCCAGCCTCCCGGGTAGCTGGGCTCACAGGCACGTGCCAACATGCCCAGCTAATTTTTAAGAAATTTTTTTGTAGAGACAGGATCTCGCTATGCTGCCCAGGCCAGTCTCAAATCCTGGCCTCAAGTCATCCTTCCACATCAGGCTCCCAAAGTGCTGGGATATGGGCATGAGCCCCTGCAACTGGCCGCTCTCATCTCTAAAGTTTTCCATTGTATCCTCAAAATACAAAGACTACTACTTTCCCAAAAAGGATCTATGAAAAAATATTTTACAAAAGAAAACAGGAAGGAAGGAAGGAAGGAAGGACACACACACACAAAAAAAAAATGAATTCAACCTCTGTCACTTTCTAGGCCACAGGTCAAACCAATGGGTCTTTTTCTGAGCTCTCTTTATTAGCAGCCCCTGCTTTAGATGTGGGGGGTGAGGTTCATTCTTTTGTTAGTTTTATTATTTCTGTCATGACTGCTCCTGTTTTTACTGACTAGGAAGTGTTTTCAAACACATGATGTTACTTCTCACAGTCCTCACTGGATGAAAAGGGGCTTTATTCTCCAAAATTCAGTAAGATTGTCTGAGTCACAACAGAATCAGCTTCCCTTCTCTGGAATAGATACCAATGTCCGCACAGACAGAAATCTCTACTTCTCCTAGACATTAAAGTAACAGAGTTCTTGTGTGTTTGTCTTAATGTATTGCTTCTCAAACCTTTCCATGAGCAATGAAGATAAAGTCTATTCCTGTACCTGGGGGTGCAACCAGAAGCAAGTCCATGTAAGTAAGAAATTCATTCAAAATCTACTTTTTCTTTTAAAGATGAGTTGTTTTTATGTTCCTCTTCATTATACAAAAGATTTTTCTTTAAAAAAATCTTCAGTGGAACTGATGATCCAGGAAGACAGTTTCAAGCACCAGGCTTGAGAAATGCAGCCCTAAGCCAATATTAACTGTAACTAATGTGACACTCCATCTAAAGGCTTGTGACATATCATCTATTTCACCCCCTTCAGTTTTATATAAATACATCCCAATCACAAAGATTAACAGACTTTAGAAATTACTGGCAGCGGGGAAGGATGGTTATAAATGCCATGTGAGAACTCATGAAAACGTCATAGTATTTTATTTTACTCCAAAAGCATTTGTAATTCAAATATGTCAATTCTAGCCTGAAAAAAAAGAAGTGGTAGAAAGGTGTTTTCCCAATGTATTATTGTTTCCATTTTTTTCTCCAGCCTTCCCATCCCTGACCCTAGAGTCATTTGGGATAAGGGAGAGTTATTTGGTTTGGCTGTGTCCCCACCCAAATCTCATCCTGAATTATAGCTCCCATAATTCCCATGTGGTGTGCGAGGGACCCAGTGGGAAATAACTGAATCATGGGGGCAGATTCCCCCATGTTGCTCTCATGGTAGTGAATAAGTCTCACAAAATCTGATGGTCTTATAAAGGGTTTCCCTTTTCGCTTGGCTCTCATTCTCTCATCTGCTGCCATGTAAAACATGTCTTTCACTTTCCACCATGAATTGTGAGGCCTCCCTAGCCACGTGAAACTATGATTCCATTAGACTTCTTTTTCAGAACAGACTAATACAGAGAGATTCTGAGAAAAGCAGCACCAGCGTAGCCACTGTGATTTCTGGTAACACTCACCAGTGAACTGGAAGGGAGAACACGGACGTGGAACACCACCTGCCTGAGAGGCTGTGCATACAGCATTAGAGGTGCTACAATCATTTGCTTCCATCCAAAAATAACACCTTTAACAGTAATGAGTTTCCACACAGGATTTTGGGCAAGTTACTCAATGATTGACAGGGGATTGCTAAAGTGAGGAAAGCGCCAAACCAGCCCTCTCCAATCCTCCTTGTGAAGAAAGGCTGGGTCACATTTTTTTTTTTTAATATTCCTGACGACACCTACAACGGCACTGAAACATTAATATGATGATTGATGCCTGTGAACATTTAAATCCTAAGCCAGTGTAACTAATGTGGATCTCTAGTGCTGCTGAGGCTACGTCTGAGTTATTTCTGGTTTGGAAATAGACGTGGCTGAAGTACCTCTGACTTTTTAGGTAAAGCCAAAAAGAGTCAGCAGACTAGATGCCCTGAGATGAATTGATTGTAATAAACTGTCCTAAGATATGAAACTTTAGCTTGGTGCTAAATCCAAACTACAGTGCTCTTTGTGATTGCCACACAGTTTATTAAAAGCCATTGCTGAACAAAGGGTTCCCCAATTCTCAAACCAATCTCGATATATGCTATATTTTTAAATAAAGCTTGACTGTGACCTTCAAGTGTTTCTTGTTTATGGTCACTATGTCGGAAGACATGCCTCCTCCTCTATACTTACAAATCTCTGGTGCAAAAACTCCAAGTGTGTCTTGGTGTCACCTGGATTTTCCTAAAAGACTATCAACAGGGTGAGGCTCCGGAAAGAGAAGAAAATGGGAGCAGAAGAGCATAAAAATTATATAAGGACAAAAGAAAAGGAGAGAGAAGATATATTCCTTCAGCTACAGCCAATTCCTTAGAATATTAATGATGGATTCTATAAAAAGAACTGAATCACTTTAGTTTGCTAACTAAAGCAGGAATTAGCAACCTTTTGGTAAAGGGTCAGACAGTAAGTATTTTAAGCTTCACAGGCATCAAATGCTCTCTGTTCCAACTGTTCAACTCTAATGGCAAAGCAGCCATAAAAATATATAAAGGGACATACGTGACTATGTGCCAATAATACTTTATTTACAAAAACAGGCACAGTACATAACATTTTATATGTTAAAAAAAACCACTATATACTCCTGGCTTTTCAAATGAAACTAATAAAACAATTCTAAGAGACAGCATAGAATACAGACCCATTCAGTGTATCCTAAAATAAAACTGAAATACTTTGCGGCCAACCACTGTATAAATTTAGGTATGACCTATGGAGTAAATTCTGGTGGGACTCATTAATTTATGCTTCTGTTATCCCCTCGTCAACACAACACACAAAAACAGCACCCTCTTCCACTTAAAAAAACAAAAGTAGAAATTAAGCAATTATATACAATGAAAATATACTCCACACATTATGTACCACAAAAATCACTCTCTACCTAAAATCCTATAAATCTCAACAAGCCAACATGAATAAACACATAATCTCCACAGAGAGGGCACCCATTAAGTCTGTAATCTCCCAAATAATCCAAGAAACCAAAGCAAAAGCATTGCTAACAGGATAAAAAGCAAAGCCAAGATTTCTGGCAGACTCAGTGCTAGGGAGACAAAACTGGAGTATAGAAAGCACCAAAGGGCCTGGCACAGTGGCTCATGCCTGTAATCCCAACACTTTGGGAGGCCGAGGCAGGCAGATCATCTGGGGTCAGGAGTTTGAGACCAGCCTGGCCAATATGGTGAAACCCCATCTCTACTAAAAATACAAAAATTAGCCAGGTTTGGTAGCACATGCCTGTAGTCCCAGCTACTCAGGAGGCTAAGGCAGGAGAATCACTTGAAGCCAGGTGGCAGAGGTTGCAGTTAGCCAAGATCATGCCACTGCACTCCAGCCTGGGCAACAGAGCAAGACCCCATCTCCAAAAAAAAAAAAAAAGAAAGAAAGAAAAGAAAGCAACAAAGAGCAGAGGTCTGTGTAAACACCCTCATCATTCAGTCAAGACCTCTGAAGACAGATCAGCCTGCACTTAAAGCAGATATGCTCATAATAAAAAATATTGAATCATCTCTGGAGATGGTGGTACCATTTAAAGCCTCAACAAGTTTTCGTATACATATCTGGTATACAATTAGAAAAAAAAGCAAGCTGGCCAAGAAATTGGATACAGAAACCAAAATAAGGAGGAGGACAACAGAAATAGGCCCATATATGAACCAGATTTTAGAATAATCAGAAACTAAAATAATTATGATTAATATGCTCTATAAATTAGACTAAAATAGAGAATTTCTCAGAAATCTGAAATCTATAAAAGAAAAAAATGCACTGTCCACAAAACAATAGAAGTCCTAATTAAATATTGGTTTTAATAGGTCAAAGATGCATTGAAATCTCTAGAGTGTTCACCAATAGAATGAATGAATGCACAAAGAGCAGGGTAATGGGGCAAGAAGTAGCAAAAAATTTAAGTAATCTTAAAGGAGAGCAAGAAAGGAGGCAAAATAGGACAAAGAGCAGTTGGAACAATAGAAAACAAATAAGATGACAGATTTAAATCTAAATATATTAGTATGACACTGAATGAACAAAAAGCTCGAATTGAAAAACAAAAATTATCCAACTAACTTTTTTTTTAATTCTAAGTTGCTTGTAAGACATGTCTTACATATCAGAACATAAAAACATTTTTTGAAAGATGAAAAAGAAACACTATGTGGACACTGGCCAAAAGAAGTCTGGTGTAACTTTATTTATATTAGACAAAGTAGCTTTTAAGACCAAAAGAATTAGAAATAAAGAGGAATATTTCATAAAAATAATAGATACACGTCAGCAAGACGTAACAATCCCACATTTGAATAACATAGCCAGAATATATAAAGCAAAAACGAATAGTACTAAAAGGGGATAAAAACAATTCCAGCAGCAAACAGAAAAAGCAATATAAAAAAAAAAGTATAGTATAGAGAGAGGAGTTAAACCACACAATTAACTAATTAATTAAATGTGTGCACTAGAAAACAAAGAAAATCTGAAAATCAGTATCTAAGCTTCTGCAGTGGATACTATGGTGTGCTGTGCAGATCACCCTCCAGGACTAAGGCATTCATTCCCCAAGCTGCAGGGAGTGATGGCTCACACCTGTGTCTCTCTCTAAGCAGCTGCATCCAATGACTGGTCAAGGTGACTGAACAAAGGTCTACACCACTTCCTGAAGGGCTGTTCTAGCTGCAGAATGCCCCCAGGGGACTGGCTGCAACCTCTACTGCAACCATATTGCAGTTCAGGTTCTTCTATCCATCTTGCTTCCTTCATGGTGCTCTTCCCAAAAGCATTATACAATAAACACCATATATGCAGATCTCCATCTCTGAATCTTTCCTGGAGAATTCAGCTAAATGACAGCTGCTACTAAAGTGGACCAGAAAGCAGACTCAAACATGGGAATTTGCAGCTCCATCACTGGTTGGTAATGAGGAGTCCCATTACTGATGGTAGGTGGAAGTATGGATAGCCCCCCACATAAGCAGTAGTGCAATTATTAAAACTTTCACCAACCACGAAGTGGGCACAGGATACCAACTGAAGGAAATTTATTGGGAGGTGAAATATCTCAGGCATCTGAAAGGCTGACAGGAAGTAGTAATTATAAGGACTACAGAATCAGCTTTTGCTGGGGGCTACCGACGAATTGTGGGGAGAGGGAATTAAAAACTGAGAATCATTTGAGGTGACATGTGAAAGGTTAAAAAGCCTCTGTGGAGAACGGAAAGAGATTCTCATCTTCCTCACAGTTAGAAAGCAGAAAGAGCTGAGAATCAGGCCAAGGATTTAATTATCAGGGCAACAAATTGCCAAAAAACCCTGAATACCTAACATTGAATACTCAATCCTGGCAAATCTGCTATTCCAAGCACAGGATCCTGTCTGGGAAGAACCAAGACTGAGACTTTACATAGCGACATGTGGGTCGACAGGCTTGAAAATCTTGAAACCCCAGATCACCTTAAACTCTCTGGGCCTGCAGAAGAGGCCCACTCCTCCTTCACCTGAAGACAATACAGGCGCTTCTACCTCATAGGATACACAGGTCCCATCAGTATTTATCACCTCTTGGCCACCGGACTAGTAACCAGGATCAAGGGAAGGAAGCCCAAGGAAAGCTTCCACAGTGCTCGTAATGTCCTACATTTTCACCTAGTGTGTGGTCACATGGGGGGTTCCCTTCTAAAAATGTATTGAGCTGAGGAGAATGCATCAAGCCCAGGCGGTGGTGGAAAGGCTGGAGGACACACCTCAACATGTGGAATCCCAATGCCGGCCAGCCAGGACCAAATCCATATCCCCCCACCATAGGGTACCCTGGAGGTTCCAATCCTGCCCACCCACCACCTATCAATCCACCCTTTCCCCAAGGCCCCTTTCTTCCTCTCCCAGGGCAATCCAGCTTTCCCCCCAGGTGGGCCCCCTCATCCTGTGCCACAGCCAGGGTATCCAGGATGCCAATCCTCGGGTCCCTACCCTCCTCCATACCCACCACCTGCCCCTGGATGCCTCCTGTGAATCCCTTGGCTCCTGGCATGTTCGGACTAGGAGTGATAGAGGACAAGAAGATGCAGATGAAAATGAAGAAAGCTCACAAAAAGATGCACAAGCACCACGAGCATGGCAAGCATTCCTCCTCCTCTTCCATCAGTGACTCTGACTGAATACAGGCCCTGGACCTTACCCTCAAGTCTCACCAGTTCTGTTCTCCCATCGAACTTCAGATGCCATATTGTACCAGGGGAAAGTAGCCCTTGGGCTCCCCACCCCTACCCCCACCTGAGCCTAACCCTGCTGTTCAGCCCTGAGTGGCTAGGGAAAATGGGAAGAGGATTGCCATGGCATGACCATCTTCTTGCTGCTTGGATAGATCATACAGCTAATGAGTTAAGCAGGGGAGCTATTTTTTGAAGATGATAAACTAAATGTTGAAAACAAATTTGAAAAAAAATTGCTGAGCTGTACACTTAAATATGTAATGTACTATTTGTTTGTTGCACTTCGATAAAAAATTTCTTAAAAAAGCAATTATATCCAATCCACATTTTCAAAGAAAAGTGCTTTATTAAGAAACTTCACAGTATCTTATCATATTGGTATTCACATACATTAATTCTTTCTCTATCTTTGTCACTGTATCTACATAGTAGGCAAAGACCACACCAGTCAAAAACTATTCTTTATTAGAAATGTTAACTGTCAAGAAACTAATGAAACTGCAATATTATACAGTAAATGACTAATAAAACAAATATAATTACATTACAGAAATTTATATTTCTACATAGCTTGAACACTAAAGTAGATACCATTTATATACTACTATGTGCCAAGTACCGGGCCAAGTACCTTATATACCTCATATAATTCTCATGATAATCTTCATGTATTAATTCACCAAACAAATACATCTGCCAGGCCTTGTGTTAGATGCTAGAGATTTAGTGGTACACAAAAAGTCCAAGTCCCACCCCCAGTGGTTCTATTACTATACCCAAGAGAAAAGTGAGGCTTATTCAGGTTACCAGTGGCACTCATGGTCACTGTGGCAGACTCTGTAGACTGACCAACCCCACGTCCATTCCCAAACTCTTCCTTGCATGCCTCTACCTCAGCCGCTAAAAAGCTAATTACTCATCTGCCAGCCAGTCTTTCAGCTGGACTTAACCACATAACCTGGACTTGGCCAAAGACATAAGCAAAATTATCTTGTCCTGATAAAAGCTGCCTTTGCCCTTCCCTCCTTTCTCCCAGCCCACCATGTGGATATGACGCCTCAAGCTAAAGCAGCCAGGTTTTCTTTATGAGAAAAAGTTCGAAGAATCACAGAGATTCCAGCCCTGGCATCGCTGAACATTACTATAATTACTGTCACTGAAAAAGATTTCTCATTATGTGAGAAAAATAAACCCCTTTGTAGTTTTGCCACTGTTACTACTTAAAGCTAAATCTATTCCTAACAGATACGTCACACAGCTAGCAAGTGGGGAACCAAGATTTAAACTTAAATCCAGCTCTCGACAAAGCATCAAACTGGGTAACTTTTCTATGAACATTTACTCCAAACTGTAAATAATACATTTTCCACAAATAAGTGCTTATTCCAAAGCCAGACAGATAATTTACAGAAACATCAAGAAGTCACCTGAGAACTCTGTTCTCATGCATCTTTTACTTGGTTGCTGCACTAAATCAGCTTGTGATAACCCTTTCCTGACTTAAATACAGCTTTGTAGACATTGGTCTATAAGCAATAATGCCCTTTGAGCTTCTCAGAAGCATTAAGCTTAGCTTTAGAATTAATAACATTAAACTTTCCAATTTTCCTAGAATATAGTAATGGATAAGAGTCTGACTCACTTTCAATTAATAAATTATTAACTTTATCTTAATCATCATACTAAGACCAAAATCTGCGAAGAAAAATGTCTTCTGGTAGCAGGAACAATAACAGAAGATATATTTATAGATAACCTTTTATTAAAAGAAATATCTCAGACCATTGGAAGAAAATTACTTATCTTCCTTAAATACAGATTAATAAATGTCTTCTATTTATTAAATTAATATAAATCATAATACATTTAAAATAGTAGTGCATATTCGGGTTAAATTTCTTTTTGAGATGGAGTCCCACTCACCAAGGCTGGAGTGCAGTGGCGCAATCTCAGCTCACTGCAACTTCCGCCTCCCGGGTTCAAGCTATTCTCCTGCCTCAGCCTCCCAAGTAGCTGGGATTACAGATGTGCACCACCACACCTGGCTAATTTTTGTATTTTGTTGTAGTGGAGATGGGGTTTCACCATGTTGGCCAGGCTGGTCTCGAACACCTGACCTCAGGTGATCCGGCCACCTCGGCCTCCCAAAGTGCTGGGATCACAGGCATGAGCCACCACGCCTGGCCCATATTCAGGTTAAATTTCAAAGACAAGTTAAAATTTGATTTAAAAAGTCAATATTTGCTCTCTATTTATATTAAACAGTTCAAGGCAATGGGGGATATATGGTTAAATGGGTATTTTCTAGAATCCTCTAGAATAAGCATCCATAATACATTCCTTTTAAATCATGTGTAAATGACAGAACAGTATGTATACTCTTGTGGAGAGTCAAGGGTTGATTCCACAAATGCATTTAAAATGTTTCACCTGTGCTAGGCCCTAGGGGAAGGTGACAACTCCCTGTTTTTTTTTAGTCTACTGAAAGGTACTTACATGTCAGTTATTGTAAATATATGCCCAATCGCCCTAGCAATTCAGAATTTTTTTAATAAAATAGAAATACAGATGGTGACAAGCCAGAAAAGCTTCCCACTAAACCTTCCCCAAAAAAACTCCTTTTGTCTTCCCCTTTCTTCCAGCTACTCTCCACTGTCAATATCAAATATCAATATCTTCGTCTCACACCAGTCAAAGTGGCTACTATTAAAAAGTCAAAAGGCTATTATTAAAAAGTCAAAAAATAACAGGTGCTGGCAAGGTTGTGGAGAAAAAGGAACACTTATACACTGTCGGTGGAAGTGTAAATCAGTTCAACGACTGTGGAAAACAGTGTGGCGATTCTTCAAACCTAAAAACAAAAATACCATTCAACCCAGCAATCCCATTACTGGTTATATACCCAAAGGAATATAAATTGTTCTATCATAAAGACACATGCTCCTGTATGTTCACTGCAGCACTATTCACAACAGCAAAGACATAGAATCAACCTAAATGGCCATTATTGGTAGACTGGATAAAGAAAATGTGGTAAATATACATCATGGAATACCATGCAGTCATAAAAAAGAAGGAGATTATGTCCTTTGTGGGAATATGGATGGAGTTGGAGGCCACTGACCTTAGAAAACTGATTCAGGAACAGAAAACCAAATACCACTTGTTCTCCCCTATAAGTGGGACCTAAATGATGAGATCACATGGACACATAGAGGGAAACAACAGACACATAGAGAGAAACAACAGACACTGGGGCCTACTGGAGGGTGAAGGGTGGGAGGAGGGAGAGAATCAGAAAAAATAACTAATGGGTACTAGGCTTAATATCCAGGTGACAAAATAATGTATACAACAAACCCCCATGAAACAAGTTTACCTATATAAGAAACCTGCCACATGCCCCGAACTTAAAAAAAAAAAAAGAAAGAAAAAGAAAATGCAAAAAGCTAGAAATTCCAGAAGACAAAAAGAAATTAAATTTAACTTAAAAATAAAAAATAGAGTCTTCATCTCAAGTTCAACCTCTCTCCTAAACATCTCCATCCGGATTTCCAATAAAGTTCATAAAAATCAGTATCCAAAAGTGATTTTGTATTCTGAGACTTTGCTGAAGTTGCTTATCAGCTTAAGAAGCTTTTGGGCTGAGACTATGGGGTTTTCTAGATATAAAATCATGTCATCTGCAAACAAAGATAATTTGACTTCCTCTCTTCCTATTTGAATACCCTTTATTTCCTTCTCTTGCCTGATTGCCCTGGCCAGAATTTCCAATACTATGTTGAATAGGAGTGGTGAGAGAGGGCTTCCTTGCCTTGTGCCAGTTTTCCAGGGGAATGCTTCAGCTTTTGCCCATTCAATATGATATTGGCTGTCATATATGGCTTTTTTGTCATATATGGATTTGTCATATATGGCTCTTATTTTGAGGTATGTTCCTTCAATACCTAGTTGATTGAGAGTTTTTAACATGAAGGGATACTGAATTTTATCAAAGGCCTTTTCTGCATCTCTTAAGATAATCATTTAGTTCTGTTTATGTTATAGGTTACATTTATTGATTTGCATATGTTGAACCAATCTTGCATCCCAGGGATGAAGCCAACTTGATCATGGTGGATAAGCTTTTTGATGTGCTGCTGTATTCGGTTTGCCAGTATTTCACTGAGGATTTTTGCATTGATGTTCATCGGGCATATTGGCCTGAAGTTTTCTTTTTTTGTTTTATTTATGCCAGGTTTTGGTATCAGGATGATGCTGGCCTCGTAAAATAAGTTAGGGAAGAGTCCCTCCTTTTCAATTGTTTGGAATAGTTTCAGTAGAAATGGTACCAGCTCCTTTTTGTACCTCCCATAGATTTCAGCTGTATATCTGTCTGGTCCTGGGCTTTTTTTGGTTAGTAGGCTATTTATATTACTGCCTCAATTTCAGAACTCGTTATTGGTCTATTTAGGGATTAACTGCTTCCTGGTTCAGTCTTGGGAGGGTGTGTGCATCCAGCAACTTACCCATTTCTTCTAGATTTTCTAGTTTATGTGCATAGAGGTGTTTACAGTATTCTCTGATGGTTGTTTGTATTTCTGTGGAGTCAGTGGTGATATTCCCCTTATTATTTCTGATTGTGTCTATTTGATTCTTCTGTCTTCTTCTTTATTAGTTTAGCTACCAGTCTATTTTATTAGTTTAAAAAAAAAAAAACCGCTCCTGGATTCATTGATTTTTTGAAGAGTTTTTCATGTCTCTGTCTTCTTCAGGTCTGCTCTGATCTTGGTTATTTCTTGTCTTCTGCTAGCTTTGGGGTTTGTTTGCTCTTGGTTATCTAGTTCTCTTAGTTGTGATGTTAGGTTGTCAATTTGAGATCTTTCTAGCTTTTTGATGTGGGCACTTATTGCTATAAATTTCATTCTTAACACTGCTTTAGCTGAGTCCCAGAGATTCTCACATGTTGTCTCTGTTCTCATTAGTTTCAAAGGACTTCTTTATTTCTGCCTTAATTTCATTATTTACCCAGGAGTCATTCAGGAGCAGGCTGTTCAATTTCCATGTAGTTGTGGTTTTGAGTGTGTTTCTTAATCTTGAATTCTAATTTGACTAGACTGTGATCTAAGAGACTGTTTATTATGATTTCAGTTCTTTTGCATTTGCTGAGAAGTACTACACATCTTCCCCTCAAATTGCCTCCAACTATTTCCACTTCAGCTGGTAAATACCACCATCTACCTGGTCCCTACCAAAGAAACTTTGGAGTAATCTTTCATTCAACCCTATCTCACCCATATCTAATCAATTTCCACATCACACCAATAAATTAAAAAGCAAACAGCAGAAATAGAGAAAATAGAAAACAAAGACAGATTCAACAAAACCAAAAGCTGGTTCTTTAAAAAAAAAAATTAATAAAAATAGACAAATCTATGGTGAGACTGATCAATTAAAAAAAAAAGGGAGAAAGCAAAAATAAATAAAAAATTACAGAGCAGCATAACTACAAATCCAGCCAAATAAGAAATGTGGGGGGAAGAAAGGAAGAATATAAAAAAAAAATTTTACATCAGTAAATCTGAAAACATAAGATAAAACAAACAACTTCCTGAAAAAAGTATGTATGTGTATTTGTACATATAAAAAATTAATTCTAAAATATGAAAAAAGGAGGCCAGAAATAGCCAAGAAATTTTTGAAAACCCTTACCAAGGTAAAGGGCCTTTCCTAAATAGAGATCCAAGCTTATTGAAAGGGCAATTGAAGCAGGAAAAGACAGGGAGAACATTGGAACTACTATGCAGGAAAAATCTTTGAGACAAGTGGCATTACAAGCAAGTGGATGAAGTATAGACTATTCAATCAATGGTATCAGGATAGCTGGTTATCAATTATTTTGAATCAATAAATACATACACACGTACACACACAGAAACAAAGGATTACCACCTTGTACTATACAGAGCAGATTAAAGAACTAAATATGAAAAGCAGAACTTTACAACTTTTTGAAGAAAATAGACAAGTATTTCTTCACAACATCTAGGTAAAGAAAAATACACTTCAGGACAAGTATTACAAACTATAAAAAAACGACTAACAAATTTAATTACATTAAAATTAGAAATATCTGTTCATCAAGAGAGGTAATTTAAAAAGTACAAAGAAAAGTCACAGATCAATAAAAAGAATATGTACAATGCATACAACTTAGAATTCATATCTAGGATTTATGAAAAAAATCAATACGCGAAAGTCAACCTAATTTTTTTTAACTGGCAAAAGACATTAACAAGTAATTTGTAGAAGAGCATATGAAAATATTCTCAATCTCATCACAAATCAGGGAGATGCAAATTAAACAACAGGATACCACTTCATACTTATCAGATGGGCTAAAAAAATTAAATTCTGTCAAAATAAAACAAGGATATGGAACAGCTGGAACTCACATATACTACAGGCAGAAATATTTGAAGGACAACATCCCTACAACCCACCAATTCTTCTCCTAGTATATACTCCAAAAAAACTCTAACATATGCACAAAGACATACAAAAATGTTCAGGACAGCACAGTTTGTAATAGCCACATAGTGAAAAGAGCATTTCACTTCTGCCAGGACCCAGCGGGATTAAAGGCCTAGGACCCCTTGATGTGTTAGTTTCCCTGTTTGATCTACTGAGTTAGAAAAAAAATATTTTGTAAACTTAAGTGTTGATGTTACTACTTGTTTCAAAACACTCTAAAAAATCTATAAATGATATGAATACATCAAAGTATGAAATAAAAGCAAATGCACTAAACAAAGTACTATATAAAACTCATGACCACCTCTTTACTATTTATCTAATAGGAAGCATAGCAAAATCCTTCTACTAGTCTAGAAAAGCCAAGATTCTAAGAAGATTATAACAAATTCCATATGTTGGAAATAAAACAAAAAAAATTATCATCCTTCTCTTTCAGGGCCACTCTCCTAATAACGGTAGAAATAAAAAAGAAACAAACCATTCCTAGGAAAAGTTACTAAATTTCTCAATTTGTAATTCCATTAACAATTACTTAATTACAGATACATTTGCATTTATAAGAATGCAAAAAAATGATCTAGGACCAGAATGAGTCACAGATTTTAAAATTCAGAGTTACAAGGGACTTTAGAGAGTATCCTCTAAATACACAGAGAAGCATGTCTTCTCTATAATATCTGATTAATTCTGTTCAATTTTATTTAGTAAAACTGTATTTTTATTCTAGAAGTCCATAAAACAGTATACTCTTAATAAATATGCATTTTATTAAAGCTTAAGTCATCCAAAAGCATTAAAGAAAAATACTGGCATAAAAATTCCACCTCTCTGCCAGTTTAGGTTGGTTTACTTGTTGTGTGAGAAAATATCAGGGGTATAGATTTAAGAAGACGGAGGCACGCTGAAATTTAGAGGAGTCTCTAAAAGTCTGTTGTTTGTTGCAACTGACTGAAAGCTGACAACATGTTCCCAGATGAATGCTTTAATATATACTAAATGATAAGTTTTCATAGCGGATTTTGATGGCAACTCTGATAGTGTTAGGGAGATAAAATGGGGTAATTTTTATACATCTTCAAGAACAGAAAACTTAATGTGGCAGTAATATTTTCATTAAAATACTTCTGTTTCATGTGTTTCAAATAAAATGCAAGCATTTTTCAAAATAAAATTACTCAAAGTATAGGAAAGAATTATTCAAGATGTTGCATTCTTAACATTTGCCTATATGGCAATACAAATTAAATAATTAAGTAGCCACAAAATAATGACCCTCCTCTCTTTTTAAAAATATCATTGAAACCTGGAGATAAGTTTAACTTTTTAATCAATTAATACACAAATTCTTTATTCACATCCAACAGCTTCTTGCGATTAAATGCTGTTTTGATTCATAATGATTACAATTTATAGGTTTTTAAAGTTTATCACTTGAGCTTGGTAGCTATTCTGAGTTTAATACTAAAAATAAAGCAGCCCCAGAAGGAATGAATAAAATAACTTTAAGCTGTTTGTCCCAAAAGAACAAATACTTTGAAAACATATTCTAAAACATAAAATTTGCCTTCATCTTAAAAGCCCTTAACATTAATCCAAATGTTTAATGAGGCCTGTAAGTGGGTCATGACATATTTGTTCAACCCAGGCCGAAAATTTGTATACAAATTGTTCCTTAGAATTTTCAACCAAAAGTTATATATACCAAAAGAAGGATTAATAATGGAAAGTCTGACCTAACACTAGCCTGACTACTATGATCTTCTACTTAGTAGTATCCTACTGCTTACTGTTCATACCACTCAGAGTTAGAACGAATCTTTAGTTCTTTTAACTCGAAAGATGCAAATAAATATGAACTTTTTCTCTCAATTGTGCTTTAAATATAACTTATCTAATTGTAAGATGTCAGTTCATACAACTAGGGACTTACGACATGAAAATTAAACAAAAATAACAACGTTTTTAAAAAATCCTTTCAAATAGCATTCTTTTCCACTTTCTTTTCCTATATGACACTAATACCAGTAAAATCTTAATTCAGACTTATATTCAAAATACGTAACATGCCACACATAAACTGAACTAAATTTTAACACCAATGTATTTCCTAGGCAAACTGTTAACTTAGGATTTTGAAGTTTCAAGAGAGTAACAATTTTATTGAAATATTCAGATATGTAAATATTATCCATAACCTACAAATCATCACTTTCTACTCATTCAAGCGCACTTGATTTAGGATAGTAAAAGAAAACAGATGAGGTTCAATGCCTGGTTGCACAACTTTCACATATAATCTGCCACGTGCCACTTACCCTCTGTGAGCATCAGTTTTCTTTTCTGCAAAATGGAGATGATCAACTTTCCTGGCCTACTTCACCAAGTAGGATGACTTCGCGACATAAATTATACAAGTGTTTTATTAACTCTGAAAGCAGAACTCAGATATAGTATTACTATACTATTTCATGCACATTATTTGAAAAATACCTATTCTTATAATATTTTAGGTGTTTCATATTGATAATAATATATCAGGAGAGCCAAGTGTTTGCAGCACAGCCTCAAGAAGCAGACAAAACTACAAGGTCTAAGTATCTTCTGTCCCTGAGCCCTTTCTATGTAGCTAGTGGCACGGGTCAAAGTAACTACAGGGACTTCAGTACAACTGCTTACTCCCTGCCAATGGTGTCAGGCTTCCCTGCTAGCTGCTACAAAAAGTACTGAGCCCTTAGTTCTGGGCTCCTCAGCTGCCACACAACTCATGCAAGCATAACCACCATGAAGGGCCATCACTTCTCTCCACTGAACTTATAGGCAAGAAAACTGGTACTACTATGCTGATACTCCTGCTGTTTGCTGTGCTTTAAAAAACTGCCTTGCTTTCATCACTAAGTCTTATCTACTTTTATCACCTATGAAGTTGTGGTAAGCTAATCAGCTTACTTAGTCATTTCCTCTAAAACTGTGTTACCCCTTGCATTCTCTATGAAATCCAGGTTCTCACCTAAACAAAACAACAACAAAAAAAGGTAGAGCGAGCAGTGTGCTGAGATAGACAACGACTTTTTGGAAAGCCAAAAGGCAATGTCACTATGACTATTAAAACAAGGATTCCCTAAGCAAACACAGATGGGATCAGCACCCAAAAAATTGGCACCAGAAATTGTGCTATGGGAGCCCTGAAGCAGGTAGCTGGTTGAAAGCAAAGCAGTCTGATTAAAACCAGAAGTGCCTCTATAGAGCCAGATTCCTCCATGGAAATCAATCCCCCTCTACTAGCGGAACTAAGAAGCTGAGTGGCAACCTTAGAATAAATTACTCCTTCATTGCCTCCATTACATAACCTTGTACCTTTGTACCCTAATTTGCTATCCTTTAAAGATAAAGGGACCAGAGATGCAGCCAAAGTCTTTCTACCCACGGGAAAGACTTCAGGAAGAAAGGTCAAGGTGGGCAATCCAAACTTGTATGGTTCTTTTAGATACTGACACTAACGAGAGCTGGCAGCCTACAGTGGATTCTCACCAACTGAATTCAGTTGTTGTCCCTGTTGCTCTGGGTGTTCCAGACATTGTGACCATGACTGAATCAACTGCACAAACTAATGACACCTGGTATGCCATCTTGGATATTGCTACTGTCTCTTTCTCAATCCCTTGGGTACCAGAAAATTAAGATCAGTTTATCTCCAGGTTCCAAAACAGATTTACTGAGCAGCCACGGGAGTATCTGAATTCTCCTGCTGTTTGCATCAATGCTGAGATGTGGAACAAGCCTTTCTCCCTTGGCAATGGCTTTGGAAGAGATGCTGACTCACATGAGGGCCCAGGGGTGGTTCATTAATCCTGATGAGATATAGGGACTAGCCATCGGAGTCAAATTCTCAGGAGCAATGCTGACTGCCCTGAGACAATAAAGGAAAAATTACTTACCCTGCAGTCCCCACCTACCAAAAGGGAAGCCTGGCACATAATTGGACTGTTTAGATATTGAAGACAACATGTGCCTCATCTAGGCTAAACTACCCAGAGGACATGCAGGCTTCTCATTCCACATAGCAGTGCAAGTACTTTTCCCTGACAGTGGAATTCATGCCACAGAGCAAATGGTCAGAAATCTATCCTTAACTTTAGTTACCACAGGCAATGGGGCTGTGCAAACTCTGGAATATCAGCAGGTCAGCTTAAAATTCCTTTGTACAAGTCATAATGCATAACATACTGGCCTAAACTACATGCTGGCTGACCAAGATATGTATGAATTAATACCACTGCTCAGATGGAACAATCCATACTTCCCATAAGGAAGGGAGCTAAATGATTATCTGAAATAATATCTACTAGTACTGTCTGGGACTTTACTTAATTTGTTGAGTCCAGAATCCTAGGGTACATGGTTGAGGTGAATACTGCAGGTTGGCCTCATTCTGTTGATAATTGTCCTCATCAAGTGTTGTATGAGATAAACTGGATGAATTTTTCCTCAGCACCTGACAGCATATCTAATCTGAATTGCTGATGGGGTGGTATACTCATATGAAAATTTGAGTTCAACCAAGAATGTGTATGGGCAAAGGTTGGACTGTCAGGAAAGACTGTCTGTCATGGGGCCCACACATCCTTGTACATCCTTACCAAGTATGCCAAACAACAAATGCACCAGCCATCCTGTATCTTTGAGCTACTTCTGTAGCTAGTTATGTAGGCAATCCAGTAGGTCAAAGAACTGCAAAGCAGGTCTCAGCATTCCTTGCCAGCCTGTATGATAACTGGCAAATAACAATACAAAACAAAACAAAACAAAACAAAAACTTGCTCTTTTGCTCTTTACACAATATCCTGGCCTTTGAAACTTTTAAAGGAAATTCTAAAGGTAAAGGGAAGTTTAATAAATCTAAATATTTAATGGTTTCAATATTATAGTTTGCCATACATCACATACAACCGATATGCCTTAACATCACTTGAATTCATTGCTAAACAGAAAATAAGTAAGCAGAAATATTTCAGTAGCTAAAGAAATAATTTCAAATACATCCTTTCACAAGTAAAAATAATTTCTGTTGATCATTTTACTGTTCTAAACATATTTGCCATAAGTTAAGTAACATGACCATTAGAAAGGTGATCTGCTAACATAAATCTTCCAGCTAGTCAAGGGCTGCAGCATAGCTCCTTCGAGATAAGATTATCTTCTAGATCCAAGACTATGTGTATGAGTTTTAGCAAAAAAAGATGATTTATAGATTTTCATTTTCACTTTTAATATTTCAGAACGTGCCTACTGGTACAGCCTGATGAAACTGAAATAAAAATGACAACTAATCTGGAAGACAACCAGCAACCAATCACCAATCAAACTGAACAAATAATGCCTTCTCTGCCCCATTTCCTCTTCTGTCAATTTTAATAAAATCATAGTTCTCAGTACTCCTTGCCATCCTGGTACTCAGCACTCCTTGCCCCAATTTTAATAAAATCAAGAGAAGAGAAAATGGGGCAGAGAGGACATTCCAGGCAGCACTACCTATAGATGGGAGGTACTGTTTGGTCCTCACACTCATTATAAAGCTTACATTTCATGGATGGTCAGAGGTGGCTGGCAACTTTCAATATGTCAAAATAAGGTGTTTCTTACAAATTTCTAATTTTTAAAATATTAGAACACTGTAACTTAAATTAGATATCTAGTTCTACAAGTCAGAGTAAGACTTTCATAGATCTACCAATAAAGCTCTACTGAGGCATTTTTAGACATGAGATAATTCACTTGCTCCCTGCTAGAGGAATATAAAGTTAAAAATATATATATATTTCTTACGCAATTTCACAAATTTGGACAACACACAAAAGAAGACGCCAATCATTGAAAACACTTCTTTAAAAACGCAAATATCTGCCAGAAAATCTGGCTTATCTCAACTGATGGACACTATTTATGAAGAACAAAGTTCAAACACAGAATCACTAAGCAAAAAGCCTCTCTTCTGACCAAAAAAAAAAAAAAAAAAAAAAATAGACAGCATGTACTACTATGTAAAAGAAGTGCCTCAGAAAGGAAAAGCAGATATCTATAATAATGTGTCCAGTGTCTATATTCGATGCTTGCTTGTATACTAAAAACAACAGTAAGACACTGTTTTTACTGTAAGTTTTCCTAGTACCTTTCAAAACTGTCTTGCCACAAGACTCCCAAAATCACCACTATCTTTCTATTTTGGTTAAAAATATTTTGTTGGGGATCCCAAGGGAAGAAAATGACTTGAAGCCAGAAGTGCAACAGCAGCCTGGGCAACATAGCGAGACCTTGTCTCTACTAACTAACTAACTAACTAGCTAAATAAATAAATAAATAAATAAATAAATTTCAATTAGCCAGGCATAGTGGTGTGCAACTTTGGTCCCAGCTACTTGGGAGGCCGAAGCAAGAGGACCACTTCAGCCCTGGAGTTCGAAGCCGCAGTGAGTCATGATGGCACCACTGCACTCCAGCCTGGGCAACACAGCAAGATCCCATCTTAAAAATATATATATTGTGATTTCATTAATGGAAGTAAGGGTAATCTTGCTGTTACTGTTGTTGCCATGGTTGTTGCATTGTGTGCATGTGTGTTTTGAT